>NC_000002.12:224364618-224989618 GCF_000001405.40 Homo sapiens
CGGCCGGGCGCGGTGGCTCACGCCTGTAATCCCAGCACTTTGAGAGGCTGAGGCGGGCGGATCACGAGGTCAGGAGATCGAGACCAACCTGGCTAGCACGGTGAAACCCCGTCTCTACTAAAAATACAAAAAATTAGCCGGGCGTGGTGGCAGGCCCCTGTAGTCCCAGCTACTCGGGAGGCTGAGGCAGGAGAATGGCGGGAACCCGGGAGGCGGAGCTTGCGGTGAGCCGAGATCGCGCCACTGCACTCCAGCCTGGGCGACAGAGAGCGACTCCATCTCAAGAAAAAGAAAAAGAAACTACAGAGCTATCAATTGAAAAAGGAAAGCCTTTGCCTTTGTGTGAAAACTGAGGCTCTAGCACTTCTTTCTTAATACATTTAAAACATGGCCTTCATCTCCTCTTCCTGGATACCCTCCTTTTCACGCCACTTGGGGCAAGAAAACTGTTCACAGCCTCATATGACAGCTGAAAGGATAGAGAATATAAATTTATTTCATCACGTACCTTTCTATTTTCATCCACTTCTGTAGGCTTTCTGCGGAAGTAACACAACAAAACCTAGCACAGGTACAGAAACTTAGAATCTTAATGTTACGACGATATAGAGACATGCTGGTCTGTAGCGTAACTGAATGGTGCCCCACCATATTAAATTCAAGTGCTGATAAAGAGTGCACTTTTTAGACTTAATCAAAACTGCCCAGGACACTGATATACTTTCGCCTTTTTCTTAAATGATGCTCACAGCAAAAGGGAAAAATTTTCCTTATGACGCTGACTTCGGCTGCCTCATTGGACTATCTCTTCTTTATATGCAAGCTGCAAATATTCACAAAGTCAAATTAGGCATTAAATTCAGACTCACCCAGACTTTCATGGGTGTGACTGAAGGCAAACTCTGGCCCACGTCGGTGTGGTCAAAACAGATGAGTAACCATCGAAGGAGGTGATATGCTCACTAATTATGTATCTCGTGGATCTGATCCCAATCTGGCTTTCGTTCCTTAGGTTTTCATTCCTATGGCAGGCTTTTTTAGGGCAACATTTACAAAAAGATGCTTATGTTTTTACACTTTTGCACTTGGGAAACATTTTTGTGGCGTCTGCAGGGCCCTTTTAAAGCTTGCTCATTTAGCAGAGCAATGCGCGATGTAATTGAAACCTGTTTCTCTGGAGTACACCTACTTCTTTCTTCAAACATGGGAGAACTGTTCTTTTGCAGAAAGCTCCAAGAATCCATTTAAATCCCGTGGTTGCAAACCAGGCCAATATTTCCTCAGTGCCCAGCACTGTGTGGTTGCTTGGTAGCAGGCAATCAAGACAGACTTCGTGGGAGGCTGGCTGGAAACCCTCCATGTACACAGGGTGGACACACACAAACCTTCAAAGCAGTGGGACATCGGTGCTATCATTTAATTATCTTTGTGGCTATGAAGTGTCTCACTAGAAATTATTCCATTAATACTTCTTCCCAGTAGGTGTTTCAGACTGATGAGGCAGCGGCTTAGGTGGTAGAACATGGTAATTATGATTTTTTAAACGACTAGATGGAAGGCAGTCAAAAACAAATTTTAGTCTCTTACTTTTCAATTTGTTAGAACCACTTTACTGTCCATATGAAGGCTTCTTTTCACGCCTCAATTGTTCTGGGCCAATTTAAGAAAATTAAAAATTTGGCAAAGGGATTGACTTGAAAAAGAAGGGTTAGAGTAAAAACATACTTAAAGGCTGTGGCCACACGTGGTTCAAGGCTTGGCAGCTTACCCTGTAATTTGATATGAGAAAAATATTGGGAGGAATGGGAGAAAGCCAAAATTATTTACAGCTGGAATCCAAATAAAATCAAACCTATGCAATGTGTGGGCTGTATTTATACTTGTCTTTATCTATTATTAATAACCAAGTCAGCGTGTAGCATAATACTTGGCACACAATTTTATTGCTCTGAATTATGGGGCAGAAATGATTGCCTGGAATTATGAAAAACAGGCCTCAGGGAGCGCATATTAAAACCAGGGATCTATACATATGTACATACATACCCAACACTGACACAATAGGTTAAGAGCAGCACCAAATTTATGGATAAAGTGCTAAGGGGCCACAGTCCAAGGAAACCCAATCTTTCATTCTTTCTTTCCCTTGTTCAGGCACTGTTTTATGTCCTATGGATACAGTTATGGAGATGACAGACAGATCCTAGCTCTGATGGAGTGAAAGACAGAGGAGAGTTGGGTGGGGAGAGAGAGAAAGAGAGCAAGCAGTGGAGTGGGCAAAGGGAGGGTGACACGTAATACAAATAAATGACTGAACCAGAAAAGATTATATAAGTGCTCTGTTGTAAGTTGATGGTAGCCCCCCAAAAGGTTATGTTCACACCCTAACCCCCAGAACCTGTGAATGTGATCTTATTTGGAAAAAGAGTTTTTGCAGATGTTATTAAATTAAGGATCTTGAGATGAGTTCATCCTGGATTATCTGAGTGAGCCCTAAACCAAATGATAAGTGTCCTTATAAGAGACACAGAGAAGACACAAAGAAAAGAAGGCGATGTGAAGACAGGGGCAGAGATTGAAGCTAGGAAAGGCCTGAAGCCTCCAAAAGTTGGAAGAGACAGGGAAGTCTCTCTTTGGGTTCCATGAAGGCAAGTGGGCCTGACAGCACCTTAATTTTGGACTTCTGGCCTCCAGAACTATGACAGAATAACTTTAACTTTCTGCTGTTTTAAGCCATGAAGTTTATGGTCATTTGTTACAACAGCCCTAGAAAACTAATACAGGTTCTAAAGGAAACAAAACAGACTGAGGGTCACTGTATGCTGGGGGATCTCACAAGGTCAAAAGACATTGAAACATAAGCAAAGCCCACATCCAAGGACCCTGATGTGGCTTGGCTGTGTCCCCACCCAAATCTCATCTCAAATTGTAATCCCTATAATCCCCATGTGTGGAAGGAGGGACCCAGTGGGAGGTGATTGGATCATGGGGGTGAGTTCCCCCAGGCTGTTCTCCTGATAGTGAGTGAGTTCTCACAAGAGCTGATGGTTTCATAAGGGTCTAGCATTTCCCGTTTGCACTTCTGTCTCCTGCCACCATGTAAAGAAGGTCCTTGCTTCCCCTTCGCCTTCCGCCATGATTGTAAGTTTCCTGAGGCTTCCCCAGCCGTGTGGAACTGTGAGTCAATTAAACTTCCTTTGTTTATAAATTACCCAGTCTCAAGTATTTCTTTATTGTAGTGTGAAATGAACTAATACAGACCCCCTCACGGGGACATGAAAAGGGCCTTCCTCTCTTATTGCCAGGTACAGTTTTGGCCAGAAATGGACGCCTGCTTTTGCTGTCTCCTCTCACTTCTGTCCCTTTCCTGCACAGGGTCCTTCCCTGTCGCTCTGTGGGGCTGGCTTCCTCCCTCCGGTCCCCTCATCCTTCATTCCAACAAATGGACCCAGAGCCACGGCCCCACCAATCAGAGAGCCCTGCCACACAGACCACCCAATTGGCCCAGGAATGGGTGTGTGACTCGGGCCAGGCCAATCAGCGTTCTCCCTGTGGATTTTCTCCTGGAGCTCTCTGAAAAGACAAAGTCTTCCCACTCCAGGGCCGAGCTGATGGGATGTGGCTCTGGGGCTGTGATCCCCTGACAACAGTCTTTTTAGCTACATGACCAATAACTTTCCTTCTCTCCCTTTTTGTTTAAGTAATCCATTCTCAGTCACTCTTGCTTATAAATCAAAGGGCCCTACACTAATTTGAGGCTCTGTCCTGGTAACCTAGGCCAGACCACACGTGGCCTGCAGGATTTGTTTTGTGTAGCCTGGACAAAAGTTAACAGGAGGACCTACTTCTCCAAAGGGACCCTGCCTCCATCTTTGTGTCCCCTCCTGCTTCCTTCTTAGCCTGCTAAAGGAGTAGGAGCTGGGCACCTTACTGTCAAAGCCATGGAAGAGGAGAAAGGAGCAAACCAAAAGGAAAAGAGTAAAAGAATCAAAGCCAACAGAACATCCAGACCATCAATTTCTTAACATTGTGCCCCAATTTTGTACCTGGCCTCAACCCAATCAGTGTTGCACCTGTATCAGCCTCCATTATTTGCTGTAAGAGCAGAACTGATTCTGGCTGATTCAGGCTGACAATGAATTTATCAGAAGGCTGGAGAACTGGGCTCAGAAAACTCACGAGAACTGTGGCAGAATCACAACCAAAATCAGGCCACAGAACCAGGTGGGTCCAAAGGCTCCGCCGCCCCCACGGTCAAAGACTAGACATCGCTTCTTCCTTTGACCAGAGCAATGCTGACCACGTCCTCTTCCCACCCAAAAGAAATCCGCCGCATTCTTGAGTGTGAACATCAAAACTCCAGGTGAGACTAGCTGACTGTCCAAGTGTAAGTCATAAGCCCAAGTCACGGGAGATGGGGATGGGACATCTTTCAGGTGAGCTCTGCCTCCCACCAAGACTCCTATGGGGGAACTTTCTAAGCATTAATTAACTTTTAAATATCTACCATGTCTTCTCTTGGGGTGAAGCAGAGGGGGGAAAAAAGGGTTTGGCGATTCGGCCACAGTAATTTACATAGTGTTACAACAGTGCCCTCTAGTGACAGACTTTTGATAGGGTGAAAAGCAAGGTAAATAAGATACACATCCCATAAAAAATCCTGCTGAAATTCAGTCCTGCTTAATTCTGTGAATTAGATCATTGCACAAAGCAAGAGAAGATTCCCAAATGCAACTGCAATCCCGTGAGAGGACATAAAGGAACCATGACTTTTAATGGGTGTTAGCTTGAATTAACCACCGTCAGTGCCCGCAGGAACTCAAACAGCCCTATACAATGAGAATGACAGCATCATTTCTGCTGTGACCCTTGAGAATCGCTTGACCGAAGAGAAAAGCTGCTCCTTAGAAGCCCCCACATCCCCAGATCCCCTCATTTGAGCTGCACTCAGGGCTCCTGCAGTGATTCTGGCTGGTGGAGCCCTGTGAAGCCTGAACAAGCTCTAGGATCTGGCTCACAGGACATGACTGTGGGACCAACAGAGGAGGCCCAAACCTTGGGGGTGAGCTTCAGATAGAGCACAACAGCACAAACCATGAAAGACATGTGCAGTGATGCTTGTACACTAATAAGGACGAGATGAGGAAGAAGCCACTGCTGCTGTAATAGCTCTGCAGCCAACAGGCAAACTAGGAAAAGTACATACCTGAGAAAAGCAGAGAGGGCTCTCTGGAGTGGGCCCAGAACTTGGGATACAAACATGAATGATATAGTTCATGTCTGCTATGGTCTGAATGTTCCCCCCCACCACCCAGAATTCATATGTTGAAGCCTAGCCCCCAGTACGATGATATTTTGAGGTGGGACCTTTGGGAGGTGATTGGGCCATGAGTGTGGAGTCCTCATAATGGAAGTAGTGCCTTTAATAGAAGAGGCACCAGGGAACTAGCTCTCTCTGTCTCCCTCCACCACATGACGACACAGTGAGAATGTGGCCATTTGCAGGCCAAGAAGAAAGTCCCCATCAGAACTGGACCATACTGGCAGCCTAAATGCAGATGTCCAGCCTCCAGAACCATAAGAAATAAATTGCTGCCCAGTCTATGGTTTTCTGTGATAGCAGCCTGATATAGTTTGGCTGTATCCCTATGCAAATCTCACCTTGAATTTTGGGTCCTATAATTCACATGTGGGAGGGTCCTGGTGGGAGGTGATTGAATCATGGGAGTGAGTCTTTCCCCTGCTGTTTGCGAATATTTAATAAGTGTCACGAGATCTGATGATTTTATAAAGGGGAGTTCCCTTACACAAGCTCTCTTGCCTGCCACCATGTAAGACGTGATTTTGCTCCTCATTCACCTTCCATTATGATTATGAGACCTTCCCAGCCATGTGGAACTGTAAGTCCATTAAACTTCTTTTCTCTATAAATTACCCAGTCTCAGGTATGTCTTTACTAGCAGCGTGAAAACAGACTAATACACAACCCAAACTCACTAAGACTATATCTTACTTTCTGGCTTCCAGAGAATGGAAGCCTCTTCCACATTCCTATTCCTTGCTGTGCATTTGTTGAACAAATTATTTGTAAAAGCAGCTACTCTGGTCCTGACATTGCGCTAGGGCTTGGGTGCCAGGGTTGTTTTAATAACGTGTCAGCTGGTCAAGCCCCTGCAGCAGGGATTTTAACTTGAAACTCCATGACAACAAGGAGTCCACCAGGCAGGTCTGGGCAGAAAGCTCCAGGCAGATGGAACAAGTGGGGCATGCTTGAGGAGCAGAAAGGAAACCAGGGTGACGCCAGTTTTGTGTGTGCACAGTGTGGAGGCAGCGTGGACCGCGTGAAGCTCAGGTCACTCTTCTTGCCCCCCTCTTCCTAATAGATTGAAGCCAGGCTGTTAGGCTAGTGGTCAGAGACACAGACACTAGCCTGACAGCCTCGCTTCCAATCCTAACTGTGCCCATGACTCATTGCACAGTCCAGGATTAGGCTCTAGACCTCTCTGTGCCTCAATTTTCTCAACTGTAAAGTTCGGATCATCACAGCACCTACCCCACAGGACTTTTGTGAAGACCAAAATGTTCAAGAGAGTGCCTCGCATGTGGGAAGTGCCAGATAGCTCTGTCATCAGTATCAACTCTAATTCAGTATTATTGTCTCTCCTTAGAATTATTATCCTCAATATAAACAGACACTTTTCAAAAGAAAACATACATGCGGCCAACAATCATATGAAAAAAAGTTCGACATCACTGATCATTAGAGAAATGCAAATCAAAACTGCGATGAGATACCATCTCACACAAGTCAGAATGGCTATCATTAAAAAGTTAAAAAATAACAGATGCTGGTGAGGTTGTGGAGAAAAAAGAACGTTTATACACCATTAATGGAAGTGTAAATTAGTTCAATCACTGTGGAAGATGGTGTGGAAAGTCCTCAAAGACCTAAAGAAAGAAATACCATTTGACCCAGCAATCCCATTACTGGGTATATACTCAAAAGAATATAAATCGTTCTATTACAAAGACACACACACATAGGTTCATTGCAGCACTATTTTCAATAGCAAAGACATGGACTCATCCTAAACGCCCATCAATGATAGACTGAATAAAGAAAATGTGATACATATACACTATGGAATACTATGCAGCCATATAAAGAATGAAATCTTTTCCTTTGTAGTAACATGCATGCAGCTGAAGATCATTATCCTTAGCAAACTAACGCAGGAAGAGAAAACCAAATACTGCATGTTCTCATTTATAAATGAGAGCTAAATGATGAGAACACATGGACACAGAGGGGAACAATAGACACTGAGGCATATCAGAGGGTGAAGTGTGGGAGGAGGGAGAGGATCAGGAAAAATAACTAATGGGTACCAGGCTTAATACCTGGTGTGACAAAATAATCATACAACCAACCCCCATGACACAAGTTTACCTATAAAACAAACCTGCACATGTACCCCTGAACTTAAAAGTTAAAAAAAAGAAATAAACTCAGTTAAGAGCAGCTTTTTGCTTGACAATAGAGATGTTTATGTAAGAAAGGCCTAAATTGCATTTTTGACATATGGAAGAAATTTTATATATGACAAAATTATTTTGAGCTATAATCAATGAAACTAATTATGATAATATTCAGAAGTGAATGTCTAAGAACAAATAAAAAATAAGTGTCCAAAAAAGAAATAGACAATGAATATTTCTTTTATTAAATTTTGAATATGGAATCATACCAATTAAAGGTAAAAAATAAGTAATAAAGTACAAAAGAAAAAAAAGAATTATTGTTCTCAAGAGACTCACCTCAGAAACATCTCTGGCAGAACTGGGATTTGTGAAAACAATACATTTCTTCTTCCAATAAGAGAGACTTTGTGTCTCCAATAACTCAGCTAGGTTCTCTGGAATAACAAGACTTTTTAAATAATTATATTAGAAAATAAATTTTGATGAAATCAAGTTTTTAATAACATACATCCTAATTATGTGGCCTAGGGGCCATAAGCACCTTTTCCTCTTACTTGCTACAGCGAATTTTAAACATTGCGAATTGTGAGAAATGTTTAAGAAACATCTCAAACCTCGGGTAAGGATTTAGTAGGTGCAAAACAAGGGAGCTGTGGATGCAGAGATCAGTTTGTTTCTAAGTGACGTGGGTTTAGTTGACCCAGAGCAGAATCCTGAAATGAACTAGAAACTAGGGAGAATTTCCCCAGAGATCTCTTATTGCTCATTCTCTGAGCTTAGGCGAGGAGGCCCATTTAGAAGTTGCAGCTGCGTCTCAGCCCCTTGAGGGAATCCTGGGAGATGCAGCAAAGAAAAAGTATTTTAAAACAGAGCAAAGAATAAAGAGAGGATCAAATTGAAGCACAAAAAGAAGGGAGAAACAGAGGGAGGGAAGGGAAAAGAAATAAAAAGGGAAGGAAAGGGAAGAGAAAGGAACAGAGCGAAAGGGAAAGACCAATCCATGATGGCTTAGAGAAGATGCTAGGAAGTCACACGGTAGTGAGTTTTTCAGGAACTTCTGAATATATTTTGTAACATGGAAATGTAATTGAGGAGCTTTTAATCAACAGAAAATGCAGTGTGTGCTTGTGGCTCCATTCTCCTGTTTTATGTTTCCCTTCCCCTTTCTCCTTCTTTCTCTGGGAGGGAAGGAAGGAGCCTTTCCACCAGCAATCCTTCCATGCATAACTGGAGTGACCGAGCAGGTTGTTGAAGGGCAATGGAAAGACCAAGGCTGCCTTACAAAGTTCCCATCAAGCAGAAGGCACATGGCAGCTGCTGCTGAGGCTCCAGCTTCACCTGCCTTTGTAAGCCAAGGTGTGTCCATCTCTTCCTATCGTCTCCTGCTCCACCCTCAAATCTCACATCCCTTGCTCTACTTCCACTAATAAACTAATATGTTTGCAAGCTTCCAAATGTTACCATCTCTGTTAACGTTTAGCAATGAACAAATAATACCTGCAAAAAGTGTGAAATATTATTAATAAGGTTAAAAATAGCCAAATAACTGCAACGCAACTGATTTTTAATATGCCTATACAGGCATACCTTGTTTTATTGTGTTTGCTTCATTGTTTTTTTGCAGATTTTGGGTTTTTTTTTTTTTATTTTACAAATTGAAGCTTTGTGGCAACCCCTGTGCCAAGTGAGTCTATTGGCACCATTTTTCCCACAGCATGGGCTCACTTCATGTCTCTGGGTCACATTTCAGTAATCATCACAATAGTTCAAACTTTTTCATTAGTATTATATCTGTTATGGTGATCTGTGATCCGTGATCTTTGATGTTACTATTGTAATTATCTGGGGGCACCACAAATAGCACCCATATCCATCAATGTCATATGTGTTGTAACTGCTCCACTGAATGGCCATTCCCATCTCTCTCCCTCTCCTCAGCCCTTCCTACTCCTTGAGACACAACAATGTTGAAATTAGGCCAATTAATAACCCTACAGTGGCTCCTAAGTGTTCAAATGAAAGAAAGTGTTGCACCTCTCTCACTTAAATTAAAAGCTAGAGGCTGGGCACGGTGGCTCATGCCTGTAATCCCAGCACTTTGGGAGGCTGAGCTGGGCGGATTACCTGAGGTCAGGAGTTTGAGACCAGCCTAGCCAACATGGCAAAACCCTGTTCTACTAAAAAAAAAAAATACAAAAATTAGCCAGGCATGGTGGTAAGCACCTGTAATCCCAGCTACTCAGAAGGCTGAGGCAGGAGAATCGCTTGAACCGGGGAGGCGGAGGCTGCAGTGAGCACTCCAGCCTGGGTGACAGAGCGAGAGACTCTGTCTCAAAAATGAATAAATAAATAAATAAATAAATAAATAAATAAATCAAAAGCTAGAAATGGTGCAGCTTAGTGAAGATGGCATGTCAAAAGCTGAAATAAGTGAGGTTTCTTGTACCACACAAGTTAGCCAAGTTGTGAATGCAAAAAAAAAAGTTCTTAAAGAAAATAAAAAGTGTGACTCCTGTGAACACATGAATGATAAGAAAGCAAGACAGCCGTATTGCTATATGGAGAAAGTTTGAATGGTCTGAGTAAAAGATCAAACCAGCCACAACATTGCCTTAAGACAAAGCCTAATCCAGAACAAGGCCCTAACTCTCTTCAATTCTGTGGAGGCTGAGAGAGGTGAGGAAGCTGCAGAAGGCAAGTTTGAAGCTAACAGTGGTTGGCTTGTGAGTTTGAAAGAAGGAAGCCATCTCCATAACATAAAAGTACAAGGTGAAGCAGCAAGAGCTGATGTACAACCTGCAGCAAGTTGTCTGTGAGATCCACTAAGATCATTAATAAAGTGGCCACACTAAACAAAATATTTTCAATGTACATGAAACAGCCTTTCATTGGAAGAAGATGCCATCTAGGACTTACACAGAGGAAAAGTCAATGCTTGGCTTCAAAGCTTCAAAGGACAGATTGACTGTCTTGTTAGGAGCCAATGCAGCTGGTGACTTAAAGTTGAAACCAATGCCCATATACCATTATGCAAATCCTAAGATCCTGAAGAAGTATGCTAAATCTACATAGTCTGTGCTCTATAAATGGAACAAGAAAGCCTGGATGACAGCACATCTGTTTGCAGTTTTACTGCAATATCTACTGTTTACTGAATATTTTAAGGCCACTGTTGAGAACTATTGCTCAGAAAAAAAAAAAGTTCCTTTCAAAATATTACTGTTAATTGACAATGCACTTGGTCACTCAAGAGCTCTGATGGAGATGTACAAAGAGATAAATGTTGTTTTCGTGCTTGTTAACACAACATCCATTCTAGCCCATGGATCAAGGAGTCATTTCTACTTTCAAGTCTTAGGATTTTAAAAATCTAATTTGTAAGGCTATAGCTGCCATAGATAGTGATTTCTCTGATAGATTTGAGCAAAGTAAATTGAAAACCTTCTGGAAGGGATTCACTATGCCAGATGCCATTAAGAACATTTGTGATTCATGAGAGGAAGTCAAAATAGCAACTCGAACAGGAGTTTGGAAGAAACTGATTCCAGCCCTCATGATTGACTTTGAGGGGTTCAAGACTTCAGTGAAGGAAGTAACTGCAGACTTGAAAGTAGAACTGACTCTTTGAACCATGGGCTAGAATGGAGGTTATGTTAGCAGCATGAAAACAACAGTCATCTCCTTGTACATCTCCATCAGAGCTCTTGGGTGACTAAGAGCATTGTCAATTAGCAGAAGAATAGCAAGAGAACTAGAATTAGAAGTGGAGCCTGAAGATGTGACTGAATTGCTTCAGTGTCATAATAAGACTTGAACAGATAAGGAGTTGCTTTTTGTGGATGAGCAAAGAAGGTGGTTTCTTTAGATGGAAATTACTCTTGATGAAGATGCTGTG
Organism: Homo sapiens; assembly: GCF_000001405.40. Taxonomy (NCBI): domain Eukaryota; kingdom Metazoa; phylum Chordata; class Mammalia; order Primates; family Hominidae; genus Homo; species Homo sapiens. The sequence continues at coordinate 224,375,996 of NC_000002.12, forward strand.
AACATTGTTGAAATGACAACAAAGGACTTAGAATATTCCATAAACTTAGTTGATGAAGCAACAGCAGGGTTTAAGAGGATTGACTTCAATTTTGAGAGAAGTTCTACTGTGGGCAAAAGGCTACCAAACAGCATCACATGCTCCAGAGAAATCTTTCAAGAAAGGAAGAATCCTGACTGATGTAGCAAACTTCATTGTTGTCTTATTTTAAGAAATTGCCACAGCCACCCCAGTCTTCAGCAACCACCACCCTGATCAGTCAGAAGCCATCAACATCAAGGCAAGACCCACCACCAGCAAAAAGATTATGACTCGTTGAAGGCTCAGATGATCATTAGCATTTAGAAATAAAATATTTTTTAATTAAAGTATGTACATTGGTTTTTTTCAGACATAATGCTATTGCACACTTAATAGGCTACTGTATATTGTAAACATAACTTTTATATGCACTGGGAAACCAAAAAATTCATGGGACTTGCTTTATTGCAATATCTGCTTTATTGCAGCAGTCTAGGACTGAACCCACAATAGATGTGGATTTTATTTATAGAAAAATAAAGTATTCTGATCATCAGAAGACTTTCAGATTTAAAAAGTGACACATTATACATTTTAGGGAATACCGTCTAATTTAATTAAGTCTAATTAATTTGATAAATTGGATTGAGCTAGTTCATAGTTTATCCCTGTTGTATAAAATCTCTATTGAACTTTGGGATGCATTTGATTATTTGTTATAAATAATTTTCCTCTTAGCTATAGAAACATAAAGTAAATGGCACATGTAGTACAAATCTTAGAAAGGTGGATTTATTTTTTGTTGCCTCATTGATTTCACTAAAACTTGTTTCAAAAGAAGTCCTTTGTTCTCATGATATTTTTAAACTGTGGGTCCGAAGGACCAATGGTATTAATAATACACTATATTATATAATATACAATATAATACAATAATCATAAAAAACTCACACATTTATAATGCTTCATGAAATCCAGATGCTTTCATATACAACATCTTGATTCCCCTAACAATCTTTTGTTACAGTTGATAAAGCAACAGAGGACAAAGGAGCCTGACATGCTCAAGGTCACATCAATAGTAAATTTAAAAGTGAAACCAAAATCTGGGCCTCCCCACCCAGTTCACTGGTATTTCCATCCCATCATGTTGTAAATTGAATTCCTGTGTTGAGTAGTGTGATGGTTAATATTGAGGGTCAACTTGATTGGATTGAAGGATGCAAAGTATTGTTCCTGGGTGTGTCTGTGAAGCTGTTGCCAAAGGAAATTAACATTTGAGTCAGTGGACTGGGAGAGGCTGACCCACCCCCAGTCTGGGTGGGCACCATCTAATCAGCTGCCAGCGTGGCTAAAATAGAGCAGGCAGAAGAATGTGGAAGGACTAGACTGGCTGAGTCTTCTGGTCTTCATCATTCTCCTGTGCTGGATGCTTCCTGCCCTTGAACATCAGACTCCAAGTTCTTCAGCTTTGGACTCTTGGACTTACACCAGTGATTTGCCAGGGGTTCTAGGGCCTTCGGCCATAGACCGAAGGCTGCTCTATCAGCTTCCTTACTTTTGAGGTTTTGGGACTTGGACTGGCTTCCTTGCTCTTCAGCTTGCAGACAGCCTATTGTGGGACTTCACCTTGTGATTGTGTGAGTCAATACTCCTTAATAAACTCCCTTTCATATATACATCTATCTATCCTATTAGTTCTGTTCCTCTAGGGAACCCTGAATAATACAAGTAGGATAGAATAGATGACATTTTAAGGGTATATTATTTTACAAGTCAATTTTGTAAGGTGCCTGATTCACATTTCTCAATATTCTTTATAATTTTCAGGTACTTTTATTCTTACCCATGTATTATATTAAGAAAATTTAGATAACATCAAAAAAAAAGTGGGAAGGAAATTTCAAAACTTCTTCCTGCTGTGCTTATTCAAAGTTCAGTAGTTCAACTTCCTTTTTTGTTTTAACTCTTATTATAGAAAGCTATACCAAAGTTAAGCTCTTCATCCCGTTTTCTAAAATCAAATTGTAGTCTAGGGGAGAGAGAGACAAAATGGGAATGAGAATATGTTGATGTTTTAAGGACAAAAAATATCAATTGAGGAGTCTTGTCTTTGTCCATTTACAACTCTCCTCCGTTTCTATCCCTTTTGCGGAGAAGAGCACCCAAAATCAGCCTAGACTCACTTTTGCAAGATTTGACTTTAGGACTGAACTCATCTCTGTCTCCAGTTAGGTGTAGTAAGTCTCCAAGTCTCCAAAAGATCCAGCTAAATCAACATTTACACTCTTATGTAACATCTGTTCTGAGAGTGAAGTTCGTGGAATTGAATAACCTTATAAATGAACTGAAACACAGGCCTCGGGATTTTTAAACATGTGTGTACAGACATATCCAAAAAATTCAGCATATGGGCAACGAGAATTTGTCCATTGCAATTATAATTGCAATTCATAATATGCCCAGTCTCCATCTGCAGGTTGCAAATGCTTATTACACCATTATGTGGCCAGTGTGGGCCTCAACTGTGGAAAAAGTTTTTGGAGGAATATATTTGGAATTCAGTATCTTTTTAAAAGTTGGTAGAATGAATTTATCAGAGTGGTGAAACCATAAACACTTTTTGGGTTTCATGGCCCCAGAATGTATATGTACCATATACACAATGTCTTATTCAAATGTAGGTATTCAAAAAATGTTTATTGAATGAACATATATAAATGAATGAATGAGTGCGTTTTGTAAAGGAATCTGGGAGTCAAAATCTGGCCAGAAGAACCCAAGTCCTGCTCCAGTGACCAGATCAACCAGTCCAATTTTCCCACTGTGCTCAATGTTCCTCTTTGGTTTGTAACAAGAACCACTGTCCTCTTTGACATAGTGCAGAAACAAATGAGAAGCAGATGAGCAGGAAAGCCCTAGAGCCTAGCATTCATGTTCAACCTGATTTTCTGGCTTCCAGTATTTTGGCTCATTAAACAGGAAAACAAAATTAACTGTTTATAATTTTCAAAACACTTTGCATTTTCACTCATTCCAGATACAAACAACTTTAAAGACAAAATCACAAGGAGGGTATGTGAACAAGGCCTAGTTACCAAAAGAGGTCACATGAAAATTAAAAAGCATTCAAGAGTAAATAGCAGTCCATATTGTCCAGGGGGATGAGCTATGCAACCTAAGTAAAAATTAAAACCAAATTACAGACACTAATTAGTGTTGTATAACATACCGATTCATTTGCATACAATGCAATTATCCTGATAGGTGCTGGATTCAACACATCCAGCTGGGTTAGTGCATCTCCACGGAACAAAAGCATTCGGTTTTTTTCCCTGTGTGTTGGCTGTGTTCTCTTATGACTGTGACGGCAAATAAACAATCATTCCCAGCACCTTTAGACTTTGAACATTTGAAATAAAATCAATACAGATTGTGCATGGGGAGCATTCAGCCCCCCTCAGATGAACAACTAACAGGCTGATTCTGGGTCAGTACTCCATTTCTAGAACATTTTATCTGATCTTGTGTTTTAGAAAACCACATTTATTTTATGCTATATAAAGAATTCTTCTTCATCTTCTTCTTTTTCTTCACCCTGAACTTGCAGATGAAGGAGACATTCTGAAATTGTCTTCCTGGTACCAAGGTCCCTTTGGCCAGCAAGTGGCAAAGGAGAGACTCTTTCCTTAAGGACACTGTTGTTTTTGGAGGTAGCCACCCCCAAGGAAGAGGCTGGCAAGCAGAATGGTGGCTGGCTGGTCTGTAAATCCCTTGGAAATCCGCCAAAATAAGTCTGCCTGGGTTCAGAATTTATGATGGTCAAGCCGGTGTCAACATTCGTCTCGGCCTCAAGCTTCTGAAAGCTGTTTTCCCGGTTGAGGACCTTCATTCTGGCCCCGGATTCAAGGTGATGAGAAGACAGGTGCAGGTGGGCACCCATAGCTGGGCTGCTGACCTGGAATGACCGGCCAGGGCTTTTCCACGAAGTGCCAGCACACCTGTCTGATGTGGGGCTCCCACTGGGCTCAGGAAGCTCCAGAGAATGCCCCTGGGACCTCTTGCCCTGGTTCCTCTGGCTCCTGGGTTCTGAGGTCCTCTTTGCAGAGACAGAAGTCAGCCTGGAGCCCAGGGGAAGCATGCCAGCTCCCAAGATGCCATTCTTAACACCAAGTTCTGGATTCAGCTGAACCTACAGGAAAGGAAAGGAGGAACATATGAAACATAATTTCCATTAACTAAGTGCCAAGAGCTGACTATGCCTTATTCACCCTCTGCCATGCCATGCCCATAGCAGACTTTCAGTAAATTTGGTTGAATTGAATAGAAGTGATAAGTACAATATAATTATGAGATATCTAATCAGACCCAGCCCCAAATACCTCTCTTTGGGACTCCCTAAATTAAGTTTTTGACAAGGGTAAGACTTTGGGAATCAAATGGCCAATTGACAACACCACACTTCTGGTAGAGCAAGTTGTTCAAACAATGCAGACATTCACAGATGTCATTCAGTGACCTCACTGGATGTTGTAAATGATATATTTATTAGCAACCATGTAAAAAAAGAAATTTAGAAAGCCACCAAACCATGTGGTTAAAGTTAAGATAAGGATTGAAGTAAGAATTCAATCTTCCAAAGCTGGTGATCCTTCTTTTAGATCATGCTAATAAAAATACATATCTTGGGCCATTCTAAGACATGTGACCACTCCAGACGGCTAATAATTTGGCAGCAATATTCTTTAAATTCTTGGGGCACCATTTATTTAGATTAGAGGCCTGGTATTGCATGAGAAAACAAAAAGGGGGCATGGCTTATATGGAAGTTTAGGTGTTTTCATCCTTAGCAATTCCACTCTGGTTACAAACTTACAGACACCACTCAGCAAAACCCTCACCCTGCAGTTGACTGCACTCTCCCTCCACAGGATGGAGTTCACTGACCCCCCTTTAAGACTTCCACCCTTGGGAGCCTTGCATCCTATTCCATGCACAACACTCTTCCCAAGAAGATTTCTGGAAAAAGGCAATTTTTTCCATTTTGATAACAGCCCTTGGAAATTTGTATCCAGGATCCATCCCTACCTGGCCCAGCCCTTAATCAAATATCAAGAAGAATGATACGGAAGAACTTGCAATAAATACTACTAACTGAAAGAAGCCTATCTGGGCTCATGCCTGTAATCCTAGCCCTTTGGGAAGCTGAGGTGGGAGGACTACTTGAGGCCAGGAGTTCAAGACCAGCTTGGGCAACTAGCAAGACCCCATCTTTACAAAAAATAAAAACATCAGCCAGACGTGTGGTCCATACATATAGTCCCAGCTATTCAGAAGGCAGAAGAGGGAGGATCCCTCGAGCCCAGGAGTTCGAGGTTAAATTGAGTTATGACTGCACCACTGCACTCCAGCCTGGGTGACAGAGAGAGACTATATGATGCCAACTATATGACACTTTGGAAAAACCAAAACTATGAAGACAGTAAAAAAATCAGTGGTTGCCAGGGGTTGGGGGGAGGGAGGGATGACTAAGTGGAGCAGGAGGACTTTAGGGCAGTGAAAACTACTCTGCATGATACTGTAATGGTGGATGCACATCCTTATACATTTGTCCAAACCCACAGAATGTACGACACCAAGAATGAACCCTAATGTACCCTATGGGCTTTGGGTGATGGTGATGTGTCGTTGTAGGTTGATCAGTTGTAACACATGTACCACTCTGATAAAGGATGTTGACAGGAAAGGAGGCTCTTTTCGGGGGGAAGGTTGTATATGGGAACTCTCTGTTCTTTCTGCTTAATTCTGCTGTGAACCTACCACTGCTGTAAAAAATAAGGTCTATTTCAAGGGAGAAAAAATAATGATACATATTTATCTTACAAGGCAAGAAGGCAGAAATGAGGACAGTGAGAAAACAGGTCTAGAAATCAGTAAATTCTCTCTCTCATACACACACACACACACTCACACAGAGCATATTTGTTTGTATAGATGACGCAGAGTACATCTCAATTTTCTGATAGAAATGGTGAGGTGCATATTACCAAGCTGCAAAAACAAACACACAAAAAAACAAGGACTTCCACTGATTCTTTTAGAATAGAAGTTGGCAAATATTTTCGGCAAGGAGCCAGACAGTAAATATCTGAGGGTTTGCCGGCCATATGGTCTTTATCCCAACTATCCAACTCTGCTGCAGAGCAGCCATAGACAATATATAAATGAATGGCTGTGTTCAGTAAAACTCTATGTATGAACACTGAAATTTGAATCTCATATTTTTTATGTGTCATGAATTTTTTTCCAACCATATAAAAATAGAAAACTATTTTTAGTTCTCAGGCCACAGTTGACCAAGCCCTATTCTAGATCAATGATTCCCTGTCTTTTTTTTTTTTTTTTTTTTTGAGATGGAGTTTTGCTCTTGTTGCCCAATCTGGAGTGCAATGGCGCAATCTCAGCTCACTGCAACCTCCACCTGCCAGGTTCAAGTGATTCTCCTGCCTCAGCCTCCCTAGTAGCTAGGGTTACAGGCATGCACCACCACGCCCAGCTAATTTTGTATTTTTAGTAGAGATGAGGTTTCTCCATATTGGTCAGGCTGGTCTCAAACTCCCAACCTAAGGTGATCCATCCACCTTGGCCTCCCAAAATGCTGGATGACAGGAGTGAGCCATCTCTCTATCTTAAGAAGTTTTTTTCCAAACAATTTCTTACCTGGAAGCCCAAAATATGAAGCAATCTAATTAGCGCAGCCCTGGTTGACGTACAGAGGGTAGCCTCTGCCTACGGGACCCCCTCTCTAGTTCCCCAGGGCTTCACAGAACCAGCTTGAAAACCACTATTCTAGAATATCTAAATTCTACCCCTGAGCCAAGCCAGTTCATTAGAGCCACACACACCTGAAACCCCTATCGCAGATGTGCTTGCACTGAACCACAGCTGAGTGCAGTGCCCCAGAGTGTGTTGAAGAGAGCTTCCACCAGCATCAGATACTCTCTCTAGGGGCGACACTGTTGAAGGGATGCCCACTGCACCGAAGGACCTGTCCTTATGCAAACCCATAGGAGAAATTTCTGTTCCCAAACTTTGCTGCACAAGGGAACATCCTGGGATCATTAAAAAACAATGATGCCTGCTCCCAGCCCATGACCTCCTGATTTCATCAGGTCAGAGTACACCTGGCTGTCAGAGCTGATAAATCTCCCCCAGTAATTCTAATGTGCAGCGAAGTTTCGGAACTACTGCCATGGACCCAGAAAAGCTAGGCTTCGAGTAGTCAGTTAACTTGCGGTCGTTGTGAGTCTGTTTCTTATCACATACACCCGACCTCCTCCTCCATATTTCTGAAAAATTCTTTGCCTAATTTCATTTTGCTATCTCTCTCTACATTTCCCTTTGCTCTAATTCCACAGCTCCGCCCTCCCTCCCCTCCTTTCTTCCTTCTCTCCTTCCTTCCTCCTGCCCTTCCTTTCCTTTCTTTCCTTTTCATCTGTTTGTTTTTTTAAAAAAGTCTTACTATAAAAGTAGTAATTTATCACCATAAAAATAATTTCATTGTACAAATGTATAAAATAAAAAGTAAAGCCTTCTCCCTATCCCAACCTCAAATCACCCCCAAATTCTCACTTTCCAATGAAGACTATTTGCTTATCCTTTCAAAATCAGGAGGAAAAAATACTATCTCCGAAATGTCAGCTGGGGTTTCCCTTCCCCTGGAGAACAAACTCCCTTAGTCCTTCAAAGGGCCAACTGCCATCATTGCCTCTTGGAGAATCATTTGACACTGTACCCTTGTATCATAATGTACCTTTTTAATTGACCCAATGACATCTTTTTCTTCTAGAAATGGAAACTGGCATGGATATTTCCATACTGAGAAATGGTTCAGGGTTGATATTAGATTATCCAATCTGGAGAAAGAAATCAATAACTTTGACTCTGGGGCTTGTATTTCATTCTCTAGCAACTGTGAACACAGAGAGAAGCCTGAGTAATCGCCCCTTGCCATCTAAATCAATGTCAGATCATAATGAAATTGGTCCTGAAGCCCCAACCAGTGCCGAGACATCTCAGGGCAGCCAGGAAGCGCCCTCCTGGGCCAGCCCAGCTCACCCCTCCACTCCCCTCTGTCACCCAGTCCCACAGCCCCTCCACTGGGCCTTCTCCACCTGCAAATGTCCCATCTTTGAAAGATTCTATTTAAGCCAGGCATTCTGAGGCCATGGGCTCCGGCACTCAATTCCCCATCACATCTGCTCTTCAACATCAACACTCCCAATCCCCAGCTTCTCCCTGTCAGCCCCTCCCATCCACACTGCCTTTCAGAGTCAATTTGAGTCCAAAGACTATCACTTCAACCATTTCTTCACCAATACCTCCAACTCCCCTCACTATTCCCATTCTGTCACAGACTCCCACAAAATCTCCCCACCTTTCATCCATCTACCTGCCCACATTTTCTGAACATGTGTTCAGGATGCCACAGAAACACATCGGTCTGTGAAATGGGTGCCCCATGATGGCGTGGTTTCCGGCCTCTCCCAGGCTACCCGCCAGTCTGCCTGCTTCCTTAGTCACCTCTCTCCATTCACCCAGCAGCTGTTCAAACCTTCAAAACTGTCCTGAAATCTTCAGCAGCACCATCGCCCCCACTCTCTCTCATCAGGTGGTCTCACCATCCAGATTATCAAGGAAGCAGATGCTGTCACCAGTTAGCAACACTCTCACTGCTACCGCGAAACTTACCTGCAGCTTCACCATTCTCTCTAGGTGAAAGTGACCGGTCCCTGGGCCAAGACTCCCATCACCTCCCGCCTTCTTGGTGACCCTGACCTATCAATTATTCATTTTTCCCACTTTCTTATCTTGGATGTTTAATCTCTCTCCCTCTCCTTCTCTTTCTCTCTCTCTGCCTATTCCTTTCCAACAGCAATTAAACTTGTTCAAGTCTCGTGTCTTGAAAAACACATTCTTTCCACCCTCTCTTTCCCTCCAGGTTTCTCTGTCCTCCCCTTCACTGTCAAACCTGTATATAAAATTTGTGTAGTTATGTTTTTCTACAAACCTCCCCTTATTTTCTCTACCCATGCCACTGACAAGATAAAATCTAAGTCCTTGGATGTGGCCTGCCTCACCCTTTACTGTCTGCCTCTTCTTACACCACGCTGGTAATTCCCTCCTACCACTCCAATGAAATTGCTCTTGCCAAGGTCATCTACAATCAGCCCTCCTGTCATTCATTATTTCTTGAGCTCTTGGTAGAATTTGACCTTGAAGTCTGTACTCTTTATCCTGAAGTCTTTTTCTTCAGCTTCTTGGCCAATAAATTCCACTGGATTTTCTCCTACCTTTCCCTCCACCCCTTCTCCGTTTCCATTGAGGGAGCCTCTTCCCTTGTTGGTTTATTTAATGTTGTCATTCTTCAGAGCTGGCCTGGGTCCTCTTTTCTTCTCACTCTACCTGCCCCAGGGCAATCTCAGGGGCATCTAGGCCTTCAGTTAGCGTCTAAATGATGAAGGCTCCCAAAAGTGTAACTACACCTCAGATCTGTCCCTTAAGCTTCATCTGTCTCTTAAGCTTCACATCTACCTATCCAACTGCCTTCTAGCCACCAATCCCTCAAAAACAACATGCCCCAAATCATCTGCACCATGAACTCATCTCCCTCCTCACACCAAGTCTGTTCTGCTTTCTCTTTTCCCTATCTTAGAAGATGGCACCATTAGCTCCCACATGACCCCAGGAAGAGCATCAGTCACCCTTCTCCATACCCCGGGTACAACCATCCACCCGTCCCCATGGACACTTCCTCTTATAGATCGCTGACATTCCACTCTCTCTGCTCCCACTGTCATTCACCCTGGAGCAGGCCATCATCACCTCTTGTCTGAATTACAGCAATAGCCATCCAATGGAAGTCCCCACATATGCTGTCACCTCCCACAAATCCATTCTCCACTCCCCTGCCAGAGGATTGGATCACACCACACCATCGTCCTGCTTCAGTGACGCCCTACTCTTCTTAAGATAAAATCTAAGCCCTTGGATCACCACACCATCGTCCTGCTTCAATGATGCCCTACTCTTCTTAAGATAAAATCTAAGCCCTTGGATGTGGCCTGCCTCACCCTTTACTGTCTGCCTCTTCTTATACCACGCTGGTAATTCACCACTTTCTCCCTTTCAGCCTCCACATGCTGAAATGGAACATGATTTTCCCTTTCCTATGCCAGGGTTCATATATATTATTTCTTCTGTGTGGGATGTGCATCCTCTAGCCCTTTTTCCTGAAACTTCCTCTCATTGTTAGCTCCAAGCTTACACAGCATTGAGAAGGAAGCCTTCTCAATGTCACTAATCTGATTTAGGTGTCACTAAATATCAACTCTGCCACTTATTAGCAGTAGGATTTTAGACCACTTACTTAATATTTCTGTCCCTCAGTTTCCTTATATGGAAAAGAAGATAAATAAGTGCTAACATCATAGAGTTGCTGTGAAGATTAAATGATAGTCGTGCCTTGCATGTGTTTGTTATTATCATCGTCATTAGTATTATTACTAGCTCTCACAGCGCAGTCTGAACTTCTCGTATCTGAGTACTCGCCATGCCATTTTGTACTTGGCTATTTACTCCTCTGTATCTTCCCACAGAGTTTGCAATCTGGAATAGCAGGCTTATATACACCTTCTTTGTTATCGTATGTCCAGTGCCTAGCACAGTGCCTAACATTCAATAAGTAATCACTAAATATCTGCTATATAAATAAATAAATAAAGCTTAATGCTTAACAAAATATGAATTTTTGCACATAGAAATGAATGAGAATGTAGCACCTATAAACTAGGCCCCAAATTATTTTACATTAGGTGGACATAAAGTCTTAAGAAAATTCCTAATGATTTTTATTACTATGGCTAGACATTTGTGCAATCTTCTTAAGAGAGGGGAATGTCCACTTTTTTTAAAGAGAAGTCTAAGATCCTTAAAGCAGAGGGCAAAAGTGAGTGTAAGGTTATTAACATAGAAATGCAGATGTTTGGCATTGGAATGAAGAATTTCCAGGAGAAACATAATGCTGAGTGATTGAGATGAATCCCTTCAGGGAGAATTAAGCTCTTGCCGAAAAACAAATTGAAATGCATTTGTAGGAATTCTGATCATTTTGAGATCATCTTTCTAAGAAATATTTGTAAAATGTTATAGATTGAGAGCTAGGTTTTTCAAGTTCAAGGAACATCAGCATTACGTGATTAACAGGAAGATGGTCACTCATTTATAACTCTGAACTCTTGAAAATCAAGTGAAAATATACATCATTGAAAAATGATTAAGCTGTTAAGGGGCAGACTAGTATCATGAAGGGAAAATAATGTTTCTCTCTGTAAGTGATTCCAAGAAGATAGCAAGAGAGAATTTCTTCAACACTGGGGAAAAAAAATGACTGCATGGAAACAATTTAGGTAAATAATAAGAAACCTCTAAACAGTGCCAGGCTCACTTAAGAGTTGAAACCAGACTTTTGCAATTAACTGATCCTTTGAAAGGTACTTATTTTCATCAATTGGCCAAAACCACCAATGGCAACATGCTCTCCTATAATAGCAGGACCCTCTGAGCAATGCCTCTTTCACAGCAACATAAAGTATTGAGCGAGGGTGTAGAAGTGGGAGTGTGTGTGTGTTGGGGGTGGGGTATGATGGGGGTGGAGCTGGAGAATGGGAGGGGAATGAGAGACACTAAGAGGGAGTTCATAGATCCTGAGAGTGTACAGCTGAGAGACTCAGAAAGGAGAACATGGAGCCCTCAAGAAATGCTAGAGAAGAAGAACATAAATTACTTACTTGCAGAGCCACTATGTTCTTTTATTTTAAATGGCTAATAAAGAAAAAGAAACAAACATAGCTAAATATCTGTTGATAAAACAAAATGAAACACATGCTTGCTTATGCCAAACCAGTTTCTGTATATACCTTCTTTAAGAGATAATCTTATTTCCTGAAAACAGGTAGTCAGTCAATCAACAAGTATTTCAGAAGCAGCTATCTGCCAAGTACTCAACTGGAAATAAACATGTGTAATAAAATACTGAAAAGAGAAGCAGATTCATAAAGTCCCACATTATAAAATACAAGAACGGGAAAATATATAATCAGTTACGTGTTACAAAGATTTAGGTATGAAATGTTCTAGTTAGGAATGGGAATTAATGTGCCCTTGAGCTTCATGGGAGGTTTCAAAGAGGAAGTGGAATTTGATCAGAGCCTTAAAATTGGATAATTGAAGATTAAATGAAAGGCATCCTTGGATAAGGAATAGTTCAGGCAATGCATGGATACAGATAAACATACCGTGGAATAGTAATCAGCCATAAAAGTAAATGAAATTGTAATAAATGCTACAGCACTGATTAACCTTGAAAACATCATGGTAAGTGAAGTCAAACACAAAGAGACAAATATTGTATGATTTCATTTATATGAGGTACCAAGAATAGGCAAACTCATAGAGACAGAAAGTAGAATCGAGGTTACCAAGGGCAGGGGACAACGGTGAGTTTGATTTAATGGGTACAGAGTTTCTGTTTGGGATGACAAGAAAGTTCTGGAAATGTATAGTGGTGATGGTCTCACAATACTGTGAATGTGCTTAATGCCACTGAATCGTACCCTCGAAAAATAGTTAAGATGGTAAATGTATTGTTATGTGTATTTTACCACAATTTTTTTAAAGAAAGAAGCCTTCCTAAATTTTTTTTAAAAGGTGAAAATGGTAAGTTTTTGTCTCACATATTTTGCCACAATACATAAAATATAGAAAGCAAAGGTGTGGGAGTGAGCCCAGAGCTCTGGAGGGAAGAGGAGGGTAAGAAGGCTGGGATGGTGAAGAAGTGAGGCGGCAAAGGGAGATTCTTTTTTTTATTATTTTTGAGACGGAGTCTCGCTCTGTTGCCCAGGCTGGAGTGCTGTGGCACGATCTCAGCTTACTGCAGCCTCCACCTCCCAGGCTCAACCAATTCTCTGCCTCAGCCTCCCGTGTAGCTGGGATTACAGGCAGGCGCCACCACACCCAGCTAATGTTTATATTTTTAGTAGAGATGGGGTTTTACCATGTTGGCCAGGCTGGTCTCAAACTGCTGGCCTCAAGTGATCCGCCTGCCTCGGCCTCCCAAAGTGCTGGGATTACAGGCATGAGCCACCACAACTGGCCTGCAAAGGGAGATTCTAGTAGGGGTCTGATGTGAAGGTCTTTAAAGCCAGGCAGGGGCATTTTAATTTGATTTTCTCACCTTTTGTTATTGAACTGAGACGGAACATAAATTTGGCAGTCATTTAAAAATGTATTTTGATAGCACTGTGCAGGATGAAACAGAATGCCTGGAGCCAGGGTGAAGGCATTATAATGCTGTAATAATAATGTGCGTTTGAAGCAATGTGGGCTTAAAGCAGGAAGGCAGGAAGCAGAAATGACTCCCAAGGAAAATTAGAACAGCTGGGGACTGATTGGATGTGGGGGTTCTGAGAAAAAAGGAGGCTTTAAAAACAACTGGTATTTCAAAACCTGGGCAACTGGGAGAAGAATGAACGGAGCTGGAGAAGTCGGGGGCGGGGAGAGGAGGGCTGCAGATGATGACTTGGTTTTGCCTGGATTGAGTCTGGGATGGGGATGAGACATCATGTTTAAATGGTCTTATAGGGAGTAGGAAAGAGGCTAAAACCTCAAGAGATAGAGGAAATTCAAGTACAGGATTAAGTTGAACAAAAGTGATAACCAACCCCACAAGGTGATTTTTATTTCGTAACCTCAGTGGGGAAATCTTCGGTGCAGGGCAGTGGTCCTCATTTGGGGTGATTTTTGTCTCCCAAGGGACATTTGGCAAAGTCTAGAAATATTTTTGGTTGTCACAACTCGGGGGTGAGTGGGCCAGTGTTACTGACATCCAACTGATAGAGATCAGGGCTGCCACTAAACATTCTGCAATGTACAGGACACCCCCCACAACAAAGAATTATCTCATCCAAAATATGTCAACAGTGCCAAGGTTGAGAAAACATGATTTAGAGAGAGGAAAAAACAGTTGAGTCTTTGAAATACACACACACACACACACACACACACACACACACACACACACACAGAAAAGGAATAGTCAGAGAGAATGAACCCCTTAATTAAAAGAACTGGGTTATGACGGCCCACAGAGGAGAGGATTTCAAGAAGGCAGGAGTGGCCCACGTGTACCAATGCTGCTGATGTCTTATCCTCAAGCACTGCTGGCCCTCCAGAGAGTGGATTAATCAACTCCTAGGGGAAGACTCAGGGTGCAGAATGGCAGGGGGAGAAGCACCATCAGTTTGTGGCTAAAGGCGGCAAAAACAGACAGCTCAACTGAGAAGCCAGGCATAGAAAGACGGCAAGATACCAGAGCCATCGAGCCAAGGAAAATCTGCTTGGTTGAGTTTGAAGGAGATGACGAGGGCCTCTGGTAACAGAAAAGAGACTGAAAATGCCGTGAGCTCATCGAGTGAGCAAACAAATGGGACAGCAAGGCCCACAGAGAAGGGAAACCTCATAGGAAGGAATCCCACCAGCGGGCGTGAACATACACCGCTCAGACATTTACCAATTAAATCACTTGGAGGAAAGATTCCCCCAATACTTGTCAACAAACTTTTTTTTTTGTTTGTTTGTTTTTTAAGACAGAGTCTCTCTCAGTCGCCCAGGCTGGAGTGCAGTGGCGCGATCTCGGCCCACTGCAACCTCCACCTCCCGGGTTCACGCCATTCTCCTGCCTCAGCCTCCCGAGTAGCTGGGACTACAGGCGCCCACCACCACGCCCGGCTAATTTTTTTGTATTTTTGTAGTAGAGACGGGGTTTCACCGTGTTAGCCAGGATGGTCGCGATCTCCTGACCTCGTGATCCACCCACCTCGGCCTCCCAAAGTGCTGGGATTACAGGCATGAGCCACCGCGCCCGGCCAACAAACTTATTTTTAATTAGAAGCTGGAAAAGAGTCTCTAATGAAAAAGAAACACTTGGCAGGGTGCGGTGGCTCATGCCTGTAATCCTAGCACTTTGGGAGGCCAAAGTGGGTGGATCACGAGGTCAGGAGTTTGAGACGAGCCTGGCCAAGATGGTGAAACTCCATCTCTACTAAAAATACGAAAATTAGCTGGGCATGGTGCCGCACACCTATAGTTCCAGCTACTGGGGAGGCTGGGGCAGGAGAATAGCTTGAACCCGGGAGGCGGAGGTTGCAATGAGCTGAGATCACACCACTGCACTCCAGTCCAGGTGACAGAGCAAGACTCTTGTCTCAAAAAAAAAAAAAAAAAAGAAAGAAACGTTCGTTGGTAATCTTGCAATTTTAAAAAACTCTGTTTGCAACCTTATCCAGTAGGTTACTCTTATTAAAATCTTGCTAAGATATGAAACGGAAAGTGCCATCAGCGAAACTGTCATTAAACTTGGTAAGAGGAAAAAGTATCAAGTTTCGCTACAGTGTTAGAAATGAAAGAAGTATATTATCTAAAACAGGCTGAATTATCTTGTTTTAAACAATCAATTCTATGTGCTATATTCTTTAAAACTGTAATGGAAATCAAAACACTATATATTAACAAATATTCTTTTTAAAAGAAAACAAAAATTGTTTAAGAGTTAAAAGCTTGAACTTTGGAGACAGAGAGACCTGAGTTTGAAACTTGACTTTATCCTTGCTTCCCGGGTGACTATAGGCAAGTTGTTTAAACTTTCTAAACCTCAATTTCCTATCTTTAAAGTGGAGATATTTATAACGAAACAACACAACACAGTGGCTGGCATATAAATGTTCATTAAATGTTACATATAATATCATATTATTAGATTATCTGTTGTCCTTAGGTAGATTACGAAAAGCTATACAGGCACTTAAAAGATTGATAATTGTGTCAAATATTTTTGGAACTTTTTTTAGCAATCTGACTTTGAGAGTCAGTATAGTCTCAGTACAGGGAGGTAACATATGTTGTAATCTTAAAATATAATATTAAAATCTCTTCAACTATGTACCATACTCAATACAATTAATGCTAAATATCTTTTGATTGTTTCCAAAAATTGAACTGAATTCTACCCTTAAGAGATGAGGATTTGGCGCTGGCACGGTGGCTCACATGCCTGTTATCACAGTACTTTGAGGCCAAGGCAGGAAGATTCCTTGAGACCAGGAGTTCAAGTTCAGACTGGGCAACATAGCAAGACTCCCATCTCTACAAAACATTAAAAACTTATCCAGGCATGGTAATGCACGCCTAGAGTTTCAGCTACTCAGGAGGCTGAAATGAGAAGATCACTAGAACCCAAGAGTTTAAAGCTGCAGTGAGCTATGATCATGCCACTAATGCTCCAACCTGGGTGACAGGATCAGACCCTCTCTCTAAAAAAGCAAAGAAAAAAGATGAGATAGGCCAGGCATGGTGGCTCATGCCTGTAATCCCAGCACTTTAGGATGCTGAGGCTGGCTGATCACTTAAGCTCAGGAGTTTGAGACCAGCCTGGGCAACATGGCAAAACCCGGTCTCTACAAAAAATACAAAAATTAGCCGGGCATGATGGTGCACATCTGTAGTCCCAGCTACTCCAGAGACTGAGGCAGGAGGATAGCTTGAGCCTGGGAGAGGGAGGTTGCAATGAGCCGAGATCACACTACTGCACTTCAGTCTGGGCAACAGACCAAGACTCTGTCTCAAAAAAAAAAAACAACAGATGAGATAAGAGATAAAGTTTTGTCACCAACGAGGCTATACACAGTATAGTTACAGAAGCTTCAAGATGCAGGAGACCTTAGAAATAACCTAGGCCAGGGCAGTCCAATACAGCAGTCACCAACCACATAAGGCCATTTAAATTGTTAAAATATAATAAAATTAATAATTCTGTTCATCAGTCTCACCAGCCATATTTCTAATGCTCAGTAGCCACATGTGGCGAATGGCCACCGTATCGAATAGCACAGATACAGAATATTTTCATCATCACAGAAAGTCCTAGAGGACAGTGCATTCGTCTAGAGAAATGGGTCTCAGTTGAGAAATGGGTCTACATTGAGAGCATATGTGTGAAACCAAATCTTTCAAAATCACATGACTTTCTCCCACATGGCTGTCTTGGAGAGTTATGTGGATTCTAGCTCAGGTGCTGATTGCAGGAGATCCAGAGGTGAGGCCCCAGGACTGCAAGAAGGATACACAGGCATGAGTTTCAGCTCATCCCTATGATTAAGTCAGGAAAAGCCTCCAGAATGGATGGCCGGCAACCAACATGTGTTGTTGAGATGGTACACCCCAGACTGTACTGATGTTGTACTCTTGTTCTGTTACTTATCTGTCCTGCCCAGGTTGCAAGAATAGGACACCACCCTATTCTAAAACCTCTCTAGCTTCCAGGGAGGTTTTATCTTGTAATTTATAAAGTTTTCCTACTGAACATCAAACAATGGTGGTGGGAGGCGAGGTGTGTGTGACCTTTCCCATTTAGTCAACTTGGGAAGCAGTCACCCTTATCAAGGAAAGAAGACCTGGAAGGTGGACCTCAGAGAGAAGGGAGAAAACCATCCTCCTTCACTGTGTGAGTTTGGCCTGGAGCACCTCCAGGAGAAGTGGGTAAAGAAGACTTGGAGGAGACCTGGGAGGGACCTCAAGGCCATAGCTTGCCTGGGAGCTCTGAGAATAGCGACATCTAGAAGTACTTGTAAGTTATTCTTCTGGCCTAGAATTCTTTGGGGGGTTTTTCCCCACCTCTTTGTCCTCAACTCTTCAGAAAGATCTTGTTGAAATTACAGCTTGGTCTCAGCAGTGTTTGGGGACGGTTCCATAAGCCCGGAGTGGTGGTAGCAGCAGTTACTGGTGGAGGACACAGGGCCTGCAGCAGGTGCTGATCTCTCCAGGGGCAATGGCAACACACAAGCAACTGGGGGCCCAGTGAGGAGACCAGGACAGAACCTGAAGGACCTGCTGTAGCACACCTGAGAAGCCACATCTTAGGGACTGAAAGCCACCAAGCGACATTGACTTCCATGACACCACAATCTCCTCGTCCTCCTGGCTTTGTGGTTGCTTCTTCTCAGCGTCTCTCACTGGTTCTTCTTCCCTCTCCTCCGGAAGTGCACGCATTTTCCAGGCACTCTCTTTACCTCTTCTCTCTCTACACTCTCTTCCTTGGTAATGTTGATCCTTTCCAGGGCTTCAGCCACCAACTCCACCTATGCCCCTAGCCCATGCCCCCTCCTGAGTTCCAGCCCTCAGAGACCACCTGACCATGGAATCTCTTCATTTGAAAGACCTGCAAGCACTTCAAGCCCAATGTGTCCAGACTCATCATCACCTTCCTCTTCTTCACCCTCCATGTCCAATTACTGCCAAATTCAGTCAAGTCTACCCATGCAATTTAACCTCCTATTTCCATTATGAGTTCCCTATTTCAAAACTGCACCGGCTTTGACTGGAAAACTGAAGTCCCCTCTGAAGTGGTCAGTCAAGCCCCCTTCCAACCTGTCCTATTTGATGCTAACAGGATTATGGTCCTAAATTATATATTATAGGTATGAGCATGTCTGCCCCTTCTCTAAACACCGTAATAAATGGATTTCTTCAAATCCCATTTTGTGTCCTCCTGCACCCATTTTCAGTGCACAAAAAATTCTCTAAACTCCTTTGAACTCTCCAGCCCTATACTTTGCTACAGCCCATTCAGTCAATCCCCCAAGTCACACTTCCTCCATGTTACTTGACATCCTCAGTCAATTTCACCTTCTCCTTCCCTACACACAAGGTGGGTGGCTGCAGCTCTACAGTGCATTTCCTGCAGGCTGCCTGGTACTGCAGGCGCTTGCAGGAGGGTCCAGCTCCTCATTAGACCACCAGGGCAGTGTGATACCACACAGAACACCCACCCAAAGGCTAACAAGATCATGGCTGTCACATCTCCCACAGGGCCATGAAATATAGACCTTGCTGAGCGTTTCAAGTGGCTTTGAGGGAGGTTTATCATTTAATTTATAAAGTTTGCCTACTGTACATCAAACAGAATGAGAAGATCACCAATGCTAACTCAGTGACCTGGAATTTAGAGTCTGCCAGAGCCTGACACCAAAGTCATGGACTCTACCCTTGGATTGCCCCTGCCAGGAGGAGGGCAGGAGATGAATGCATCAGCAGGTGAATCAGGGGAGAAGAGCCATAATGCAAAAAATTGAAAAAAAATCTATAAAAAGTACAAAAAATACAACTTTGGACACGGGTCTCAGCTGTGGAAAGCTGAAAGCCAGCAGTAGTTGACTAGAGATACTGCAGCATGTGGTTGATTTGACAAAATAGCTAATTTGACTGAGGGCACAGTTTAAGTTGCAGGAGGTTTAAAAAAAGAGGCGGACATCATCACCCATGCTACCTTCCCCCAGAACACACTGACACTGTCACTACCACCAGAGGCAAAAGCACAGGGAGAAAAGCAGAGGGACTGTTTGAACGAATAAAGGGAAGGTTGAACCCACTATCATTTTGCACCCACTAAGAATTGAGACAGCAGAATTAAAACTGCCAAAGGAAAAACAATGTCTGGCCCAGAGCAAGAACTCAACAAAGTTCTGAGGAATGAATAAACATGGACTTGCCTTCTCATGTACTCATACATTCATTTACTGAACATCTATTTGATATGCTCATATCGCTGTCATCAAAACCACCCATTCTAGACTCTGAGAGGCATCAGACTGTCTGCAATGGCAAGAGGTCATGTGGAAAACGCATTGCTCACTGGGCGCGCTGGCAGAGACAGCTGACAGCCTCTCACATGCACAGATCACAATTGCACCGCAGTTACATGGTCTCCAGGAGCTTCTACTTTACCAAGCACCACCATGTACATTCTCTCATTTGACCCTCATAACACAAATAATCCATGTCAGTTCCATTCATAGGACTCATCAGTGACTGCTCATTTCACCAAGGATAGAATAGAAGCTACTTAGCCAGGGTTCATTTGTAGAAGGATGTTTTTGCCTACCATGTGCCAGACACTGACCTTAGGTTCTAGGTTCACAGGAGTGAGCCCAAAAAGTCCCCCCGCTCTTGGTACTTACATTCCAGTGGCTGACCACATTCCCACTGATCTAGCCTCAGGCCACCTGCCCATCCTCTTCCCCTGACTCCCCCTCCCTTCACTCCAGCCACATGAAACCTCAGGAAGTTTGCTGAGCATGGCCTGCTAAGCAGCACCACACCAACATCGTCACCCACGGTCACCTGTTTGAGACACCCTTGCTCCCTTCTCCAACTGGCTAATTCCTCCTGGGCCACCCAGCTCACGCAGATCTGGGCATTGCTACTCAGGAAAGCTTTCTCACTGCCCCTCCTCGGCCTAGCTCCCCTCACACTCAGGTCTTCTGCACACACGCCTCCATCCTGGCCATGTGGAGGGATGGTCTGCAGAGAGGTTAGTTTGTGGTTATGGTTCTTCCTTTAATAGGTATAATTTTCTTACTTTTGCTGAACATCAGCCATTTGGGACCACTCTGTATTTGTCTCCTCCGCCCTGATCTTCTCTGGAGACCCACAACCTTCCCTAAAAGTCCCACAGAACACCACACAGCATCTAGGGGTAGAAGCCAGAGCCTTTGCCTCGGGGCTAAACTGATCCATATAATCTCACTTTCCTGCACGTAATAATTGATTTAGAGAAGAGAATCTGATCCTAGTTGGTCTAACTGAAGTCCAGACATTTT
Source organism: Homo sapiens (assembly GCF_000001405.40). NCBI lineage: Eukaryota > Metazoa > Chordata > Mammalia > Primates > Hominidae > Homo > Homo sapiens. The sequence continues at coordinate 224,396,788 of NC_000002.12, forward strand.
GTTGCGCCATGGTGGGGCAAGGCACTTGGAATCCACATGAAGGATGTAACCCTCAGAGCTGCTAGCAGCCAGCTGGCGACCCTGGCGGATGCCTGGCTGAGGATAGGGCCAAGACAGTGATAACAGAGCTGGGATCTGGATCCTGAGCACACTGTGTAAGGCCTGGACTACTCACTTACAGAAGCCAGACTCGCTACCCAGCCCCTCTCCCCAGGACCCAAGGAAGTTTAGGCTGGATTTTCTTTTCTTTTCTTCTCTTCTCTCCTCTTTTCTTCTTTTCGAAACAGAGTGATATGGTTTGGCTGTGTCCTCACCCAAATTTCATATTGAATTATAACTGCCACAATTCCCATGTGTCGTGGGAGGAACCCAGTGGGAGGTGATTGAATTATGGGAGTGGGTCTTTCCTGTGCTGTTCTCGTGATAGAGAATGAGTCTCATGAGATCTGATGGTTTTAAAGATGAGAGTTCTCTGCACAAGCCCTCTCTTTGCCACCTACTGCTATCCATGTAAGATGTGACTTGCTCCTCTTTGCCTTCCGCCATGATTTTGAGGCCTCCCCAGCCACATGGAACTATGAGTTCATTAAACCTCTTCTTTTGTAAATTGCCCAGTCTCGGGTATGTCTTTATCAGCAGCGTGAAAACAAACTAATAGAGTAAATTGGTATCAGTAGAGTGGGGCATTGCTGAACAGATACCTGAAAATGTGGAAGCGACTTTGGAACTGGGTAACAGGCAGAGGTTGGAACAGTCTGGAGGGCTCAGAAGACAGGAAAATGTGGGAAAGTTTGGAACTTCCTAGAGATTTGTTGAATGACTTTGACAAAAATGCTGATAGTGATATGAACAATAAGGTCTAGGCTGAGGTGGTCTTAGATGGAGATGAGGAGCTTATTGGGAACTGGAACAAAGGTGACTCTCATTATGTTTTAGCAAAGAAACTGGCGGCATTTTGCCCCTGCCCTAGAGATTTGTGGAACTTTGAACTTGAGGGAGATGATTTAGGGTATCTGGCAGAAGAAATTTTTAAGCAGCAAAGCATTCAAGAGGTGACTGGGGTGCTATTTAAGGCATGAGTGAACAGTGAATTAATTCACTCATAGTAAATGAGTCTCCCAATATCTGATGGTTTTAAAAACAAGAGTTTTCTGCACAAGCTCTCTTTGTCTGCCGCCATCCATGTAAGATGCGACTGCTCCTCCTTGCCTTCTGCATGATTGTGAGGCTTCCCAAGCCACGTGGAACTGTGAGTCCAATTAAACCTCTTTCTTTTGTAAATTTCCCAGTCTCCAGCCTGTCTTTATCAGCAGTGTGAAACAGACTAATACACAGAGTCTTGCTCTGTCATCTAGGCTGGAGTTCACTGGCACAATCTCGGCTCACTGCATCCTCTGCCTCCCTGGTTCAAGCGATTCTCCTGCTTCAGCCTCCCGAGTAGCTGGGACTACGGGTGCACACCATCATGCCCAGCTAGTTTTTGTATTTTCAGTAGACAGGGGGATTTACCATGTTGGCCAGGCTGGTCTCAAGCTCCTGGCCTCAAGTGATCCACCTGCCTCAGCCTCCCAAAGTGCTAGTATTACAGGCCTGAGCCACCACGCCCAAGAATTTTCTATCCTGAAAAATTCACTCCATTCAAAGAATCAAAAGCTATCTAGGAGCTACAATGTGTTGTCTTTGGATTATGGCTGAGCCTTTACACACTTTCCTCAGGCACTTTTATTATATGACACCAGAAGCAGAATTTTCCAGAAGGCGATCTCTCACTCTGTTTGCAAAAGCTTAGACTCATTGACTTAACAAGAGGAGATCAAAGCGTGTTTTGGAGTGAGGAAGCAGAAGTCTCTGAGGTTTGGAGGTCAGGACAAAGGTGATGTCCAAGGGGGCTATCAAGAGTGAGAGGCAGCTGGGCGTGGTAGCTCATGCCTATAATCCCAGCACTTTGGGAGGCTGAGGCAGGTGGTCACTTGAGGCCAGATGTTTGAGACCAGCCTGGGCAACATAGTGAAACCCCATCTCCACTAAAAATACAAAAATTAGCTGGGCATGTTGGCAGGCACCTGTAGTCTCAGCCACTTGGGAAAGCTGAGGCACAAGAATTGCTTGAACCCGGGAGGCAGAGGTTGCAGTGAGCTGAGATCACACCATTGCACTCCAGCCTGAGCAACAGAGAGAGACTCTGTCTCAAAAACAAAAGAGTGAGGGGCTGATGCCCCATTCACACCTGAGAAGTGGCCAGGCTCCTGGGACAATCCAGAGAGGAAGAGGGCTCTTTTCATACAATTCATGGAGTTTCTCTTTATCCAAAAAACTCTTCTACACTCCCCAAATGTGACTCAACTTTCCAAAGTAACTAAGTTGTTTAAACTGTGGTTCCATAGCAAAAATGTCAGTCAGCCTTAAAGACAGGAATGATTAAAATCATGTCCCTTGCTGCACACACACATTACATTTTTGTTTGACCATGAGGTTGATTTTAAGTACTAGAGAGTCGCTAAAACTGAAAGAAATTTTAGATGCCTTGGAAATTATGGGGTTTTATAATAGGCAACTAACAGAAACAGTGCCTGTCTACCTTATGTGAGCAAGAAGGTGAATAATTTAGAAATCATTTAATATGGAATATGATTCATGTTTTATTAACAAGTCAAAGTGATGACAACAAAATTAACCAAATGGAAAGACATCTCATCTTGTAGTCTCTTATTACTTTATTCAATAGGCCTTAAGGAGCTTCTGACCATTTCTTAAGGACAGAAGCCACAGGATATTTTGCTGTGAACATGACATTCATCCCCCTGCTTGCACATTTACACACATACACTGGACTGCAGCGGCTGACCACATGAACTTTGAGGGTAGATAGATACTTCCTATCTTGGGCAAATAACTGACCCCCTGGAAAGCTCAGTTTTCTTATCTCCAAAATGGGAAAAATAGTAACTTCATAGGTTGTTATAAGTATTAAATAAAATTATCAATTTAAGAGAATCCTTAGTATAGGGCATAATATGAACAATAATAGCTAAAATTGAGTTCTTGGCACTATCTTAATTATGTACTTTATAAGTGTCAGGTCATTTCCTGTAAGTAAGTATGAGAGAGGAAGATGCTAATTCTCGGGTGCCTTTATTGTGCTAATGAAGAAACTGAGGCCCACAGTCATACAGCTACTAAGTGCCCAGGCTCACATACCATGGAAAGGCAATGCACGGCAGCTATCATGACTAAATACACACATGCTATGTTAGGTTTTCGAGGATGGTTACAAAGGAAGGCTTTAATTTCAAGTTTTTTTAAGAAAGCATTCTATCTAACTTGGTATGTGGTAAAATTTGACAGTGATGCAAGATGCTTAAAAATTAAGTCAATACGAGTTGATGGGTGCAACAAACCAATATGGCACATGTATACCTGTGTAACAAACCTGCACTTTGTGCACATGTACCCCAGAACTTAAAGTATAATAATAAAGAATAAAAATTAAGTCAATAGTACTGCAAACTTAACATCCCTAAACAAGCTCGGCCAACATAGTGAGACCCCGTCTCTAGAAATAAAATAAAATAGCCAGACATGGCGGCACGTGCCTGTAGTCCCAGCTAATCAGGAGGCTAAGGCAGGAGGATCACTTGAACCCAGAAGGTGAAGACCTCAGGGAGCTATGATGGCACCACCGCACTCGAGTCTGGGCAACAGAGGAAGACTCCCATCTCTAAAAAATAAAAAAATTAAAAATTAAAAAAACCATATCTAAACATAAGTATGACTTCAACTTCCTTAAGTCAGATTAGAAGAGCTTGTGACATTCCTGAGCCCAAAGAGTAAACAAAGGATAGGGGTATAGTTGATGGGCATTTAAACGGCAAGCCTGAGAAAGGAGGCCGATTCTTTAATAGGATTCTGATCTTTATAGTAGAATCCTGTCTGATTCTACTATAAAGTACTTGTGTCAGCTGCAAATTCATGGAATCTGAACTTTCTTATCTGTCAGATGAGATTTTATGAGATCAGTGATTCTCAACCCTGTTACAGATTACAGTCATCCAAGAAGCTGTAAAAAAGTTACCTAGGCCTGGATGTTCCCAGAGATTCGGATCAAACTGCCCTGGGGTGGGAATTTATGAAAGACCCTAAGGGACGCTAATATGCAACCAAGTCTGAGAACCACTAGCTTAGGCCCATTCCGATGTAAAATTACACAGCTCCATGAGCCTCTACAAGATCTGAGACAAAACAGAAATACCTGAAGCAGAATCTTGTTGCCATCGTAGTCCTGAGTCTGCCACCTGGTGCTGCTGATAGGCATGCATGGATTGGGTAGCAGAGGCACTAACTGGCCGATCTCTTGAACCTTAAACTGCAGCACCGAAGACTCTTTGGGGTCCACTGACATTCCCGGGGGCAGCTGCTTCAGGGAGAGCTGCAGAGCAAAGCTCTTGGAGGCATAGAGCACGAAGAAACAAAAATTGCTCTTTTGCAAGGTCGCTTCTCTCTGCAGGATCATCTCGTAGAGTCTGATGGCGTCTTCATAGTTATCAAAACTGCAGTACAGCGTCACCCTCAGGATCTCGGAGCCACAGTGCACCTGCCTCACCCCCCAGATGGGCAGCTGACTGTCCAGGCTGTAGAACTCCTGATTGGCAAAAAAGTAGGGACACAGCCTTCCCCGAGTGTCCTGGGTGGGGTAGCACTGCCATGGCGAATGCTGGAGAGAGTCCAGGACGCGAAATAGCCTATCCTCTCCCGGGCTTTCGTGCAGGAAGAGCAACACGGACATCCCTGGAAACCGGGACCGCTTGGAATGGGACTTTTCACAGTATTTCACAGGACTGGCCCGTTCAGACACCTGAAAGAGCCGGACCTCTGGGCAAATGCAATCCAGGAGCTGGTCCAGAGTCCTCTGCAGAAGGGAGCCGTGCCCAGAGTTGGCAAGAAGATGGACAGTCATGGCCAGAGGCCCCTGTGTCTCATCCATGGAGGAACTGCCTGAGGCTGACAAAGACAGCGTGTGTAGAAGGCCCACTGTTCAAGTTTCTGAAATGAATGAAGAAGCGGCCCAGCCTTCAGCCCGCCTGAAAACCTTCAGCTGCAGCGGCTACTTCTGAGCAGAGCTCTTAACCAGACTAACACGTGCTCCTGGCCACCCGTGGACTTACGGCAAGAGAAGCTCACACCAGCTCGGGTTCAGCAGCCTCCCTCTCCACACAGCAGCAGCGGGGTCACGTCATCCAGCTTGTGCATAATGTAACTGCTTGTGTTTAGCCTTTTCAGGCGTTCCCCAGGGTTTCTGCGTGACCTAAAAACCTATAATCCTGAGAAACACCCAAATGGGCGGCTCTTATAGACACTTAGTACAGGAAATGACCGGCCGAAAAGGAACATGAGTTGGCTCTGTTAGGCTGATAGCAATCTGTTTAGTTGAAAAGACATCCATTTTATCAACTTACAACGGGTTCTCATTTCCTACTTACGGTTTACAGTAGCCTGCTCCACCAATCTGAATACAATGACTTCTTGAAAACAATTCTCAAAACCTGACCCTTTGCCAGTTTTTTTTTTCCTTTGTCTCTTTATTTCATTTTGTTTCTGAACATTTTCTGCTAGGGCACGAAGAGAAGACTTTATCTAAATAATTTTGACTTCACTGAAAATTATTTGCTGTACCGAAAATTCTGAGTGTACTAAAAAGACATTGAGAAAATTAGTCTTCCTTTATTCACGCAAATTCTTTAGAAAGAGTGAGAGCTTTCCTATAATTGCTCATATAATTATAATAATAAATAATTATAATTAACAATTGTAATTATAATTTTTAGTGTCTAATGAGGATCTACTATGTACCAGTCATAAACTGTTCTAATTCTTAAAGTAATTAGTTTTGTTTTGTTTTGGAGATGGAGTCTTGCTCTGTCGCCCAGGCTGGAGTGCAGTGGCGTGATCTTGGCTCACTGCAACTTCCACCTCCCAGGTTCAAGAGATTCCCCTGCCTCAGCCTCCCCAGTACCTGGGATTATAAGTGCGCCAACACGCCCAGCTAATTTTTTTGTATTTTTAGTAGAGACTGGGTTTTGCCATGTTGGCCAGACTGGTCTCGAACTCCTGACCTCAGGTGATCTGCCCGCATTGGCCTCCCAAAGTGCTGGGATTACAGGCATGAGTCACCACACCTGGCCCTTAATGTAAATTAATTTAATCTTGCAACAAACCTATGAAGAAGAGATTACTAGCCCCAAATTACAGATGAAGAAACTGGGGCATAGAAAGGCTAGGTAACTTGCCCAAGGTCTCACAGCTAAGAAGTAGCTGAAGGATGATTTGAACCCAGGAACTTGCTGCACTGCCTCTCTGGGGCCTTGAAGTCCCAGCCTGGGTATTCTTCTTGTAAGGAAAAGATATAAAAGCAAGTTCTGGTTAAGGATCTAGATTTGCAGACTCTTGAGCTGTTGAATCTTAAACGGAATAATCTTCAATGAGAAAGTTGTCAAGCTCTAAACACTCACCCTAAATGTGTTCTAAATATTGATTTAAAAATTATTTGTGGCCACGCATAGTCGTCACGCCTTGATCCTAGTACTTTGGGAGGCCGAGGCGGGTGGATCACCTGAGGTCAGGAGTTCGAGACCAGCCTAGGCAACATGGCAAAACCCCGTCTGTACTAAAAACACAAAAATTAGCCGGGCAAAGTGGAGCATGCCTGTAATCCCAGCTACTCAGGAGGCTGAGGCACAAGAATCACTTGAATCCAGCAAGTGGAGGTTGCAGATCGCACTACTGCACTCCAGCCTGGGTGATAGAGCAAGACTCCGTCTCAGAAAATAAAAAATAATAAAAATAAATAAATAAATAAATATTTTTAAAAAATCATTTGCTCTCCTGATAGCTGTGCTCCTCAACAGGTATGAACAAGCACTTTTTCTAAACACAATTCTTTTTAAAAGAGGCAATTGGACCAGGCGAAGTGGCTCACAACTGTAATTTCAACACTTTGGGAGGCCAAAGCAGGACAATCGCTTGAGCCCAGGAGTTCCAGGCTGTGCTGACCTAAATTCATGCCACTGCACTCCAGCCTGGACAACAGAGCAAGACCCTGTCTCAAAGAAAAAAAATGTACTTCAAAAAGAGCTGTAAAAAATTAAAATAAAAGAGGCAAATTTATGAATCCTTATAATGAAACACAGTGTGACAATTTTTTACATTAAAAAATACTTTTGTGATGAAAAATATAACAACTTTATATATCTGGATTCCTTTAATAGTATAACAACCTAATTTAAAGTAAAATATTATTATCCAAGAAAAGGAGTTATTTCTATTCAGATTCACTATGTAAATCTAACGTACAATTCTAATCATTTGTGTTTCATAATTCCTGTACTTTTTGCATGGGAAAAATACATAAATACAATTTATAACAGAGGAATTGTTTCCTAGTTATTGTGAGCAGCTCAGTAATTAAATTCATCTTGTTTCAACTTTTAAAAAAATCATTAGAGGTTTTTTTTTTTGGCATTACAAATCTCAAGCTTTTTTAAAAAAAACTCGACAGCATTCATGTTATGCATTGGCATTGGAAGCAGATAACTATCTCATCTCTCAGTGTGAACACTCTCCCTTCCGCAACCCTTCCATTCACAGAGCTGATTGTACTTTAGACAAAACTATAGTTTTTGAAATAGGCTTTGAAATTCTGGAAATAACTCTAAAGATTTGAGGAGAAAAATTGTTCCCCTGAAACCACGATATTAACTCACAACATTTTGCACAAGGTAAGTATTAAAGCTCTTACATAGGAAAAGATTTTGTTTCTTGATATTATCTTCCATCTAATGCTGAAAATACACTTTTTTCCTGATGAGGTTGTCATTTCTTTCAGGATTGAAAAGATTTCATTAATCTGTTGGCAGCCAAAGTGCCAACAAATCCAAGGGGCAGGAGGCCAGGGAAGAGGGGGACCAGCCTCATTTCTGACTGGCTGTCTCTGTGATTATTTCCCCAGGAACAACGTGAAATACTGACTGACCTTCCCCAAACTGCCTCCACCTTTGGTCACTGCCTTCCACCCACAACAAATGCCAGATTCTCAGCTGTGCAGCACAACAGTGTTTTAGCATGGTGCTTCTGTTGAAGGCACAGACAAAAATACTAAGGGAAATCATCAGCTTTGACTCTCAGCACCCGGACAGCTGTCACTCCAATTCTCTATCTTATTTTTCTTAAACTTGGCAGGCAATGATGCCCAGGTTTCTGCAGTCATCAGCTCCTGGATGGCAGATGGTTGGTCCACTCCTCACAGCAAATGGAGAGGCTGGTGATGAGTCGCTCAAGCAAACCTAGAAAATCCGAGGCTCCATTGGAACCCATGAAAATCCTCGGGGATTTGTCCTTTCTACAAAATACAATGGGATGCATTATAACCTCGAGATTCCCACCCACCCCCAACCCAGGAAAACTCTGAGAAAAAGTTCCTTTCCATCTTTAATTTATAAAATATGTTTATCTCACATGTCAAGAGCCAGGCGTTGCACCAGGAGCAGAAGATAGAATCGTCACCATCCCCCACTTTGGAGGGGCACCCTAAATGATGCAGTCAGTGCCATGATAAAGGGTGCTGCAGGATGTATGGAGACCCCATGGGGAGACACTGAGTTAGACGAGGGGGCCAGGACTGTCACACACTGGTGCAACTGCAAGCAGTTCAAGGTGGCTGGAGTGGAGGTTCAATGAAGAGGAGGGTGGAAGGAAGCCAGGGGCCTGATCAGGAAGGGCCTTGCAGAACACTTTATTTGAATCTGACCAGAACCACCTAAAAGTCAGTATGAAAAGGGAAGTGATGCTTTGAGGAAGCCACGGACACAGCAAGATATGCAGTCAAAGGACAGGTTTGTTGGCTGGTTGGATGCAGGCAGAAAACCGTGGTGGCTAGTCCAGGAGGCATTCCAGGGTGGTACTTGCAGATGTTTGGGTGAAGCTGTCAGTCACCAGATAAGGAATACTGGAAAGGAGGGCAGTTAGGAGTGAGGATGAGGAGGGCAGGGTGGTTGTGTTGTGCATGGATGCCCGTGGGATGGCCAGAGTTGAGATGTCCAGTGGCCTGTTCACTACAGCTTTGAAGGGAACAGTAAACCAGAGAATAGGAATTGGGGAACTGCTGGTCTTCAGGCAGCCATGGGAAAGGATGTGACTACCCAGAAAGAGAAGACACAACAAGGACAGAAGAAGGAAGAGGATAGGATTCCAGGAGTACCCAGTTTAAGAGACAAGCAATGTTTAAGTGGCACCCAGGGCAAAATGGAGAGTGGAGTGTGTTATGAGGACTTCAGAACATGGCTTTGGCTGGGCAGACAGCATCATTTAGTGTTTCAGGCTAACATTTGTGACTCATTTCCCCTTCTCAATTAGGCAAACTCAAAGAAGCAGCTGTCACCAAGCGAACCTCAGAGCCATTCAAGCCTCTGTTTTCCTCGTTCCCAAACAACCTTAACTCTGGTTCTTTGTGTGATACTCACTTGCTAACCAGGGGCGAGGCATTCTAGAACCTGGGGCACTACTTGGAGAAAAGGTGTGGAGAAGGGACCACATGGTGCTTATTTTTTTAACTCCTGACTGAAGCCTCTAACCCTGAACCTACAGCACAGGACTAAATGGATCTGTCATGAATGAAGGAATCTTGGCATCTCTTAAGGGATCAGAATCCCAGGGAGGCTGAGATACTTTCCCAACACCACACAATTGGTTATTGGCAGAGCCTGGATTTCTGGGTTTTAAACCATGCTCCCTCACCACTCCTAAGGGGACAATACCATGTAGCTATTCAGGTAAGAGTCATTTAGGCTCAGGACACATAAAAAGGAAAACCAAGATCCAAGGAGTAGGGATTATTCTCAGAGCCCTAACATTATTCCTGTCCCATGCTCTAGATGCCTCTTGTATTAGTGTACATTTTTATACTGCTACGAAGACATACCTAAGACAGGTAATTTATAAAGACAAAGAGGTTTAATTGACTCCCAGTTCCACATGGCTGGGGAGGCCTCACAATCATGGCAGAAGGCAAAGGAGGAGCAAAGGCATGTCTTACATGGTGGCAGGCAATAAAGCGTGTGCAGGGGAACTGCCCTTTATGAAACCATCAGATCTCGTGAGACTTATTCACTATCAAGAGAACAGCATGGGAAAAACCCACCCCTGTGATTCAATTACCTCCCACTGGGTGTCTTCCATGACACGAGGGGACTACAGGAGTTACAATTCAAGATGAGATTTGGGTGGGGACATGGCTAAATCATATCACTTCTGGTTAATGTGTGCTTCCCTATGATGGACACTCCTAAGCCAGTGCCATCCTTGTGCTCCGCCCTTCTCCCAACACACACACACACACACACACACACACACACACACACACACACCCAAAGGCCCTTGGGTCAGGGCTCCGGGCTTCTCCTGGGAGTTTTGGCAGAAACAGCACCAGACAAACAATGGAGGGCTGTGCATTCCCAAGGGCTCCTTCTAGGGCAGAGGTGGGAAAGGAGGAAGTGGCCACAGTAAGCGCCTTTTTCATGCTGCTGTGGCTCTTAGCTGAAAGCTTCTCTCCTAGTTTCCCAGAGGACGCCTCCTGCCCAGCCCCAAACAATGCTATCAGGTTCCTCTTAAATTGCCATCTGTTTCCCCCTTTTCCAGGACAATGCAGCCCAGTCTCAGCCTGTGAGCTGATACCCTGTGTTTTCACAGGTGCACACAAAGAAGGCATGTTTCCTCCTCACTCTTTGTTGTGGTCTTCTGCTGTGACTTTGTTTCCCGTGCCCTGGTCAGTTATAGTTCTCAGCTAAGGCAGAGAAGTCACGTGGAACATGCCATGAGTCAGAGGGCTGGCTGTTCCCCCTGGTTCTGCTGCTCACCCAGCGAGGACCTGAGATTCCTAAATTCTCAGGTTTGGTTTCATCATTTGTTGAAGACAACAAGTAGCAATGGTGATAAGTAACCTGACTTTCTCAACAGAGAGGACCAAAGGAGCTAAATACCCCAAGCTCCCAAGTGCTCTACTACTGTAGACATGGCAACATGAAAGATTTTACATTTCACATTGTTTTAACTCCTCAAATAAAATCCGGTAAGTGCCATAGGGAATAAAGTAGTGTACATCATTTTAATGAAATACTATGCAGCTGTAAAAACAACAACAACAAAAGCGGCAAGGTGCAGTGGCTCACGCCTGTAATCCCAGCACTTTGGGAGGCCAAGGCAGGCGGATCACCTGAGGTCAGGAGTTCGAGACCAGCCTGGCCTACATGGTGAAACCCCATCTCCACTAAAAATGCAAAAATTAGCTGGGCAAGGTGGTGGGCGCCTGTAATCCCAGCTACTCGGGAGGCTGAGAAAGGAGAATTGCTTGAACCCAGAAGGCAGAGGTTGTAGTGAGTCGAGATCACACCACTGCACTCCAGCCTGGGCGACAGAGCAAGACTCCATCTCAAAAAAACAACAACAAAACCACTGAAAGAGGCTGGGCACGGTGGCTCCTGCCTATGATCCCAGCAAGTTGAGAGGCCAAAGCGGGAGGACTGCTTGAGCCTAAGAACTCGAGAACAGCCTGGGCAACATGATGAGACCCCTGTCTCTTCAAAAAAAAATTTTTTTGATTTTAAATTAGCCAGATATGGTGGAACACACCTGTGGTCCTAGCTACTTGGGAGACTGAGGTGTGAGGATCACTTGAGCCCAGGAGGTTGACACTGCAGGGAGCCATGATTGCACCACTGCACTTCAATCTGGGCAACAGAATTAGACCCCATCTCTAAAAAAAAAAAAAAAGAAAGAAAGAAAAGAAAGAACAAACTTTGGAGATGTAGGAAAATGAAAAATGACTTCCCTCTACCCTTATAGGTTATTTGGCTAGGCTATAAGTTAAATTGACATAAGATAGATTAACAGAAGAAAAACCATATTTAATTATGTACGTGTACATGGAAGTCCCACAAAATATGAGGCTCAAAGAAGGGTATGAGACTTTCAGATAATTAAAGCTTCTATAGCATTGTGAGCTACAGAAAGGAACAGAAGCTTGGTGCATCTGGGTAGTGGTGAAGACACAAGTTATGGGAGGGTGAGAGGAGGAAATGTCTGGTGAATAAAGATTGTCTTGCTATGCCCTACGGTTAACAATAACTTATTGTATATTTCAAAATAGCTAGAAGAGAATATTTGGAATGTTCTCAATACAAAGAAATGATAAATGTTTGAGGTGATGGCTATCCCAATTACCCTGATTTGATCATTACACATTTTATGCATGTATCAAAATATCATGTGTACCCCATAAATGCATATAATTATTATGTATCCATTTTTCAAATAAATTAATTAATTAAAAGTCTCCCAAGTGATAAAAGCTGTCTCCAAGCAGCCCTCTTCCTGATACAGATACTTTTACCTAGAGAGACTTCCTTAATAGATGTAAATTTCTTCCATAGGACAGCTTTTCTGAGCTACTCCTGTGTCTGCAGTTTCTCAGAATAACCAGCTCAAAATATGCCAAAGAAGTATATTTTGGGGTGGCATATTCTGGTCTCCTAAGTCATATTTTGGAGTGATGTGTTCTCAGACTCAACAGAACTAGATCTGGCAACAGCTAATAAGGTTGAAGATTTACATAACCTGTACCTCAGCGCGTGCCCTCCCAGGTATAATCTCTGAAGAAATCCTCTGCAAATGCACAAAGGAAGACAGATTCAAGACTGTTTGTAGCTGCATTTATTGAAATACCAAAAAAAAAAAAAAAAAACCAAAGAGGCAGGGGTGAGGTGAGAGGACTCTCTAAAGGCATACTAGACAAGGCACAGTGGCTCACATCTGTAATCCCAGCACTTTGGCAGGTCAGGGCAAGTGGCTCACTTGAGCCCAGGAGTTTGAGACCAGCCTGGACAACAAGGCAAAACCCTGCCTCTACAAAAAAAAATACAAAAAATTAGCCGGGTATGGTGGTGCGTGCCTGTAGTCCCAGCTACCCGGGAGACTGAGGTGGGAGAATCACCTGAGCCCAGGCCCAGGAGGTCAAGGATACATTGAGTTATGATCATGCCACTGCACTCAAGCCTGGGCCACAGAGTGAGATTCTGTCTCAAAAAAAAAATTAAAATTAAAAAATTAAAAAATTAATGTACCCCAGTAGAAGAATAGATCATCAATTATATTATATTCTTACAGTAACGTATTTATGTTAAGGAAAATAAATGCTCCCCATTTTATTTCGAATGAAACTTGCAAACATAATGTTGAGTGAAATAAGCAAGTTGCAGAAAGTGCATACAGAATTATACCATTGATATAAAATTTGGAAATATGAAAAAACTCTCCAATGATTATAGATATAAACCTCAGTAATCAAAGAATAGAGAAAATCCTGGGGATGAGAAACAGCAAATTCAAGTTGAGGGTTGCCTCAGGTGTGTGTAGGGGAATAAGATAAGTGCATTGATAATACTTCTTTATTAAGCTGGGTAGTAAGTACAGAAGTACTCATTGTATGATCTTTTAGACCTCTTTGTTACGCACACACCTCAAAAGATGGGTTCATCACAGTGTTGAAACAAAAGCACGTATAGGATATGATTCTTTTTCCTATAAGAACTATATATGTGCATATGTATATGTGTGTATGATTGGTAAACATAGAAAAAAAGTCTGGAAGAATATCAGCCAAACTTGTATTCATAGTATATCAATAGTAAATACCTCTGGGAGATAAAATCACAGGGTCCAAGAGCAGGTTCATTTCTTACTTCCTATATTTCTGCATTATTATCACAGATAAATTACACATCTAATAAACACCATGTATTAGATGTGTAATTAAATAATAAATAATGCATGAACCAATTTGAATAACACATGAACTATAGCCTTCGAATCCCAGTTCTAATGTTTCTTAACAACTGCTGTGTAGTTCAGGAACTGGGCTAGATGCAGCAGATATCATGATTAACAAAAATTGATACAGCCCTGGCTCTCATGGTGCTTATATTCTGGTGGGAAAGTCAGATATTAATCAAATACTTCGACAATCCTTAAAGTAACATGGCACCTGTAGCAAATGCTAGACAAGTTACACAGGATTTGACCTATTCATGGAGGTCAGAGACCATCTTAGCAGAAGAAGCTTAAGCTGTGATCTTTGAAGAGGAGCAGGAGTTAACTGGGAGAAGTGGGCCAAAATCGGCCTATGCAAATGCCCTGTGGCAGGTGGGAGCCTGGTGGAATGAAGGGCTGGTTTATGTAACTGACGGTACCATGTGCTAAGATAGGAATTTCTTCAAGAACAAGTTTGGCTAGGGTATTGGCAAGAAGGCTTTTGTTGGAGGAGCCTCTGGAAAAATGCCATGTGATTCAGAATGCTCCCAGTAACCCAGAGAAGCAGCAAATCCAGATAATTACTGGACAGACAATGAGAATAGTTGCTAGTACTTATTGAACACTTAACTTTGTACCAGGTATTGTTTTAAACACTGATATATACTAATTAATTTAATCCTCACCACAACTTTATGAGGTAAGTACTATCATTATGCCCATTTTACAGATGAGAAAACTGAGAAACAAGTGGAAAACGGGAGAATAGAAGTTTTCATCATATGACATCTAGCTATGTAATGGCAAAAGAATCTCTAATTATTGTAGTAGAAAAAAGAATGAATATATATTAAAAAATATATCCTTTTTTTAAATTTTACCAAAAAAAATGGGATTCACTGAACTGGGAAAAATAGCTGTGTGCTCCTGGAGGGCTAAGATCATATCTATACAACCAACCATTGGCACAATGCCTGGCACCTAGTGGGCACTTCACAAATGTGTGCAGCCGTAAGGTGGGAGCTGAATATATATGGTGAATTTTCTACTTGATGCATTACATGACCTCTAGTCCCCTGATAGAAAAATGTTAGCTCTTTGTCCACAGTTTGAGTCGTAAGTCAACCATCATTAATCAGCAACAGCAATCCTCCCTCATGAGAAGTTTAAGAAATGATCCCTCCTGAAACAAACAAAACAAAATAACAAAAACAAAAATCCTTCCAAGGGTTTGCAAGAGAAATTACAAATGTTGTTATAAATGTTCACTTTGCTTTTAGACAAGTGCCTTTCCAAATTAAGGACTTGCATTTATGAAGCGACACATCTATAAATTGGTAAGGATGACGCCAACTGACTTCAAACCATAGACAATTTTTAAACACTTAAGGTGCACCTTTAAAAATAAGCTAGAAAGGGGCTAATACCACACCTCACTATTTGCCAAAGATGATGCTCCGTCAAAAAGTCTGGCTTTAATTACCACGTAGATTACAAATAGAGATGGACCGTCTCATGGAAAGAAACAAGGCTTCTTATGCCAACCTGTAAATCATTAAAGCCTGTTCCACATAAAGCTGACTAGTCAATCCAACCGAAACTAGCGTGCCTGGACGGGTCGGTTGGCCCTGCAGAGCCCGGCGCTTTGCTCTGCTCCGTCAGCTGTTCTTCTACTCCTAATGGGCCTCCATTCCCACTTTATATTTATATCCCAGCTGCTTGAAAAGGCCACGGCTGTGCCGACCAGACAGCGAAAATAGAAGAGGAGGAAATAACCATTCACATTAATAACCAATCCATTTTTAAAGCCTGAAACAGGAATTTTGGTCTATTCAGCTTCATTACAGAATTTTTATAAGACACAAACTGAGACTGTGGTTTCTATGGCTGCCTGGTACAAATATCTTGTGGCTGAGTTTTCCTCCAAATATGAATCATTTTGAAAAGCTTTCTAAAGTTATCTGTGGTATCTATTTTGTGGGATAATACATGAGAAAAATGGGGGCAGCTCTTGAATTACACACAGTCTAAATATAAACAATAATATTGCTCAAATACACAACTTTAAAAGCTGAGTTTGAACAGTGGGAAGAGAACTGGTCTGGGTGGGAAGAGGACCCGAGCTGGAATCCTCGCTGTGTTATGCACAAGGCCAAGTGGCTTTGCTCATTCCCAAAACAGGCCAGCCAGCTCGTGGCGATTAGTGAGATAATGAGCTTGCATGTCCCTGGCACAGGATCTGTGCCCGACAATGCTTTCCTTTCTTTAGCGTAGGCAATGTGTGTACTGAATTTCAGTGATTTCATTTGGTACTACTGTATGTGCTTGCTCCATATTTTTAATCCAACCAGTTCTGAGCGACTTTATGAGAACACACATTTTAACATAAATGCATTTGGATTTATTGTTCTTAAGTAGAAAGCTGAGTAGTTTCTATATAAGGGAAATCTAAAGCCTATAGGATAGAAATTATCTGTTCAGCAAAGTCTTACTTGAAGATTAAGAACAGGGACTTTTTTGCGGGGGGACGGGAGGGATGGAGTCTCCCTCTGTCACCCAGGCTGGAGTTCAGTGGCATGATCTCAGCTCACTACAACCTCTGCCTCCTGGGTTCAAGTGATTCTCCTGCCTCAGCTTCCCCAGCAGCTGGGATTACTGGTGTACACCACCATGCCCGGCTAATGTTTGTATTTTTGGTAGAGATGGGGTTTCACTGTGTTGGTTAGGCTGGTCTCAAACTCCTGACCTCAGGTGATTCACCCACCTCAGCCTCCCAAAGTGCTGGGAATACAGGTGTGACCTACCTCACCTGGCCAAGAACAGGCAGGGACTTCTTGACTCCTGGCTCCTTAACCATTACAGAGGCTCCCTACACACGGAAAGGCAAGAGCCTGTCAGAAGAGGCTACAAATGGGAGGAGGGAAGAGACAAAATGAAAAAATTGTGGTTGCTATTAATGTCTTAAGTCATCAAGCTCAACAGCTATATGGGACCTTAGAAGTCTAGTCCAGGGCCAGGCGCAGTGGCACATACCTGTAATCCTAGCACTTTGGGAGGTCAAGGTAGGCAGATCACTTAAGCTCAGGAGTTGGAGAACATCCTGGGCAACATGGTGAAACCCTGTCTCTAAAAATTACAAAAATTAGCCATGCATGGTGGCATGCAATTGTAATCCCAGCTACTCAGGAGGCTGAGGCGGGGGGATCACTTGAACCCAGGAGGCGGAGGTTGCAGTGAGCTGAGATGGTGCCACTGCACTCCAGCCTGGGCGAGAGAGTAAGACCCTGTCTCAAAAAAAAAAAAAAAAAAAAAACCGCCACCTCCCGCAAAAATAACGCAACAAACAAACAAACAAACAAACAAGTCTAGTCCAATTTCCTGACCTTTTAGATTGAGAGTATAAGACTAAAGAAAATAGATTGCCTCAGCTCACCCAAGTTTAATATGGTTTTAACTGCAACTAGAAAGCAGTCTAATGGAAGCACTTTAGTCTACAGATGTAAAAATATAATAATAATACTTAACCCATACTAGTTAACCAGTGGGTATAAGTTTCTAAATATTTCATGTAGGAGTCATATATATAGTGAGAAAGACAGGGTCCCGCTCTGTTGCCAAGGCTGAGTGCATTTGTGCAATCATAACTCACTGCAGCTTTGATTTCTTGGACTCAAGCAATCCTTCCACCTCTGCCTCCCAAGTAGCTAGGACTACAGGGAGGTGCTATCATGCTCAGCTAATTTTTTTTTTTTTTTTTTTTTTTTTTTTTTAGTTTTTGAAGAAATAGGGTTTTGCTTTTTTGCCCAGATGGGTCTCAAACTGCTGAACTCTGGCTATCCTCCCACCTCAGCCTCCCAAATTGCTGGGATTACAGGCATGAGCCACCACACCTGGCCACATTTTTTAAACAGCAATTTTCTTTCATTATGAATGAAGAACCCTTGCCCCACATTCCCAGTGCATGCCCCCTGGAAAATTTAAAGTTATTGGAGAGAATACTAGTACTAATTTGCCATTCTGTCATGGGGACTTTCTTTTCCATATGAGAATAGGGTAGAGAAGCAGACCAGATATAACCCACTGAAAGGTAAATTCAGGAAACATCTTCCCACTTACTACACTCTTCTTACCAGGTAGATAACTTATAGAGCTGGGAGGGAATTGCATACCTAAAAGCAACCAAGGTGTAAAGCTTGCTGGCTGTCTGAAAAGTGAACTGAGAATGAAGAACAGGTAGAAGGAAATCACAGTAGGCATTCAAAGGAACTGGGCACCGAATCAGTGAAAAGTGCCCATTGACTCAGATTCATGGAATAATCAAAGGGAGTTTGCTATAGAACAACTACATGTAGAACTGTACTCAGGTCAAGGTCAGGGCTTTATTTATTTATTTTATTTTGAGACAGAGTCTCCCTCTGTCACCCAGGCTGGAGTGCAGTGGTGTGATCTCAGCTCACTGCAACCTCCGCCTCCCAGGTTCAAGCAATTCTCCTACCTCAGCCTCCCAAGTATCCAACACTACAGGCACGTGCCACCACACCTGGCTAATTTTTGTATTTTTAGTAGAAATGGGTTTTCGCCATGTTAGTCATGCTGGTCTCAAACTCCTGACCTCAGGTGATCTGCCTGCTTCGGCCTCCCAAACTGCTGGGGTTACAGGCGTGAACCACCGTGCCTGGCCAGGGTTTTTATTTTGTTTTACGTTTTCTCTGCTCTTGAGTTTGGGTTTCAGTAAACCCTAGGTTTAAGTGATCAATTATGTAATAACGATACCAACTTTTATTGAGATGGCAAGACTAGTGTGCCCATTGTTGCCTTCATGCTTAACAATTAATAAAATAAGGCTAAGTGTTACAGAATAGCTAGCCAGATTTCCTTGTTAAGTCAATGATGTGGAGACAGAGGGAAGGGCCTAGTCTAGGTTAAAAGAGACTTAAGAGTTATAATAACCAAACACAATATGTGGACCTTGACTGGATCTTGTTCAAATAAGCCAACTGTAAATGACATTTAGGAACAACTGGAGAAACTTGAAAAAAAAATGAGTATTAAATTCTACTGAGGAATTACTACTAATTTTGTTAGATGTGATAATGGTATTGTAGGTGGGTAGGAAAATGTTCTTACATTTTAGTGATGCATAGTCAGTACTTAGGAGAGAAATATCATGATATCTATGATAACTTTAAGAAAAATAGTAGATTAAATAAATTAGCTAATTAAAGTCTACTATGCTCATTGGCCATCCAAAGCAAACAGACCTTGAGATTTCATTAAGGAAAAGAGCAGCCATTATTTGACATCCCTTGAATTGGTTTACCATGTCCATTTACTCTTATAGTAAATGGTAAAACTCTCCAGTACCATGGAAGCTATATTTCTTAAAAGAAATGAAACACTTTACATTTGAGTATTAGGATCATTTGAAAGTAGAGATCATTTGAAATTTCATAAATGTATATTTTTATAGCTTTGTTTTTATTTTAAAATATCTCCAGACGGGCACGGTGGCTCACACCTGTAATCCCAGCAATTTGGGAGGCCGAGGCAGATGGATCTCAAGGTCAGGAGTTCAAGACCAGCCTGGCCAATATGGTGAAAGTCCGTCTCTACTAAAAATACAAAAATTAGCCATGTGTGGTGGTCCACACCTGTAGTCCCAGCTACTTGGGAGGCTGAGGCAGGAGAATCACTTGAACCTGGGAGGTGAAGGTTGCAGTGAGACGAGATTGCACCACTGCACTCCATCCTGGGTGACAGAGCGTGACTCCGTCTCAAAAAAAAAAAAAAGAAAGGAAGAAAAAGAAAATGAAAACGAAAAAAATGTCACCAATGACACTTGGTTTTGGCGGTGTGTGTGTGTGTGATGGTTTCAAGCAATAAAGCAGTAATAGTAAACATGATGGGAGAAAGCATGGAGGAAAAAAAGCCACAGTTAGGTTCTCCCAGTAAATTAGACAATATACTTTTCAAAGCGTTAAAGACATGACCAGCAAATCCTTTCTTAGCTTCCTTTTCTCCACTTATAGGTTATGCCAGCTATGGATTCTCCTCTGGGTGGGCTAGAAGGTGGAGAGACAGTCAGATGTGGTTTTGAAAGGGCAGGCATCATTGTTCCTGATCTCATCAATGAACATTTTCTGACTGCTTGCAATGATGCAGTGAGAGCCATGGCCAAAGCAAACCACTGACTGTTGGACAAGAGGCGGCTTTGCAACTGCCACCCCCAGGGCTTCCCGCAGGCACGCAACACCTTGCAGGTCCTCTCTCTGTGAGCACAGACTATGTCCTCTTTGTGTTAACCTGAAGTATTAGCTTTGACAGCTGATACCTGGCATTTGCAAGGTAAAGCCAGTGTTAATTAATGAGGCATATTTTCAACTCTCTGTTAACTAAAAAGAAAGTCATCATATTCAAAAATGGTCATGATGACAACTCATCGCCAGGAGGAGAGCCATGGGGAAGGTAAGTTTGGGCTGCACCATTTTCTCCCTTGACCCTGCTCCTCTCATGACAAACAGCCTCAAGTTTTGAGAAAGCTGGTGAAGGTTGGGAGAATTATCCACTTGGTATGGATGGAATTGTTTTTCTGGGCTTCAGGGAATGGTGCCTTCATTAGCACCACATTCTTGTCAAAAGAGCTAACTAACACCGCTGCTCTCCACTCTACCATCTATATTAATTTTATTTCTGATTTTACAGAGAGATACTCAGAAAATGTCTTGAAAAGATTTCTGTAAATAGCCTAATCATAATATCAACAAACATGCTTTTAAAAAAAATCTTAGAAACAATAGTCCATTCGCCTAGTAATTAGTTAACACCCAAGCATGCCTTCAAAGGAAAGCATGACACAAGCACTGTGAGATTCCTATCTCTGTGATCAATGCAGGCTCCTGAACAACAGGAAATACAGTGTTAAAGGAATTTAACTCTACTGGAACTGCAGCTTTGAAGATAGGAATATTTATGCCAGGCTTTATTGTTCTGAAGTTACTGATTTGTCCCCAGTCACCACATAGGCTCTTAAGAGGTCTAAGAAGAAACTTCCAACCTACAGGGATATATTGGATTCCATGATCTGCAGAATATATAATTCTACACTAAAGCTTTCTGTCTATAAACACACACACACACATACAAACACACACATGACATTGGTGTTTGTCTGTTTGTTTGCTTGCTTGCTTGTTTTTTTTGAGATAGGATCTCACTCTGTCACCCAGGCTGGAGTACAGTGGCGCAATCATGGCTTACTGCAGCCTTGACCTCTCAGGCTCAAGTGATCCTCCCATCTCAGCCTCCCGAGAAATGGGACCTCAAGTCCACCACCACACCGGCTAAATTTTTAAAAAATCTTTTGTAGAGACGGGGTCCCACAGTGTTACCCAGGCTGGTCTGGAACTCCTGGGCTCAAGTGCTCTTCCCACCTCGGCTTCCCAAAGTGCTAAGATTAGAGGCATGAGCCACCACGCTTGGCTCTGACATTGTTTACCTTGTTATTAATGCACTGTATTTCACCACAATCAAACCTGTGAAAAATTTCTTCCTGTGTTCAGTCAACATAATTTTGAAATTAAATACTTTAAGACACAGATGAAAGAGCCAAAAATACTTATTTGACTCATAGTAGTTATCATCTACCTCATTAAAAATAAAAATGACTACTTTTCTAGAAAACCTATCAGCCTATTGTAATTTCAGTTGTTCATTTGCTTTCAGGTTGAAAAATATATATCTTATGCCAAGTGCGGTGGCTCATCCCTATAATCCCAGCACTTTGGGAGGCCGAGGCAGGCGGATCACCTGAGGTCAGGAGTTTGAGACCAGCCTGGCCAACATGGAGAAACCCCATCTCTACTAAAAATGCAAAATTAGCCGGGTGTGGTGGCACATGCCTGTAATCCCAGCTACTTGGGAGGCTGAGGCAGGAGAATCACTTGAACCCGGGAGGCGGAGGTCACAATGAACCAAGATCACGCCATTGCACTCCAGCCTGGGCAACAAGAGCAAAATTCCGTCTCAAAAAAAAAAAAAAAAAAAAATATATATATATATCTTAAATGTCAGTGATATCTTCCATAGATGCTTACCCAGTGGCCTAAATCTGACCAGATATGCAGCCATGAATGTGGAATTCACTAAGCTTGAAATCCTGTTTTCAGGCTCAACACACTAGATTTTCTAGGTCTTGACACTGTTTCCTTTCATCTCTTTTAATCATGCCCTAAATTCCTCCAGCACCATGGGACCAGCCAAAATACAGGTATCTATCCAAAAATTTTAACTTTGCACTGATGCAAAGGAATGCTCTGGAAATTTAAGTTAACCCACTGCCTCCACTTTTCTCTCCAACTTGAAGCTTGGGAAACCAGAACCAAATACTAACATTTCTCTCCAGAAAAAATAAGGAAATAAATGTGCAGGAAGCTTAGGATAATATTGTCACATTGAGAATCTGTAAAAGTAGGAAAAAAATGCCTAAATTTCATATAGGATAATAATAAGTTAGAATGTAGCCATACACTAGGAGAATAGTGAAATAAATTGTGGAATTATCTTTTTTTGTGTGTAGGGAGGGTGCAGGAAAGAGATTCTCACTCTGTCGCCCAGGTTGGAGTACAGTGGCGCAATCTCTGCTCACTGTAACCTCCCCCTCCTGGGTTCAAGGGATTCTCCTGCCTCAGCCTCCCAAGTAGCTGGGATTACAGGAGTGCGCCACCACACCCAGCTAATTTTTTATTTTTAGTAGAGACAAGATTTTGCCATGTTGGCCAGGCTGGTCTCAAACTCCTGACCTCAAGTGATCTGCCCGCCTCAGCTTTCCAAAGTGCTGGGATTACAGATGTGAGCCACCTCTCCCAGCCAACATTATCATTTTAGAAGCTGCTTTCTAATACTACTGACTGATGTAAAACTGCTTATGTTAATGTTAAATTTTAAAAGTAAGGATATAGGCCAGGTGCAGTGGCTCACGCCTATAATCCCAGCACTTTGGGAGGCCAAGGCAGGTGGATCACGAGGTCAGGAGATCGAAACCATGTTGGCTAACATGGTGAAACCCCGTCTCTACTAAAAGTACAAAAAATTAGCCTGGCGCGGGGGCAGACGCTTGTAATCCCAGCTACGGGAGGCTGAGGCAGGAGAATGGCATGAACCCGGGAGGTGGAGCTTGCAGTGAGCCGAGATCGCACCACTTGCACTCCAGCCTGGGCGACAGAGCTAGACTCTGTCTCAAAAAGAAAAAAAATAAAAGTAAGGATATAATATTTCATGCATAGCATATTTCTAATTTTGGTAAAGAAATCTTTATAGGAAGAACAGTTAGAAAAAAATGTGACTCTCTGAATTACGGAATAACTATGATGTTTTTCATTTTTATCTTTTTGTATTTTCCAAATTACCGTGAAATGTACATTTAGAACTTTTATAAAAATAAAACAATAAATTTTTTAAAAAATAAAATTGTCAAAGCTGGGCATGGTAGTATGCACCTGTAGTTCCAGCTACTCAGGCAGCTGAGGCAGGAGGATCGCTTGAGCCTAGGAGTTCAAATCCAGCCTGAGCAAAAAGTGAGACCCCATCTCTACAAAAAATTTAAAAATAAAAAATTAAAGTAGCCTAAGTGCAGTACCTCCCTCCTTTATCCTGCATAAAAATGTCAGGTAAAATGAGTCCAAATGAATTCAAAGTTCATTGGTGAAAACAAAGTGTTTAGATTTTGCAGTAGTTCGTGAATTTATTTTATAATAGATTGCAAAATTTCAAAGCAAATAAAACATAAAATAGAACTGTACATATCCATGATATACATTTACATTTCAAAGGCAGAATCTTAACTGTACATGTGTACACACACACACACACACACCAGCAACATTTTACCAAACACAATACCCTGCGTTAATTTGGATTTTAGCAAGCTCTTGCATGCAACTTTTTGAAAGCTCCCTTCAAAACTGATATCCCCATTTTCTGGGACCCTAAAGCATATTTATTTTTCTTTCTTTCTTTTTATCAATAATTATGTATTGAACACTGATTATAGGCCAAGCACTATACTAGTGAACAGGGATACATTAACAAATAAAGCAGATATGATCTCTGCGTTTTCACTTGCTCTCACTAGAATATAAGCATCAATGAATACTACTAAGCTAGTACTCATTACAACTCACAACAGCTCTGTTAAGGAAAAGAACCTAGTGGGGCTCTGGTATACATGAGATGTCAGTAAAGACTTCTCTGAAAGATGAGGAAGAACCAGCCATAGGAATAGCATTCTAGGCAGCTGGGGCAGCATACACAAATGTCCTGGGACAGAAAGGCATTTGCTGTGTTTTGGGAACTGCTAGGAATACAGTGTAGCTGAGGCAGGGTAACTGGTAGGAGAATGATATGGTTGGGTGGGGTTACAAAGGAGGTTGGCAGGAGTCACAGCAGGGAATGGCTTCTGCAGGCTGTGGTAAAGGGTTGGATTTGCTGCAGCAGAAGCCAATGGATGATTGCAAGTGTTTAAAAAACATTTTGTTTTTAACTAAATATAGATTCATAGGAAGTTGCCAAGTTAGTACACAGATTTCTGTGTACCCTTCATCCAGCTTCCCCCAGTGGTGTCATCTTACATGTGTATGTATGTGTGTATATATATATATACACATATATATGTATATATGTATACGTATATATGTGTATATATATGTATATATGTATATATATGTGTGTGTGTATATATATAAAATACAATATCAAAATCAGGAGATTGGCATTGGTGCAATACTATTAACTAGATACAGGTCTTATTCAGCTTTTACCAACGTTTACATGCATTCATTCATTTGTATACATGTATATAGGTTTATGCAATTTTATCCCTTGTATGGATTCTAGCAAAGGATCTAAATGAGTGATATAATCCGATTTATGTTTTTGACATCAACTGCTAAGAGGAGAATGGGTTGTGTCAGAAGACCAGTTAAGAGGCTGCTACTTTAATGCAGCGAGGGCCAATAGATGTTCAATCTAGCATTGAGGCAGCATAGATGGTGAAAATAAATGGAATTATTTGGGAGGTAGAAGAGGTGGGGTCCATAAGGCTTGGGGTAAACTTGATGTGAGAGATGAGAGAAGGGAAGAAATGAAAATACTCACAGGTATCTGGCTTGCACAGCTTAAACAGCCAGGTGGGTGGTGATGTTTACTGGGAGGATGCTAGTTGGTGAAGGAGAAGGTTTGGTGGAGGGTGTCTTGAACGTATAAATTTGAGATGCAGATGAAAGAACATTGGGTGGAAGATACACATTTGAGAGTCAACAGCATAAAGACACTATTCAAAGCCAATAAAAGGCTTTGTGTGAGGTCACCAATGGGGTAAGTATAAAGAGAGAAGACGAGCCAGAGCAAAGTGCTGAGCAACTCAATACCGTAAATAGCACATGCTCTTCCGGCCTATCATTTGCTGGTCATTACATCAATAATCTCCTCAGAGAGACTATAAACCTCAAGCTGCAGAGATCCTGCCTTATAATCCTGCTCTATTCTTGACAATGCCTGGCATGGTTCTGTGCACATAAGGAATGCTCAATGAATTCACTTCCATTCAGTAAATATTTGCTAATCACGACCAATTGCACTAGGGAGACAAAGAAGACCCCTGGTTAATTGGTTCAACAGTTACTCCCAACTTCCACCTGTATTAAAATAATGAAGTGAATGGAGTCAGATTGGACATTTTCCTCTCTTCTGATATTGATTTGACTGTACAAAAAAGATATCAGGCCAGGCACAGTAGCTAATGCCTGTGGAGGCATTCGGGAGGCCGAAGTGGGAGGATTCCTTGAGCTTAGGAGTTTGAGACCTGCCTGGGCAGTACAACGAGACTCCATCTCTACAAAAAATATTTTTTTAAATTAGCTGGGGCTGGGCACAGTGGCTCACACCTATAATCCCAGCACTTCAGGAGGCCGAGGTGGATGGATCACTTGAGGCCAGGAGTTTGAGACCAGCCTTGCCACCATGGTGAAAACCCGTCTCTACTAAAAATACAAAAATTAGTCGGGCATGGTGATGCATGCCT
Organism: Homo sapiens; assembly: GCF_000001405.40. Taxonomy (NCBI): domain Eukaryota; kingdom Metazoa; phylum Chordata; class Mammalia; order Primates; family Hominidae; genus Homo; species Homo sapiens. The sequence goes on from NC_000002.12 coordinate 224,422,715, forward strand.
GTAATCCCAGCTACTCAAGAGGCTGAGGCATGAGAATTGCTTGAACCTGGGAGATGGAGGTTGCAGTGAGCCAAGATCATGCCACTGTACTCCAGCCTGGGTGACAGAGCAAGACTCCATCCCCCCCCAACCCCCAAAAAATTAGCTGGGCATGGTGCCACACATATGTGGTCCCAGCTACTTGGGAGGCTGTGGTGAAAGGATCACTTGAGCCCAGGAGGTCGAGGCTGCAGTGAGCCATGATCACGCCACTACACTCCAGCTGAGTGACAGAGCAAGTCTCTAACTCAAAACAAAACAAAAGATGTTAATTTAAAATGTTTCATATTTTCTTCTCAATACTGACACCAGCCACCTCTAACAATGTTTTCTAAAGTCTTAATATCTTATTGAAGAGGACACACAAAAAATGGAGAGACATTCCATGCGTTAATTCTGGCATTAATTCTTCTGATCCATTAGTCAGAAGAATTAATATTATTAAAATTACCATAATAACTAAAGCAATCTAAACATTCAATACAATTCCCATCAAAATTCCAATGACATTCTTCACAGAAATAGAAAAAACAACCCTAAAATTTCTATGAAACTAGAAAAGACCATGAAGATTCAAAACAATACTGAGCAAAAAAACAAAGCTGAAGACATCACACTATCTGACTTCAAAATATATTAATAATACAAAGCTATAGTAAGCAATGCAGCATGGTATCGGTATAAAAACAGATACAGAGACCAATGGAACAGAATAGAGAACTCAAGAATAAGTCCACATATTTACAGCGAAATGATTTTCAACAAAAGCGCCAAGAACAAACACTGGGGAAAGGGCAGTCTCTTCAATAAAAGGTGCTAGGAAACTGGATATTCATAGGCAGAAGAATGAAATTAGATCCCTATCTCCCACCATATTTAAAAATGGACTCAACATGGATTAAAGACTTAAGTGTAAAACCCAAAACTGTAAAACTACTAGAAGAAAACACTTTAGGACATTGGCTTAGGCAAAGATTTTATGGGTCAGACTTCAAAAGCACAGGCAACAAAAACAAAAACAAATAGGACTATATCAAACTAAAAATATTCTGCACAACAAAGACGAGAATCAACAGAGTAAAGAGACAACCTGCTGGATGGGAGAAAAGTTGTGCAAACTATTCATCCGACAAGGAACCAACATTCAGAATATACAAGGAACTCAATAGCAAAAAACACAAATAATCCTATTTTTAAATGGGCAAAGGATCTGAACAGATGTTTCTCAAAAGAAGGAAGACCAATGGCCAACAGGTATATAAAACAATGCTCAACATCACTAATCATCAGGGAAATGCAAATCAAAACCACAGTGAGATATCATCTTACCCCAGTTAGGCTGGCTATCATCAAAAAGACAAAAAATAACAAATCCTGGCAAGGATATGGAGAAAAGAGAATTCTTATACACTGTTGGTGGGAATGTAAATTAGTACAGTCACTATGGAAAACAGTACAGAGATTTCTCCAAAAAAAAAAAAAAAACTAAAAATAGAACTACCGTACTATCCAGCAATCCCACTACTGGGTATTTATCCAAAGGAAAGGAAATCAGTATATAAAAGATAAATCCACACCCCCATGTTTATTGCAGCTCTATTCACTATTGTCAAGAGATGGAATCAACCTAAATATCCATCAACAGATGAATAGGTAAAGAGAATGTGGTATATATACACAACAGAATACTAGTCAGCGATAAAAAAGCATAAAATCCTGTCTTCTTCAGCAATATCAAGAAACCTGGAGGATATTATTATGTTAAGTGAAATAAGTCAGGCACAGAAAGATAAATACCACGTGTTCTCACTCATGTGGGAGCTGAAAAAAATTGAACTCATAAAAGTAAAGAGTAGAATTGTGGTTATTTGAGACTGAGAAGGATGGAGGAAGGGGAGGATAGAAAGAGGTTGGTTAATGGATGCAAAGTTACAGCCTGATGGGAAAAATATGTTCTAGTGTTCTGTAGCACTGTAGGGTGAATACAATTAACAATAATTTACTATATATTTTCAAAAAGCTAAAAGACAAGAATTTGAATGCCCACAACACAAATGATAAATGTTAGAGGTGATGCATATGATAATTATCTTTATTTGATCATTACACATTGTATATATGTACTGAAATATCACTCCATCACATAAATATGTACAATTATTATGTGCCAACTAAAAATAAAAGGAAAAAAGAACACAATTATTAAAATCACATTTTTGGCCGGGTATGGTGGCTCATGTCTGAAATCCCAGCACTGTGGGAGTCCAAGGCAGGTGGATCACCTGAGATTAGGAGTTCGAGACCAGCCTGGCCAGCATGGCAAAATCCCGTCTTTACTAAAAACGCAAAAAAAATTACCCGGGCATGGTGGCACACACCTGTAGTTCCAGCTACTCAGGAGGCTGAGGTAGGAGAATCACTTGAACCCAGGAGGCGGAGGTTTCAGTGAGCCAAGACTGCACCACTGCACTCCAGCCTGGGTGACAGAGTGAGACTCCATCTCAAAAATAAATTAATTAATTTAATTAAATCACATTTTCTTCATAAAAATATGTATTTTTATGAAAAAGAAATCATAATTTTAAGAGTGATATTCCTCTTTTTATTTTTTCATATTTAATGACATTGCTGAACAAATGGAAATTTTGATGTTTGGGGGAAGAAAGTACAAATTTCCTAGAATTATCATATGCCAAAATAACAGTTGTTTATTAAATACTTTTGAGAGTTTTTGGAAACTATTAAATGCAGGCTGTGGTGGGTATACTACAATTTCTAAATGATAATGGCAAAACAGCTTATTGATTAATCAAATATTTCAGTTGCTATGGAAACAATTGCTAATATGTTGAGTGATATGGTTTGGCTTTGTCCCCACCCAAATCTCATCTTGAATTCCCACGTGTTGCGGGAGAGACCCCGTGGGAGGTAACTGAATCGGCGGGGGGCAGGTCTTTCCCATGCAGTTCTTGTGATAGTGAATAACTCTCACAAGAACTGATGGTTTTAAAAACAGGAGTTTCCCTGCACAAGCTCTCTCTCTTTCTCTTTGCCTGCTCCCATCCATGTACAATATGACTTGCTCCTCCTTGTCTTCAACCGTGATTGTGAGGCCTCCCCAGCCGCATGGAACTGTAAGTCCATTAAACCTCTTTTGTAAATTGCCCAGTCTTGGGTGTGTCTTTATCAGCAGCATGAAAACAGACTAATACATTGGTTTCGAATATCACCATTGTGAGAAATTATCTAATATATCAAAAACAAGAAAAATATATTTTCTATTTCATAGAGTGCCCTTTGACTCTTCTGTCTGATAGCATGGGCTTTGTGATGGGTGTTTTAGCTTGAAACTGAATACACAGTGAGAAGGCATGAGGGTGGTGTGAGTGGCTCCTTGCTATGAACCTGAAAAACCTTTTGTTGGATGGATGGCCTAGAGAAACTTCTCACTCTTCAGAGAATTCAGAATTTTTGTCCCTTTTCAAAATATCTGTAATTGCATTTAATTCTTTTTTCTAACTTACAAATTAATACCATAATTTTATGTATTCATTCAGTGACTAGTTATTGGGTCCTATTATGTGCCAGGCATGGTTCTAGAGACACAAAAACAAAAATCCTTGTTTTCTCCCATTCTAGTGGGGTACTCAGAAAATAAACAAAATGCATCTCATGAAGGAATTCAGGAATAAAATCTGAATGCAGAACAGAGACATACAGCTGTGATGGTGCTAAAGACCAGAGCCAAAGCATAACCCATGCTTTACGGGATCTAGCATTCAAATCATTTTGGTTAGCCCTGTGGACTGACCATGCCTCCCCTCCCCATCAAAATTCATATGTTGAAGCCCTGATCCTCAATGTGGTTGTATTTGGAGATGGGGCCTCTAAGGAAGATGGTTAAATGAGGTTGATATGGTTTGGTTTTGTGTCCCCACCCAAATCTCACCTCAAATGGTAATCCCTATGTGTTGAAGGAGGGGCCTGGTGGGAGACAATTGGATCACAGGGGTGGATCTCCCCCTTGCTGTTCTCATGATAGTGAGTTCTCACACGATCTCATGGTTTAAAAGTGTGTGGTACTTCCCCCTTCTCTTTCTCTCTTTCCTGCTCTGCCATGGTAACACATGCTTGCTTCCCCTTTGCCTTACGCCATGACTGTAAGTTTCCTGAGGCCTCCCAGCCAAGCCTCCTGTACAGCCTGCAGAACCGTGAGTCAACTAAATCTCTTTTCTTCATAATTTATCCAGTCTCAGGTAGTTCTTTATAGCAGTGTCAGAACAGATCAATATAAAGGTCATAAGGATGAGCCCCTGATCTAGTAGGATTCATGTCCTTATAAAAAGAAACAACAGAGAGCTCTCTGTCACTCTGTTTATCATATGAGGATACAGCAAGAAGGCAGCCCTCTGCAAGCCAAGAATAGAGCCTCACCTGAGTCCCACCATGCTGACCTGACCTTGGACTTCCAGCCTTCAGAACTGTGTGTGAGAAAATACATTTCTGTTGTTTAAGCCACCCACTCTGTCGTAATTTGTTATGGCAGCCTGGAGAGACTAATACAATTAGTAAGCCAGATAAAGCCTGGACGATCACTTACTGCAATGGTCTTTAATAACTACTTTCTAGTGTTTTACTTTTATGGCTATTTGACAGGTAATATCAGAGCAACTAAGTCTGATTTGGGGAGAAAAAAAACCGATGTGTTATTTACATCTTACATTCTCCATTCTATTCTTTTATAATAATTTATCCTCTACCTCCTTCCAAACAGGTTTGCAACATCCTTACTATAAAAGTTATAAATTGAAATAATGATGACATGGAATAAAAGGAGAAACCAAAAGCAGGAAAATGTGGAAACATGTTCAAGGAGGAAGAACTAACACAGTCATTTGTGTTGAGCCTCTTGACGGCCAAGCAAAACTTAAGGAAGTGAGAACGAGACTGACCATCCTAGAACCAATCTGGGGACTTAGGTGCCATGTGTCATGTGTGATCTGTGCGGGGCCAGCAAAGCCACAGCTGGTGGTCAGCAAATGAAAACTATTCCCCACAGATCCCATCCCCCCAGAGAATGTCGGCATGATAATTTTCCACTTCCATCTAACTTAGCTTCCTGTTCACTGTAAGATCTGAATAAATGCTTTTTCCTCATATTAATTTTTACAAATGAATGAATGGGATTTCAGAGCTACCCAAATCAGAATTTGAAAACAATACTCTTTTGGGTGTTCTTAGGAGGCAGGAAGCATACTAAAACCACCCGAAGGCACCATATAAAAGGTTACACAAAGATCACCACTGGTCACTATCTTCAGGATCTATGGTGAATTTGAGAACCTAGCCACCTATCTCCACACTCTAATTTTGCTGTAATTCTGTAGCGAGTTCATCAAACTGTCCTGCTCTCAGCCAGCTACCTAGGACCAAGTCATAATATAAGGATCTGGGGAGGAATTAGGTGCTGATAAGAAGCGTGCTGTGTGGGCACTTTGCTTAGGAGGGCAGTCCGGCTCTGATGGCTGTCTTATCCTATCTCACTTCCAGCACATTCATTCATGTATTCATTCATTCATTCTCTCTGTCTGTCTTTTTTTGTTTTTTTTTTTTTGAGACGGAGTGTCGCTCTGTCGCCCAGGCTGGAGTGCAGTGGCGCTATCTCGGCTCACTGCAAGCTCCGCCTCCCGGGTTCACGCCATTCTCCTGCCTCAGCCTCCCGAGTAGCTGGGACTACAGACACCCGCCACTGCGCCCGGCTAAATTTTGTATTTTTTTTAGTAGAGACGGGGTTTCACCATGATAGCCAGGATGGTCTCGATCTCCTGACCTCGTGATCCCCTCCCAAAGTGCTGGGATTGCAGGCGTAAGCCACCGCGCCCCGCCCCATTCTCTCTCTTTATACACAATGCCTATACATAGTCACGGCCTCACACACACTCACACACACACACACAGCACAAACAGGCACGTACACAAACCCACACACACACACACACACACAACACACACAGGCACATACACACTTCCCTTTTACCCTGGAGAAAGCAGACAGAGCCCTTCTAAGTGGTCTCCAGGTCAAAGACCAGTTTCACACTGTTGACATGTACTTGACTGCTGGGAATGCCCTGGAAAAATGTGACAGAATTTCCTTAACAAGTGTCATGAAATACTGTGTAGGGCAGGTTGAGGTTCTGGGAGAGGAAGCTCTTGATGTGCCAAGTGTGGCATTAGTCACTGTCAGTCCTCTGGGCTCTGGAACTGGGCAAAGATGCCTAAGGGGCTTTGTAGTGCCACAGTGATGCCCTGGGCTGGATCTCCTGGGGGGGCTCCTAGTGTCTCATTCCAGTTCACAGCCAGCGGTGCAGCTAAGTTTGCCTGATCCTGGCCCCAGGATGGCCTTGTTGCCCCACTTCTCTCAGCCCCACTCCCTTGCCCTGACTGTGCTGGAGGCTTCCACCTGTTCTTCCCGATCACTCTGCACCCTTCTCCTCCCTGGTCTGTGCCCTGAGACTGGCCTCTTGCCCTTTGGCTTCTGCTTGAGTTTGGCCAGTGAGGAGCTCTGGACACTGCAGGACTACAAGGGCAGGAAACTATTTCTCTGGCTCCCTCCCTCCCTGCAGGGTCATCTCAGGCTGACCAACTCCGCAGGTCCCAGCTCCTTTTGTCCCCCTTCCAGGATTCCATGGCTGCCTCTCCCCTTACCCCTCCAGAACTAAGTGCTGCCATAGCACCCCCTGGTTCCTCCCCTGATGTCTTGCATTATTCCTTGTGGTTTCCCTACACCCTGCTCACACCATTAAAACTTGTCACTTAACTCACCTCAAACCACCCAATTTGAAAGTGCCATCTGTTTCCTGATGAAACCTTGGCCCACAAGAGATCCTACACAGCCTCAGGAGGTGGACACACGTGGATTCTTCACAGCCTGAAACTGCCATTCACTAACATGGGACCTTGGGCAAGTCATCCTTTTAAGACTTTCTCTCTCTCTCTCGCTCTCAACAGTCTCAGTTTGTTGCCCAGGCTGGAATCCAGTGGCACAATCATAGTGATAGAGGCAGGAGGCAGAGAAATCCTAGACTTATAGGAGCAGGTCCCTGGTGAAACCCCACCTTCAAGCCAAAAACAGCCTGAAACCCATGGATCAGAGTGAGAACTTCTATTCCTGTTTACTCGCTCTCTCCCAATTGATTATTTCTGAATAATGCCTTTTGGCCAATTAAAAGTTGCCTTTTCCAGTACTACCTATGGCCTGCCCCACCCCCATCCTGTGCCTATAAAGACCCCATACTCAGTTGGTAGAGGGGAGATGGCCTGACTTTGGGGAGGAGACCTCCTGACTTCGGGAGAAGATGACCTGCCCTTCTCGTCCCCCGTCCAGCTCCCCTCTCTGCTGAGAGCTGTTTTCATCCCTCAATAAAATTCTCTGCCCTCACCATTCTTCAATTGTCAAGCATGACCTCATTCTTCTTGGACACTGGACAAGAGCTCGGGACCCACTGAGTACAGGTACCCAGAAAGGCTGTTACACTGGTCCTTTGCCCTCACTGGCAGAGGGCAGCCACTCCATGCAACGGGGCAGGGGCCAACTGAGCTGCTAACACACTGCCATCCACTGAGCTATGGACGGCAGAACTAAAATAACTAATTAGCACACTAACACCCACTCTGGGGCTTGAGCACCCTTGCCTGCATTCTGCTTGAGGAGACACACCTGGTCTGGCCTTGGGCCCTGCATGGAGCTTGCTCCTGTTTCAGCAGATTGTCCAGCAGGGTCCTACACTCACTTGCTCATGTGCTCCTTCCTGCAAGGGGCTGAGCATGGCGGGCCGGGTAGACAGGGTGCCCCTGCTGTGAGTCCAGCAAATGGGCTGAGAAAAATCCTGCATCAATAGCTCACTGCTGCCTTGACCTCCTGGGATCCTCCTGCCTCGGCCTCTGGAGTATCTGGGACTACAGGAACGCATCACTACACCAGCTATTTTTATTTTTAGTAGAGGTGAGGTCTCAGTACATTGCCCAGGCTGGTCTTGTTCTCCTGGCCTCAAGCGATTTTCCCAGCTAGGCCTGCATGCCCAGTCAGACTGTTTTTTAATTGGTGCAACACAGACGCTAATAGTAGCCACTAAGAAGGTTGCTATGAGGACTAACACATTCATCTGAGAGGCTCAGCACCATGAAGGGCACACAGTAATGCTCAATAAACAGCAGTTATTTGGGGGAGCAGCTGCCCTCCAGCCAGCATCTAGTTCCCACCTTCCCCATCACCCACTGCTCTTCATCACCATCTGCCCAACACTAACAAGCAGTTAGTTCACACTGCACCATTGTCCTCTCCTGCCTGGGAACATTTCTACAGGGACTCTGGTAGCTCCTCAAGTGATGAGGTTCAGGACACACTACTCCAGAATATTTTAAATGAAGGAATATGAGAAAATGCAGAAGAAGGAAGGTCTTCTGATCTTCCCCTGCCCTTCACCCCTGAAGCAAGTCATACAAACCTCATGTGAGGGGTGCCTTTCCTATACCAGAGGAAAGGAACATCCTTATCTCAGAAGATGAAGGGGCACAGAGAAGCATCTGGACAGGTGGGCCTTACTTAGTTTCCCCCAGTTAAATACCATTAGATCACACTCTTTGCCTTCTCTTATTTCTCCACGACTATCCACTCCTTATCAAACCTACTATAGAAAACACTCTGGCACTTTGGGAGGTCAAGGCAGATCACTTGAGGTCAAGGTCAAGATCGCTTGAGCCCAAGATTTTGAGACCAGCCTGAGCAACATGGCAAATCCCCGTCTCCATAAAAAATAGAAAAATTAGCTGGGTATGGTGATGCACGCTTGTAGTCCCAGCTACTTGGGAGGCTGAGGTGGATCACCTGAGCCCTGAGCCAGGGGAGATGGAGGCTGCAGAGAGCCATGATTTTGTCATGACTGTGCAACTGTACTCCAGCCTGAGCAACACAGTGAGACCCTGTCTCAAACAAACAAACAAACACTGGCTTAACTGTTTCTTCAGGTCTTCACTTCCTTATGTAAAACTTATATTAAATAAATTTGCATGCTTTTCTCTTGTTAATCAGTCATTTGTTTTAGGAGCCTTAGGCCATGAAATTAGGATGAAAAGATATTTTCCTCCCTTATAATCCCCAGTCACCATTTCCAGTCACTTGGAGATTCTTTCTTTCTTCCTCTCTTGTCTCCAGCAGCCATTCCCCCGTGGATGGGCTGGCTTCCTGATGGATCATTCCCACACAAGTAGAACAACTTTGGACTCATTCTCACATCATCATCACCCCAGAAGGAAAGGGTCCAGTGTTCTCCTGATCCAGACCTCCATGGAGATGCTGCTCACGCTTTGTGCCCCATCTGCATTGTACCAGCTCAACCACGCCCATGGCTTCCCTAACACCCATGTCGTGATGAGTCTCAAATCCAAATTCCTACGCCTGATCCATGGATCCAGGCCAGCATCTCCACTTTGGTGTCCCACAGACACCTCAAATACAACATGTCAAAAACGGAGCTCATTCCTCCCCAGCCTGCTCCAAACCCTCCCTTCCTCCTCTTTTCCTTTCCTTGTTATTAACACCTCACTCCCCCAGACTGCCAAGCCAGCAACTTGGGGTGTCACCCATGATTCATCACTCTCACTCTTCACATCCTGTCAGCTGCCAAATCCTGAAGAAGTTATCTTTTAAATATCTTTTGAATCAATTTTCTGGTTCAATGGTTTCTCTTCTGGTGAACTTCAAACACCTTCTCCTTGGCCCTTTCCGCCTAAACCTTTCTCTGCTGGACCACCAGAGCAAGCTTTCTGAGTTCATACTCTATCGCATTGCAGGCTTCTATTAACAACAGCTACTGTTTACAGTGATGGGCTAGATGCTGTTTTATCATGCCTTGCATGTATTAAATCATTGAAACATCTCAACAATTTTATAAGACAGGCCATATTCTTATCGTCCTTTTTTTTTTTTTTTTTTTTTTTTTTTTTTTTTTTTGAGATGGAATCTCCTTCTGTTGCCCAAGCTGGAATGCAGTGGCAAAATCTTGGCTCACTGCAACCTCTGCCTCCCAGATTCAACCAATGCTCCTGCCCCAGCCTCCCGAGTAGCTTAGATTACAGGCATGCACCACCATGCCCAGCTAATTTTTTTTGTATTTTTAGTAGAGACGGGTTTTACCACGTCGGCCAGGCTGGTCTCAAACTCCTGACCTCAAATGATCTGCCCGCCTCAGCCTCCCAAAGCCCTGGGATTACAGCCGTGAACCACTCCGCCCGACCTATCATCTCTACTTTTTTTTTTTTTTTTTTTTTTTGAGATGGGGTCTTGCTCTGTCGCCCAGGCTGGAGTGCAGTGGCGCGATCTCAGCTCACTGCAAGCTCCGCCTCCCGGGTTCACGCCATTCTCCTACCTCAGCCTCCCAAGTAGCTGGGACTACAGGCGCCTGCCACCACACCCGGCTAATTTTTAGTAGAGACGGGGTTTCACCGTGTTAGCCAGGATGGTCTCGATTTCCCGACCTCGTGATCCGCCCTCCTCGGCCTCCCAAAGCCCTGGGATTACAGCCGTGAGCCACCGCGCCCGGCCTATCATCCCTATTTGTTAAGGTGAGCCAAAGGATAGCCTCCGCCCATAGCGTTATTTACCTCTGTGTTTCTTCTTCACCCCTCTCCCACCTTGACCTTCCTCTTCTCCACCTATCACAACCACCACCACTTTTACTTACAGAGCCTTAAAACCGTTCAGGATTCCCACTGTCTGCCCTGCAGAATAAAGCGCAGCTCCTGGGCCTGACACCAACGGCTTCGAGAGCCCCACGCCCGACAGGCCTTCCATGGCTGGCAGGCAGGCATACCTCCCAAAGAGAACAGATCTCCAGCTGCATCCAATTGCTTGCAGCTTCCCCAACAAGCTGCATTCTTCTGCCTTTTCACATGTAAATTGCCTCTTAAATGTCTGTGCCTAAACCTCATCGCCGCTTGGCACCTGGTGAATTCCTGCTCCTTCTTAGAAATTCGGCATAAGCATTGCTCCCTCCAAAAGCCTTCTCTGACGCCTGTAGGCCTCACCACATTCATATCCATGTTACGGAACTTAGCACACTGCAACACTACCCTTGAATATCTTTCTCCAAAGGGGAAGGGCTACAGTTCTATTTATCTTTAGATTCCCAGTGCCTGACACATACTAGGTTTTTGAAAGCTTGATGAATAAATAAATGAAGAAACAAATAAAGGAACTCATGAAGGGCAAACACAAGGGGACAGCTGTGGAGAATGATTTGATGTATAATACCCATATTAATTGGGTTTTATTAACTACAGAAATGATTCTAACTTTTGTAACTCCAGAACCTCTTTAGTTATCACATTTCTTGGTTATACATGTAGGTTGGAACATGCATGTGAAATTTTTATTCCGTAAACCATACTTGATTAGACAAATAATGTAACTATATTGGGAGGGTTTCCTTTTTAAAATAAAAATCACCAAATAACTCTTGTTCAAAGTTAACTTTATCCAGTCAAATACAAACAGCACCCAGCCCTAAAGCATAGTTATGTATACAAATCTTATCTTTCAGAGGGTATCAAAAGTCTAGTGGGGAAACGTGTGAGAGATAAAAGTTTCAACTGAAATGGAAGTTATAAAAGAATGTGTTTAGACAGACATGCCGATCTACTATAATAGCCCAATAAAACTTCACATCCCCTATTGCTCAGAGCCTTCCTTTTGGGGAGAACTGGGATTCCGTGTTGATATAGACCAATCCCATATTAATCACTTCTTTCCTCTTTAAGAGTCAGATACAACAAGAGTAAAATTCTCCAAGATTATAATGATAAAATCGTTTCCCTTCATTTGGTAGAAAGAATTTAAGTTTACAGTTAAAATCTCCAGGTAGATAGCATTTTCAGAAAAGAGTGTCTGCCTTTAATTTTTATCAGAACAAGGAAAGTTATACTAAACTATTCAGCTTTGTCAACAAAGCCACTTCCTGAGGGTTTCATCTTCAGGCCAGGCACTGGGTGGGTCCTGAGGCAGAATAGGGTCTGGAGGCAGGGAACATAAGGCCAATTCCGCTGATTTCCTAGAACTAACTCAAATGGAAACACTCCAGCTATGACAGGAAATATCCTCTCTATTTACGTAGAGCGTACACCGAGTCAATGACTTTGTAACTTTACTTCATCCTCTTCATTTATATAGGTTGTACACCCAGTAACCAATGGAAACCTCTAGAGAGTATTTAAACCCCAGAAAATTCTGTAACCAGGCTCTTGAGCCCCTATGCTCGGGCTGCTCCCACCCTGTGAAATGCACTTTCATTTTCAATACATCTCTGCTTTTGTTGCTTCATTCTTTGCTTGTTTTGTTTGTTCATTTTGTCCTGGACACCCTCCACCCGTAACAGTCCCACTACAACTCCCTCAGAAAATGATGCGGTGTTTTGTTTTGTTTTGTTTTTTTGACGGAGTCTCACTCTGTTGCCCAGGCTGGAGTGCAGTGGCGTGATCTCTGCTCACTGCAATCTCCGCTTCCCAGGTTGAAGCGATTCTCCTGCCTCAGCCTCCTAAGTAGCTGGGACTACAGGGATGTGGCACCATGCTCAGCTAATTTTTGTATTTTTAGTAGAGACGGGGTTTCACCATGTTGGCCAGGCTGGTCTCGAACTCCTGACCTCAAGTGATCCACCTGCCTTGGCCTTCTAAAGTGCTGGGATTATAGACGTGAGCCACCACGCTTACACTGGACTGAGAGACATTTGCTTGTGAATCAAAATTCAAATATGTTCATATACTATGGTTACAAAGGCAAGAAATAAGTAGATTTTCTAAAATTTTTCCAACAGGAGCTGAAATGCTAAGAGCTAAATATTCAGTTTACCATAAAAATCTAAGCTCTGGGAGGCCATTGCTGAGCATTCTGATGGCTCCGGCTTTCCTAGAGTGTTTCTCAGTGTACTATGCTCTGCAAAAATGAGAAACGTGGAATGCTATCCAGTTTCTTTCTCTTGACAATTCATCAGCTGAATCCAGGCCAAAAAGAAAAAAGAAAATAGTTGAAAAGAGGCATATTCAAAAGGGTAGGAGATAAGAGGAAAATAATCGTTCGGAGCTATGAGCATAGCCATTTTATGTGAGATAAGGCTATAAAGACAAAGTATTCTAAGGGCTTTCTTTGCGACATTTTCTTGTTCTGTGACCCCCCACCCCCACACCCCCAGGGCAGAACCACTTTACAGCAGAAAAGGGTGTGTGTGTGTATTTATATCTCCTTTAACACTGGGGTCTTCTGCCACAACCATCATGAGCTAATCCTTGACAAGGAAAATAGTTCATTTCATAACTAGGAAGGTTTAAAGAGCCTGCCTAAATTCATATCACCACCCTGGAACGGGAATTAGATTTCAACTAAATGGAAAAAAATTCTAACAAATACAAATGTCCAATTTTGACTTGGCTGTTACTGGAAATTTGAGGCAATTTCAAGCAAGGACTTGAGGGTCAGACTCGAGGAAAGAGGTAGACCTACCATCTTCGGTGAGTGTGCATCCTTGGGGTGGGTCGTCTGCAGAGATGGCCACCAACTGTTCCTCCCATCCAGAGGGGGCGTCTGTCTCCACTCCCCTTGGATCTGGGCTGTCCCCGTGACTTGGTTGACCCAGTAGGATGTTTCAGAGCAGCAACATGTGACTTGCAGGGCTCCTTCTTAAGAGACCCTGCAGCTTCCACATCTGCCCTCTTAGAAGACAGCCACCATGTCAAGAAGATTAGGCTAAACTACTGAAGGATGAGAGACCAGGGAGACAAAGAGAGACCACCCAGGAGAACCCAAGCCCCTCGGCCCACAGCCGGCACCAAGGCCCAGACCTGTGAGTGGGGCCATCTTGCACCCTCCAGCCCCACTCCAGCCAATATCATGGCAGAGCGACCCAGCCATCCCAGCCAGCTCAGCTGAGGACCTACCACCATTAATGACCTGCTGAGCCCTACCTGAAGCCCTGACTCACAGGATCTGAACAAATAAAAGAGGAGGCCTTTGAAATCCACTAAGTTATGGGGTGGTTTGTTACACAGGAATAGATGATTCATCCAAAATGTGGCCAGTTATATCAAGAGTGCTTACTTCATCACATTGATAAGAAGCAGTGAATATGTGTGATTCTGTGAGCAGAGAATCACATAGGCAGGTATAGGCTTAGCACTGTGCCTATACCTGCCAGGCAATGAACACTCCATAAAATTGAGTTATTATTTACTATTGTCATTTTCAAAGAGAGCCTGAGTAACCTGCCGGTAATGTTGTAAAAGGAGTGCTGTGGTTTAAATGTCTTCTCCAAAACTCACATTGAAACTTAATCCTCAATGTGGCAGTTATTGAGAAATGGGGCTTTAAAAAGCAGTGACTATATCATGAAGCCTCTGCCCTCAAATGGATTGATCCATTGATGGGTTAATGGATTAATGGGTTATCGTGGAAGTGGTACCGATAGCTTTATAAGAAGAGGAAGAGAGACCAGAGTTAGCATGATAGCAAACTCAGCCCCATTGCCATGCGATGCCCTGTGCCAACTCCGGACGCTGCAGAGAAACCCCACCAGCAAGAAGGCTCTCACCAGATGCAACTCTTCAACCTTGGATCTCCCAGCCTCTATAACTGCAAGAAATAAATCCCTTCCCTTTATAAACTACCCAGTTTCAGGGATTCTGTTATAAGCAACAGAAAACAGTCTAAGACAGGGGGTTGTTGTTTCAGATGGAGAGTGTTTCTCATACCCACTGAAGTCCCTCTTCCTCTCCACATATTCACTAGGTGCTGAGGCAGGGGAACTTGAGCATGTTTCCCAGTCCTTTATGCTCCTGATCTGAGCTCACTTTCAGAGTAGAAAACAGTACATTTCCTGGGGAAGCCTCAGCCCCTTCTACGGAGGTCTCTCCTACAGGCTCCTGCTGAGGCAAGACAGTTCTGAAATCACAGACTTCGGGAGTGACTTCCCTCTCCTGCTACCTATGAAGGGTAGGACATCTATCCTGGCATCATGGTGACTAAATTGGACCAGTTGGGTATTCTTTATAGAGCGATGTTAATGGGCAACACAGACACAGGCAGTTGATATCAAAGAGATCCCAGAAGGAAGATGAATGTCAGAGGACTTGGTGCCTTGGGGAGCAGCAACAATGACGACAAAGACTGTGAATCACGAAAGAGGATAATTAAGGATGCCTGTAGTAACCTGGTTCCTGGTTCCTGTATTCTGCACCACCAACCATGATTCTTTTACAGTGTGTGTGAGGGCTGCTGGGTCTCTATGGGAAGTAACTAGAGCCATAATTGCCCTAATATCTTTATAATAAAACTCCACTTTTTGCAGTTACTGTATGGTTAATTTATCTGTCAACTTGACTGGGCCATGAGATGCCCAGATATCTGGTGAAACATTATTTCTGGGGGTGTCTGTGAGGATGTTTCCAGAAGAGATTAGCATTTGAATCTATGGACTGAATAAAGCAGATGGCCCTCCTCAATGTGAGTCGATATCACCTAACCTGAATACAACAAAAAGGTGGACAAATGTTGACCCCTCTCTCTCTCTCTGTGCCTGACTGCTTGAGCTGAGACATTGGTCCTGCCCTTGAATTGAGATTTATACCATTGGTGCTCCTGGATTTCAGGCCTTCACACTTGGACTGGAATTTATACCATTAGCTTTCTTGGGTTTCCAGCTCACAGATGGAAGGTCATGGGACTTCGCAGTCTCCATAATCACATGAGCCATTTCCTTATAATAAATATCATTCTATTTATTATTTATATATACTGTTGGTTCTGATTTTCTGGAGAATCCTGACTAATGCAGTTACCTTTTCTTCTCCTCCTCCTCCTTTTCCCCTTCCTCCTGTTCCTCCTCCCACTTCTTCTTACAATTTAAAAGATCTAAATAACACAAGAGGCAGTTGGGGAAAGCAGTGTATTAGCCACTGCTATCTCCTTAATCTACAGCCACCCACTCCAAATAAATATGCAATCTAAGTAAAATCAGTATGTTTGCTTTGCAGATGAGTTCCAGAGAAATAATCTTAGGCATTCCTAAGGAGGTGGCTGCCCCAAATTACCTGCTACACTGGAAATTCTAGCATGGCCACAGAAGACATTCTGCCTTTCTTTTGAACCTTGTCATTTTTTTCACATTTGCCCCTGGCATCACACAAAAATTCCTGTCCAGGGCTTTAAGCTTATTCATAGCCACCATTCCTTTACCCTCCTGCCCTGTCCAGCATGGCTAAATGCTCTGGCCTCTGGATTTGTGAGCTAATTCCTATTCCCAGTGCAAGTTCTTCCACCTCCCAACCTTACACCATCATGAGGATGGTCATGTCAATATAGAAGTCACTCTACTCTTGACCACATAACTCTCCTCTCCACTTTCACAGCCCCTATGTCAAGGTTTTGTTTATACATCCCACCCAGCTGTGCCTTTTCCCCACCACCACCACACCCTCCCACCTACCAAATCCTTTATTTACTCCAAACATAATTCATCACATAGAATTGGGATACTTTATAAATAACATTTCAGTGAGGCAAGGCAAGTCTTCACAGGCCTTTGCTTAAGAGATTTAGTCATAAAATGCCTAAAGGATTTATTTATAATATAAACTCAAACTTTGCCATGTAAATCCCATAGTATGGCCCTGAGAGCAGAATGAGAACATTATTAATTTACTTACTATTTAATTATTCTCCCTTTTCTCTATCACCCCTGGAATGTAAAAATTCCAGAGGCAGGAAGAATAGCTTCCGCTTTTTCTGACATCCAAAGCTCCTTTGCACCCTGGGAAGGCTAGCCTTGGGAATGACAAGAAAAACTGGGTATTTCCTGAAGTCAAAATGGATTTTGAAAGACAAATTGTCCCTCTATGTAGTCCTGACTATGGTCTCCTTTCCCATTTTTTGTTTTAATTGATCATAACTTTGATTACAGAGCTGTTACCAGCTCCTTTGTGCCACAGTGTGTAAACTTATCTATTATTCTTAAATAGAACCGATTATAACTAAGAAAATGCCAATATTTAGATTAGTTTGTGTAATATAGTCAGTGCTCCTTATCCGTGGGTTCTGCATCCATAGATTCAACAAACTTTGGATCAAAAATATTCTGAAAAAAAGAATGAATGCTTGCATTTGTATTAAACATGTACAGACTTCTTTCCTTATTATCACTTAAACAAAATAACTATTTACACAGCATTACATTGTATTAGGTATTATAAGTAATCTAGAGAGATAATTTAAAGAGGATGTGCATAGGTTATATGCAAATACTACACCATTTTATATAAGGGACTTGAGTATCCTTGGTTTTTATATCCTGGAACCAATCTCCCACAGATACTCGGGGACAACTGTGCTGCTTTTCAGATAAAACAGGAAGTATGTGACTATGTATAAGACATAGACAGTATTACTAATGAATTCGGGTCGTTTGTTTATTTTTTTAAAATATCTATTGAGTGCCTATTAAAGCTGTGGCATGACTTCTACAAAAATAGTTTAGTATTATGAATACCAATGTTAGTAATGACAATTATATTTGTTAATAGCAGCTACCAGGAGTACACAGGTACTTAATATCACTTAATTCTCACAAAAATCCTATTTAGCAGATGAAGAAGCAGAGTCTCTGAGAAGTCAGTAACTTTCCCTCCCTACGTCCTATCCTCCACCCCTACACCCCCCGGATCATGCATCTTAGAAAGGCCCAAATTCAGATTTGAATTGATTTCTTTTGATCACAACTTCCATATTCTCCTACAAAGTCATAATCCAAAGAAGAGAGTAATGGAATGAAATATCCTCAGTCTACAAAATACTTTGTACGGTTCATCATTAAAGCCACATTTCCCATCTTCAGCTTGCAAGCAACCATCTAATCCATTAAAATTACATTTCTTGAATTGAGTTTACTCATAATTGCCTTCCTTTACCTCTTAGCTCAATGCGATGCTTTAAAGTATTTCTCCCTATTTTTCTTTTTCTCTTTCTTTCCTTTTTTTTTTTTTTTTCGCCCAACACTCTCCAGCTGAAAGCTGTGAAGTAATGACTGTTCTGCATTGCTGGGGACCTGCTCTATTTGTTTTCTAGCTACTTAACCCACTCACTTGAACTGGAATCCCTGTTGATCAGTGTGAAGATTCAAAGGGGCAAGCTATTTCTCATTCCTACAGTTTACTTTCTACTCCCCAGTTATTGAGTTATTGGGGGTAGGTCCCTTCTAACTCTACCCATTTTTCTCTAAGGCATTAATTTGGCAACCAAATGGCAAAGTCACCCTTTGAATGTTTCCTTTCATTGGGTGAGCATTACATAAGCAACCTGTGACAACGTGGCCTTTATGAAGCAAAACCTGACTCACCCAAGTGAGAAGGGGGAAGAGAGAAGCTTCATCCTTGATAACGCATTACCGGAACTTCCAGGTTCTATTCTGGCCCAGGTAGTCAGTGCTCCCTGCCTCTGCAGGCTTGCGGGCTTGCCATTCAGATATCCGTGGCTTCATCCCAGCTACACACCCTCACCTCTTTGACTCTTCCTCTAACAATAGTGCTGGCACATTTTAGTGCAAAGAGGAAAGAAGGAACAAGCTTTTCAGTATCCAGGACAGCACACAGTCATAACCACAAGGGGAAAAATAGGAATGAAGAAGAGTGGATTGCCATAAACCTCATCCAAAGGAGATGGGTCAGGGGGCCTCAGGAGACTGTGGGACCGACTGTTCCAGTTTGAGAACCCACTTAGAGAACCCGCTGTCTCACCCATCACTGGATCTTTTCATGATGGACATGGGGGAGGGGTAAGGACTGGGGTACTAGAGAGTAAAAGAAGACAGTTTCAGTCAGGTGCGGTGGCTCACGCCTATAATCCCAGCACTTTGGGAGGCTTGAGCGGGTGGATCAACTGAGGTCAGGAGTTCAAGACCAGCCTGACCAACATAGTGAAACCCCCCGTCCCTACTAAAAAAAGTACAAAAAATTAGCCAGGCCTAGTGGTGCGTGCCTGTAATCCCAGATACTCGGGAGGCTGAGGCAGGAGAATCGCTTAAGCCCAGGAGGCTGAGGTTGCAGTGAGCCGAGATCGCGCCACTGCACCCCAGCCTGGGCGACAGGGCGATACTCGTAAAAAGGAAAGAAAGAAAGAGAGAGAGAAAAAAAAAAAGAAAAAATATAGTTTCCATGACTTTTTGTTTGTGTAGGATGCAAAGTGACTGCTGTGTGCTGTGAAAGATGGGACAAACGGCTTTGAGCTCAAGGGACATGGATTTGGGAGGAATTCAAAATGTGAAGCCTAACTCAGGATTCAGGAACCAGACTAACAGAGGGCAATGAAACAAAACCAGAGAACTCAGGCCCAGAGCCAGCGAGGGAGAGGAAGGACGCCGAAGCGTAGCGTCCCGCGCCGCCCCCCGCCAACCCGGGAGGACGCAGACCCCCCAGAGCCGGTGTCCAGCCCCACCTCTCCGGGCGCCTGCAGGAGGGGAACCGCGCGTCCCATCGCCCGGACCCCGGGCCGGCGGCGCGGCCGAGTCCCGCTGCTTCCGCACTCGCCCCGGGACCCGGACCCCCGCCCCACCGCGCCCCTCCACCTCCCCGCCGGCCGGTGCCACGTGTAACGCCGCGGGGGAATCCCCGGGGACACAGGGCTGGCTGGATTCGCCTCTCGGCCACAGCTCTGCGCTCCACGAGCTGCTCCTGCCCGGTCCCCGCAGGACTCGAACCCGCGACACCTCTGCCGCGCCCTAGCCCTCGCGCCCCGCCGGAGTCACCCCCTGACACTGCCAGGATCCCCGCCCGGCTGCGGGCACCACGTCCCCCGGGCCTTCGCGGGGCCCCGAGGGCCAAGACCGAGGACGCGCCGAGCCGAGGCTGCCTGGGGACCTGGTCCATCCGGTTCTGATGGGGTCCGCAGGGAAAAGGCACTATCCCGGAAAGCTTCCTGGAGGAGGGGAGCGCGAAGGACGAAACTGGGCCTCCCTCTAGGCGGAGCTTAGTGTTTAAAGCTGGCCGGCCTTTCTCCTTTTCATAGTAATTATTCTCTCACTAAGCTCAGGAAGCACGCCCTCCACCATCTCATTAAGCGAACCGGCTGTGGCTGACTCTTCCCTCCTCTAACAACTGTGGCTCCTCATAGCCGGCACAATGACGTCCAAAGCTGTCGGCTCCCGCACGGGTTCCTCCCTTTGAGGCTTGTCTTTCGCACTCCTTCCACCTGCTCGGAGAACTGCGCCCAGGTGGGTTCAGCAACTAGCAGGTGCCATGAAGAGACCCTCAGAGAAGCGGCCGGCCTACCTGGCGCCCGTTACCCCTCTCGCCGCAAACCCACTTCCCTGAACTGTTTTGCAGTTCACAGCCTCTCTCCCCGCTCTAAAAACTAAAAACAAATGAACACTGAAGAGCTCCAGGCTTCATTTTTTTTTTTGAGACGGAGTCTGGCTCTGTCGCCCAGGCTGGAGTGCAGTGGCGCGATCTCGGCTCACTGCAAGCTCCGTCTCCCGGGTTCACGCCATTTTCCTGCCGCAGCCTCCCGAGTAGCTGAGACTACAGGTGCCCGCCACCGCGCCCGGCTAATTTTTTGTATTTTTAGTAGAGACGGGGTTTCACCGTGTTAGCCAGGATGGTCTCGATCTCCTGACCTTGTGATCCGCCTGCCTCGGCCTCCCAAAGTGCTGGGATTACAGACGTGAGCCACCGCGCCTGGCCCCTCCAGGCTTCATTTTTTAATTTTTTCATTCTTCCCTTCCTCCCTGAGCATCAGGAAGTTGCAACGGTTTTGCTGCTTGCACCCTCACATAAATGCACACGGCTCACACTCCAGCCCCAAGTGAGAGATTCGCCTCTCGGCCACAGCTCTGCACTCCACGAGCTGTCACGTGTTCCTGACAGGCAGGTCTCTTCTGTTTCCTACCCCATCCTCCTCCCTCTGGGATCTGTTCAGCAGATACCACCATGCCAGACTCCTGCCACTTTTCCCACCCACCCAGGAGATGGGAGAACAGATGTCAGTTTTCCCTTAGCAGTTGAGGCCAGCCAGGGTTTTCCAAAAGGAACATTACTCCTGAAAAGTATTTAAGAAAAAGTAATAAAACTTGCTTTAAAAAGTCAATCGTGGAAGTTCCAGTTTCTAGCCATTCCTTCCTTCCTTCCATTTGCTCTCCTGAAGGTTTGATCCAGAGATGCCCTCTAATCCTTGGGTTGTTCTCCTCCCCGTCCCAAAAGTCTTTCCCCAGGAGGGGTGGGATCTCAGCCACAGCCTGGTAGCTGTCATGCCTATGAGATGGTCTTAAGTTAAATGTGCACCGAATTGAAGACAGTTAACTTGATAAGTTGCTTGTTTTATAGGCCAAGTCTCAGATATCTTCAGCATATAAAAGCCACAGCCATGCCCAGTGGGGGTTACTAATTTTCTTAGAGTGACATCATGTGGTAAAGACAGGACCATCCAGCCTGGCTTTCAAAGTGCTGTGATATGTTGAAAGATGCAAGATGTGGGAAGTGAGAGAACCCCAAGGCACGAACCGAAGCCAGAATCATGGAATCTTAGGAGTCGAAAGGGACTAAGAATTTCTGACTCCCTCCCACCCAGTTCCAGAAGCCCCTAGTAAGGCTTCCCCCAGCGCTCCCTTAAGACCTGTGCCTAGACCTGGGGGCTGGAGGGTACCGTCCAACCTTGCCTGCAAAAGAGATGAGCCACCCACACCTGAAGAGAGGGAAGCCAGACCAGTTGTGATCGGGCTTCCTCTGTTGCACCTCAAGAAGCAAATCAGATGTTCCCTTACAGATGGAACACTCAAAAAGTTCAAAAGATGTTTTTACAAAGGGTTGCCTGATCCTAACATGCCATGAACACTGGGCTTAATAGTCCCATCAACTAAAGACTGAAAACAGCATTTTCCCAAGTGTGCTCTGTAGGATTCAGTAGATTTTGGGTGAATAAAAGGATTCCATGGTCAAACACATGCGGATTAAACAAATATGGGACTTAAAAAAAAGTAAACAGGGTAACATGAGGGTTGCTTGCAGTCTTAGAGCGGTTGTGTATCTTGGCTGTATCAAGGTTAATATCTGGTTTTGATAATCCACTATAGTCTTGCATGATGTTACCATTGGAGGAACTGGATGAAGGGTAAACAGGATCTCTCTTTTATTTATTTATTTATTTATTTATTTATTTATTTATTTATTTATTTTTGAGATAGGATCTCACTCTGTCGCCCAGGCTGGAGTGCAGAGGCGCAATCACATCTCAATGAAGCCTAAAACTCCTGGGCTCAAGCAATCCTCCCATCTCAGCCTTCCGAGTAGCTAGAACTACAGGTGTGTGCCACCATGCCTGGCTAACTTTTTATCTTTACTTTGTAGAGACGGGGATCCCCAGGTTGCTCTTGAACTCTTGTTCTTAGGTGATCCTCCTGCCTCAGCCTCTCAAAGCGATGGGTTTACGGGCCGAAGCCATGGCACCCAGCGCATGATTATATCTTATATTGTTTACCTTATTATACCTATACGTTTATATACATACTATGTTTTTTATATGAGTCTATAATTATCACAAAATAGAAAGTTTAACTTAAAAAATCAAACAGTTTACAGTAGCACTTCTTAGAGAAGTTAATAACCTATGTAGATTTTTAATTTTTTTTTTTTTGAGACGGAGTCTCGCTCTGTCACCCAGGCTGGAGTGCAGTGGCGCAATCTTGACTCACTGCAGCCTCCACCTCCCTGCTGCAAGCAATTCTCGTGCCTCAGCCTCCCAAGAAGCTGGGATTACAGGTGCATACCACCATGCCCAGCTAACTTTTGTATTTTTAGTCGAGACGGGGTTTCACCATGTTGGCCAGGCTGGTCTCGAATTCCTGAGCTCAAGTGATCCACCACCTTGGCCTCCCCAAGTGTTAGGATTACAGGCATGAACCACCGCGCCCAGCCTGATTTTTAATTTTTAAAAGGGTACCAGTCTCTATGTGCCCCCCGGTTATGCTGGTGTGGGCAACTGCTGTACTGAGTCAGAGCTGGTGTGCATGACCAAGAGAAGACATTGGAGTATTCTGAGGCTAGGTCAAAATATCCCTTAAAAGTTCCGCTTTGGCCTCTTAGATATATATAAAGCTGAATTCTATTTGCATTTGCCTGTGACTTTCTCTTCTTCTGCTGTCCTTGTCCTGTCTGGGTATCAAGGTTATATAAGTTTCATAAAATTAGCTCGATAACTTCCTCTCTCTTTTTTTCTCTGAAACGGTTTAAGATAAGACAAATGGCCTGGGCGCGGTGGCTCATGTCTGTAATCCCAGCACTTTGGGAGGCCGAGGCGGGTGGATCACGAGGTCAAGAGATCGAGACCATCCTGGCTAATATAGTGAAACCCCGTCTCTATTAAGAATACAAAACATTAGCCGGGCGTGGTGGTACGCACCTGTAGTCCCAGCTACTCAGGAGGCTGAGGCAGGAGAATCTCTTGAACCCGGGAGGGGGAGATTGCAGTAAGCCGAGATCGCGCCTCTGCATTTCAGCCTGGGTGACAGAGAAAAAAAAAAGTTAAAAAAAAAAGTAAAAGAAAAAAACGATAGGACAAATGATCCTCAAAAGTTTGGTAAGACCTTCCCTGTAAAAATCATCTGGCCTGGTTTCTAAACATGTCTAGAAGACACAATCTTTTTTCAAGGGGTAGAGAGAATGCTAGGAGAACCTTTTGAGGGCTACTTTAATTTCTGTTATGGCTATGGGTTTATTCAAAATTTCTTTGTCGTTTTGGATTAGTTTCTGCAGTTCATATATTTTTTAAGAAAAGTAAATATTTTATCAAAGTTTTAAATGTTCATGTGTAGTTTAAAAAATGCTTACTAAATCAATAGATATTGCCTCTTCTTATTTCTTATTATAGATTAAAAAACGGCTTTTGATTTTGTTGATTCTCATTCCTTTTTTTTAATACTTTGTTACTTTCTGCTCCTGTTCTTTTTTTTTTTTTTCTGAGATGGAATCTCTCTCTGTTGCCCAGACTAGAGTGCAGTGTAATCACCTCGACTCACTCCAACCTCTGCATCTGGGTTCAAGCAATTCTCCTGCCTCAGACTCCCAAATAACTGGGACTATAGGCACGCGCCACCACACCAGGCTAATTTTTGTATTTTTAGTAGAGACAGGGTTTCACCATGTTGGCCATGCTGGTTTCGAACTCTTGACCTCAAGTGATCCTCCTGCCTTGGCTTCGCAAAGTACTGGGATTTATTCCCACAAAATGAAATTCTAATAACTTTTTGCTGAATTCCACAAATGTTGGTATGTAACACATTTATTAGTATTCTCGTCTTACATATGCTGTCATTTCCATGGTGCCATCTTTTTAAAATTAATCCACAAATTATTCAGGATTACATTTTAGAGTTTCCAAATGTGTGTGTATATTACTTATTTTATTAGTACTTTTATTTACTCATTTTGGTATTTTTTATTGTTGAATTCTTATTTAGTTTCTTTTTTTTTCTTTTTTTTTTTTTCTTTTTTTGAGGAGGAGTTTCGCTCTTGTCACCCAGGCTGGAGTGCAGTGGGAAGATCTCAGCTCACTGCAACCTCCGCCTCCTGGGTTCAAGCAGTTCTCCTGCCTCAGCCTCCCGAGGAGCTGGGATTACAGGCACCCACCACCACGCCTGGCTAATTTTTTTTTTGTATTTTTAGTAGAGACGGGGTTTCGCCATGTTGGGCAGGCTGGTCTCGAACTCCTGACCTCAGGTGATCCGCTCGCCTTGGCCTCCCAAAGTACTGGGATTATAGGTGTAAGCCACCGCGCCCGGCCTTCTTTTTTTATTATTTAGTTTCAGTGTGACCAGAAAATGAGTATGGTCCATCTTTCAGGTGCCTATAAGTTCAAGAGTACTATATGTTTCTCTTACTTTTAAGTTCTTTCCTTTTTTATTTATATAATATTTTATGTAAAAATTAATGTATTTATATATAGTATAATATAAATTATATTTTGTCTAAAATCGATATTGCTATTCCAGCTTTTTAGGTTTATTATCTGATTACTGTTTGCATGAGACAAGTTTCTCCATCCCTTTAGTTTCAATTTATCTCATTGATTTCATTTTGTGTGTATTTTCTATAAGAATGCTATATGCTGGCCAGGCGCAGCGGCTCACGCCTGTAATCCCAGCACTTTGGGAGGCCGAGGCAAGTGGATCACCTGAGGTCAGGAGTTCGAGACCAGCCTGGCCAACGTGGTAAAACCCCGTCTCTACTAAAAATACAAAAATTAGCCGGTGGTGACACATGCCTGTAATCCCAGCAACTCGGGAAGCTGAGGCAGGAGAACTGCTTGAACCCAGGAGGCGGAGGTTGCAGTGAGCTGAGATCTTCCCACTGCACTCCAGCCTGAGCAACAGAGCAAGACTCTGTCTCAAAAAAAAAAAAAAAAAAAAAAGAATACTATATGCTATAGTCTGAATGTTATACCCCCACAATTTGTATATTGAAATTTAATTACCAATGTGATGGTATTAGGAGGTAGGCCCTTTCAGCAGTGATTAGGTCATGAGAGTGAAATCAATGTCTTTATAAAAGAGGCTCCAGGGATCTGCCTTGTCCTACCATGTGAGAACATGTCTAGAAGGCTCCATCTATGAACCACAAAGTGAGCCGTCACTAGAAAACCTGTCTGCTGTTGCCTTGATGATGGACTTCCCAGCTTCCAGAACTATGAGAAATAAATTTCTGCTGTTTATACAGAGTTGATGGTACTTTGTTACAGCAGCTGGAACAGACCAAGGCACTATGCCTAGAGTTTTTAAAAACTTAATCATACAGTCTCTTACTTTTTTATAGCAAGCTTACTCCATTTTCTAATTTTGTATTATTGATTGATTTAAAATGATTTCTACCCTCCTAGTTTTGATTTTCTGTTCACCTTCATTTGTCTTTCTTTTCTTTCCTTTTTTTAATAGTTTATTGAATTAGTGAAGCTTGCTATATTACCCCCTTTTGTTTTGGAAGTTACTTATAGTGTTTTCATTTTTTGACTATTTACCTTTAGTTGTCAACATACATATTCATCATATATTTTTCTAAATAATACAAAATGCTTAGTAATTTTACTTTTTTGTTCTGAACAACGGCAAAAAGTCCTTAGCACATATTAACTTCACATTTACATTTCCTCTTCAATTTATTATTATCTAGAGAGTTTTAGTTTTGTACTTCTTAGAGCACAACAAATAAAAATTGAGAATATTTTTATAGTCAATGGTTTATAAAGATTCATTTATACTTTATCAATTTCTGTGATTCCCCTCCTTATTTTGCGTTCCATATCTTTCCTCTACGTTTTTTATTTTCCTTCCTACTGAAGTATATTCTGCAATAATTATTTTAGTGAGGGTTTTCGTGTGGCTTTGGCTGTTGTATAGCATTGCATTTCCGATCAATTTCTGGTCCATGAAATAATTTATTTTGTTCTTCATCCAGACTCTCTCATAACAGTTTTCCCTTTTTATGGGATATCTGTATTTGCCACGGGTTTTGTGCAAGGGAAATAAGTTGAAAGGTTAACCTGTGGAGTCATCTTCAGTTGAAATCAGGGTTAATGACTGCTGAGTTCCTGGTCCTCAGAGGGAAGGACAGAAGCAGCTGAAAACAAACATAAATATGGCAACTTGCCTGACCTGAATGGAAAAAAAAAATTATGGGCAAATGCACATTTCAAAGGATATTTGGCTTTTCTCAGCTTTCTAAATTTTTGTTCTTTGTTCAATTCCTATCAATATTGGGGTGATAATGCTTGGTGTGCTGACCCCTGGTGGATTCAGTGAGTGCCAGTTTATGACAATTTTTGAAGGTGAAGTAGGTCTTATTCCAGTAGCCTGATTCAAATGCCGTAAGAGGCTAGGCAGGTTATATAAATGTGTCAGGTGACCCCATGTGACCATAGATCATGGTGCCAGTGTAGTGACAAATATGCCCTGTATATGACCATACACATGGCGCCAAGTGTTTTATGTGCCAAGTCACATAAAACCAATGGTAAAAAAAATGTTGGCAAAACACACACACATATGAACATTTGATTGGAGAGCTTGATTGGACCAATCAGTTTGGCCCAAACTACCTTGTTTAAGTTACACACAGAAAGGTTGTGCCCCTGCCCTGAGGTCTCACCCCAAGCTCAGTTTGTAAATTAATAACTAATGTTCTTTCCATGATCCACTCTTAATTTCCAAAAAAATAGTAACAACTAATCAATGCTACAGTGGGCTCTTTTTATAAACTACTATTAGACATTTGCTGACAAGACCCAATGGGAGAGAATATTATTCTTCAAGTGAATTCATGTATTATTGTCTGTGTTTTGAATAAAAACTTTGGTGGTATATATTATTTGGGAACTTGTAGAGCAAAATTTTCTCCTATAAAACATTAAATGTTATACTAATTAAGTATTTTTTCTCTAGCTTTTATACAGTCAACTTGAAGTTTAAGAACTTAAAATCAGATTCAAATCCTGATATGCTATATTTTTAACTGGGGAGCATGATTAGAATAAGAATGAATTATCTGAAAGTAGCAAGTACCAGTGGTTATCCAGAATCAAATATTTTATTTTGTCGAGGTTGGGAAAAATCCAAATTATATTTCTACTTTGGATATTTTAATTAATTTTAATTATGATTGTTAAAAGGCATTTAATCTTTTTTCCCCCTGGTTGATTTAAACTTACTTATCTAGTTGTTTTCCAGGACCTGTCTGATAGATACCTCACTTGGAAGCTACAGTGGCTTCCTATTACTTATCATGTTAAGTCTGAAATTTTCCACCTGCCAGTCCCCTCCAACATTCCATTTCTTTCTTTCTTTCTTTTTTCTTTTTTTTTTTTTTTGAGACGGAGTCTCACTCTGTCACCAGGCTGGGGTGCAGTGGCAGGATCTCAGCTCACTGCAACCTCTGCCTCCTGGGTTCAAACGATTCTCCTTCCTCAGCCTCACGAGTAGCTGGGACTACAGGTGCGTACCACCATATCCAGCTAATTTTTGTATTTTTAGTAGAGACGGGGTTTCACCATGTTGACCAGGATTACCTCGATCTCTTGACCTCATGATCCACCCGCCTTGGCCTCCCAAAGTACTGGGATTACAGGTGTGAGCCACCACGCCCGGCCCATTTCTTTTAACCACTGTATTTTTGGGTCTTAACTGTGCCACTCAAGACAATCAGACTGCTCTTCTCATGGGAAGGGCGTCCTGTTCTCAACCCTTGGCCTTCCCCATGTCTCACATGAATGTGAAGAAGTGGAGTGTGGCATCCCCAGGCAGATCTCCAATTCCATTTTCAAAGTCATCATAGATGGATTTCTTGGTTCTCATCTCTCCTTCGCACTCTCTTCCCTTAATACACTATTGTTCTCTCTTATCTGGTTCCTCTTACAGCCACTCAAGCTCCTGACAAAACTTTATGGTAGCATAAGAAACTTGAGGAATATGTGTGTGTGTGTGTGTGCATATATATATACACATATGTATACACACAAATACATATATATATACATATTTGCATATATGTTTAATGACATGAAATAATTGTCTAAAAGCAATCATAAAATTTAAAATAAAATATTAATACACAAATCCTTGGCTGAGCACAGTGGGTCACGCCTATAATCCCAGCACTTTAGGAGGCCAAGGCAGGCAGATCACTTGAGGTCAGGAGTTGGAGACGAGCCTGGCCAACATGGTGAAACCTCCTCTCTACCAAAAACACAAAAATTAGCCAGGGGTGGTGGCACGTGCCTGTAGTTCCAGCTACTTGGGAGGCTGAGGCAGGAGAATCACTTGAACCCGGAAGGCAGAGGTTGCAGTGAGCCAAGATCGCGCCACTGCACTCCAGCCTGGGCAACACAGAGAGACTCCATCTCAAAAAACATAACTAACTAACTAACTAACTAACTAAATAATTATATGGGACAATAACTCAAAAATACCACCATTTAAAAAAATCACATATACATACAAACTCTAACGTGTATAAATGCTGCCCATCCGTGACATTTACATACAAATTTTAATAGCTGTCTAAGGCAGTGTTTTCAAATTTTAGTGTGCAATAGAATACTTTGTGGATATTGTTAAATTTAAATATTCCCAGGCCCACCATTCAGAGATTCTGATTCAGTGGTGTGGGAAGAAGTCCAGACATCAGGGTGTTTTTAGCAAGCATCACAGATAATTTTGAGAAAAGTAGCTCATGAATGACACTTCGAGAAACACTACCATGAGAAATATTTTTTCCCCAAATAAAGCAGCCCCTTTCCTGTTTCTATATTTATGAATGATGAGATTATTCTATAAGTAAAATTGTGAAATAGAACATGTTAATTTCAAAATCTTCAGTCTCACCTTTTTAAAATTTTTTTAACATAATGTTTGAAGTTTTAGTTTATTTTAAAAGTCAATTTTAATTCTCTTAAATTGGTTTGCATTTATGGTACAGTTTTGTCATTTATGAGAATAAGAGATTTTTTTCCTTCATTTAACATGTTTACTTAATTCTCAGAAATATTTGAGGCTGCATGTTAGAATCCCTTTTTAAAATATGCCAATAAGGAACATGTCTGAACTTACTTTTTAAAGTTTACTGCGTTATTCACTTTCCTTGGCATATCTCCATTAGAGTTAGAATAGGTAATCAAAAACAGTCATTGACCTGATTCTAGGATTTTGACTGGATATAACTTTTTTTTTTTTTTTCTGAGACAGGGTCTCGCTCTGTTGCCCAGGCTGGAGTGCAGTGGCACCATCTCGGCTGTCTGCAACCTCAGGCATGCACCACCACATCCGGCTAATTTTTGTATTTTTAGTAGAGACAGGGTTTCACCATGCTGGCCAGGCTGGTCTCAAACTCCTGACCTCAAGTGATCTGCCCACCATGGCCTTCCAAAGTGCTGGGATAACAGGTGTGAGCCACTGCACCCGGCCCACTCATTATTTTGAAGAGAATATATCCTATGGGCTTCAGGGGAATTTTTAGGAAATCTACCTCTTTTCCTCAAACAATTAATGTCAGAACTTTGATGCAAATTCTCCTTTTCTTAAAACATCTAATCCAGGAGGCTGAGCAAGGCTGATCTTCTACCTGGAAAAGTGGAAGAAGTGAGAGGTCACGAGTCACTTGGACATCACTGTACCACCTAAGGCCCAATGGAGAATGAGTAAGGCTACTATAAACATGGTTTATCTGTGCTATAGGAATGCAAAACATTGTTTGGTGTCAGAATTTGCAAAACATGCTTTATAGCAATTCAAAAATATAACATGTAAGCCTGTAAGACACTGAAGAAACCATCTAAGTCATCTAAGCCCAATGCCTTCATTTTACAGATTGCATAAGTGAAGGCCAAACTTGCAGGAATCCCAAGATCTCATTGAGAATGAGATTGAATCTTAATTATCATTACAAGCCTATGCATTTCTTCCAGAACATAATAAGCATTAAATTGATAAATCAGGTTTCTTGGATTAATTGTGAATGAATTGAAAAAGGTCCTGGATTTTCTAACTCTCAAGTCCAATGTCAAACCCAGAACAAAACAATTTGACACCAGAATGACCTTTGGTATCTCCTGCAGGTAATGTGGACCCTGGTATATTTTAGTTGTTTCAAACAACTGAAAGCTGTGTCTGTTTTCCTGTATCTTTGCCAACACTGAGCAGTGTTAATATTTTTTATATTTATTTAATTATTTATTTATTTGTTTATTTATTTTTTGAGACAGAGTCTCACTCTGTCGGCCAGGCTGGAGTGCAGTGGCACGATCTTGGCTCACTGCAACCTCTGCCTTCTGGGCTCAAGCAATTCTCCTGCCTCAGCCTCCCGAGTAGCTGGGATTACAGGGGTGTGCCACCATGCCTGGCTAATTTTTTTTGTATTTTTGGTAGAGACGGGGTTTCACCATGTTGGCCAGGCTGGTCTTGAGCTCCTGACCTCAAGTAATCCACCCACCTCGGCCTCCCAAAGTGCTGGGATTACAGGCGTGAGCCACCGTGCCCGGCCAATTGTCCTCTTTTATTACTGATATCGAGCAGCTTTTTTCATGTTTGTTGGGAAACTGTCATTCTCCTGTGAATTTGGAATGCACTTCCTTATTGTGTTTTACCTTCCAATGTTACTGTCAAGAATATCATTCATTCTGATACTTGATATTTGTACGAAGCCTTTCACTCTCTGTCAGAAAATTTGTAAGCTCTTTTCTCTGTTCCTAGTGTTATGAAATTTTGTGTCATAATGATAGACTTTGTATTGTGTCTACTTTGAGCACTTGGTAGGCCCGTTCCATGGGAAAAACTCATTTAGCCTTAGGACAAAACTGTTTCTTTGCCTTTCTTCTTCTTCTTTTTTTTTTTTTTTTTTCTATTCTCTCTTTCTGGAATTCCATTTAGATATCTAACATCCTGAGCCAGTTCTCAATCTTTTTTCTCGCATTTCCTCCCTGCTTTCCAGTAAATTTCCTCAACTTGATTTCCCAATTCTTCTATTGAGTCTTTCATTTCTATGATGATATTTTTAATTTCTAAGAGCTCTTAACTCTCTAAATATCTTTTATTTTTAGAGCATCCTGTTCTTGCTTCACTGATACCATATCTTCTGTTAGCCCTCTGAAGATAGTTCTTGCACATTTTCCTTCTCCCTGAAGAGTCTCTCTGTGCTTCTAAGTAAGTTTCTCTATCTTGGTCTCTCATATTTTATGCTTTTGTCATTCGCTGTTACAATAGGCATCCAAAGGCAGATTGGAAGCTCTGAGTGTGAGGTTTGTCGACCACCATCTTCACTTTGCAAAGCTCTGGCTGGGCCATTTCTTTAGGGCATCCCTGATGTAAACATCTCTGTGTCTCTTGTCTTGGGGGAAACCCAGTCCATCTGCCTAGAGGATTCATCTGCCTGGCTGCCAGCATTCTGAGAGCTCTGCTGGGGAAGTGGGCTTCAAGTCTCAGGTTTAATACATCAGCTTTCATTTACCTCTCCATTTTCAGAAAGATATCTTCACCCTCAACTTGTTCTGGTGCCCTCTGTTTTATTCTCTCCAGGAAAACCAACAACTTCAGTCCAAATTTGAAAGTGGAAGAGAGCCAGTTAAAGGCTCTGTGGAGAGCTGGAAAAGATACTGAAGGTCTAACTTCTTAAACAGACTAGCAAATAATCCTCTCTGGTCTTTTCATCCACTTTCATGGCTTCTTGATAGGTCCAATCCTGAGAGTTTGGAAGGCTCTGTAGAGTCAATCAATTGCTGCTTGATTTTCTCCACTGTCCATTGATGAGTCAGCTTTCTAGGAACGTCTCTGCAGATCCTAACTTTCCTTACTGCTTTCTCTTGCCCTCTTTGTCCTTGAGGATTATGCAAAAAGCAAACAAATAAACAACTAAAGACTCCTTTACCCTCATTTTTGTAGAATGTCAATAGGGAGTGGAGATTAAATGCATGTGTCCAATCTGACCTCTTTAACCAACAGTCTCCATTTACTTTCAGATGAACTTGAGAACCAATTTGTTTCTGTCACTGACCTACTCACTCCCACCTAAGGCAAAACTCTTGGTTTTATCCATCACTTCTATTTTCGTTTGCTCACCCATTTGTTTCTAGTTTTAATTTTATTATATCATTTTCTTTTCTTCTGACTTGTTTTGTGGTTGTTTCATTACATGCTTGAATTGAATGCTTAGTCTCTTTCTTATTTAATAATAAAAGCATTGGCCGGGCACTGTGGCTCATGCCTGCAATCCCAGCACTTTGGGAGGCTGAGGCGGGCAGATCATCTGAGGTCAGGAGTTTGAGACCAACCTGGCCAACATAGTGAATCCCCGTCTCTACAAAAAATGCAAAAATTAGCTGGGCATGGTGGCACATGCCTGTAGTCCCAGCTACCCGGGAGGCTGAGGCAGGAGAATCGCTTGAACCCAGGAGGCGGAGATTGCAGTGACCTGAGATCTCATCATTGCACTCCAGCCTGGGTGACAGAGTGACACTCCATTTCAAAAATAATAATAATAATAAAATAATAAAAGCATTTTACCCTGAATTTTCTTCAGTGTATGGCTATGGCCAAATTCTGTAGTTATTGACATCTAATATTCTCATTGTCATTCAGTTGTAAAGAGATCATAATTTCAATTTTTATTTCCTTTCTGACAGGAGTGTTTTAATTTTAATTTAATTTTATTATTATTATTTTATTTTATTTTTATTTTTTAGAGATAGTTTCTCACTCTGTCACCTAGGCTGGAGTGCAGTAGTGTGATCATAGCTCACTGCAGCCTCAAGTTCCTGGGCTAAAGTGACCCTCCCACTTTGGCCTCCCAGCGTGCTGGAATTACAGACATGAGCCACCACACTCAGCCTGTTAGGAGTGTTTTAGAAGAGTAGTCTTAAGTTTCCAAATGGGATAATTTTGTCATCTTTTTATGTATTAATGTCTAACCTTGCTTCATTGCCCATCGAGAGAAAGTAGGTCTGTAAGAATTTTACTGAATTCTTTTTTACTTTTTTATATTATGCCACTGTTATTTTTAAAATTCTTTTTTACAGCCTGTAAAACTTCATAATTCCCCTATGAAAATAATTTAGACTTAATCATAGTTTAAGTAGCATAGTGCAGGCAATGTTTTTTAAAACTTTTATATGCTTTTCTATTTGCCACATATTTGAATCTAAGGTGTTCACTCACCATCAAGAGATGTTTTAAAATGAGAATTATTAAGATTCTTCCATAGAGAAGAAATGTAATGATGAACAAAGAGTGCTCAGTTTCTGACATTTAAGTGGCATTTTGCAGTAAGACAATAGGCGAATAAGCTTGAAAGTCAGTGGAAAACAAAGAAATGCCTAAACTCCTTTGCTATCACTTAATATATCAAATGCTAGGCGTAGATCAGAAAGATGTGGAATTTTTCCCAGAGTTCATAGAAAATCATCTTGTCTGCCATGGGGGTTTAACCAGGAGGCTACAATCAGACAGGTGGAGGATAACTAACAGAAGAAATAAATGGGGGGTTCGTCCCTTCTGGTGCTGAGAAGGTAGTTGGAAGGGCAAGACAAAGAGGCAAAAGGAGACTGAGGCACAGGGGGAGGAAGTCACACGAGTGTCCCAAAGTCCTCTTCTTGGAGCCTTGGCTTGGTGAGGAAAACCTGTGTTAAAATGACTATGAGGCCTCTATTCCCAGCTGGGATGTGGAAGGAACCTGAAGGCCAGGACGGCCCAGTTCAAACAAGGGAAGCCCCAGGAAACATAAGAAGATAGGCGGTGTAGTTATGCAGCCAGGAGTGGGGACCTAAGTGTGAGGCCCCCACCCTTGTTCACATCTTCAGAGATGGGGACACTGAATTAACAAGCAGCAGGTAGGGCAAAGTCTGTGGTGGGGGCGCATGAGCTAAAGTGGGGATGGAGGATGTGGGTGAGGGGCTGCAACTTCACTGAGAATTGAGAGGAGGCCTATGAGGCAGTAGGGAGGGGCAAGTGAATCTCCTGGAGCCTAGAATGAATAAACCATGAGTTCACCCCTTCCAGAAGCCAGATGCAGGTAGGGGATACTGAGAGTTGGATGGGACCATCCACCTCTTGGCAGATTCCAGCCAGTGCAGACCTGTATTAGTCCATTTTCACGCTGCTGATAAAGACATACCCGAGACTGGGCAATTTACAAAAGGAAGAGGTTTAATGGACTCACAGTTCCACGTGGCCGGGGAGGGGCCTCACAATCATGGCAGAAGGCAAGGAGGAGCAAGTCATGTCTTACATGGATGGCAGCAGGCAAAGAGAGAGAAGAAGAAGCAAAAGCCAAAACTCGTGATAAAACCATCAGATCTCGTGCGACTTATTCACTACTATGAGAGCAGTATGGGGGAAACCGCCCCCCCAATTCAATTATCTCCCACTGGGTCCCCATATGGGTGGGGACACAGCCAAACCATATCAACACCCAAGGACCAACTCAAGATCAGAAGCCTTTTTTCACCCGAAAACAACACAAGACTCAGCTCCACTCCATGTTCCAGATATCAAGCTAGAAAAGATCAGGGAAGGTGCAATGAAACCAAAATCTGCACAGTCATGCCCCCGTAAACCAAGTTAAGCTTAGAGAGTACATCAATTGTTGTTTTAAGCCAAATTGGCATAAAACTAAATTGGACTAAAATTTAAAATTTGTCCTACCATTCAGCAGATGGCAGTTGGAAGGGAATTCAGAATTGCTTTAAGCAGAGCTTCTCTCCTGGGAATCTGATTAAATGGAAGTTTTTGATACAGTAGGTCTAGGTCGGAGAGTGAGTTTTTTTGCTCATCATTGTTTGTTACATGTTCACTGGCTCACAGTTTTGCAAATTTGAATTTGGATACAAATTTACTTTTGGCTGGAGAATTCCAAAAATACTCTGTTTAGAAACTTTTGTGGCTGGTTCATAAGCAGCTTTCTTTTGCCCTCAGAGATGCCCCATTGTTTGTCTGGTATAGAGCTCTCAGCAAATGTGTTTTCCTCAGAAATTGCCAACTTTGCTCCACACTGCATTTGGAATTTGGTATTGGAGACAAGAATTCCGATGTCAGTCCACTTCTTTTTCCCTTGTAGGCAAACGGTTTATTGTGTTTGTCAGTTTGGAAAACACATTTTATCCTGAGAAATCAAATGTATGTTTTTCAATTTGTTTCAACTTTTAAAATATTCGTGCTGAACATTTGTGAGGCATTTTGAGTTAGAGTTCATGCCATTCTTAAACTTGGGGAGTTTGGTTTTTTTTTTTGTTTTTTTTTTTTTTGAGACAGGGTCATGCTCTGTCACCCACATTGGACTGCAGTGACATTGATCTTAGATCACTGCAGCCTTTAACTCCTGGGCTCAAATGATCTTCCCACCTCAGACTCCCAGTACATAGCCCTACAGGCGCACACCACCATGCCTGGTTAATGATTTTATTTCGTTGTTTTAGAGATGGGTTCTGGCTGTTTTGCCCAGGCTGGTCTTAAACTCCTGGGTTCAAGCCATCCTCCTTCCTTGGCCTCCCAAAGCACTGGGATTACAGACATGAGCCACTGTGCCCAGCCAGGAAATTTTCTTTCTGTTTGTTTTGGAGGGTTTGTTGTTGTTGCTTTTATTGTTTGGTTTATTTGAGACAGAGTCTCACTTGGTCACCCAGGCTGGAGTGCAGTGGTGCAATCATGGCTCACTGCAGCCTCAAATTCCTGGCCTCAAGCAATCCTCCCATCTCAGCCTCCCTAGTAGCTGGGACCACAGATGCATGCCACTGTGCCCAGCTAATTTAAAAATTTTTTAAAGAGACAGGGTCTCCCTATGTTGCTCAGGCTGGTCTTTGTGTTTATTTATGGCTTATCATCCATTTGCTTGTTTCCTGACACTCCTGTTTCACAAATATGGGGCCTCTTTGGTCTATTCTTTATGTCTCACCTTTTCTTTTCTAAATTCTCTTTCTTGATTGTTTAGCTCTGCACTCTGGAAGAGTTCTTTACCCTTCAAAATATTTTCATTGTTGGGAATGTTCATCCCATTCAGTGCTTCCAATGTGTTAAGGAATTTTTTGACAATTATGTTTTTTTTAATTTCTAAGAAGTCTTTCTTATTTTTTATTTTTATTTTTTGGTTGGTGCTTTTTCCTGACCATAAAGATTTATTGTTGCAATATCCTTGAAGACATACATTTAAATATTGTTAAATTATCTTTTGCTTTCTGCATTAATTCTGTCTTACTGGGGCCATTTATCAACTCTTCAGTTTGGCATCCTGTCTTCCAGTGGCTGATGCTATTCAGGACCCATGCATGGTTGCTGCTGGCCCCATCCTCACCTGCAATCGTAGAGCCTAATTGTATCGTATTACTGGGGACGTGGGCTGTCAGTCTCCACGGTGGTCTGACTGCAGGAGGCCCCAGCTTAGGTTTTACCTTGGGCCAGTGAGTATGTCGGGGCAATTTTATCTCCTGTAATTTAGAGGTGATCTGCCCTGAGATTTGGAAGCTCATGGGAGTTATTATTTTCTTACATTGGCCTGAGGAAACTGCTTGGTAAGTGAGCTTTCCCCTGCAAGATAACTGATGGCAAATATGTCAGTCTCATTTGTATCATCTCAGTTGACATCTGTGGCACCAGGGTTGAAGATGGTACCCATCTCTAGTTTTCAGTGGTGAGAGAGCATTTTCTTTCCACATCAGTGAGACACGTGGGTAAAGAACTTGGAGAAGGATAGAGATCAAGATGGCATGTTCTTAGTCTGCACTATGCTCACATTTCCCTGATAATAAGAATTGTGGAGTGAGAGCCGCTTAGGCATACTACATTCAATGTAACAATCCATTTTATGCAAACAATCAGAATTTAGAAAGAGGACTACCTTTTTTCCCTTACTAGGTAATAGTCCTTTCCCATTCAGAAAGGATTGATACCAGTCAAATTGTTCTGCAGGTAAATGAGGTTAGAAAGAAAATTTTCTAGAATTTGGAGGTGTAATAAAATGTAACATGGCAGTGTTCACTATATAGAAAAAAAATAAATTTTTCAAGAAAGAACTTCTTAACAGTCATATTTCATGGAAACATGTAAGAGCCATATCAAAAACTAAACATTCTAGTTAGAGGCCTGACACTACCTGACTTCAATAATTATTATAGAGCTATAATAATTAAGACAGCATGGCATGGGCCAATAAATAGACCAATAGATCAATGGAACAAAATAGAGAACACAGAAATACATACTCAACTGATTTTTGACAAAGGAACAAGGGTAATTCAATGGAAAAAGAGAATTCCTGCAATAAATGGTACTGGACATCCACATGCAAAAAAAAAAAAAAAAAAAGAACCTAGACACAGACCTTGCACATTTCACAAAAATTAACTCAGATGAATTATACAATTGTCCCTCAGTAAACACTGGAGATTGGGTCCAGGATCTCCCCACCCCCACCCCATGTATACCCAAATCCATGCATGCTCATCTGCCTTTGGCCCTGTGGAACCTGTGTATACAAAAAGTCACACCTCCATACACATGGGTTTCACATCTCACAAATACTGCATTTTAGATTTTCCATCCACATTTGGTTGAAAAAAAATCTACGTATAAGTGGAGCCTCAAAATTCAAACCCATGTTGTGCAAGGGTCAACAGTATATTTAATATGAAATGCAAAACTCTAAAACTTTCAGAAAATTACTTGGAAGAAAATTTATGTGACCTGGGGTTTGACAATGAGTTTTTAGATTCAACATCAAAAGCATGATCTATAAGAGAAACAAATGAAAGCTGGACTTTACTAAAATGTCAGACTTCCCTGTAAAACACACTGTTAAAAGAATGGAAGACAAGCCACAAATTGGGAGGAAATATTTGCAAAACATGTATCTTATAAAGGACTTACATACAAAATGTACAAAGAACTCTTAAAACTCTACAGTAAGAAAACAACCCAATTTTAAAGTGGGCAAAATATCTGAACAGATAATTCATCAAGAAGATCTACTGATGGCAAAAAATATATGAAAAGATGCTCAACATCATATGTCATTAGGGAACTGAAAATTAAAAATAACGATGAGATATCATGACATGCCTATTATAATGGATAAAATCCCCAAACTGATGATAACAAATGCCAGTAAGTATACGAAGCAACAAGAACTCTCATTCATTGCTGATGGGGAATGCAAAATTGTACAGCCAGTTTGGAAGACAGTTTGGCAGTTCCTTATAAAGCTAAAGATAGCTTATAAAGCTATCATCCAGGAATCCTGCTCCTTGGTATTTACCCAAGTGAGTTGAAAACTTACACCCACACAAAACCTGCACACTGACATTTATAGCAGATTTATCCATAATTACAAAAAAATCTGGAAGCAACCAAGATGTCTTTTAATAAGTGAATGGGTAAAGAAACTATGGTACATCCATACAATGGAACACTATTCCATGATAAAAAAGAAATGTGCTATCAAGCCATAAAAAGACATGGAGGAACTTTAAATGTGTATTGCTAAGTGAACAAAGCCAGTCTGAAAGGCTACATGCTGTATGATTCCAACTATATGATGTCTTGAAAAAGGCAAAACTATAGAGACTAAAAAAAATTAGTAGATGTTTGAGAGGAGGAGAAAAGGAATGAAAAGATGAGCATGGGGAATTTTTAGTGCAGCAAGACTACTCTGTATGATACTGTAATGGGGGATACATAATAATTATGCACTTGTCAAAACCCATAGCAGGAGAGAGAAGGGGTATATGGGAACTTGGGAACTCTGTACTTTCTGCTAGATTTCCTGTAAATCTAAAATTGCTCTTAAAAAACAAAGTCTATTAATTTTTTTAAAAAAAACAGTATCTTCCTAACCACCCTTTATTTTTTAATTTTTCCCAATTGTAGGTATGTGAAAATGAAATATTGAAGGAGCAAGGAACAATACAAAGTCTTTCTGGATTTATTGCCTCTTTCCTAAGTAGTGCTTGAACTTCCCATATTGCTATAAATTCATGTCATTTGTCTCACTTCTCCCATTCAATGGTACATTCTCTAAAGTGATTGGTTAATGCTATGGTTTGAATATGGTTTGTCCCCACCAAAACTCATATTGAGGCTTCATCCCTAATGTGGCAGTGTTGGGAAGTGGTGCCTGTAAGTAGTCATTGGGTCATTAAGATGAATTAATGTCTTTCTCTTGAGACTGAGTTAATTCTAATGGGATAGATTAGTTCTTGTGGGAATAGATCAGTTCCTGAGAAAGTCTCGTTATAAAGCAAGGTTGCTCCTCATATTTTTCCCCTTTTGCACTTGCCTGGTTCCCCTTCCATTTCTCTGCCATGTTTTTACACAGCATGAGGCCCTCACCAGAAGTCACGAGAGGCAGCTGCCCAATCTTGAACTTCCCAGCCTGCAGAACCATGAGCTAAATAAACCTATTTTCTTTATAAATTACCCAGTGTTGGGTATTCTTTTATAGTAACACAAAACAGATTATGACGGTTGGGTGCTTTGCATGTTGTGGA
Source organism: Homo sapiens (assembly GCF_000001405.40). Taxonomy (NCBI): domain Eukaryota; kingdom Metazoa; phylum Chordata; class Mammalia; order Primates; family Hominidae; genus Homo; species Homo sapiens. Next base: position 224,462,838 of record NC_000002.12, read on the forward strand.
TTATTGATAGCTACCAGCTAAATCAACCGGCCAATTCTACATCAATTCTTCAAGTTACTTTTAATATTCCAAACCCAAGGATGATAAATTATCAAATATATTGCCATCAGCATGAAAAGAATTAAGATATAAAATTATACTGTTGGACTTAATTTTACATGAGTTTTTACTGGCAAAAACACCTTTACATGGCCTTCCTCAAATGAATTGTACAATCATGTAAAAGGGTGGCCTTTAAAAAATTCAGAAATAATATTTCATGTTGTAGAGTAACAGAAGAAAAGAAATGTCAATACGAGAAAAACAAAATAGAATTTACATGCTGATCTCACATTGATATGTCTTGATCTTACTTTAATAAACTCTGATCACATTACTGTGTGGAAGTTATTAAACTTTTCAGGCTTCTATCTATAAAGAAAATAAACCTTGACATATGGTTCGTTAAACTAATTATAAATCTGACATTGCAGAAAAGATAAAATAATTTGTTTACTTGGTGTGGTAGGCTATTTAATGGCCCCCCAAGATGTCTATATCTTAATCCCCAGAACCTGTATGTTATTTTGTATGACAAATGGGACTTAGCAGATGTAATGATGTTAAAAATCTCGAGAGGCATGATTAGCCTGGGTTAGCTGTGGGCCTAATGTAATCACAGGGTTCTTAGGAGGAGAGAGAGTCAAAGAGAAAGTGATGTGACAGCAGAAAAAAGTACAAGAGGAGGCCAGGCGCAGTGGCTTACACCTGTAATCCCAGCACTTTGGGAGGCCAAGGCGGGCATATCACGAGGTCAGGAATTTGAGACCAGCCTGGCCAATATAGTGAAACCCCATCTGTACTAAAAATACAAAAATTAGCTGGGTGTGGTGGCACCTGTAGTCCCAGCTACTTGGGAGGCTGAGGCAGGAGAACCGCTTGAACCCAGGAGGCGGAGGTTGAGGTCAGCCAAGATGGCACCACTGCACACCAGCCTGGGCAACAGAGCGAGACTCCATCTCAAAAAAAAAAAAAAAGTGCAAGAGGACACAGATTTAAAGATGCTACACTGCTAGCTTAGAAGATGGAGGAAGAGCCCATAAGCAAGGAATGTAGGCAGCCCCTGGAAGCAGTTGGAGGCAAAGAAATGGATTCTCCCCTTGTGCCTCCAAGAGGCACCAACCCAAATGACACCTTGACTTTAGACTAGTGAGACTTATCTTGAACATCTAACTTTCCAAATTGTAAAAGAATAAATTTAACCCACTATGTCTGTGATAATTTGTTATAGCAACAACAGGAAATGTATATACTCATGCAAAAATAACCCATTTCATAGTAGCTTTCATTCTGACACGGATTCAAAATTAAGGAAATAATAAACAATAACAAAAAAAAGTTTTGGGGGGTGGGGGTGTATGAAAATACATCCAATCACTCCAGGGACTCTGGGAAATTGAAAGCCTGCTTGGGAAGGACTAGTAGATATATACGTGTCTTGGTGTATTAGTCCATTCTTGCATTGCTATAAAGAACTATCTGAAACTGGGAAATATATAAAGAAAAACTGTTTAATTGGTTCACAGTTCCACAGCCTGTATAGGAAGCATGGCTGGGGAGGCCTCAGGAAACTTACAATCATGGCAGAAGGTGAAGGGGAAGCAGGCACATCTTACGTGGCAGGAGCAGGAGAAAGAGAGAGAAGGGGGAGTTGCTACATGCTTTTAAACAACTAAATCTCATGAGAAATCACTCACTACCATGAGAACAGCAAGAGGGGAATCTGCCCCCATGATCCAATCGTAATTTGCCAGTAGATTTGGGTGGGGACACAAATCTAAACTATATCATTTGGGTTCTACATCAGGAAACAACTCATACCTAACCACAGGAAGTTGACTTACCATGGTTGGACTTCCATTAAATTCAAGAAAAATACAAATGTTTGTCACTATTGGTAGATCAGAATTTTCAAAAGAAAATGCTACATAGTGGATGAATTCAATGCAATTAAGGAGTCAAGTGTCCTCGACTGGCAACCAGAAGACTACATCTGGCAGTTGTACCATTTAGACTGTGGTCAAGTCCCAAGCTCTTTTCTCTATGGTGAGAATGTGTCTTAGTCTGTTCAGGCTGCTCTAACACAAATACCACAAACTTGGAGTCTCACTTGGTCACCCAGGCTGGAGTGCAGTGGCATAATCTTGGCTCACTGCAACCTCCACCTCCCAGATTCAAGCGATTCTTCTGCCTCAGCCTCCCAAGTAGCTGAGATTACAGGTGCGCACCACCACACCCAGCTACTTTTTGAATTTTTAGTAGAGATGGGGTTTTACCATGTTGGCCAGGCTGGTCTCAAATTCCTGTCCTCAAGTGATCTGCCCGCCTCGGCCTCCCAGAGTGCTGTGATTACAGGCATGAGCCACCTTGCCCGGCCAACAATTTTAAATTATACAGTTACACATCATAATTCTGGAGGTTAGATTTTCTCTGCACTTCAGAATCTAAACCCAAATTGTCTTGCCACATCTAAACAAACTCTCACAACACCAAGCCCTTCCTTGCTCCCTTCCTTCTGTTTCATCCTCATTGACTCCTGCGTAGCCATTTTGCCACGTTAGTGATTTTGCTTCCCAGTCTCTAGCACGAGAGAAGCAAGGAGGCTTTGAGAGTCTAGCACAGTGAAAAGGGGGGCAACTCACAGCCATTGCATAAATCATATAAATCTTTGGTTGTGCTAGATAAACAACACTTTTGTATATATGTAGACTTCTTTATATATTTTATATATTTCTAGTATTTTTACCAAGGAAGGGAGGTATTCACAGCATGTCACCTGATAATGATGCACTTAGCAATGGGAAATTAACTTAAAAACATTCTATTTCTTAGTAAACACATTTCCTAAAAAGTTCCATCTATATGGCCTTGTTCATGTATATACTTTTCTTGTCTAATACAGAATTTTACTTAATAATACGCTGTTTCTTAACAAAGGTAAAAGGTAGTGAAATAAAATCAGGGTTTAGACTCATTTTATTACTATGTGGTTTGCCATTTGGTGAACTGTGTATCTAGTCCTTTATAACAGATATTATCAATATAAAAAAAAGAAAAAATTACCAATCTGCCCTTTGGCTGTCTACTTTTAAGATTTGATGTCACTCATCATGCATATACAAATGTGCACACTAATGTACACATATATGCATACATGCATACAAGTGCAAAAAACGTACGCAAAAATAGATTTCAGTAGTGTGACTTTTCACAGCTGTTTTAGTTCTTTTTGGGTCATATTGATTGCAAAAAGTGAGGAAAATGGAATTTTTAAGGACTATAGGAAGTTCTTAGTAGATAATTTGTATATTTCAGGAAGTTACATTAGCAAAAGAGAGGGGAGAATACTATGATCTGGCTTTGTTTATAAATCAGTTTCTACACAATAAGCTCAGTTGATTACAGCATGATGTAATCAAGCTAATGAGACAGCTCGGGTTCATATGCAAGACCATTAACTCTACAAAAGTAGGGGTACCCTCCCCATTGTCTCATAAATGAATGCTGTTGTCATTAATGGGTCAGAATGAAGTTAGCATTTATTGAGAACTCACTAAGTGACAGATACCCTGCTAAGAGCTGTTACAGTGACAGCATGCCACCAGCTGCTCCTTTGGGAATTTAAGCTTCAATCTTCTAAGAGAGGTTGTAGAAGGGAAAGTCTCCCACAGTAGTGACAAAGCCATGCATCACTCAGTACTGCCACTGGATGTATTGTTAAGTCCTATGGAAAAGGAAATTTATATGGAGAAGTAAACATTAATAGGCTGTGTATCCACATGCAGGCCGAAGGAGCAATTACTGTGGCCAGGGTCATGAGAACAGCAATAATTAGTGAGTCTCCAAAGGGAAGGTGCATCTTTAGGGGCCAAAGTACAGGCTGGAAAGGGGCCCTTCCTGCTTAACCAATCTCGAGAATTGGAGTTTGATTTTGCCAAAGAGTTCATAGGTTTTCTTACATATTTAAGACCTTAATCTGTGTACTAATTTGATGAAATTAGTTTTATGAGTCTCATTTTGTTTACAAGACATAAAAGTTTTACAAACATGTATTTCTCTTAATTTGTGGCTCAAGAGAATATGGATCATTCTATGAAAGCTCATTAGTGAGAAATAATCCAAAAGTTATGTTTGGGGCCCAGCATGGTGGCTCACACCTCTAATCCCAGCACTCTGGGAAGCTGAGGCGGGTTGATCACCTGAGGTCAGGAGTTCCAGACCAGCCTGGCCAACATGGTGAAACCCTGTCTCTACTAAAAATACAAAAATGGGCTGGGTGTGGTGGCTGCACGCCTGTAATCATAGCTACTTGGGAGTCTGAGGCAGGAGAATCGCTTGAACCTGGGAGGCAGAGGTTACAGTGAGACAAGATCATGCCACTGCACTCCAGCCTGAGCAACAGAGCAAGACTTTGTCTCGAAAAAAAAAACCCAAAAGTTACATTTGAGTATTAGGGAGTTGGGAGTACCATGGTTCTTAAGGGAGTCACCTCCTGTCAGATTAAATTGACAATCATCAAAGACTAAATCTCAGTAGAAACACTGCATCATCTAGGTTGCAATAAAAATAGCCAAGATTACGGTTTATACTTATGTTTATGATCTTACAAAGTTGGTGGTACAAACATCTCAATTTTTGTCACCCAGATCTCACTAAATTGCTTCACAACCAATGGTTGCTATGGGGAAAAAAAAATCCAAATCTGTTCAGTAGGCACTCGCTTTTTTCTTAGACTTAGAATCACTCTTTTAGTGTTGCTATCTAAACTCTTAGAAATGGGATAGAGGTCACTGAGCTTTGAACACTTGGTTTCTAAATTCAACTTCTCCCAGTGGGAATACCTAATTAAAATGGTAAGATCACAGGTTGCCCTTTGCCTAGGAAGACACTATTACCAATTCTCCCTCTTCCTCCCCCTACCCATTAGGATCCACTGAGAGTTGGTTAGCTGTGATTAATACTGTCATCTGTGACCATGAGTAAGTAGCTTGAAATTAACTGGTCCACTTTGTAATCAAACCTCATTTGATCAACATGTTGTCTTAACCAGATGAGGCATTGTAACTGCAGATAAATTATGTTAAAGAAAACCCCACAACTTGCAAATCACATCAACATTCTCATCTGATCAGTGAAATTGGAAGTTTATGTTTTATTGTACCATGTACAATCAAAAGCAATGGTTCTCAAACTTAGCTGCCCACAAGAATCACCTCAGGCTTATTAAATAATAATCTCCACGAGGGACATTACTTTTTTGTTTCTTTGTAAAGCTTTTCTAGGAAAATCTGGTGTGAAGCTAGATTGAAAAACACCAAAGCACTTGCCACGCTTCTTTTGGAATTGCTTTTAAAAATCTATAGCACTCTTGTATAGCCTTAATGATTACAAACTTTCATTTCTATGAAAATGGCTTACATTTTTTTTTTTTTTTTTTGAGTTTCACTCTTGTTGCCCAGGCTGGAGTGCAATGGAGCGATCTCGGCTCACAACCCCCGCCTCCCGGGTTCAAGTGATTCTCCTGCCTCAGCCTCCTGAGTAGCTGAGATTACAGGCATGTGCCACTACGCCCGACTAATTTTGTATTTTTAGTACAGACGGAGTTTCTCCATGTTGGTCAGGCTGGTCTCAAACTCCCGACCTCAGGTGATCCGCCCACCTCGGCCTCCCAAAGTGCTGGGATTACAGGTGTGAGCTACCGGGCCTGGTGGCTTGCATTAATTTTTAATTAGCTCAAGGGAAGACTGGAGAATATGGATGCCTTATTACAAACTTGGATAATACTAATTTTGGTAAAAAAAAAAAAAAAAAAAAAGGACTCTTAGGAGTATTGCATGAGTCTGTAGGCAAGCTTAAGAGGAGAATCTTTAAAATGCGATGAACACAGTATGCATACAGACTTTCTTGCCCTGAGGGGTACCCTCCTCAGCACCCTCTCCCCCATCAGATGTAGATGTTGAAATAGGTTTGTGACCGTCTATTTTATAGTCACACACATACACTGGTTGCCTATTGCTAGAGTTGCACTGGAACAAATGCAAATTCTGTCCTTTTCCTCACTTGATTTCACACTCTTGAGGTAAGCTTCCTCAGTCTCTTTCAGTCTACAATTCCATTCCATTAGAAAAATTTTTTAATACAGAAGATAGTATTACATAGAAAGTAAAAAGGTTCATTCTGTAGGTATTAATATCTGACATCAGTTGTATAAACTTATGAGAAAGAAAATACTTTATACCATATACCAACATGCATAGCTGATATTGCCTATTTTTTGTGAAGGATCTATAAAGTTTTACAAGATCAAGTTCTCCAAAAACATTTTCTAATAAAACAATGCAAACTTTCACCAAAATATGTGCCAAGAAAATCTACCTTCAGATTCAAATTCAATTTTCAAGGTTCTGTGCAGTCTGCCAAAACAGCCAGTAATTGGGGACACACGCTTTTAAAAGCACAGGTTTTGGAATTAAGAGACTTGGGTCCAAATTCCTGCACCCCATTAACTATTAGTGGGATTTCGTAAAAATTTTTATGTCACTAAGCCTGAGTTTTTTCACAGGCTCTCCATAGGACCAAATGATCTAATACCGGTCAAGTTCTTATCACAGAGATGCTATGCAAGAGGGCTTAGAAGTCAGCATTTAACACAACATGCCGACTGGGAACAGTAGCTCATGCCTGTTATCCTAGCGCTTTGGCAGGGCGAGGCAGGAGGATTGCTTGAGCCTAGCGGTTTGATGACAGCCTAGGCAACACAGCAAGACCCTGTCTCTACTTACAACAACAACAACAAAAAAAAAAAAAAAAAAAAAAAAGCTTGCATGGTGGTGTGCACTTGTGCTCCCAGCTACTTGAGAGGCTGAGGTGGGAGGATCGCTTGAGGCCAGGAGATTGAGGTTGAGGGTGTAGTGAGCCGCAATTATGCCAGTGTACTCCAGCCTGGATGACAGAGCAAGATGCTGTACACACACATACACACACACACACACACACCCATCTGCAACCACGTAAGAGCTGGTCTGTATTTTCCACTTTTTACCTAAAGTCAAGTATCAAATAACTTCTACTTATAAAAATATCCTTATACTGTCATAGCCCCAATAGTGCAGTACAAATTTTAATGTGAAGTTCAATTCTTTTAAAGATTTTCTTTCAAGACACTGAGTGATCATTTAGCACATTCATCTGAAGATTTACTGAGTGCCTACATCCACTACATACCAGACATCGTGCTGAGGCATTTATTCAAGAATCACAACTGCAGAAAGAATTCTGAGACTGAGAATTTTAATTTTCCCACATTGCAATAAATCTTGTATGCAATAAAGTTTATTAGTTGAACTGTCCTGTTATTAAAATCTTGAAATTTGACAATTTCATTGTTACTAAAAAATACACGTTTACTTTGAGCTGCTCATGTATAATTTTAAAGCTATTTTTGCATGGCTCACTCGAGGTCAACTTAGACCCTAAAACTGAGCATCAAATTACTTAAATGACACGCTTACAAATTTGCCATTTCTAAAATTAAATGCACGGGTTTCAAGACATCCTAGTTGTTTTTCTCCTGAGAGCTGGCGTAATGGCCAATCTCTGTATCATTACCTGTTAAATTTATCTGCCATTCTTAACGTCTCTTCTTCCTTCTGGCTAATTTGACATAGGAAAGGCACACAAAGGAAAACATTTTGTAAAACTGTAGATTTGAATTTAAGGTACATGCCTATCTGTGGTACCCACTTAAGTATGTAAAACTTTCTCTAAGATTGTAGGAGACAAAGCGCCTATTTTCTTTTCAATGGACACATTCCAGAATAGCAGCAATCACCTTCCCTGTTTTCCTTCCTACCAAAAGTTGGTATCAGCAAATAATGTAAAGCTAACAAAAATGTGCAAAATTCCATATTGCAATGCTTCATGTATTAACTTTAGTTTGTCACATTACTATTCATGTGAATGAGGTACAAAATAAATGAAAATTTTTTAATATGGAAAATCATGTCAATTTGTAACATGGAATATGGATAGGATTAAACCTAGGTCCAACTCCTGGCTCTGCCATTTCCTGCTAGCAACCTTGGACAACACTGGTATAATGACAGTTATGTCACATAAAGCCAATATGACAACTAAATGAATGAATATACATAAAATATTCAGAATAGTATCTGGCATATGATAAGCACTTAAATGTTAACATTTCTAATTATTTCTGCTTTGAGGACTAGAAATGACTTCTAATTTTGCTGACCTGAAATGTTTTAACATTCGTATTTACAGAATGCAAAATACTATGCAACATATAGTAAAATACATGACCTACAATTGATATGCAACAGCTTTCCTTCCAAGATTGACACAATATACCATATACTCTATAAAAAATTATTCTATGAAAGTCTTAAGTTACAGTAGACAGGCAAAGATAAAAATCTTTAACACTAGTTACTGAAAATGAGTATCTTAAACTGTAAACATTAAAACTGCTTTCCAAATTAAGGAATTAAATAATATTTAGAAACCTAAGATGATGCCAGTGTACTAGTCTTCTAGAGATGTAGGCATAATCTTAAAACTGGTTCTAGGCCTTTTCTGCTACCCAACATATCCGGTGAACAAAACATCAACAGTGCTTCACTATGAGAAGGATTCTTACAGAGAAGGCCTATCATCAGCATCTTGGGGGTTTGATAGTACATAATTACAATGCTACACAGGTGACTCTAGCATACCTTTAGAAAGGCATGCATCTCTTCCCCCATTCCCTTTTTAAGTTCACTGACATAAAGAATCCTTGCAATCACAACCACTTTTTGTGAGGCTGTGCGTTCCCTAATTGCAATGAATTTTCAGTCTTTAAATAATGTTAACGATTCAAAATAAACACTGTCCTGGACTTGATAATGAAGGCAGAGAATTACACTTTAACAGTTACTGAAGAGATGACATGATTTTTGCAGTTGAAAAACTATGTATCCACCCTCCTTAAAAGTCTTCTAATAAATCACCAAAATTTCTCTGCACCAACAGGATGGAATGGTTAGGATGCATTTTTCTTTCAAATTAAAGCATTAAAAACTGAGAAAAAATAGCATCTGTGACCTCTTGCTAAAAAGAAAGCAATGTTAAATGTATTTTGTTATAACCTTTATGACCTAAAATAATACTTATGCAGTCAAACATATAAACATTTTGTGTGACCAGTTTTTTCAGTGCAGCATCACATCGCCAGCAATCTCCAACCATTCAACTGCAATTCAGAAATGTTTTAATGTATTTAGAAGCATAAATATCAAACCTGTGCTCCAAAGTTAACAAGTATGTCTCTAAACTCTAGATCTGATTTTTACAGCCACACTTGAGACAATGACGTAAACTTAAACTTTACTTTTAATGGCTTAAACTAGCACTAAAATGTTTAATGTCTCACTTAGGAGATTTCAAATAAAGTTTTTACATCGCTCATGTTTACTAACTCGACAATCTGAGCTGTCCTGTTTTCCCAGGTGTTAAATATCATTTAACTGGGAAATGAAAGCAATAAAAAAATTCTCAAACATGAACTACCATTACTTTCCTATAAACATCTTACCATTATAGAAAATTTCCAATTATGTCAAAATCAGAAGGTGAAACCCTTAGCTTTCCATGTTACACCTGACTTAGTACTACTCAAGTATGGTAAAAGTGTCCTGAGAATAATGTTCACAATACTTTTCATTGGCATCTTAATTGCATCATGTAGAAGTGGAAAATGTAGAGATAAAGAGCACAAGGCTTGTAATTCTACAGTACAGATGGAGACAAAATTGCAATAAAAGCATATTTGCAAGTCTAAAAGGAAAATTATAACCCAAGACGCATGGGGAAAAATATTTATGTGGAGTTTTTAATCCATATTAGAATTCAGTTGTTGTAACTTGACCATAAATTTAAACAGAAACCATCTTCTGAGACATACATTCTAATAAATGTATCAACAGTACTGATAGTCAACGAAGGGTCAATTTAAACTTATTAGTAACATTTCATTTTTCTATCCAACAGAAATCTATAGTGGTTTGCCCCATTACATATCTGAAACATTGTCTTATGAAAACAAAATGAAACAAAATTAAATAAAATTGAAGATAAAAATACTCTGGAAGCACAGGATATCTGACAAGAATCTTCAGCACAAAGCACATGTTTGAAAACGTGAAACGATGACTCTTTGGAGGACAATAGCTAAATATCCAAGAATCATCAGGTTTGAGAAATATTGCTTAATCACTTTCCAAAACACAGCTGCAAGAATTGAAGATTTCATTAAAACTATCAAGGTCATCATATTTATTGCATCTTTAGATTGCATTTTGAAACAGAAAATTAATAGTGCACCACAGCTTCACCAAAATATATATTTAGGGGCAGGGAGGACCTAGGGTATTTATAAACAAAGTATAGACTGTATGTGCTTTTCAGAGGGGCTGAATTAAATATAACCAGCTGCCAACTTTGTGCTCTGACATACTTGAATTAGTGGGTATGTGTATACTAAATTCATTATTTTTGTCTACAATAAATGAAATAAAAACACCACCCTATACAATCCACTATTAGCAGTGAGTACAACAGCAAAAAAATTATTGTACAATTTACACATACTAAAATACTTTCTTTCTCTAGAAATAACTCAGAACAAAACCTAATCATTATAAGACTTAATTTGGGAAATCTCAAATTACAACAGGGAGAAACCAAATCAGGATGTGTACTTGAGCCCAAAACAAAGGTTCCTGGTCATAAGGCTAGAAGATGAGTAAGTGCAAGTGGTAGAATACAGCATGCTCAAATTGTATGCTTGGGTCTTTGTATATTTATCAAACCTTTAAAATTAAATAAGACTAGCTAAAGAAATGTCTTCAGAGCAAGATAACTGGGAAATCTGCATTTCTTTTGCCATTTTTGTTACCCAACTTACACAATGCGCAAAGTGCTAAGCAACACTACAAAACACATTTACATCAACACTGAAGACCTGGGGAAATGAAATCCAACAATTTTATTGTAATGAGCTGTATTTTCTAAATTTCTCTTTTATTTTCCTGTTTTCATACAGTAAAGAAAACAAAACGCAGCACATTCACATTTTCCCGAGGAACTGTAAAGATGATCTCTACAGGGATAAACGTTGTAAAGCCTGAAGCTCAATCAACTGATGTTGGAAACTCTCAAAGGGAGTAAAGGCTTGATCTCAATGGTCTAGAACATGTACTGTAATTTAATAGAAGAGATGGTCGTCTTAATATTTAATGATTTAAAAGAACTTCCCAGTCCATGCGAAGAGTACAGTCCAAGAATAAATCAAATTTCTGAACGCATTTTATGCTACATATGTGTATACTTTGCGATCCTCAGGTGTTCGTGCCAAATATTCTCTCTCAATAAGTCCTTCAATACGTTTCTTAATAACAACTGGACTTGGTAAGAATCGCGCCTTCAACTGCTGAGTTACCTAAAAAAGAAAGTAGATAGTATTTTTATATAAACACATAAAAATTCGTATCTTTGAACAGAACTGATATGTCATTTTAACACTCAGAGACTGAACTTTACTAACTGGATTACCAAAGATAAAAGCACAGAAACTTTAAAAAGGTTCTGTTTGAAAATGTAATATTATGGTTACAACACACTTCCTCAAATCAGAATGTGAATGCTAAAGTGGATAGCAGTTGAATAATTGAATTAGTTGGAATTACAGTAGTGTGAGCATATGCCACCTATAGTTTAACCGTTTTGATGCTGTTATCTACTGAATTCTGAGTTATACTCAAAACTCACAGAACTTGGGTAGCCTATGTATTAAAGAACACAAACTCCGGACTCAGAGTACCTGGATAAACTCAGCTCTACCACTACTAGCTCTGGGACCTTGGCCCACTGGTGTGTACACTAAATGTGTTAACAGATGTAACGCCTTAGAATAAAGAATAATGCTGCCCAATCATAGTAAGTGCTTCTGTTGGTTTTTTCCAAGTACTATCAGGATTCTAAGTACTGTGCTATATATAATAATAAAATAATAACTAAAGCAGCAGTCATAGTCTGTCTATGCACTATTCATCTGTCATTTTGCATGTATGAGTTTATTTAATTTATTTTTTCTTTTTTGAGATCGAGTCTTGCTCTGTTGCCCAGGCTGGAGTGCAGCGGCGCAATCTCCGCTCACTGCAAGCTCCGCCTCCCAGGTTCCCACCATTCTCCTGCCTCAGCCTCCTGAGTAGCTGGGACTACAGGCGCCCACCACCACACCCGGCTAATTTTTTGTACTTTTAGTAGAGACGGGGTTTCATCATGTTAGCCAGGATGGTCTCGATCTCCTGACCTTGTGATCTGCCTGCCTCGGCCTCCCAAAGTGCTGGGATTACAGGCGTGAGCCACCGTGCCCGGCCTATTTAATGTTCTTAACCCTGCAAAATAAGTTGTCTCATTTTACAAACGAGGAAAATAAAGCCGGAGAAGAAAACTGACATCAACAAGTAGTAAATAACAGAGCCAACAGAGATGAATCTAAACCTTTCTGACCTCAAAGTCCATGTTCTTTGCTCTAATGCATCCATGAGCCAGCTTTGCTTTTACTCTTGTTGATCAGTTCATTTCCCAAAGCCACAATGGATTGATAATTCTTTGGAATCTGAAAATTCAGCACTTCATTCTGCAACTACAATTTATCGCCCTTCCAGGATTACCACTCCTGTATCGACAAACTTGCTCTCAACCCATCACCTGAGATCTCCCACCCTTTGCCCTTCTTTTCTTCCAGCCTATTAACAGCTCCTATCGACTTGCTCCCTCCCCTGTTTAACCGAGCCTAAACTGCATTCAAGATCACTTCTCTTGAAAGCTGCACTCTCAACAGGACCTTCTACTCCTGATTCTTTTGGTCCTATCCCATAAACACTATTTGATTAAACCTATATTCTATATGTACTACATCATTATCAACCTACCACAGAGGTCTTTGCTGAGTAAAGATGTAGTTGTTAACACCGTATGTGTACACCAGGAGTCAGCAAACTGCAGTCACAGGCCAAATACACCCCACTACCTGTTTCTGTAAAATTTTACTGAAACACAGTCACATGTATTTATTTATTTTTTATTAGTTTTTTTTTTTGAGATGGAGTCTCGCTCTGTCGCCCAGGGTGGAGTACAATGGCACGATCTCGGCTCACTGCAACCTTCGCCTCCCAGCTTCAAGCAATTCTCCTGCCTCAGCCTCCCGAGTAGTTGGGATTACAGGCACCCACCACCAGCTAATTTTTGTATTTTCAGTAGGACGGGGTTTCGCTGTGTTTGTCAGGCTGGTCTTGAACTCCTGACCGCAGGTGATCCGCCCACCTTGGCCTCCCAAGGTGCTGGGATTACAGGCGTGAGCCACCGCGAGTCACACGCATTTATGTATTATCTATAGCTGCTTTCATGCTACAATTGGCCATTTACAAAAACATCTGCCAATCTCTGGTGTAGACTAACACAAATTTATAGTATTCAAAAGTTCAGCAAGTTCCTGAGCACCATTCTTCGACAAGTATTATTTCAAATTTCTGACAATCCCCTTAAACTCCTCAACCCAGTCCTGCACCAAGCTCATATCGGGTTTCACATAGAGAAAAGAAGCCATTTCAATTTGAAGTTCTTTAAATACCCACCCTACACATGTACATTTATCCATACTTACACCAAATCTTGCTTAGCACATACCCCTGCACCCTGCCCTAGGTTCTCAGGAAGAGGCATGTTCAGTAACATCTGTGTCAGTACACTACCATCATCATACTCTCTATACAATCCTCACCTTTCCTTTTCTAGAATGTGGTATTTATCCCTTCATCTCATTTTTTTCAATTTAAGGATCCATTCTTTATTCATAGGATATAAACATGCTCAGTATCCTCCCATTTTGGGGGGGAAAAAGCCCAAACCCTTCAACTCTACACTGAATCCTCTAATACTACTCTCTCTGCCCTTTCCCTTGAGCCAGTACCTCAAAGAATAAGCCACTCTTGGTGGTTTCCACCTCCATTTCCTTCTCAAGGCACTACCACTGGATATCCACTTTCACGAGTCCAATGAAAATGTCTGAGAAAGTTAACCTGTCACGTAATTGCCAAAGTGTTTATTCAACTTGGTTTTTCCATGATTTTTTATATTACTGACCACTCACTCCTTGTAATTCTCTTCCCTTGTCATAGGACACTGTCATTTTGTTTTCTTTTCCTTCTAAAGCAGTGTTCTCAAATTTGAAAAAACATCAGAATCACCTACAGCTCGTGTTAAAAAACCAGACTCTTGGGCCCTATCCTCAGAGTTTCTGATTCAATTCTCAGGCTCTGGTGGAACCTAAGGATCTGTGTTTCTCATGAGTTCCCAGGTGATGCTAAGGTAGCTGTTCCAAGAACCACACTGTGAAAACCAGTGCTCTAAAGAGTTTCTGTTGTTACACTCACTGTTCCTAAAATAAGGGAGGGGTCTATCCCATAGTTCTTTCTTGCTCTCCATGCTAACACTGAGCAATTTAATCCACACCTGTAGTTTTAACTGCATTCTCATATAGCTAATTCCCAATGCAACTTCTAGCCCTCATGTCTATTGTCTTCCACCTGCCCCTGGATGTGCCAATACACAATAAAGTCAACTTGTACAAAACAATATTAAGTGACATCTGGACCACAGCGGCACATTACATTACCCTTCTCTTTTTGGTTAAAGAAACAAACCTCTATCTACTCATTCAAGCCAGAAACCTAAACGGCGTCTTCAACTTCTCCCTCTCACTTCCCATTATCAATCAGTAAAGTCTGTCAATTCTACTTCCCAATTATCTTGATTCAGTTTTCTACCCTCTACCAATACTTTACCCAGGTCCTAATCCTCTCCCACCTATCTTAATGGCTTCCTAAGGGGTCTTCCCCTCCTTAGTTTCCCAATTTGTAAAATGAAAGCATTTAATGAATGGTAACCATTATTAATTTTTAGAAGTAAAGGGAGTTTGTTTACACAAAGGTATTAATAGCAGTGAAAATCTTTTCTTAATACTTCATGTGACAATATTCTACTATCATTTTAGTTATAAACACATTGGTTCCGAGAGTGTGCACATATTTGGATGTATCACCATGTTTAGTTACCAAGTGAGTGCCATACATTTCATAAGTGTTACATCACTAGGATTTCTTAATTGTAAAATTGTTTTTAAAATTAGTTGAATACAATAATTTTGTTAATAATGTTACTGTTTTTTCTATATTAGCCCAGTAGTGAAGAGTCCTCACCTCCGCTACTAGAACATTGTGCTGCATCTTCTTTCTAGATTTCATTATCCGCACTATAGCAGCTTCTATCTCATGTTTTCTGTCGTCGTCTACTTTCTGCCTTGTTTCTTTCCTCTCTGGGTCGGATTCACCTTGTTTGGCAGCAACTAAAATAGAAATAAAGACATTTATCATAAATCTAATTTTAAAATTTGGTTTATAAGCAAGCTTATTATAATTCAATGTAATCCACAGATAAAAACCAATTTCAGCCTCTGAATATACACACTTATTAATTCAAGTACGCATTCAGAAACTGTCTTAATGTTTACTTGAATACTAAATTATCCTTTTCAAAAATGAGGAATTTAACTTTGAGATAATAAAGTTGATTTTGTTTTTATGCAGAATATAATTTCTTACCTGGAAGAAAAACAGTAGCTGAAAATATTCAGTAGTAAAATTACCAGTAAATAATTTTCATTGCTTATGACTATCAGAGGTCAATTGATTATTTTATTACCATGGCTCCAAGTTAAAACTCACCAAAATTATCTCAGATAGGTATCTGTTGTCTTACTAACTCAAAATGTAGCTGTAATCTCTAAGGCTTTATGAGGAGACAAGAGTATGTACTGCCAAGATTCAGTCAGTGAAATAAATAATTTAAAAGTACCACTAGGATGTCAGTTCCTAAAATCTCCTTGCCAAAAATCTCCCTAGAGTTCTGTTATCTAACCATTTCTTGTCATATATTTTATTATGCTTTTTATGTCACAACCTCATCACAAATTCATACCAGATTCCAATCTTTAGGAGTCTTACTCTATTCTTCCCTATAGTCTTCAAAGCAACTGTTAAGGGAAATACAGAAGTCGTCTTCTCCTGCAACTCTGCTCTGAATGAAATAGCAGAAAAAGAAAACTGGTGTTTTATTCGTTCACCAAAAGGAGATAGATGTGAAGTTTCTGGAGGTAGAAACCGTAAAATTGCAAAGCAGCACATGGGGCATTGCTGACTGAGGCATGGGCATAGATAGCCACGAGACAGCAGATTGTACAATTTAGAAGATCATTCTGGTGTGCGTATCCATTCAACTGTTTCTAATTAGAATCCTTTGGATAAAAATACTGCTTTCGGTGTCATTTCCCAAGTGTAAGATAATCAATATCTTAGTAAAAAAAAAAAAAATTCGATGAAAATAATCTACTAAGAATGATGCTTATGATGCTTTTCCTCAGAAGTTGATGTCATGAAAAAATAAAAAGATAGAGGTACTGGTTTAAATGAAACTAAAAAGACATAAAAATTAAATGTAATGTGGAAATCTTGATGGAATCATGGATCCAAAAAGTGAGATATAAAAGAAATTTTTGAGACAACTGAGGCAATATGGGTGGTAAACAGATGACATGAAATTAATTTTCTTGGATATGATATAGGAGACGTGTGCTAAAGTTTTTTAGGGGGAAACTACTGAGATATTTGTAAATTAACTTCAAATGCTGTAGCAAACACATACACACACACAGAGGAAGGCAGGGAGGAAGACAAAATTCTAATGACTGGTAAACGTAGGTCACAGCCATATTGATATTCATTATAGTGCTTTTCACTTTCTTTGTGGATTTGAAAACAAAAAATACAAAGTTGCAGGGAAAAAAGTAGTTGTTTAAACAATCCCTTTGGCTCATCTGGATGTGGTCACCTAAATAAGTGTCTTCTTAAATACCTGCAGAAAAACATGGATGTGCAGATCGTGCTGATGAGTCAAAATGAGTATTCTTTTTAAATGGGAGGGGAGGGGCTCACTCTGGAGCCTAACACAACACTCCTCACTTGAGTGCAGCAGAAGGGGTTGTTGTGCAAGTGCCTATATATGACCTATATGCACGCTGGGGGATGGAATTTGAGAAAGGCAGGTGGTGGTGGTGGTGGTGGTGGTGGTGAAGACTGTCAACTCTGGAAACTGCCCCCCCAGATTACAATTAATCTAATTCTTTTCAAAGGCTGTGTTATTTTAGTAATTCCTTTAACTTCTTTGCATGAACTTTTACTACTGGCTACAGTAAAAGCAGCATAAATAGGTAGGGTCTGAGTCTTCGAATATTTGATTATGTTACTGAGCCTTTGACAGTAAAACCAATGTGGTCACAATATTTACCACCAAAGAGAAAATTTTGACTTAAACTATGAGTAAGAGCCAAGATCATTTAAAAACCATTCCCAAGAAAAAAACATTGCTTTGTAGAATTTTATTGCTGAAAAGAACTTTTAAGCTCTAGTGAAATTCATCATATATATATTTCTGTTTTGAACATACCTAAAACACTACATACACATACTCCAGATACACACATAAGTGTGCACACTTAACACGAAAATCTAAAAATCTATGAAGACTTTTTTAAACATAATACTAATATCTGATATTATTATTGCTGGACATGATAGAATCTGGGATAACAAAGACAGTTACTTATTTAGGGTACAGTAGGGTGAGGGTAAGGCAATCCAGATAAATATTCCCACATATTTTCCTCTAATTCTAGGATACAAATGAGCCCTAAAATCCAAAACCTGCATCTGCCCAAATGTATAAAGTAGTTATGTCTTGCATTGGAAGAAAAATAAATTTTATTCCATGACACTGGCTAGCACAGTTTTGTTTTATTCTTAATATATATTTATGTCAAGACATGGGCCAATCTTGGCTAATGCAGATTACTATGATACAGTTTACAACTACAAGACAAAGGGGGCAAAGCCTTGCCAGAGACACTACTCTGTTCTACAAAGTATACATACGAAACAAAAAGATCAAAATGAAAAACAAAAATTTAAGTGTGCATATAAAGCTCTAGAATCCATGTACTCTGGTAATCAACTGTATATTTAACATTACTTTTAAAAAGACTATCATAATATACAATATAAATAACATTTTTTTAAAATCAACAAATGACAGTCATTTAAAAGATCATCTTATTTATCTTAGGACACTGTTTTATTGCACACATATTTGGCTGTAATGAATATATTAGTACTAGGAAGCCTATCTAATACTAGTTTTTAAGCCAAGTAGTAAACAATTAGTTTTAAACATCAATCAGCAAGGGTGGAGTGCCTTTTTTCCCCTTTAAATACACAGAAAACAAGCATCTTACATTATGTTAAATGTTTAATGAATAGAATTTTCATTATCGACTTATATGGCTCTATTAAAAATCATTCACATCAGTATCATTTCTATGTTTTTAAATTAAAGAGGATATGGGTTTTAAGATTTTGAAACAAAAAATATTTATCAAAATATAAATAGCAACATCCAAACATCAAACTTTTATATAGGTCTCCCAATTCTGAAAAACTTCTAAATCAGCTTTAAAATTAGACTTCCACTGACTATTAGTTAACAACTTAAAAACAATTTTAAGTACCAATATGTTCATAAACTGTATTCTATTTATTGAAAAACATGAAAAGAAATACTTTGTTCACACTATAAATTACTTTTTAAAATGCTTACTGTACTTGGATTCAAATGCATTTTGATACAAATACTTATCAATAAAAGCTGCTTTCTTTCTTAAGCCTAAGTATCATGCAGCACCAGAAAAGGAGTATTTTTAAAAGAAATCCAATAGATGAGATTTTTTTTCTAAAGAGAAAAATATATAATTTTTTGAGAGGAAAAATATAATTCCAGATACCTGTTTGAATCTTGACTCTGTGTAGTTTGGATGTGAATTGATCATTAACTGTAAATATATGACCATTTTCTATTTCCTTTGATTTGGGTTCTTTTGTAAGAACCCGCTGTGTTGGTTTACCACAGGCGAGGGACTGTAGGGCTCTAACAAGCTCTCTTTCAGGGATATCTGTCTCTTGCTGAATTTCCTGAAATTTCATCAGATTAACATAATTAGACTTTTTGAAAGATTAAAGTTAGTTAATTAGCAAGTAAACTGACCAAGCAGTAGTTAAAAAGAGGTAATTCCATTAAATAAATAATGCACAAAAAAGAATTCTCTTGAGTACTATGACACATCATTAAAATCTCATTATTTGAACAAACGAGAGGAAAGGGTGATTCAAGTTATAAAATATTAAAAAGACATGTACTTTTTTGTTTCAGGAGATACAATGGCTAATCCAAAAATGTTATCCAGCAGAGATTATCAGGAACCTGCTTCAACATTTAGGTAAAAATAAAGTGTTAACCAACATATAATTGCTAATTTTATAAATATTTTACAATCTTCCATCCAAGTTTATCCAGACTACTCTTTTGCTTAGTAATTTCTTTCATAGAAAAAAGGAAGGTAAGCCTGAGCTCAGGCCTTCTACCATACAATCAAAATTTACCATCCAGACTGACCATATGTATGCTTCTATGACCAAATGAAGAAAAAAAAAAACCTGGAATTACATTAAACATAAATATCAACAAGCAATCTGTTTTGAAGTTCAGGTAATAATCTTTACTGCGTATTATGAATAATGATGTGAATGGTATGAATAAAGTGTAATACTAGGGGAGAAAAAGCAGCTCAGGAAAGAATGCTGTGTAATTTTAAATTCACTATTCTGTCAGTGGGACAGCAAGGAAACTGTACAGTTATATGATTTAGTCTCTACATGTCTATAGTGATATGTGATTGAGTAAAAGTCTTGACACTAGGATTTATTGCTTTGATGCACTGTATACAGCTATCTGTCTCTTTCTCAAAAGCAGCTTATGAAGAGTGGGCATGAAGATGGTGATATTCAGATTATACGAGTAACTGATCTGGAGAGTCAGTCATTCTCTCTAGACAAGTCTTTGAGCAACAGTTCTGTTCTCCTAAAAAACTGTCAGGTAGGCAAGGATTCAGAGAAATGTGATTTTCAGTGATTACACATATTCATTTTCTTCAAATAATCTCTGGTTATATCTACCTACTTTAGACATTTCAAATAGTATAAATGCTAATCCCAGAAAATAGGTGCTATTATTAGAATGAAGATGTTTATTATTACATACATGCTAAAAGTGATTTATTTACATACTTTAGTTATTGCTTAATCATATTCAATGAACCAGAAATACCTTAGGTGGTATTTTAAGATTACAGATCATCCCAAGAGGTAACTATTACCAAAAGTATTTTATAAAAGTCAGTCCTAAAACCTTATAGTGGGGAATTCTTAGCTGCCTAAGAACAGAATGAAATGCCCCTAAAGTCATAAGGTTGTATATATAATGAGAGAGTTAAGCATAACAGTAGTTAGTATACTAGACATCTTTCTATTAGAGTTAGGAACAAGATAAGGATGCCTATCTTTACTATTACTATTTTACCTGCACTCTGGTAATCAATTGTATATTTAAATTACTTTTTAAAAGCAATGTTTTCCTATTCATCTATATATACACATGAATACAAGTATATGCATATACATGAACGTACACGAACACATCCACCTATACACCAGTATTAGTGTTAAATGAGACCATAACATGAATTTTTCTATTAATTTCTTCAGATTTTTCAGCTAGCAAAAAGAGATTAAAGCTACAAGGAATTCCATAGTACTGTTCTATCATGACACAAGTGGAGATTTAGACTGGATCCAATGTTCTGTTGGTACATGCATTTCTGACTTTGAGCACGAAAGCCTGTTTTTCAAAAGCAAATTTCTAGAAATGCACTTGCTTCCTCAAAGTTATAAATATTTTATATTTGCGCCAAGCACGGTTGCTCACGCCTGTAATCCCAGCACTTTGGGAGACCAAAGTAAGAAAATCACTTGAGCCCAAGAATTCAAAATCAGCCTGGTCAACATAGCAAGATCTGCTCTCTACCAAACATTTAAAAAATAGCCTGTAGTCCCAGCTACTCATGAGGCTAAGGTGGGAGGATGGCTTGAACCTGGGAGGTCGAGGTTATAGTGAGACATGATAATACCACTGCACTCCAGTCTGGGCAAGAATGAGACCCTGTCTCAAAATTTTTTTTTTTTAGTATTTGATAAATACTAATGAACTGCTTTCAAGTTGCTTAACAATTTAACCCCCCACAAAAATAGTATATGAATATCCACTCCCTCACACCCTCTTCAACGCCAGATTTTCTTTTGCTCATGTTTGGCTAAAAATGAAATCTCATTATTTTAATTTGTACTTCTCATGACCACTATGGGAAAAAATATTTTTATATTTACAGGATATCTGTAATCTTCTATGCTTTCTCTATCTATATTCCTTCATGTTTTTATACTCAATTGTTTGCCTTCATACTGATTTACTGATGCTCTTTATAGATTATGGTTTTCAATTTTTATGTTATAAGTAATTTCTCCTAGTCTATTTTTAACTTAATGTATCTCATCATATAGATGTGTTATCACTTATGTGGTTAAATCTGTTAATCTTTTCCTTTATTATTTTGGTAATACATTTTTAAAAAGACATTTCTCACATTAAGGTTACCAAAATATTCAACATTTTCTTCCATTATTTATATAGATTTGCACTTATATTTAGATTTTCACATTTATCTGGAATTTTATATTTGATGTGATCCATGGAATTGAGGTCTTAATACTACCCTCTTCTCATTCCCACAAATAAAAAACAATTAAATTCAGTTTTTAGAAACGACAAATTTGAGATCTGGCAAGATGGCCGAATAGGAACAGCTCCGATCTGCAGCTCCCAGCGAGACTAATGCAGAAGGTGGGTGATTTCTGCATTTCCAACTGAGGTACCTGGTTCATCTCAATGGGACTGGTTAGACAGTGGGTGCAGCCCACAGAGGGTGAGCAGAAGCAGGGTGGGGCGTCACCTCACCTGGGAAGCACAAGGGGTCAGGGAACTCCCTCCCCTAGCCAAGGGAAGCCCTGAGGGACTGTGCTATCTGGCCCAAATACTACGCTTTGCCCACAGTTTTTGCAACCCGCAGACCAGGAGATTCCCTTGTGTGCCTACACCACCAGGACCCTGGGTTTCTAGCACAAAACTGGTCGGCTGTTTGGGCAGATACCAACTTAGCTGTAGGAGTTTTTTTTCATATCCCAGTGGCAGCCGGAACCCCAGCGAGAGAGAACCGTCCACTCCCCTGGAAAGGGGGCTGAAGCCAGGGAGCCAAGTGGTCTTACTCAGTGGGTCCCACCCCGACAGATCCCAGCAAGCAAGCTAAGATCCACTGGGTTGAAATTCTCACTGCCAGCACAGCAGTCTGAAGTCAACCTGGGACACTCAAGCTTGGTGGGGGGAGGGGCGTCCACCATTCCTGAGGCTTGAGTAGGCGGTTTTCCCCTCACAGTGTAAACAAGGCCTCCAGGAAGTTCGAACTGGGCGGGTGGCAAAGCTGCTGTGGCCAAACTGCCTCTCTAGATTCCTCTTGACTGGGCAGGGCATCTCGGAAAGAAAGGCAGCAGCCTGAGTCACGGGCTTGTAAATAAAACTCCCATCTCCCTGGGACAGAGCACCTGGGAAGAAGGCAGCTATGGGCCCAGCTTCAGCAGAATTAAATGTTCTTGCCTGCTGGCTCTGAAGAGAGCAGTGGATCCCACAGCGCAGCACTCCAGCTCTGCGAAGGGACAGACTGCCTCCTCAAGTGGGTCCGTGTCCCCCATGCCTCCCTGACAGGAGACACCTCCCAGCAGGGGTCAACAGACACCTCATACAGGAGAGCTCCGGCTGGCATCTGGCAGGTGCCCCTCTGGGACAAAGCTTCCAGAGGAAGGAGCAGGCAGCAATCTTTGCTGTTCTGCAGCCTCCACTGGTGATACGTAGGTGAACAGGGTCTGGAGTGGACCTCCAGCAAACTGCAGCAGACCTGCAGAAGAGAGGCCTGATTGTTAGAAGGAAAACTAACAAACAGAAAGCAATAACATTCAACATCAACGAAAAGAATGCCCATGCAAAAACCCCATCCAGAGGTCATCAGCATCAAAGATCAAAGGTAGATAAATCCATGAAGATGAGGAAAACCCAGTGCAAAAAAGATGAAAATTCCAAAAACTAGAATGCCTCTTCTCCTCCAAAGGATCAGAACTCCTCGCCAGCAAGGGCACAAAACTGGATGGAGAATGAGTTTGACAAACTGACAGAAGTAGGCTTCAGAAGGTGGGGAACAACAAACTCCTCTGAGCTAAAGGAGCATGTTCTAACCCTAAGAAGCTAAGAAGCTAAGAACCTGGATAAAAGGTTACAGGAACTGCTAACTAGAATAACCAGTTTAGAGAAGACCATAAATGACCTGATGGAGCTGAAAAACACAGCACAAGAACTTCGTGAAGCACACACAAGTATCAACAGCCAAATCGATCAAGCAGAAGAAAGGATATCAAAGACAGAAGATCAACTTAATGAAATAAAGCGTGAAGACAAGATTAGGGAAAAAAGAATGAAAAGGAACAAACAAAGCCTCTAAGAAATATGGGACTATGTGAAAAGACCAAACCTACGTTTGACTGGTGTACCTGAAAGTGACGGGGAGAATGGAACCAACTTGGAAAACACACTTCAGGATATTAACCAGGAGAACTTCCCCAACCTAGCAAGACAGGCCAACATTCAAATTCAGGAAATACAGAGAACACCACAAAGATATTCCTCCAGAAGAGCAACCCCAAGACACATAATCATCAGATTCACCAAGGTTGAAATGAAGGAAAAAATGTTAAGGGCAGCCAGAAAGGTCAGGTTACCCAAAAAGGGAAGCCCATCAGACTAACAGCAGATCCCTCTGCAGAAACCCTACAAGCCAGAAGAGAGTGGGGGGGGCCAATATTCAACAATCTTAAAGAGAAGAATGTTCAACCCAGAATATCATATCCAGCCAAACTAAGCTTCATAAGCAAAGGAGAAATACAATCCTTTACAGACAAGCAAATGCTGAGGGATTCTGTCACCACCAGGTCTGCCTTACAAGGGCTTCTGAAGGAAGCACTAAATATGGAAAAGAAAAATCGGTACCAGCCACTGCAAAAACATACCAAAATGTAAAGACTATTGACACTATGAAGAAACTGCAACAACTAATGGGCAAAATAACTAGCTAACATCATAATGACAGGATCGAATTCACACATAACAATATTACCTTAAACGTAAAGGGGCTAAATGCCCCAATTAAAAGACACAGACTGGCAAATTGGATAAAGAGTCAAGGCCTATCAGTGTGCTGTATTCAGGAGACCCATCTTACATGCAAAGGCACACACAGGCTCAAAATAAAGGGATGGAGGAATATTTACCAAGCCCGCCCCCCCCAAAAAAAAAAAAAAAAAAAAAAGCAGGGGTTGCAATCCTAGTCTCTGATAAAAAAAGACAAAGAAGGGCATTACATAATGGTAAAGGGATCAATGCAACAAGAAGAGCTAACTATCCTAAATATATATGCACCCAACACAGGAGCACCCAGATTCATAAAGCAAATTCATAAAGTCTCTACAAAGAGACTCAGACTCCCACACAATAATAGGGGGAGACTTTGATACCCCACTGTCAATATTAGACAGATCAATGAGACAGAAAATTAACAAGGATATTCAGGGACCTGAACTCAGCTCTCGACTAACAGACATCTATAGAACTCTCCATCCCACATCAACAGAATATATATTCTTCTCAGCACCATATCACACTTATTCTAATATTGACCACATAATGGGAAGTAAAACACTCCTCAGCAAATGCAAAAGAATGGAAATCGTAACAAACAGTCTCTCAGACCACAGTGGAATCAAATTAGAACTCAGGATTAAGAAACTCATTCAAAACTGTACAACTACATGGAAACTGAACAACCTGTTCCTGAATGACTAGTGGGTAAATAACACAATGAAGGCAGAAATAAATACGTTATTTGAAACCAATGAGAACTAAGACACGACGTACCAGAATCTCTGGGACACGGCTAAAGCAGTGTGTAGAGGGAAATTTATAGCACTAATTGCCCACAGGAGAAAGCAGGAAAGATCTAAAATTGACACCCTAACATCACAATTAAAAGAACTAGACAAGCAAGAGCAAACAAATTCAAAAGCTAGCAGAAGACAAATAACTAACATCAGAACTGAAGGAGATAAGAGAAAACAGAACTGAAGGAGATAAGAGAAACAGAAAACTCTTCAAAAAAAAAAATCAATGAATCCAGGAACTGGTTTTTTGAAAAGATTAAAAAATAGATAAGACTGCTAACCAGACTAATAAAGGAGAGAGAAGAATCAAATAGACACAATAAAAAACGATAAAGTGGATATCACCACCGATCCCACAGAAATACAAACTACCATCAGGGAATACTATAAACACTTTTATGCAAATAAACTAGAAAATCTGGAAGAAATGCATAAATTCCTGGACACATACACCCTCCCAAGACTAAGCCAGGAAGAAGTTGAATCCCTGAATGGACCAATAACAAGTTCTGAAACTGAGGCAGTAATAGCCTACCAACCCAAAAAAGCCCAGGATCAGACGGATTCACAGTCGAATTCTACCAGAAGTACAAAGAGGAGCTGGTACCATTCCTTCTGAAACTATTCCAAACAATATAAAAAGAGGGACTTCACCTTAACTCATTTTATGAGGCCAGCATCATCCTGATACCAAAACCTGGCAGAGACACAACAAAAAAAGAAAATTTCAGGCCAGTATCCCTGAGGAACATCGATGTGAAAATTCTCAATAAAATACTGGCAAACCGAATCCAGCAGCACATCAAAAAGCTTATCCACCATAATCAAGTTGGCTTCATCCCTGGGATGCAAGGCTGGTTCAACATATGCAAATCAATAAACGTAATCCACCACATAAACAAAACCAATGAAAAAACCACATGATTATCTCAATAGATGCAGAAAAGACCTTTGGTAAAATTCAACACCCCTTGCTGCTAAGAACACTGAATAAACTAGGTATTGAACATATCTCAAAATAATAAGAGCTATCTATGACAAACCCATAGCCAATATCATACTGAATGAACAAAAGCTGGAAGCATTCCCTTTGAAAACTGGCACAAGACAAGGATGCCCTCTCTCACCACTGCTATTCAACATAGGATTGCAAGTTCTGGCCAGGGCAATCAGGCAACAGAAAGAAATAAAGTATTCAAACAGGAAGAGAGGAAGTCAAATTGTCTCTGTTTGCAGATTACATAATTGTGTATTTGGAAAACCCCATCGTCTCAGCCCAAAAACTCTTTAAGCTGATAAGCAACTTGAGCAAAGTCTCAGGACACAAAATCAATGTGCAGAAATCACAAGCATTCCTATACACCAATAATAGACAAACAGCCAAATCACGAGTGAACTCCCGTTCACAATTACTACAAAGAGAATAAAATACCTAGGAATACAACTTAAAAAGGACGTGAAGGATCTCTTCAAGGAGAACTACAAACCAAACAAATGGAAAAATATTCTATGCTCATGGATAGGAAGAATCAATATTGTGAAAATGGCCATACTGCCCAAAGTAATTTACAGATTCAATGCTATTCCCATCAAGCTACCATTGACTTTCTTCACAGAAAGAGAAAAAACTACTCATAAGACCCAAAACCATAAAAACCCTAGAAGAAAACGTAGGCAATACCATTCAGGACATAGGCATGGGCAAAGACTTCATGACTAAAACACCAAAAGCAACTGCAACAAAAGCCAGAATTGACAAATGGGATCTAATTAAACTAACGAGCTTCTGCACAGCAAGGAAACTATCATCAGAGTGAACAGGCAACCTACAGAATGTGAAAAAATTTTTGCGATCTATCCATCTGACAAAGGTCTAATATCCAGAATCTACAAGGAACTTAAGCAAATTTACAAGAAAAAAAGAACCCCATCAAAAAGTGGACAAAGGATATGAACAGACACTTCTCAAAAGAAGACATTTGTGTTGCTAACAAACATGAATAAAAGCTCATCATCCCTGGTCATTACGGAAATGCAAATCAAAACCACAATGAGATACCATCTCATGCCATGTGATGCTGTGCTTCAGTGGTCACGCTCCTAGTCCGCTTTCATGTTCCATCCTGTACACCTGGCTCTGCCTTTTAGATAGCAGTAGCAAAATTAGTGAAAGTACTAAAAGTCTCTGATATGCAGAAATAACGGCATAAGCTGTCCTCTCTCTCTAACCCCCTCTCTCTCTGCCTCGGCTGCCAAACAGGGAAGGGCCCCCTGGCTGGTGGACAGGTGACTCACGTGACCTTATCAATCATTGGAGATGACTCACACTCCTTACCCTGCCCCTTTTGCCTTGTATCCAATAACAGCGCAGCCAGGCATTCGGGGCCCTACCGGTTTCCGCGTCTTGGTGGTAGTGGTCCCCCGGGCCCAGCTGTCTTTTATCTCTTTGTCTTGTGTCTTTATTTCTACAATCTCTCGTCTCCGCACAAGGGGAGAAAAACAACCGACCCTGTGGGGCTGGACCCTACAGGGTGATGGGTGCAGCAGACCACCATGGCACAAGTATACCTATGTAACAAACTTACACGTTCTGCACATACATCCCAGAGCTTTAAAGAAAAAAAAAAAAAAGACATTTATCACATCCCAGACACCTACAAATATATTAGTTTGCTTCTGGACTCCCTTTTGTTCAAATGAGCTGTCTGTCTATGCATTTTAAATAATGTTAACTTGTATACTTTTTAATAACAGAGAATACAACCGGAATTTTCATAACACAAATAATGCTAAGATGGATACCCCATTTACCCTGATGTGATTATTACACACTATATGCTTGTATCAAGATATCTCACGTATCCCATAAATATATACATGTACTATGTACCCATAAAAATTATAAATTAAAAAAACGTGATATGGTATGTTTTGTTATTAGGACAAATTCCTTCCCCTTTCACTGAGCTTTCCTACCTAAGACCCATCCCTTTTCAAAAGTAGTTTTGCCTAATCTTGTGCATTTTCTGGTCCAGATGAATTATGGAATCAGCTTGTCGAGTTTTATTTAAAAATATATATATTTTGGACATTTCATTTCAGATTTCCTTGAATTTATAGGTGACTTTTAAAAACAGCACACTTATAACTTGTAATTCTCCCATTTGGGTACATTTACCCTTTCATATTCTTTAGCTTTTACTGTCTTCTTGGTATAAGTACCCTGTCTACACAGTTCTTGTTAAGATGATTCCTGGGAAGGCTATGATTCTTAATAAAACATCCTTTTCTTCATGTCATTTACTGATTAATGCTGGTTTACTGAAAAGGTATTTTCTTTCCAACAAAACTCTTCTAAAGAAATGTTTTCTCACTGATTATCATGTATTGCCAAATTGACAATCATATTATCTACAGATTTTGATAATTTTTTCAATTTCTTCCTGATACTTATGAATTTCATTCCTTTCTTCTTCTTAGTATATTAGGACCTGCAGAGCAAGGCATAATAGTAGTAGTAAAGATAGGCAACTTCATCTTGTTCCTCAGTCTAATAGAAAGGTGTCTAGTATTTTCCTACTAACTACTACAATGATTTAGTTTGTCATCAGATACAACCTTATGGCATTAAGGGCAATCCATTCTAAGGTGGCGATGAGTCCCCCACTTTTATAAGGAATGAGGACTGGCTTTTATCAAATACTTTTTGTTCATCTATAGAGATCAAATGGTTTTCTCCTTAAAATGGTGCCTGGCAATTAGGCAACTGCTTGTTTTTACAATTATTACAATATCTTAATAACGATCTTTTCAAAAAGTTTTCCTATGCTGACCTTTCTTTGTATTGTAGGGATAAATCCTTTTTGAACACAGTGCATTATTCTTTCAATACACTACTGAATATGACTTGCTAATATTGAGATTTATGCTTTCAGTGTATTAGAATCTAAGGAGCAAGGCAGAATGATGAATAACCTTAAGCTTTCTTTCTCTTTTGTATTTTCCTTGCTCAGTTTTAGCAAAAAAATTATGCTAGCCTCAGATATTTCCTGAGAGCAGTATGTCTATTTTGCCTTCTGAGTTCAAAGTTCGCTAAACAGCCTTCAATTTTAACTTGCTAATTGTGTTATTCAAATTTCCTATATCCCCCTTTTCAACTCAGGTTAGTCAATAAATTTGTAAGGAATTTCCATGATTCTCGAGTTGTCTACTTTCCCTTGTACTTTCATTTTCCTTTCTATATTGTGAAGTTATGTCCCTAATGATTGCTATAAATTATTGATGAATATCAAATACTACTGTTAAGTTTTCTATTTAAATTCTGACATTAATAGTGCTATTGTCTGTAGTTTTTAAATTTCAGACTCATTCTCATAAAATTATAAAAAATAAAGAACATTAACAAAAATATGTATTAATAGTTCTTATCCATACCTCTTTCAAAAACCCACTGCTAATTACTAAAGTCCAAGGTACAGACTACCACTGTATGTATTTCCTATTTTTAGCTGTTCTAAATCACAATAAACTTACCTTTAGTCATTCAAAAAACATGAAAAGAAAAAACCTCAGCAGCAGCCTGACTACTACAGATTAAATATGACACTACAAATTAATGCCACCTGTTGTAGCCAGCTTCTATGACAGCACGTAATAACCCTGGTATATGTTAATCTTGTGTGGTCCTCTCACTATCAGGGCTGACTTGGGCAACCAAGAAAATGAGAAGTGACACTACATGTCTTCCAGGGAAAGATCAAAAAGGCACTGCAGGTTCTGCCTGGGTCTTCTGGATTGCTCGCTCTTGGGAAAACCAGCCACCAAGATTTGAGGACAAAGAGCCACATGAAAAGGCCCATGTGCAGAGAAACTAAGGCCACTTAACAACATCCAGAACAAATTTGCCAGCCATGTGAACCACCCTGGAAGTGTATTCTCCAGCTTCAGTCAAACCGTCAGATGACCAGAACCCCAGACAACATCTAAATGCAACCTCATGAACCCCAAGCCAGAACTACCCAACTGAGTATCTTCTCAATCCCTAACCCACAGAAACGAGAGATAATAAATTGTTAGTGGTTGTTTTAAATCACTAACTTTTGAAATTCGTCATGTGGCATTAAACAATACACCATCTTACTGAACTCACACAGAATATTCAAAAATAAAAGTTCACCTTCCTTTAAATTATTATAATTAAATACTTTTAACTATCTCCACTAATTTGTGGAGGTGATTTCTTTAAAAAGGCTAGCTAATAAAACATTAGCAACAGACTGTAGAGAAACACGTGGTGTTGAGTAAAGACACATTTCTTGTGCCTTCTCACAATGCCCCAGATTTGAGGTGTCAGCAGCCAGAAGGCTTTGGAGCCATAGGCATGGCATTCTATATACACTACAATCAGTTTCTGCTTTGTGACTTAGCTAAAGTTGGAAAACTTACAGATATTCTCTACTTAATTTTAACCTTCCATCTAATAACTGCTTATTAGCATCAATGATTCCAAGTCAGATGGGAAAAGGAAAAGCTTGAACCACTAAATTTTCCAGCAATTCCAGTAACAGCTTTAAAAAATGAATTCGTATTTTTTATTATCCCATTATTTTTTACCAGGTCTTTATAAGCCAGGACTCTGAAAATCAACTCTAGCATTTACCAAGTAGCTAATTTTGTTTAAAATATTTTATCCATTAAGAGCCGCAGATTAAAAAAATGACTACACAAAAACAGCTGTTAGAGATAATTTAATTCCACCTCTGTTTGAAAAGCCTAGGTTTGGGTAAGGTACTCAACGCTTGCTTAATCAGTATTCTTGGGACTCAATCAAATATAACTCATGCTTGAAAATCAAGGTAATAATAAAATAAAAATAAAAGTAAAAAAAATTCAAGGTTACTCCCTAGGTAAGACCCACATGGAAATCCATAAGAAAAACTTCTCAATTTAGCCACTGAGCTACTAAAATACCTAGATTTCAAGCATTCCCTTTAAATATATCACATAAAAATGATGGCTCTCTTAATTATACTAACTTCCATACTCCCATATAAATGGGATACATAAATGGGAGTATGGACATGAATATTAAATAGGCCTAGAACTTGCTCTTAATTTCAAACACACTATTTTTTTTCTTGTGCTCACCTGTATATGAAAATTGGTTTTCAATTAAGTACAAATATGGAATTAATTTTGAGTCTTTCAAAATATTCATTACCTTAAATTTAAACTTAATGTGAATCACATGACCTTCATTTTAACCCCAAAACACCCTTTAAATGTACAGGAAAAGACTAATTGGATTTAATGTAATCAAATCATATTTTAATTGGGAGAAAAGGAAAAGGAAAAAAAAGCATATTATAAAATTAGTTACTCTAATGAAAAAAGATGGGTGCAAAGAGAAAAATGACTGCACTATCAAGACAGCATAAAACTGGCATAAAGACAGACATAGAGATCAATGAAACAGATCAGACAGCATAAAAATAGACCCACCCATATATGATCAATTGATTTTTAAATAATGACGACAAGGTAATTCGGTGGGAAAAAAATAGTGCCTTCAACAAATGATGCTGGAACAAACAACTGACAGCGTGAGGGGAAATGTATCTTAATCCTTACCTTATACTATATAAAAAAATTAACCTAAAATTCATCGTAGACATACATGTAAAAGCTAAAATTACGAACTATTGAAAAAATAAAAGTAAATCGTTACAAATTCAGGGTAGGCAATAATTTCTTAGGACTTAAAGCACAAACTACAAAAAGCAAAGTGATTAACTGGACTTTTTCAGTATTTTAAAACTCTGCTCTTCAAAAGACACCATTAAGAAAATGAAAAGGCAAGCAACAGACTGAAAAAAATACTCAGAGCACATATATCTGACGAAGGACTTGTATCCAGAATTTATAAAGAACTTTTACAATGTAGTAAGAAAACAACTCAAAAAAGATACAAACACTTCACCAAACAAGATATATCAGTGGCATATTAACACATAAAAGATGCTCAACATCATCATCAAAAAAAAAAAAGAAAATTAAATCCAAAATGAGACACTATTACACACCAACTAAAGCGGCTCAAAATCTAAAGACTGCAGATGATGTAGAGCGACTGGACCGTCTTGCACTGCTGGCAAATAAGGAAAATGGTATAGTTGCTTTGGGATACAGTTCGGCAGTTTCTTAAAATGTTAAACATATAGCTCTACTTAGCCTAAATCCGGTATCAACCCAAATGCAGGTGAACTGACAAAGGATTAAAGCATACAGACAACATGTATGATTCCATTTACATGAAAGTCTAAAAAAAAACAAAACTAATTTATAGTGATATAAAGCAGGTCACTGGCTGCCTGGGGCTGGAGGTGGTAGGAGGGAATAGACTGGCAAGGGGTACAACGCAATTTTGGAGGTAATGCTCTGTATTTTCGGGCAATATTCTTGTGATGGTAGTTACAAAGATGCACTCATTTAAAACTCATCAAATTGTCTACTTATATAAGGTATGTTTTATATAAAAGTACTTCTATAAAGTTAATTTAAAAATAAGACATAACTCAATACATGTATGATGTTCATACAGTTCCATGATCCATTTTATACAGTTTTCTCTAAAAGTACCCAAAGAGACTCTCTAAAGGTTATTCAAATAAGAAAGACTCAAGTAACAAGTGAGAGTTAGAAACAACACAGTTAAAATGTATATAACCACAATCCATACCTCAAATGTGTATTTTTCTCTATTATTAAAGAGCATTAATATGGTCATCTGGAAAGTGGAAACTTGCAATATGTGCTTCCGTGTATTAGAGCCAGTTACTTGTGCACCTCCAACACCAACTTCAGATCCATCTTCCTGTTTCATTTTTAAAAAAATATAAACAAAGACACAATCATTTCCTGGTAACATTAATGTATGTATGTACGTACATATGTATGTTACAGGGTCTCACTTTGTCATCCAGGCTACAGTGCAGTGGCGCAAACACAGCTCACTGCAGCCTCAACCTCCTGGGCTCAAGCAATCCTCCTACCTTAGCCTCCCAAGTAACTAGGACCATGTGTGTGCACCATCATGCCCAGCTAACTTTTGTATTTTTTGTAGAAACGGGGTTTTGCCATGTTGCCCATGCTGGTCTCAAACTAATGGGCTCCAGTGATTTGCCCGCATAGGCTCACAAAATGCTGAGATTATGGGCGTGAGCCACCACGCCTGACCAATTTTCTGGTAACTTTAATGGTATGTTTCAGAAATAGGTCCCATAATCTCCATCCTCCCCCAACAAAACTACATAACTTATTTATATAAAGGAAATCTATTTCTTAAAATGTGTGCACACACACACAAACAGTATTTAGGACTGTCCCTTGTCCCCCCATTGTGAACATTTTAATGTTATCTGAACAAGTAACTAATCAATTCCCTGTATTTAATGCTAAAATTATTTTAACAGTACACTATGGGATGATAATAATAATAGACTTACAAAACACCACTACTGTTATACTACCACCAAAAGTAACAGGATTAGGTTTCTTTCTGTGTGATGTGATCACAGTAAGAGATCAAAAAATAGCATAGCATAGCATGGGGGCTGGGGGAGGAGGGGGGAACTGCCATTCTCAAAGCCTATTCCTGCTTTACGATTTAAGGGATACAAAGTGGAACTTTCTAATTCTTCAATAATTAACATATGCATATGTTTTAAAAATCTACTGATCTGCTTAATAAACTTCAAAAGAACATGATTATTTAGGGAAAAAAAACCCTCTTTTAAAACAAAAGCAGGCAGTAATTAAAAGCTGAGTTCTTTAGTTTCCTTGTCCTTCCCACTTACACTTAAATATGTGTCGAATATTATTTAACGAAATTATAAAGCACTATTTCCCATTTCAATTAAATATCAAAATTAGAATATTTTTATGGGCATTTTCAGCAATACTTAATCTGATGTTAACAGTGATTCATCATACCAAACTAGTAAAATTCTCATTAAAATCTAAAGCTTATTTGCCTCCTAGATGACAATTTAGGTATATTTCTACAGTTTTTCTAGAAGACTTAATATTTTCTGAAGGCAAAAAATCCTGATTCATATCAAGTAATGAAAATAAATTATTACTCTAAACCTCACAATCTAGATATAAAAATGCGATTGCTTTTTAAAAATGAAGGCAAATCACTGGTCTAATACTAATTTTTTAAATTACTTTAATAACATTTATATATCTAACAAATCACAAATGTTAATTTTCCCAATCTTGATTTATTAGAAATAAAGATTATAGGTGACAGAATTTTGAAAAGGGGCTCATGGCTTTGTATGCACTGAAATCAACTTACATTTTACTATTTTATGCAATATTTTCTCAAACCTAATTTTATGAATAAAATATGTAATTATCCTAATGTTTAGTCCTTAGGGAAGACTATACTGGTATAGTCTTCATATTTTCAAAGGTGCAGTTAGCAACTGAGAGAACAGAAGTAATAAATCAAAGCTAGGATTTTTAACCTTTCTAACATGTGAGACAGGCAGAGAAACAGAAGTAAGTAATTTACCCAGGTCAACATAAATCACACATCAGCTCTAATAGACTAACTTTAAGTTACTTAATACGTTCAAACTATCAATATTTACCTTTTTAACTGGTCCATAAAATGTGGCATTGAGATCTGCAGAACCCATATGATGCTGGAGTGTGAGCTGTCGACCACTGTGTTTGGCTAAGTAGAACCTTCAGTAAATCAAACCAGGTTTTAGAAAATCAAACAAACTTACACATTTGAAATTACAAACTACAGGATAACATCCCTTAAACATTTGTGTGTGTGTGTGTGTGTGTATGGACTTTAAAACTTAAAGGAAACTT
Source organism: Homo sapiens (assembly GCF_000001405.40). Classification (NCBI taxonomy): domain Eukaryota; kingdom Metazoa; phylum Chordata; class Mammalia; order Primates; family Hominidae; genus Homo; species Homo sapiens. The sequence continues at coordinate 224,497,985 of NC_000002.12, forward strand.
TAGGAATCAAGTTCAGTTTCAACTTTCTATAGGCAAGACCTTGAGAGAGTCCTAAGTAACTCAGCTAGATATTAAATGACAAAGGCCCCACACTAAATAATTTCTACTGTACACTCTGCCCCAACCTACTGCTGCTCAGCCCTTGCTGTTCTTAAGACCACCTTTCTCCATAGTAACCCAATAATCAATTTGTTCTAAGTCAGTAGCAGACATCAACAGTACAAAATATACTCCTATACCACAGTACGAAAAATACTCAATGCACATTTATAAAATATTCCTCTGGGAAAAGTTTATGTAATTTTTTCTTACATATTAAAATTATAAAGGATAAACTCTCCCTTTGTTTTTGTTGTTCAAAACTGGTAGTTTTTCTTGAATTTTTATATTTATGTTTTTTGTCACTATCCACACCATATTTTTTCCAAAGCCTGAGCCACTCTGTGGTTCTTGCCCCAATATAACAATCATCCCTTCACTCTTAGAATTCCTTTTCCCTTGTCATTTTGCCTTTCTACAGTTTATAAAAAATGAGGACTTTGGGGAGGGAAAAAACCCAACATTTCTGTGAACTCGAGACTATAGGCAGTGCCTAAACCAGTAGGATCAGGCAAATAAAACTAGTTGGACAGCAGACATATCATGAACTCTTGCAACAGCGTGTTATCTGTGTGCATGTCTAAAGTGTTATACTGATTCACTATTACAATAAGGATCATGCAGTTGACCAGGGTGAAGCAGGACTGTCTACAGGATTATGTGAATTGTGGTGGTGGAGACAGTATACAAGATTAATGGATTAAAACCTAGCTGCTTTCCTGGAAAATGGCCTATGTTCTAAAAGACAAAATCTAGTTTTTATTTTTTTAATTTATGAAGCTACAAGTCAATAATATGCTAGTGCTTCTGGTTCAAAATGAAAGCAACTGGCTATGGTAATGTAGAGAAGACAGCAGGAATAGCACCAGAATGTTCGAGGCTTTTTAAGTTAAATTCTTAGTTACTTCACCTTACAAAGATACATGTCAATATGCTGAATACTCAACAAAGATCCAGGATATGGGCTATTTAAAAATACGTATCTCCTGGATCAGCACCAAAAATATCTTTAGTTTCTGTACAACCCACGTCAAGTTTTTAAGTGTAGGCAAGTCGAAATTATTTCTGATACAAATCACAAACTCCACAGAAATCATTCAAGATATATTCAAACAACTTTCAAATACATTTTGACATCAAGGTCAGGCAATTCACCTGGAAGAACATCTTAATAAGTACCAATGAATTTTTTGTAGTAAGATGTTTGATGTCAACCTTTTACTATGGGAATATTTTACATCTCACACAAAGAAGGCACTGGTACTTGGACACTTAAGACAATTACTAGAATCATTAAGACTAAGGTGAAGAATTTGTACAGTGCCTTCCACAATTTCAAAGAGGTCGTGACAGATACTTGTCCTCCTGGCAATATCAAATACAGTTTCTTCCCAGTTGTTTTTTCAGATCTGGTTTGAGGTTAACAGTTCACCAGTAGATGTTCTAGAGTAGCTCTGCTGTCTCTGATCCCAGCAGCAAGATGCAAGTGGGTCAAGAGACCTTTTGTTTGGTCACTGATAACTAATCTACACCATGCTGAAGAAATAAAGAAGCCACTCTGGTATTATTCCACTTATAAGCACCCTGCAGGGGTGTCCAGCTATCTACGGTCACTGCAAAAACTTCTGCCCCTTGTGCAATCAGCTCACAGACAATGTCTAAGTGTCCACCTTAGGCTGCTCGATGAAGGGGGTGATACACTCATCTTCATCCCTAGTGTTCACACGAGTGGTCTTTTCACAAAGCAGTCTCCACACTGGATAAGCCAATTATTTTCAGCAGCCCAAAAAAAATATTTGCTTGGATCTTTCTCTGTTTTTTTCTTGCATATCACTCTTGTTTTTTTTTCATCTTGCTCCTCTTCCTCATCAAAACTGCCATCTCAGAGACTCTGAGTACTAGTGGGAATAAGGTATCCACGTATTTCCAACAATTGGAGTTAGCTGAAGTGTTCAGAAAAGTCCAAGGAATTCTCTGGGTCTAGTTTTCCATCATCATTTACTTTCTCTTTTTCCATTTTTACTGCTGCTCTAAATAAAAGGCATTTCAAATGCCAGCATATAAACAATCTTTCTAGAGATAAATTATGCCTGCTTTACTTTACTCATCAAGATCCTATAGAGGGGGAAATTGCTGTATGCCAGGATAAATGCTCCTTTTGATCACGAGGTAATAAATGGAATACATTCATCCTCAATTACGGATACTAATGTTCAAATTCATTTTTAATTTTGAACACTTACTTGTACACAGTGATACAAAGTCTGATTTTGATTTACCTTCTGAATATCTCAAAAGCATGTCTTGGTGCTGGTGGGATGTTGCACTTTGGTGTGGCTGACTGAGTGGGCCAATATCCTGTCGTGAGCACCCGGACTGTAAGATCAACACCACCTAAAGATACCTATGTAAAACAGAAAGAGATATTCCCCTCAAAATTAACTAGGATTTGCTTTCTGTTCTGTTTAGACATTGTGTTAGATTTACCAAAGCAGTTAGCTCCATGTCTAATATCTAATTTAAAAAAAAGCAGATTTTCTTTTCTTTTTTTTTTTTTTTTTGAGACAGAGTTTCGCTCGTTGCCCAGGCCGGAATGCAATGGCACGATCTCGGCTCACTGCAACCTCCGCCTCCCAGGTTCAAACGATTCTCCTGCCTCAGCTTCCCGAGTAGCTGGGATTACAGGCATGCCCACCACGCCTGGCTGATTTTGTATTTTTAGTAGAGACGGGGTTTCTCCATGTTGGTCAGGCTGGTCTCGAACTCCTGACCTCAGATGATCTGCCCGTCTCAGCCTCCCAAAGTGCTGGGACTATAGGCGTGAGACATCGCACCCGGCAAAAAAACAGATTTCCTTAAAGGTTAGACCCACCCAGTGTTTCCCAAATTTTAACTACATGGCAAATAGCTTAATTATTGCTTATTATGTTAATTTAAAAACACTGACCAAAGAATAGTTTTTGGCACATAAATCAAGTCTTACTGTTATCACTGAGAACTGAAAAGTTTGGGCCTTTTTAAATAAAAGGTCAAGGAGGGTCAATTATATCATTTTAGAGAAAATTCTAGCATAATATCCTTCGTCTCAGTTTTAAAATATTTTTACTATCTTAATACATATTTCTAATATTCCAGCACCTATTTCAACTACAGTTAATTAAAACTTTTACGTTTTAGCATGTAGCTCACATTCTAACAACCTCTGCATACAGATCCAGTGCTATAACACTATAGATCCAGTGCTACAGAGCAGGTGCTCTACAAATATCTGTACAATGAATAACTACTTCTATGCTAGTATCAACTGTCACAATTATTTTCTTCCTTTAAACAAATTAAATTTTTAAGTAAACAACAATAAGGCACAACAAAAACTCTTAAAGATTAAATATTATTTCTATTATTGATATTCAGGATGTGTTATAAACCATCATTCCATTTTTATCTTACCTCAATGATTTAGTAATGTAAATTTTTAAGGGGAGGAATCAGTTTATGAATATCAAGAAGCATTCTACACTCCGATTTCTTCACAAGTATCCACTAAATGATTACTTAACTTTAAGGAAACTGAAAATAAACTTGGATGATGCACAGAAGAGAGGATCATAGAGGAGACTCTTAGATGGTGTACTGGGGGAGGTGGAGAACTGTTTATACATTCGCAAGTTGGTTAGGGGAAGGGAGGGTCACAAAGTGGACAGTCCATCCATCCCATATCAATATGCATGGGATCTAGCCCAATCTTCCCTATAGCTTTCAATGTGTAAGATTAGTGGAAGAAAAAAATTTAAAAACTTACTAGAGCAAACAAAAAAATACAAGAAAATATATCAATATATTAGATTTAACTATAAATTCCTAAACAATCTAAAAATAAAAATCCAGGATAATTACACCACTATTTCCTGTCCACCCGAAATTTCTGTCATGGACTTGCATCTTTCCTCCTCTCAGCTCTTCTCCACTGTAAACACTGATATTTATAAAGCAAATCATACAACTATTTACATTAGAGTCAGAATGTTTTCATAGAAATGAATGGTTATTCTACAGAATTACGTATTTTCACGTATCTGGTTTGCGAGACTATAAGGCCAGTAGAAGTGATGATCTCATATTTAGATACCAAAGGAAAAGACTCACAAATCTGTTAAATGGTTGTGACACATTTTAACCATAGAGTGGTACACGGTGATTTTAAAAATTTAAAAACTGTACAATTCTCTAAACTTAAGGTTAAGTTGAAAATCAGAGTAAAAAATGAAACTAAATTCTGAATTTCATTAAATGCTCATAAAACTCCCATCAGACTCCAAAGCTAAAGAAGTTCCAGCTCACCACCTTTGGGGAGTTATACCAAACACATTTATAATACATTAATTTCTGTGTTTTTATAGTCTCACTTCACCTGCTACGCACCCTTAGGATGTAAGTCCCATTTAAGCTAAACTTACAGAGGAGAATAATAGTAGTGAGGTATAGGAAGGTCAGGTGACTATCCCAAGATGACACAATCTTGGGGTAAAGTGAAAAGAAGAGTACTGAAACTCAGTAAACTTGTGTTAAGCCCAGTACTCTTTCCACAATTTATAATAGATTTGTATTATCTTTATTAACAACAGAATAATTCTCTTTATTAAATTGTCAGTGTATTCCTTCAAGTGGGAAGAAACAACTAAATTTTAAAAGAATAAAAAGTTTTAACATAAACACAGAATAAGAGGCAATGTGAAGGAAAATTAAGTACTCACAGATAAAACACATGTTGTCACTAATGACATTTAAAGAAACAACTGTCATCTGCTAAGTGGATGAAAATATACCCATTACAAAAGACTTTACATGAATATCTAAGTAGAAATTAACGCAGAATCTTACACCAGTTGCCTGTAGATGTTGCCTGAATTCATCCATCGTTGTGTTTGAGATGCTCATATCCCTAAACATTCCTTCCAGTTTTGACGTGAACTGACATCCACATTCAGTCTGTGGAGGAAAAACACAAATATACACAAATAAATGGTAGATGTTTCTATGAGAAAGTACAGAAAGAAATAAATTATTTCATGTTATTGCTATCCCTGATAATCTTCCTGTAAATTTTTCCAACAGTTGCTCTGTGCCTGTGGTTATCAAACTTTAGGATTTTAAAATGCAAATTCCCAGATTCTTTCAGAGATTCCAATATACCCCCATGAAAGGCAGGGCCCAGAACTGTTTTTAACTAGCATCTCAGGTGATTCACGTGCAAGTATTCTATGGACCACACTTTGTGAAAAAGAACTACACAGCATAGCCTCTTTATTGTTTCCCTTTTACTAATCCTCCCTTCCAGGCCTCCATGAATGTATCCTGACACACCAACAGAAATTCCAGCAAACTCTGAATGTCCCTGAACTTGAACAAATGTTAGTGTAGTCTGTGTTCTTCTCCAAAACAATCTACCTTTATTTCTAGAAATAAACACTTAATAATCTACCAAATTAATTTCCAATCACGTTGTCAGTACACAATCATAATAAACCTCAGTTAGGTGCACTCTATTTCATCTAAAACACACCTTACCTTTAACTTAGATATCATGTTTTTTTCAGAGTCATCAGAAACACTTTTATTTGTGAGAAGTCTCCTTGCCAAGTGTTGTTTATAATAACGTTCAAATACATCTTTTTCTTGCATAAACCTAAAAAGGACCATTGCTTTATCCAATATTGTTTCTACTTCTTGTTCTGTTAGCTGCAAAATTAAGATGATGTAACAATTATACAATTTTAGTTCTACAAAAGCAGTACTACGGTTCATTTACAGCTTAAAAACACTATTGTTTGAAAACATAGATATCTGGTTGACATACATCAAAAAAAGGGATACGGTTTGAGAAAGTGTCTCCTACTTCACACAGTAGCATCATTCTTACATTCTCATTTAGTGCATCATGAATGAGGGGTTGGAGTGGAATTCTATTCCGTAGAGGGCTACCACTGAATTGGAGGCATAAGGTAATATAGCGCTGGGTTAAGGGATGATTGAGAACAGATGAAATGAAATTTTAGTCACAGAGATTATTTTATGAAGCCTTTGCATATGCAGGCAAAAACTTACACAGCCAAAAGACGGAATTTTTCATTTAAGCTCACTGAAAGCCTCAACTGTGCAAACAAAAGGCAATAATTTGTTATAATCCAAACAGTAAAAAGGCCATTGCCCTTACTTTATTTTTTTATTTCTATTTTTTTTTTCTTTTGAGACGGAGTTTCACTCGTTGCCCAGGCTGGAGCGCAATGGCGCCATCTCGGCTCACCGCAACCTCTGCTTCCCGGGTTCAAGCAATTCTCCTGCCTCAGCCTCCCGAGTAGCTGGGATTAGACATGCACCACCACACCCGGCTAATTTTGTATTTTTAGTAGAGATGGGTTTCCTCCATATTGGTCAGGCTGGTCTTGAACTCCCAACCTCAGGTGATCCGCCGCCTTTGCCTCCCAAAGTGCTGGGATTACAAGCGTGAGCCACTGTGCCTGGCTGCCCTTACTTTTAAATAAGGGCAAAAGGATTCTGTGGCAGGTTGTATTAATATATTTGAAAAACGGAAGACCAAATGAATGCATAAATTAATAGACTTTTCTATTCTGTGCAACCTTAGTGATTTTGTTCCCTTATTGCAGCTACTGCCTGTAAAACCTGTGACGACATGTTGCTTTTCCCTTTGGTGTCACAAATTCCAAAATGAAGTCAAAAGAGACCAATTCAGATGTGAGCATGTTTTATGCTTCAGTTGATTTTCTATGCTGTCGTGAGCTCCTCAGGTTCCAGAGATATCATATATCACAAAGGCTTGAAATTGAGCTACACCAACCATTTTCTGAGATGAGATCTACTCTATCTATGCCTTAATATTCTTGGCATCCAATTATTGTTTGACATATAACCTTCAGAACCAGATGAGAGCAAACAACACTCTCTACTAGAAAGTTTTCTAGTTCTTTATCTTCAGCATGCCTAACTCTCAGTCATAAAAATGACTGTTTACCAACTACAGCTGTGTAGTTGTTCAGTTTTTTTTTTTTTTTTGAGACGGAGTTTCGCTATTGTTGCCCCAGCTGGAGTGCAGTGGCGTCATCTTGGCTCACTGCAACCTCCGCCTCCTGGGTTCAAGTGATTCTCCTGCCTCAGCCTCCTGAGTAGCTGGGATTACAGGCATCCACCACCATGCCCAGCTAATTTTGTATTTTTAGTAGAGATGGGGTTTCACCAAGTTGGTCAGGCTGGTCTCAAACTCCCAACCTCAGGTGGTCTGCCCACCTCGGCCTCCCAAAGTGCTGAGATTACAGGCATGAGCCACCATACCTGGACAGTTGTTCAGTTTTTTTGAGACAAGGTCTTGCTCTGTCGCCCAGCATAGAGTGCAGTCACGCGATCACAGCTCACTGCAGCCTTGAACTCCTGAGCTCAAGTGATCCTCTGCCTCAGCTTCTGGGACAACAGGTGTATACCACTGTGTGCCACTAATTTTTTTCTTTTTTCTTTTTTTTTGTAGAGATGGAGTCTCACTAAGTTAACAAGGCTAATTTCAAACTCCTGGCCTCAAGAGAGCCTCCTGTCTTGGCCTCCCCAAATGCTGGGATTATAGGCATGAGCCACCAAGCCCATCCAGTTGCTTGTTTTTGAAGCCAATTACACATTAAGTGAAATGTCTAACTACGTTTGGGCATGTCAAGTATTTCAAACAATATTTTTTAATAGACCATGGCACCCATTTAAGCACAGCAATGGGTCATGCTTAATTTTTATCTGTGAAATGTCCTAATTTTACATATAATTTTATATCTTTAAATAAAATTAAATGTTATTTTCAAATGCATTACTACTTACCCCTTTGACTCCCTTTTTCAGCTTATCATCAATAAATAATGAGAGGTATTCAGGAGACCTGGAGTTGAGGTTGAGAAAATACTCAAAGTCACCCGCAATAGTTTGTTTAAAGAGACGGTCATTGTTGAATGATTCCAGGAGGAAGCGATCGAACCTACTCTTCAGATCCAATAAGCCCTTAGAAATAAAAACAAAATTTAGGACACATTATAATAATTTTTCCATAAATAATACACTTATGACCATGTATGTTTATCTTAACTTTGCTGGTAATAAACATGTATATTCATTTTTAAACTTACAGTTTTGATATTATTTTCAAGCCTATATCTAAGCCTCTATTAAAAATGTCAATGAGAGAAGTATTATAACTTCCATATATGTATTAATACAATGCAAACGAACCAAAGAACCTCCTCACTGTTTCTCATTCTCCTGTCTTGATGGAATGGGTTAGCCAGTGAAAAAAATTAGCTTAAAAAATGTACCAAAAAAAGCTGATTATGTTAAAACACAAAACATGGCACATAATTTATTCATAGTACTCCTTGAAAACAAAACATTTTCAAACAAAAAATACTTAAACCAGTTGTTTTTTCCAATATACTACAGTATACAAACACTAAGGCATACCAAAGAACCTCACATTCACTATTGAGGCTATTTAAACAAGGTCTTCATCAAAGAAGTTAAATGAAAAGTAGCAGCTGAATTTTAGCTCCCTGATATAAATACGCACACCTTGCAAAATCCTAAAATATGTAGGATAATTACAAATATTAATTTACTACTGGGACAATTAAGTTGAAAGTACACAATACACAGCATGGTAAAAGTGGCCTTTTTAGCACTTGTCAAAATGCCTTTATCATAAACACAGAGAATCTTCTGGGTTTACTTACCTGGATATAGTCAACAGGATTCTTTCCTTCTCCTTCTTCAGAAACAAGAGCTTTACCTTGCTCCCTCAAATAGGAACTCATACACTCACACATTGTTTTCAAACCATTTGGCACACGACTAAATAACTTGTACATGCAACCAAGGTCTACAAATCAGAAAACACAAATTGGCTACATTAAAGATTAAAGAAAAAAACACGAATCTCTGTTCACGCTATAATACTGAGAGAAGCTTATTTCTCCATTACCCCCATTTGCTGACCACATGACTATTAAAAATATACATATATTGATATGAAAACATGAAGAAGTAGGCTAGTTAATGGTTATTATTGTAATTTATAAAACACAACTTTTAGATGAGATGCTTTGAAACCATCAATTAAATGTCCTAGCAAATTTAAATTTACATGGAAGAGATGTCAAAAACCATAATAAACAAGTAATGTCACAAAAACATGGCAACTGCAGTTTTGAGTTCATAAATACTTTATCCTACATAACTCTAATGCAGACCTAATGACACTACAAAACGTCTACAAAAAGGGTCACTAATTAAGAGGTAATTGGTAGTCCCTGTAATGAGGAAGAAATTTTAAAGCCAGTTTAAGTCTTATGGGTATTTCCAAAGGTTTAACTGATAATCATGAAAACAAATCAAATGAACTATACTAGGATTTACTTCATTACACCTCAGGTAAAGTTTTTATGAAATGTATAATATAAATACCACTTCTTCAATATTTTCCTGAGAGCAATCCCTAATGTTTCCCAGGTAGCATCCTAAGCCAATATCTGTACTTCAAAATTTGGTCTATCTCACTATACTTTTTAAATTTAGAATGAAAACTCTGGATCCTATCCATTTTTTAATATCATTTTTCACAAGACTAAAATACAGATTTTAAAATACAGTTTTCCCATATGTCTAGTGTTTCTTTGCAATAACAACTTACTGGGAGAACACAGTGTCAGAACTTTACAATGATAATTTTAAAAGTTTTACAATCAATAACTTTTTAAAATGGCATTAAGAGTTTCTAGATCAGAGGCTGACCAATGTTTTTTCTGTAAAGTATCAGATAATAAATATTTTAAAATGTGAGCCATAGAGCTCTGACTCAACTACTCTGACGCTGTAGCAAGAAAGTAGCCACAGATAATACATAAATTATTCAGTGTGACTATGTTTCAAATAAAACTTCATGGACCCTGAAAATTTATATAAATTTTCATGTGTAAATACTCTTGATTTTTTTTTTTTTTTTAACAAAACTGGTAGTGCACCAGGCAGGCCCTAATTTGCCTACCTTGGTCTACAGTTCTAAGAGTAGTTTAGAGCTTAAAGTTGTATACATTTTTAAAATATTTCAAAGCAAGATTTACAAAGTTTTACTAAACTTTATTTCAGTGACTTTCAGCAGCAAATTTTAGTTAGTTTCCATTAATAATATATGCCCATAGTAACCTACACATGGCAATTTTATAGCTTCTCACATACTTAGCATAAATTACAACCAAGTTTCCCATATTTAGAACAGGTATTACAAATGCAACAATCTATGGACACATACTACAGTAAATGTGGCACACCAAATACTTCTAACAAAATGGTTCACAACTTGTCTATTTCAATCCTATGTTGTTGTAAGTTTTGCTTAGATATTACATGTTGTGTATTTAGTTGTACATAAATTACTACAATTTCATTGTATTTAAATGTTGGGGTAAAGGGAATGTAAAAGTAAATGAAAATAATTTGGCATGCAAAAATTAAATATCATTATTTCTACATACACTTAATAAAATAATAAGATACTGGCGAGACACGGTGGCTCACGCCTGTAATCCCAACACTTTGGGAGGCTGAGACGGGCGGATCACAAGGTCAGGATATCGAGACCACCCTGGCTAACACGGTGAAACCCCCCTGTCTTTAATAAAAATACAAAAAATTAGCCGGGCGTGGTGGCGGGAGCCTGCAGTCCCAGCTACTCATGAGGCTGAGGCAGGAGAATGGCATGAACCTGGGAGGCAGAGCTTGCAGTGAGCTGAGATCCCACCACTGCACTCCAGCCTGGGCGACAGAGCAAGACTTCGTCTCAAAAAAAAAAAAAGATACCTCTGAACTTCATTTCATAGTGCTATCTGCATCTAATAATCAATCCAATTTATCCTCCATTCACAGTGAGAAAACTGTTTTTCATTTTCTGATTTATGAGAATTTGGCTTCATAATGGTGAAGTTGGCTCTGCTATATTCTCAACAAGAGCAACATTTTTTCCAAGAGCAGGGCCTACCACAATTAGGATATTTTGCCACCAGGTTTCTAGCGGAAGCTCAGAAAAATTAACCCCCCCACCTTTTTTTTCTTAAGACAGGATCTCCCTCTGTAGCCCAGGCTGGAGTGCAGTGGCATCATCTTGGTTCACTGCAGCCTTGACCTCCCCAGCCAGATTCAAATGATCCTCTCACCTCAACCTCCCAAGTGGCTGGGACTAGGCATGTGCCATCATGCCCAGCTAATTTTTGTATTTTTCATAGAGACAGGGTTTCACCAATTTGCCCAGGTTGGTCTTAAACTCCTGAGCTCAAGCGATCCACCTGCTTCAGCCTCCCAAAAATACTGAGATTACAGGCGTTTGCCACCCTGCCTGGACAAAAGCAGGATTTTAAAATTTAATTTAGAATCACAGATAGCTACTGTGTTGTTGGAAACCTAAGGTACTAAATAAAGGAGAACTCTGGTGAGTACTATTATGGTATTCCTTCATTCACGTAAGTGCTCGCCATGATAGGCATACCTGACACCTTTTACATACATCTCCACACAGGTTACAGAGATGCTGTAATTCAGGTATGCCCAACAACCTCTCCATCAAACATTTCCTATCCCCTAAGGTAGGTAAGAAAGCATTCATTCAATACCTAAACAGTACATTACATAATTTATCAATACTCATTTTGTTTAAGCAGGGCAAATGCTTTGCATAAAGTCCCAGTCTACCAGAGACCACTTAGAGAAGGGTCATCGAATTAGAACCCGTGGGGCAAATACAGCCTGCCATCTATTTATGTACAGCTCATGAACTAAGGATGGTTTTCACATTTTTAATGGCTGAGGAAAAACTGTAAAGAATGCTATTTAGTGACACATAAAAATTATATGAAATTCAAGTTTCAGGGCCCATAAATAAAGTCTTATAGAAACACAGGATTATTCATTTGTTATTGTCTAGGACTATTTTCTCACTATGACTGCGTGGCTCACAAGCCATTTTATTCAACAACAAAAAAGCTTGCCAACCCCTGACTTGGACCTCAATTTTAGAAAACACAGCAAATATACTAGATGACTTCTGTTTTTTTTTTTTTTTTGGCTTTTACAAAAAAGGTTTAACTGAAGAGTCTTTTAAAAAGGAAGCCTCTCTAGTTTTTTTTGTTTTTTTTTTGTTTTTTTAAATTACATATAACTTTTCAGGGATTTCTCATATATACAAACATTTAACAATTTTAAAACACAAGGTAAGGATTCCACTAGAGATAAACATGGCTCAACTTCCCACCAGCTTTCGTTTTCCTTTCTCTTGTATCCTCCTTCTCTTTATAATTCTCCTTTAAAAAATTTTTTCATTCCCTACATAGCTCATGACCCCAACAGGCAATATGTATTTCTTTTACTAAAAAGAAGTGGATAAAATATTGCTTAGATTTCGTCTAGGAAGCAGGAGAACAAAGTACCATGTTTTTTATTTCCTAATACCATATAAGTGGTAAAGGCAAAGTTTTAAAACAAAGCATCAGAAACTAAGAATAGAGGATATGGTTATTGTTCTTTTAACTTGTAATTTCTTCTAGGATACTTGTCACAATTTTTCTTTTACCCCAGGAAAATAAATAGCTATAAAAAACAAATGTTAGTTATCTCAAAAATGTTCTTTACTTTTATGCACTCCTCCTTCCTCCTTTTCCATTCTGTAACTTCAGTGTTCCCCAAACCAATCTAATTTATCTAAGTATGTCAATATGGAAGACACAAATATTTTTGCATTTTCAGCACCCTGTCACAACTAAATCCCAAAGGAAAGTCTACAAAAATCTTAAGGTGGAAACTTAAGGTTTTAAGAGAATCACAAAACCCCAAGAGAGTATGTAGGACTAAAGAGAGCCCACACCCTTTGGTATACAGGAAGTACAGGAATGAATGAGGAGCTCACTGGGCTCACCAATACTATTACACCTTTTATCTTCTGGATTAAATGTAAAATGAGACTTAAAGACAGGAAATGCTCAATTCATTAGAAATATCTAAAATCTTCGTTAGTAAGACAGAATCAAGCTTGGAAATCCCATTAAAGTTAACAATGGAGACAAATTAACAATACACACCAAAACTTCTTGAAAGCTGATATTATCTGCTTTAATTGTAGGAAAATTTTAAAAATATCGATAAGGCAGAGTAAGGATTTAATTATTTTTCAATCGGTAACACTTACCTTCTGTCTTTCCATTTTTCAACATATGTACTAGCCCAGAATTCTCCATTTCTACTATAGTCTTCATGTGCTTGGAAATGAGTTCCCTTTCAACCACCTTTACAATTGGTTCTTCCGTTGATTTGTCAAGGCAGTGCATCACTCGTTCTATTTCTTCATTAATTCTAGCTTCTACTTTCTTTATATATACTGAAGCACTATTTTCTGCTAAAAATTTCTGGCTTTCCATCTGCCATTTAAAAATATATATATTTTTTAAACATAGAAGAAAAGAGTGTTTTTGCTTTTAGCTGGGTTTCTACAGTGTTTATAATAAATCAGCCTAAATAAAATAAGTACTATTAGCATTTTGTGTAATTTCTCATTACACGAAAGACTGATATAGTCTGAATTATATCCTTTAAAGCCTTTGGTATTTACATAATACTAAATTAAAACATTATCTGTAAGCAATGTTTTTCAAACTGTGCCAATGTACTCCAAAAAATAGCAGAACAAGTATATACACGCCAGTGAGGGTCAAAAGCTTAGAAGCATCTGACTCCAAGATACAGTGGGACATTCTTTTTTGATTTGTTTTAATGTAAAATTATAACCAGAAAGATTCATCATGTTTATCATAAGCTTTGCTGGCATACTGCTGGTTAATTAAGTCTTCCAGTGCCATCCCACTCCCAGTCTCAAAGAGTAAACATGTACACTAAAGTTTGAAAATAAGAGCTTTTAAATAACTATTCATCTTTTTTTTCTTTTTTTTTTTGAGACAGAGTCTCGCTCTGTCACCCAGGCTAGAGTGCAGTGGCGCGATCTCAGCTCACTGCAAGCTCCACCTCCCGGGTCCACACCATTCTCCTGCCTCAGCCTCCCGAGTAGCTGGGACTACAGGCGCCCGCCACCACGCCCGGCTAATTTTTTTGTATTTTTAGTAGAAATGGGGTTTCACCGTGTTAGCCAGGATGGTCTCAATCTCCTGATATAGTGATCCACTCGTCTCAGCCTCCCAAAGTGCTGGGATTACAGGCGTGAGCCACTGTGCCCGGCCAACACTTTAGCTTCCTACGAATACATCTGTTTTGGCAACACTACAAAATTCCTACTGTTAACTGCTCAGGTAGTTACGGTTTTCAGGAAAAATGCCTTGTTACAGTTACCTTATAACTACTATCTTATGTTTACTAGTACTCAATTATTGTTGTTATCATCATTTCATTACAGATTAGTACCAGTTTAGCTTTACTTTTAGCAATTTAGTTGGTTTGGACCACTGTTGCCAATTTCTATCAATAGTACCATTGGCCTGTAATATTTTAATCAACAACCTTTAGGCAAATATGCACTACAGAATCATCCATATCCTTATGTGTGTTTTACTAGTAATTTAAGTGACTAAAAGCCTGCAGATGAGACTTCGTTGGTGATGTACTGCTGTGAATTTATAGTACTTAAATAATTTATAATATTAGATATAGTAAAAAGTTAAGGATATTTCTAAGTTTACAGTTTCATAACATACAGTTGACCCTTGAACAACACAAGTTTGAACTGCACAGGTCCATGAAGTGGATTTTCTTCCTCCCCTACCACCTTAGACAGCAAGATCAAGCCCTCCTTCTTCTTACTCCTCCTCAGCCTACTCAATATGAAGGCGAGGATGAAGACCCTGATGATCCACTTCCACTTAGTGAACAGTAAATTACAGTTTATCTTCCGTGTAATGGTGTTAATAACACTTTCTTTTCTCTAGCTTACTTTATTGTAAGAGTACAATATGCAATACATATACAAAATATATGCTAATCAACTGTTTATGTTATCTGTAAGGTTTTCAGTCAATAGCACACTATTAGTTAAGTTTTTGGGGAGTCAAAAGTTTTATGTGGACTTTTGACTACACAGGGGCGTCAGCATCCCTATGCCCCACACTGTTCAAGGGTCATCTCTGTTATTTTAAAAACCATGTGTGTAAGTTCAACCTCTTCAATTTGTTATCGATGAGTTGCTTAACTGGAATGGTCAGAATGTGAGGTAGTGTGCTGATGGGCATTTTTTGCATACTCCCCTCCCTTAATGGGTCTCAGTTAAAAAAGGTCAAAATAGTTAAATTAGTAACTATATTAAATAACATTAAGAACATCTTAAAAGATTATTTATTTACATTTTCACGGATTACCTGAAAAAATTCTGCAGACATTTCCAAAAAAGGAGCCTCAAAATCTTCTTCATAGACTGATCTTCCTTCGAGACCTAAAATCATTAACATCTGGCAAGCATTTCTTATTGCGCCTCTGTCGAAAAAAGTTATTATCACTTGATAATTAAATTACATTTAAAAATTCACATAAAAATTACAAAAAGGAGTAGGTAAAAATATCTTCAGGACATTTAACTCTTACTGAAGTGACCAATCTCCAATAGGCCACTCATGTAAAACGAAAGGATTTAGCCTAATTTTAAGTTGGAAAGCATATCTTGACTGCACAGCTATTTCTCTCAAGGTGTTCTTACTCTAAAATGTCTAAATATTTCTATGTATTTGAAAACACAGAGAGGCTGTTTATCTGGAAGAAGGGAGAGAGGGAGATAGGCAGATTAAGCTGTACTGCCAGACATGGGTCCAATATACAGCTACTCCTGGGCAATATAACTTTTTGCACTACATGGATTTTGGACAATGCTGATCAAGCACCAAAGACGAAATAAAAAGAACTTTACACGTTTTCATCCAACAGCTGTTCTGAAAACAGATAAGGAGAGAAAAAAAATCATGCATTTCAAGCCACTTTAGCTGCAGCATCACCAAAATGACACTGCAATCATTGTTATGAAGGGGGATGAAATCTGACTTAAAAGGGGCACAGGAGTTCTTAGTCATTTTAGACTATGTTCAATAGTTTTCTTCAAAAATGTTAGGAATGAAGGACAGACAAAAGCCCTTAAAGAAAAAAAAATACAAATGTTATTACACAGAAAAAAAGAAAAAAATGCTGGCATGAAAAATAAATGAAAAGCCAAAAGTGACGGCTAGCTGAAAAGCATATTAAATAAAAGCTTAGGATAGTCTCTTCTAAAAATATAAAAGATGTGTGCTTTCAAATTAAATTTTGGGTAACTGTTAACTCTGATACTAAGTTTCTGAGGATTTTCCCAATGTGCTCAACATTCAAACTTTTATTTATTTTAATAAAACTAAGACAGTGAATCGTTCTCAAGATATAATCACTAAAACCAAAACCACAAGAGTAAAGAGAGAAATTTTACCTGTCTACGACTTCTCCTTTCCGCTCTCTTGCAATCATATCCAATAGAGTTTGCCGTAGATGATCCCTAATACACCCATAACGTACAACTTGATCTCGAAAAATAATTAATCCCAAATTGTAGACGTTCTCCACATTATTTTGTTGTACATACACACGGTCCTACAGTTAAAGTCATATAAATATGAGTACAGTTCTTGTGAGCATAATAATTATTGTGTGCTACAATAACAAATAAAGGAAATAAAATTCCAAAAGCAATCATTTTTCAGGTGAGAAACACTTCAAATGATCTTAAGCAATGTGCAACTTTCCAGCACCTCTCAAGTTATATAAAGTTAAGTTTTTACAATTGACAATGGCTATAAATGGTGGCCCATTTACCTAAAGAAAAAGGGTAAAAAGTAAGCATCATAGCCAGGAAGAAAAAAACAGAGTAAAAAAAGGTAAATAGTAAGGTAGCACACTTTCTCCCCAAAGCTACAGCATACTCAAACATGGTTCGTTCTTAAATACTGTAGTTGAAGATCATATTCTTTGAAGTAAAACTGAGAGTTGAATAAAGTACGGATTTATACAACTTAGATTGATTGTTACTGATAAATATTTAAAAGGCTTTAATGCATAAAATAGAGCAGCATTAAGTATTACATAATTAAAACACCTCTACTTACTGTCACTTCAAACAGATTATTACTTTCAAGTTCTTACCAACATGATTACAGATATCTCAGTTTATAAAGCACAGATAATCCAGAAGTGTTGTGCATTCCTTGAAAATCCATATTGATAGCAAAATACACTGAAATAAAACTACTGTTTTTTGTAATGCACAGAAGGATTAGTAATGTAATTCCTTTCTCGTCTCAGCAAGGATCTCTCTGGGCTTTGGTGGGTCTGTGAGCCTTCTAAAATTATTAAGTTATATGTTTGTTCACGCTTAAGTACTTTGGAAAGAAAGCCCATATCTTTCACCAGATTCTTGAACATGAATCTACAGGTTATAGCTAACGATAAGGTGAACATGAACAGAGCTCTACCATATTAACAATGTAACCAGAATAATACTAATCAACTTTCCAAACTTTTTTTTTTTTTTGAGATGGAGTCTCATTCACTCTGTTGTCTGGGCTGGAGTACAGTGGTGCCATCTCGGCTCACTGCAACCTCTTCCTCCTGGGTTCCAGCAATTCTGCCTCAGCCTTCTGAGTAGTTGACATTACAGGCATATACCATCATGCCTGGCTAATCTTTTTATTTTTTTGTGGAGACGGGGTTTCATCAGTTGGCCTGGTCTCGAAAGTCCTGACCTCAAGTGATCTGCCCACCTTGGCCTCCCAAAGTGCTGGGATTACAGGCGTGAGCCACCATGCCCGGCCCCAAACAATTTTAATTAAATTCTCCACGTGCAGTTCTTGCTTCATATGACATCATTCCTCCAACCTTCTCCTTTCATTCATCTTGTATGATGGTTTAACACCTAATAACAAGGAAAGCTATTTTTTATATTATCTTCTTCAGTGCTCACATTTCTACATTCTATATAATCTCAGCACAAGCTCACATCACATTTTTGAAATCTTAACATCAATTTTGATGAGTTCAAAATGCTTATTGATGACTTTGAACTTCTTGGACTTCACACTTCCATCCTCAAGATCTTAAATTCCAAGTTTCCCTCTGACCACGTCCCTCCTTTTTTGTTTGCTTTTTTTTTTTTTTTTTGATATGGGGTGTCGCTCTGTCACCAGGCTGGAGTGCAGTGGCGTGACCTTGGCTCACTGTGAACTCTGCCTCCCGAGTTTAAGCGATTCTCCTGCCTCAGCCTCGTGAGTACCTGGGACTACAGGCGCCTGCCACCACACCCAGCTAATTTTTGTATGTTTAGTAGAGACAGGGTTTCACCATGTTGGCCAGGATGGTCTCGATCTCTTGACCTTGTGATCTGCCCGCCTTGGCCTCCCAAAATGCTGGGATTACAGGCGCGAGCCTCTGAGCCCAGCCTCCCTCCTTGCTTTTGATGGCTAACACTGTTTTTTGTTTTTTGTTTTTTTTGAGAGGAAGTCTCACTCTATCACCAGGCTGGAGTGCAGTGGTGTGATCTCGGCTCACTGCAATCTCTACCTCCCAGGTTCAAGTGATTCTCCTGCCTCAGCCGCCCAAGTAGCTGGGATTACAGGCACCCGCCACCATGCCTGGCTAATTTTTGTATTTTTAGTAGAGACGGGGTTTCACCATGTGGGCCAGGATGGTCTCCATCTCCTAACCTCGTGATCCACCCACCTCGGCCTCCCAAAGTGCTGGGATTACAGGTGTGAGCCACCGCCTGTAAACCTCCTCTTTCATCTCACATGACCTCCAGGCCCAACCTTTTCCTACTGTCATAACTAATCGTGTTTTACTTCTCAGCACAGAACAATATGTACATAATAAAAACTAGCATAAATTTAATAATTCAAAAACCAACAAGAATCCCTTTTATTATAAAAATAATCACTATTATTGCTTAAACTATTTTACACATTTGATTTTTCTAAGTTCTACATATAAGTATATATTGTACAGAAAAGCACCAGAGACAGGAGAATACCTTTTAACCAATGTGATCAAAAACACTATCTGAATGGCTAAAGACAGGTAGTAAAACAGGGAAACTATTAAACATATACACACATTTGCATCCTGAACATTTTAATTTAAAAATATAAACGTTCATTCAGACATCAGGACTTTCTTTGAAAATGAGTCCTGTGACTGAAGCTCAATATTGTATACATACAGGCCAGGTGCGGTGGCTCACGCCTGTAATCCCAGCACTTTGGGAGGCCGAAGCAGTCGGATCACTTGAGGTCAGGAGTTTGAGACCAGCCTGGCCAATATGGTGAAACCCTGTCTCTACTAAAAATACAAAAATTGGCCAGGCATGTTGGTGCGCGCCTGTAGTCCCAGCTACTCGGGAGGCTGAGGCAGAACAATCAGTTCAACCCAGTAGACAGAGGCTGCAATGAGCCAGCCCCTGTACTCCAGCCTGGATGACACAGCAAGACCCCATTTCAAAAAGAAAACAAATAGTGTACTTATAAACACTCATACATAATAAATTGTCTAGCATTCCTAGCTCAGTTTCATTAAGGTGAAGCATGAACTAGAGGCATTTGTGAAGTAATCTGAATGTAAAATCCTTCTAGATTTTTTTTTACTATTTTCACTCTAATGTCTTAAATTACCTACACTTAATTCAAACCAGTATGTAGCCATTTGCTTTTATGAAGTCTTTCCAAAGCATCCAATCTAGCTTGCCAAATAAAAAATTTTATTTTTTTCACAAGATTTTATCAATTTACACAATATTAATTATATATTAATAATAAGTACAATTCGAATACACAGGTTTGAAAAATACAACAGAACTTCAATAAGCACAAAGTTCAACTGGTAAGTGAAGAATATGGAAGATTATACTGGAAAAGTAGCCTAACAGTAGTGAGAGAACCTTTTATCGGGATTTGCAGCTAGAATAGAAAGTACTGGCAATTCTGACAAGTCCTTTGTTCACTTCTGCTTTCAGTCTCTGTAAATTTCCTTTTGTGGTCATTTCATATAATTATCCTGTAATATGTAATCTTTGGTGTCTGATTTCCTTCATTAAGCATAAAGTTTGTAAGGTTTATTAATGTTGTAACATACAACAGTATTTCCTTCTGTTTAGGGCTAAACAGCACTCCATTGCATGGATACACCACATTTTGCTTATCTATAAGCTGATGGATACTTTGGGTTGTTTCCATTTTTTGTCTATTACAAATAAGGTGGCTATAAACATTTGGGTACAATATTTTTGTGGACATATGCTTTCATTTTTCTTGGGTGGATTCTAAGAGAGGAATTACTGGGCTGTATGGAAATTATCAAACTTTTCTAAGGGGGATCTATCACTTATGGTAAATTTTTTAATAAAAAACCTCTAATAGTAAGAATAATATTTGATGTGAAGTTAGGAATTCTTTATATGATCCTGGCTCTACTGTTAACTGGCTATGTGACCTTAAGTCACTTATTCATTGTGGCCCTCAGTAAAACAAATGGCTGGTAAAGATAATCTCTAAAACATTAATATCATTTCCTATGAAAATCCTCTCACCAAAAAATAATATACATGCAGGATCAAATAAATGTACACTTCACTACTTCTTCCCCTTCTATTTGCTATCGGTCTCCCATGGCTTGGATTTCCCCTGTCCCAACTTTAAGCATAGTGATGGTATCGCTACTAAAGGAGGTAAATCTATTACCTTATGGCCTACAATGTCTGCTATCTTAAGCCCTCTGGCAAAAAGGCAGAAAGACATCAGTCAGAACTGATGAATTCTTCAGGAATGCTGTGTATAGAGGAAAATGATGCTTCAGTAAAGGAAGCCAAGGCATGTGATCAGAATACATAGTTTGGAGCACCCCAATCCAAAAATCTGACATCTAAAATTCTCCAAACTCTGAAACTCTGAGCATCAACATGATGCCACAAGTAAATTCCACAACTGACCTCATGCATCGGGTTGCAGCCAAAACTTTATTTCATGTACAAATTACTTAAAATATTGTACAAAATTACCTTTGGGCTATGTATATAAGGTGTATATAAAACATAAATGAATTTTATGTTTAGCACATGGGTTCCATCCCCACAATCTCTCATTATGTATATGCAAATATTCCAAAATCCCCCCAAAATGCAAAATCTGAAAACACTTATGGTCACAAGCATTTCGGGTAAGAGACAAAATCAACCTGAAGCTGGAAGGTGTAGGCAGAACACAGAATGTTTAAAGCCATGGGTTACTGTGGTGTAAGAGCTAAGCCTTTGTCTTTCAACTTGAGACTGTCAAGATGTGTGATGATAATTAAATGACATATAATATTAAGAAAAACTTGATAACCCTAAAATTTCATTATAGATAAAAAAGAGCTAATAAATGGAGAAGAAACACAGAAACTTAAGTGTGGCTCTATAAAACTATTAATAGTAATACTAAATAATCATTTATATTAAATGTCTGACATGTATGATTAATTACCATCAAGTACAATTAAGGGTACAGATGCATAACCCTTGAGTATTTGTGTGCATATGTTAAACAGAAATGCACACATATATTCACAGTAAACTTGTGATATGCACATGATATGATTCTAATATCATTTAAATTCTTGTGAGGTTTTAATTTTTATGTGTCTATTTTTTAAGATTTTTTAAAAGTCCCAGCTCCGGTTACCTCTAACTAGCAAACTCAAAGTATGAACAAGATTTTAAAAATCATTCCAAAAGAGAAAAAAAAAAAATTAAAGACTGATTTTAAAATGTCTTAATCCCAGGCTTTGACCAAAATGTAGTGACCAAAATGTAGTATGAGTTTGACATTAGTCACTTATCTACTAAAGAGACCTTAGCAGAGATAGAAAGTTGGTGGCTTTTTCTACTTGCCTTTTTAAAGCCAAAAACAGGCATTTTAAATATAAAATGTTCTGAAAAACATGTTCGAAAGCCTAATGTGAGTCAAGCATTATGTTTACATAAAGGGATGTGAGTTTCATCACCACAGAGATAAACCACATTTTAAATCTCTATTTACAGTTCTCTCTCAAGGGTTGCTATTCCTTGGCCAAGCAGGCCTGCAATGAGCAAAAACTTTCACAAGCTAGGTGGACCTGTGGTGAGAGACAGGAGCCAATGGTGGGGACCCACCTCATGCCCCCCTTTTCACAGCTGGTTCTGCATCTGACTTCATCCATACAGTAAGCTTGATAAACCAACTTCATTTGTAACATAAGCACTTCATTTGTAACATAACATCTATCTCACAATGCTATTCCACTCATTTCCACTTCTAGTCCTGAAAATAAATAGCTTTTAAGACCAACTTCCCTGCCAACAACTATAAAGGCTGGATAAAAAAATACAAAAGCACCACCAGTTTTAAAACATCAACTAGGACAGGCAGGTCTCCAGGAGTTGGACTGGAGAGAGATGGAGTCTTTCTAAGCCACAAGAAAAGGAAAGCTCAACCAGGTGACCTCCATGGAAAACTCCTGCAAATGCTTACTCAAGACCTAGGGCTCTTTGCATGCCCAGAAGACACGAGGACACCAACAAACAAAATGCTTGGCCCTACAAGACCACAGATATTACTACTTCCACCATCTTGGCAAAGATGTGCCTCTTCCTCTTCACCCTACCAACATATCTAAATAGTTAAATGATGTATAAGAAATCAAATTCAGCACATAAAAGTATGCTCAAAGGTGTCAAGACACACAATGCAAAAATACAGTTCCTATTGAAGCTAAACCTATGCAAAGTCAAGGGGTGTCTCTTAAAGTGCGCTAAATAGTTTCATTACTCAGGGAGTGGCATTACAAACAAATCAAATAAAAAGTTAAAATAAAAACAAATGTGAAAATTAAGTCCAAAAAACAACTTAACTCTTACTACTTAATTTACCTGCAAGAAAAAGTTTAGTAAATATTTTTAATAGTCATTATGTTACAGAAAAGCAAGCTAGGATAAATGGGTTCTAGGCAAAATCAATGGTGCACCCAAGGAAAGAAACAACTTAAAAATTGTTATTTTATCATTCCTATCTAATGTTTCATTTGTAACTATGAGTAAACAGGTGTTTGAGAACAAATTCTAAAACTAACCTTTGGGTCACATTCAACTCTGAAAGCTTAGTATAAATATAAATACAAAAGTCCTCTGGTTCTATTACAAAGTTTAAGGGAGCTTTTAATAACATGTTTGCTTTAAAGTCCAGTAGTTTCATACTTCTTTTTTTTTTTTTTTGAGACAGAGTCTCGCTCTGTTGCCCAGGCTGGAGTGCAGTGGCACGATCTCGGTTCACTGCAACTTCCGCCTCCCAGGTTCAAGTGATCCTCCTGCCTCAGCCCCGCTAGTAGCTGGGATTACAGGTATGTGCCACCATGCCCGGCTAATTTTTGTATTTTCAGTAGAGTTGGGGTTTCACCATGTTGGGCCAGGCTGGTCTCTAACTCCTGACCCGCCTCGGCCTCTCAAAGTAGTTCAGTACTTTTACTACTACTCCTAATAGACCAAGGATAGTTATTTATTAGTACTTATTCATCTATCCTCTGCCTGGTCCCACATATGGCCAGCAGTAGCTATTTATTTAGGAAAAAAAAAAAAGGTTTAACAATGTGTGAATTGCTGTGAAAGTTGGTCTTTTAAGCTAACTGTCAAGCTGGTTAATCAAACTCTTAAATAGTTCTTCTTTCAGTTTCTTATCCTCATACTAAGAACATCTGTAACTGTTTTTGTCTACTACTGTAAAAGAGAATACGAAAAGACAAATGTAAACAGGGTTAAAAAAATCTTTATAAATATTAAATACTTATTCTGCTAGTAAGCTAGAGATAAACCCTGAAAAGTTAAACTCACATTTAAAATTAAAAAAAAAAAAAAAAGAGGCAAATAACTCTATGACAAGTCTGTCAGAACATGTTAGAACTTGCCTTACCAAATTTAATCACTAAGGTAATCCTCTATTAACAAGTAATAAAATATTTTCAGAGTTCACTTTCAAATCATGAAATAAATACAGATTTAAAAAGGTTTAACACAATGAAGACAGAAATAGAAAAATTTTAAATGAGCAGAAAAGTAGTAAAAAGTTTCTACTGCAGAATCATAGTGGGGGAAAAAAAGTCTAATTATAATTAGATCGAAGTTTAAAGAACTTTCTCAATACTTTCCATGATACCAGTAACTGACTACACTTCTAAAACAGCACCAGTAACATATGAATTAGTAAATTGTACAGATAAACATTTCTAGATATAAAAATATTACTGATAAATTTGGTAGAGAAGCATATGATATGGTGTCAAAAAACCTGGTGGACTTAGCCACTACTAAAAAGCTCAGAGTTTCCACCACAGTAAAAATTTTCTTAAAATCTTTCTTGGGAGGCCGAGGCGGGCGGATCATGAGGTCAGGAGATCGAGACCATCCTGGCTAACACAGTGAAACCCCATCTCTACTAAAAAATACAAAAAAATTAGCCAGGCGTGGTGGCGGGAGCCTGTAGCCCAGCTACTTGGGAGGCTGAGGCAGGAGAATGATATGAACCCGGGAGGCGGAGCTTGCAGTGAGTCAAGATCCTGCCACTGCACTCCAGCCTGGGTGACAGCGTGAGACACCGTCTCAAAAAAACAATCCTTCTCAGGGGTCTGAAAAATTTTAACAAGAAAAACACAGTTGTGAAAATTTTTTATTTAAAAATAATTTCCATTTAAGAATTGTCTACCAAGATATTGGACAAATCAAACCCATGTTTCTCTAAAGTTGTGTAAACTGCAATAAATCATAAAATAAAAACACTGTTCTCTACTTCAAATTTAATAATCTAGAGGTCAGAGGGAAAAAAAACAGTTAATCACACTTTGAGGTCTTAGAGCAATGAATTTATAAGACTATCTTTCAGGAAAGAAGACCTGTATTAGAGAAGCAATACAATTCAGTGGTTAAGAGCACTGATTCAAGAACCAAATAGCCTCTGTTTCAGTCTTGTCTGCCATTTACTAGGTGTGACCTTAGTATCTGTCTCAGTTGCCTCATCTGTAAAATAACATCTACCTCAAAATGTTATTCCACCTTTAGTACTGAAAGAAAAGCTTTTGTAAGACCAACGCCCCTGGAAGAACAACTATAAAAGCTGGATGAAAATAAAAAACTACCACCTCATACCCATTAGAAGAGTTACTATAAAAAAAAAAAACACAAAACACAAAATAACAAGTTTTGACAAGAATGTGGAAAAATTAGAGCTCTCGTGCACTGTTGGTGGAAACCTAAGATAGTATAGCTGCTGTGGAAAGCAATATAGCAGTTCCTCAAAAATTACAAAAACAATTAACATAGGATCCACTAATTCCACTTCTGGGTATACACCCAAAAGAAATGAAAGCACATCTTGAAGAGGTATTTGTACATTCGTGTTCACAGCAACATTATTCACAGTAGCCAAAAGGTGAAAACAACTCAAGTGTCCATCAACAGATGAACAGATAAACAAAATGTGGTCTACACATAGAATGCGGTATTATGCAGCCTTAGAAAGGAAGTAAACTCTCACATATGCCGTAATACGATGAACCTTAAGGACATGCTAAGTGAAATATGCCAGTGACAAAGGGACAAACACCTTATGATTCCACTTACATGAGGTAATGAGTGATCAAATCATAAACAGAGAAGGTAGAATGGTAGCTGGCAGAGGCTTGGTGGAGGGGAAAATGGAAAGTTACTGTTTAGTGAGTACAGAATTTCAGTTTTGCAAGATGAAAAGAATTCTGGAGAGGATGGTGGTGACAGCTCTGTACAACAATGTGAACGTACACTTAATAGCTCTGAACTGCACACTTAAGGGTAAGATGGTAAATTTTATATGTATTTGACCACAATTAAAAAAACAAACCAAAAACCCCCAGTGTTTAAAAGCATCAAGAGTAACAAAGGCAACCTAGACTTGTAGGGCCAAGATTCCGGAGAAAAGGCAAACATACTGAGAGGAGCCCCATACCAGCCTTCACTGGTTCCCTTCAGTCACTTGCTGTCTTTGGAGGACTGGAAATAAGAGCCCAACCAGAAAGACAAAAGTGGAGTTGGTTACCAAGCAGCTAGGACTTAAGATGTCAAGGTTCTGAAGAGGAGAGAAACACAAAGAGCCGCAATTTCTGCAAGAAATTTTTCACTGAGATGTTTACTGATACAGCACCCTAAGCAAGGGGTGATGACACCAAGAATCCAAACAGAAACTATCAAAGGGAGGCTGAAGATCTGTGCTGAAGAGACAACTGTTAGAATTCTAGGAACATTAATTCAGAAGGCAACCTGGCAAACACCTCAGGCTTTCTTTCAGTTCAGACCCCAGAGGAACTATGCTCTGTGAATAGGTATGTCCTGGAAATAAAGGCAAACTGTTAACAGACCAACACTAACTAAAAGCTAGCCTCAACTAGATCACGGTGATCTGACTGTACTTTACCTGCCTGCCGGAACAAAATTAAATTTACTTTGGAGGAAGGTATCATGCAGGGCCTCCACAATTTTTCACAAACAATACTGGAATTCAAATTTTAAAACACCATGCTTGCCCGTTTCCCCCACAAAACAAAACAAAAACAACCCAGGATCAAAAGTATAAAAACCAAAGGGGAAAAACCCCAAGAAGTCAAAATGTTCTAAGACCTTTGCCCTACCCAGAAAGTGGTAAGTAACAAAACAAAAAACTAATCTAATGCATATAATCTCTAAGGTAACTACTAAAATAACATGTAAATAATAAGCTAATGGGGGTGGGGGTAATAAAATACACTTATTAATCTAAAGAAAGCAAAAAAAAAAAGCTGAGGAAAGTAATAAAGAACAGATGAGACAGAAAAAAAAAACAGGACAGTAAATTTAAACCCAAATGTATCAGTAATTATTTTAAATGTAAACAAACTAAATGCTTCAATATATGGAACAAGTGATACACCTTAAAATTCTGGGTTTATCATAAACTCTACTAAACAGTCAATTAATGTAATTCTTTTGCACTGAGGTGATTGATAGAGCACAGTGGTGAAGACCATGAGCTTTAGAATCAACTTCTAAATTCAAATTTGAATCAAAAATCAAACACTGCAAATTCAAAGGCTTAAATCCAATGTTCTACTCCAGTTATTCAGTAAATGTATGATTTTGGCGGGTTAATCTCTCTAACCTCATTCTTAATCTTTCTAACCTCAGTTTTCCATTCACAAAAATGGAGATAACATTCAACTTTAAGGTCAAGTATTTAAAACATGTGGCACAGTGATACAGGTATGTAATAAATGATATCTGTTGTTATGTATTTGGAAAAACATTTACCTTCAAAGAAACACAATAAATTTTTTTGTTTTATTGATCTCCTAAAGTATTGCTTAAAAATAACAAAAATAATGATAAGATAATAATATTGTTAGGATTAAATAAACATACATAAAGTGCTTAAACAGTGCCTGGCACGCACCAAAGGTAAAAGTATTATTTGCTCTTTTGAGTAGCAGTGTTGGGGAGACTCAGCCAAGGAAGGCTTATATTAACCTACTTGAAGAGTTCCTAAAGAAACTGTGATCAACTTAATCTACTCTGTTTTCTTCCTTCATTATCATAATTCCTCAGACACTACATCTAGCTGTTCACTTTCAGTTTTAAGATGGTATAAAACTTAAGAGCTAAAAGGGCTCTAACATTTAAAATAATCTAATCAACATATCCTTACAGATTCCATAGATAGGTTTCAGGCACCCATAAACCCCTTGAAACTGCACAAAGTATGTGTTCTATGGTATGTGCATGCACACATGCCTGCCTCTTCCAGGAGAGAGTTCGTGAAATATGACCATTTTCCAAAGGATCTATGACTCCCAAAAGATAAGAATCAGATCTCTTGTCCAATAATTTTACAGATAAGAAAACAAGAGTCTTGAGAGGGTAAATAACTTGAGCAAATTAATGACAAAGCAGGAACTAGTTTCTTAATTCACATTAAACATTCTTCTCACTACTCCAAACTTCCCATATACATTGTCAGAGTCCACTTTATGTATACAAGTTCATTCCCTTTACTCTATCAAGATGTGATGTATTTCCGGGCTGGGCGCTGTGGCTCATGCCTGTAATTCCAGCACTTTGGAAGGCCAAGGCAGGTGGATCACCTGAGGTCGAAAGTTCGAGACCAGTCTGGCCAACGTGGTGAATCCCGTCTTTAAGAAAAATACAAAAAATTAGCTGGACGTGGTGGTGGGCGCCTGTAATCCCAGCTACTCGGGAGGCTGAGGCAGAAGAATCGCTTGAACCCAGGAGGCGAAGGCTGCAGTGAGCTGAGATTGCACCACTGCACTCCAGCCTGGGCGACAGAGGGAGACTCCGTCTCAAAAAAAAAAAAAAAAAAAAAAAAAAGAAAAGAAAAACAAATAATGTGCTCTATTTCTGACCACAGGGTCTACTTCATGTTAGGCAGTGTAAACACTGAATACTTGCCTTCCTAAACTTAATGTCATGGACTGCTAAAATCATCACTGCATATACCCAGAAAACAGTTCACAAGGCACAGCGATCAAGTTTATCATTCTCCAACCTGGGCGACAGAGCAAGACTAAGTCTCCAAAAAAAAAAAAAAAAGTTTACTGTTCTATTAATCTGTTTCAGATAGGGGCTGAAAAATATTAAATAACATTTTTAAGTAGCAAGAAAAATAAAATTAAAAAGCAGCAGGAATTTAAGGAAGGAAGAAACCCTTATTATCAGGCACATTCTTAACCTTTACAGTATTTCATGATGCCCTGGTTTCCTTGACATAAGGCCTAGTATGTGACTTCTAACTATAAAAAGATGCCGGGGTACTGGATACTGGTCAGTCATAGCTATAAAAATTAGAGCACAAATGGGGAAAGCCTGTCTTAAAAAGACCTTTCTTACAAAAGCAAAGTCAGTCAAAATGTTGAAGAGGTATAGCCCAAAAGTCACTGCATCCTGTTTCTTCTAGTACATCATTCTGAAAGCAGAGAAGGTGCCAGGAAAATTCTTAATCTATCTGTGCTTTTCCAGAATATAGTTATTTTCAAAATTCTCTAAATGTGCAACCTAGAATATTGTGAACAAACTTTTTAAAGAGCTAAAATCATCAAAATGTACATGAGAAAACACAGACCCACAGACTCCATCATCTCTATGTTCTTATCCTATCTTCTGGCCTCCAAAAAGGCACACAAATTCTCCACGGTAGCTTTAGCAAATAGCGTATAGTATTCATCTAAACTCTGCTCCTTGCCACCTATTACCTTTGGTTCACACCATGAGCAACATTTGCACTACAACGTTCACACTAATGAGCAATCTGACACACTCCTTAAAGATGCCTAAATTTTAATCTTGCATTTTATCAAGATTCCCTCCAGCCACACATTGATATAAGCAAACCTTGAACCTCATCATTAGAAGACATCAAATAACTCTGGCATTGAAGATCATCTTTTTCTTCCCACCTCTCCTACTTTGTTACACTTGAACGATCCCGTTTCTCATTCTCACTAGATCTCTAGGTCTGCTGATCCCAAATACGTAATACTTCTATTTCATGGACCATATGAGATTCACTTGCTTCCTTTAACAGCACAGACCCACAGCAACCATTTCAAAAACGCTACTATCTTAGAATTCTCCCCCACACCCAAGAGGGAAAATTCTATCAGTGGGTTTTCCTTATTTTGAACACTCTTCTCTGAGGCTAAGTACCCTGGAAAAAGGTCAAACTCTAACTGGCTCCACTATACAAAATTTGTGCCAACTCACCTAAATTATCCCCTCACAACTATAGATAATCCATTTATTTACACCTAGTTGATCACAGCACAGTGAGCATTCCATTTTTTTTCCTTGTATTAGTTTCTTATTGCTGCTGTAAAAATTACCACAAATTTGTGGTTTATCTATTCTCTTATATTCTAGAATTCAGAAAACTGAAATCAGTTTCAGCAGGCTAAAGCAAAGATGTTGGCAGGGCTGGCTCCTTATGGAGGCTCTCAGGAGCACCCATTTCCTTGCTTTTCTAGGGGCCATCTGTCTTCTTTGACTAGTGCCCCCGCCTCCATTTTCAAAGTCCATCACTCCAGTCTGTTTCTACAATCATATCGCCTTTTTTCTCTGACTGACTCTTTCATCTCTCTGGTAAGAACCAGTATGATTACATCAGGCCCAGGGGAACAGCCCAGGATAATCTCATCTAAAAATCCATAACATAATCACATCTGCAAAGTCCCTTTTGCCATATAAAGGCAATATTCCCAGGTTTCAATGATTAGTCATGGACATATTTCGGGATTAGGGGGCTGGGGAGTAGCCTACCACACTCCTTAAGGGCTCAACAACTCACATGCTTCTGTCACCCTAAACTGATGGTCCTACCTTCTACCTTACTAAGGAGACTAGAATACCAAAAGAGAGTTTCTCAGCTTCTCTCCTCTTCATAAAGTTATTTTTACACACCACTTCATCTCTTTACCCATCCTTGATGACTTTCCAAATAGCTCAAAGAAGCAGTGACCCTCCTTTCTTGGGTTACTCTCTCCCCATTCCTTTGAATTTATTCCCTCTAATCTCCTTTCAGAATAATTTGCAGAACACCTTTGCTGCAAATACCTTTGCTGCAAAGGTATTTGCAGAATACCTTTCAGAATACCTTTGCTGTTTGTGAAAATGACTGGAAATACAAATTCAAGAAGAAACACAAAAATACCTTTGAAATTCTCCATAAAGTTTTGCACAGCAATTCTTCTATTAGCCTTCTTAACAGAAGATCAAGATAGGAAATCATTTTGTTCCCTTTGACATTAACTGTAATTGCTTGAGTAGTCTATGGAATACTATCTATAATTTTCCCTTAACATTATATTCATTTTCATAGCTTGAAAGAGAAAAATGAACCAAATATTAATAAATACTTATGGATTGTATCAATAATTCAGGCTGTAATATAACGTATATAACAAATTTTCTGTAATGTCAAATCTTTTCCCAATCATTAATCATTTGAATAATTTAAAACTGAAAGTGAAACATATTAACCAGTACCAAACTATCTTATAAGCTAAACATGGAGTTATTTCTTTAATAAAAGAATGAATCGGCTGGGTGTGGTGGCTCACGCCTGTAATCCCAGTACTTTGGGAGGCCGAGGTAGGCAGATCACGAGGTCAGGAGATTGAGACCATCCTGGCTAACACGGTGAAACCCCATCTCTACTAAAAATACAAAAAAAAAAAAAAAAAATTAGCCGGGTGTGGTGGTGGGTGCCTGTAGTCCCAGCTACTTGGGAGGCTGAGGCAGGAGAATGGCATGAACCCGGGAGGCGGAGCTTGCAGTGAGCTGAGATCGTGCCACTGTACTCCGAGACTCCCTCTCAAAAAGAAAAAAAAAAGAATGAATCAAATTAACGTATGTAAGTAAAGCAGGGATTACAAACTCTTAATGCTTTCAGGAGCCAAACAGGTAATGCAAGTCTCAAGCATTAGGAAGGGGTGGAGTGGCAGAAACTAGAGGCCACATGTTCCATCAAGAGAGATGTAGAGTTGATTTTTGCAACACCGAACCTGCCAAACAACAAAGTTATGTGGGACAAATTTTGAACAATCGTTACCTCCATGTAACCTGTGACTTTATTTACATTTTCAAGAGGCAGTGTGTCCCATAGTTTAATGCATAACATTTTAGACACAGACACCTCCTTGTTAAGAGTAAAAGTCAGCTAGGCCGGGCCTGTGGCTCACACCTGTAATTCTAGCACTTTGGGAGGCCAAGGCGGGCAGATCACGAGGTCAGGAGATCGAGACCATGATGGCTAACACAGTGAAACCCCGTCTCCAGTAAAAATACAAAAAAATTAGCCGGGCGTGGTGGCAGGCGCCTGTAGTCCCAACTACTCAGGAGGCTGAGGCAGGAGAATGGCGTGAACCCGGAAGGCAGAGCTTGCAGTGAGCCAAGATCGCGCCACTGCACTCCAGCCTGGGCAACAGAGTGAGACTCCGTCTCAAAAAAACAAAACAAAACAAAACAAAAACAAAAACAAAAGTCAGCTAGCTGATTAGGTAGTAGGTGGGCAGACAGTGAAGTTTCTTCTCTCCTCCTGCTCTGGGCCTAAGATCTGAAATCCCAATAGTTAGAGCCAGTAACCACAAGAAACCTGCATAGTTGGTAATATAACCTAAGAGTCTAGGTTGAGGGTAAAAGTCTTACAAAAAAAAAAGTGGAGATGTCCACAGAGAAAAACTTTTTTGATTTCTGAAAAATTAAAAGCATATTTTATCTTAAATGAGGTATCGGTTAGAGAGGTGCATATGTTTGTCAAAAATCATTTTGTACACTTTAGTTCATTTCAACATACATTAAATTTTACCTTAATTTTAAAATGCACTTTTGGTTGGGCACAGTGGCTCATGCCTGTAAGCCCAACACTTTGGGAGGCTGAGGCGGGTAGATCACTTGAGCCCAGGAGTTCGAGACCAGCCTGGCCAACATGGCGAAACCCCATCTCTACCAAAAATACAAAAATTAGCCAGGTGTGGTGGCATGCACCTGTAGTCCTAACTACTCAGGAGGCTGAGGCAGGAGGATCACTTCAACCCAGGAGGCGGAGGCTGCAGTGAGCAAAGACAGCACCACTGGACTCCAGCCTGGGCGACAGAGCAAGACCCTGTCTCAAAAAACAAAACCAAACAAACAAAAAAACCCCATAAAAATGTACTTTTAAGTAGATTTTAATTAAGCCTAGAACACTACACATAAAAAGGCAATGTAAGTAAATGAAGGATATGAAAATTTAAAAAATTTATCTTGTAGAACATGAAGGTATCAACACTTTCTTTTTGAACCTAAAATAGCCTTTTTTTTTTTTTTTTGAGATAAGAGTCTTACTCTGTCATCCAGGCTAGAGTGCAGTGGCATGATCTTGGCTTCCTGCAACCTCTGCCTCCCAAGTTCAAGCAATTCTCCTGCCTCAGCCTCCGAGTAGCTGGCATCATAGGCACGCACCACCACACCTAGCAAATTTTTTGTGTTTTTAGTAGAGATGGGGTTTCACCACACTGGCCAGGCTGGTCTCAAATTCCTGGCCTCAAGTAATCCACCCACCTAGGCCTCCCCAAGTACTGGAATTACAGGGGTGAGCCACTGTGCCTGGCCTAAAATAGCATATTTTTAATAAGCATTTTTAAAAAGTGTAGTTTATTTAAAAAAAAAAACATACAATATAACTCTGCACCAACTCATTAAAGATATATGTAAGTGCCTAGTTTGTACAAGGAGCTGTGGTAGGTATTAAAGACATAATAGTACACAAACACTGTTTCCATCCTCATACACTCCACTGGGCAAACTACACACTGAATAGTTGGTTAATGACTGTGATAAATGTTGCAAAGGAATAGTACTAGGTACAATGAGAGCAACTGCAGCCAGTGGGGAGTACGTGGGTCAGGGAAAGCTTACCAGAAATATAAGGTAAGACATAAAGAATAAGTAGAGCAAGTGACATTAAAGAAAAAAAAAATTCTAGAAACATTTCCAGACAGAAGATATGTAAAAGAATTCCAAGATGAGAGATAAGGATTTCAACAGGGCAGTGACATGATCAGATTTGGCTTTAAAATAGTAATCCTGGGAGCAATATGGAAAACAGAGAAGAGCCCAGTGAACACTGTAAGACTAGCAACACTGAATATTTCAAGAGAGAAATGAAGGTGGTTTGATGTTGAGTAACAGACAAT
Source organism: Homo sapiens (assembly GCF_000001405.40). Classification (NCBI taxonomy): domain Eukaryota; kingdom Metazoa; phylum Chordata; class Mammalia; order Primates; family Hominidae; genus Homo; species Homo sapiens. Next base: position 224,531,972 of record NC_000002.12, read on the forward strand.
AAAGAGAAAACTGGAGAGTCTAGCAACAGATGATGTAGGGAGAAAAAAAGAACTTATAAGAATAATTCTCAGGTTTCAGTATGATAGTGATTATCAACTGAATGATAGTGATTATGAGCTCATTTGGACATGCCAAGTTTGAAGTACTTCAGAGAATGAAGGCTCCATTAACTAGACAAATGCATATATGAGTCTGAATCTCAGGAAATGAAGCTAGAGACACAATTTGGGAATCATCTGCACAGAGGCACATGAAGCTACATAAGGTGAAGAGAGTGTACCATGAGAAGAACAACTAGGACTAAACCCCAAGAATGCCTCTATTTAAGGGGGGATGGTGGGGGCAGTTAGTAGTCATTGAAGGAGGAGGAGAGGCTAAGAAACAGTAAGAAGGTAGGTAGGAGGCATACAAAGAGAGTTCTTTGTTACAGAAATCAAGGAAACATGTTAGAAGAACGAAGGAATGACCAACTGTGGCAAATGCTGCTTAAAAAAAAAAAAAAACAAGGAGAATGGGGATTAGCAGTCTCTCTATTCTGAGATGAAAAGATACCATGGTGATACTAGTAAGGGCAAAACTTAACATAATAGTTGAGGTAGAAGCTTAACTGTAATGTATTCAAAGTGTATGAAAGATGAGAAAAGGAAGATGGCAAATGTCAACATTTCTTACAACACATTTAGTTATGAATGACACACGACAGATCCTGGGAGACAGTGCAGGGGTTCACCAGAGAATTTAACAGAATTGTATTCTGAGGATTGAGTGAGTGGCTTGAACATGTTTAATGCTGGTTGAGTAAGATCCAATATGAAAGGTAGAACCCTAAAATACTTAAGGTTCATGACAAGGTAGAAAGGGATTGACCCATAGCACAGGTTGAGATGTGGCCTGACAGAAGAGGACACCACCCTCCACTAAAAGAGGAGGGAAAAAGAAAAACATAAAAGGGGAGAAAATACAAGTAAAGTTCTAGATTTAGCGGCAAAAAATGAGCATAGTTCCTACCTGATGCTTTCTCTTTTCTCTGAGAAATAGAAAGTAAGATCATTTACTACAAGGGAGGAAACCCAAGGGAGAGATGGAGGTCTGAAGAGAAATAACTGCTGGAGCAAGCTGACTAAAGAAAAAGAGTGAAACTGCTGGGCAGTGTGAAGGGTTGACCACAGGTCTGTGATGCGACAAACAGTGAAACAGTGGCATCAATCTACCCTGTATGAATTTTCAGTTCATGCAGCACTGTGGTACTACCGAATGGGTTTGATGAAAAGATGAAGGGACAAGAAATAATACCAGTTAATCTCTAATGAGCATGTTACTATGGGCCAAGCCCTACAAGTGGTTTACATGAATTGTTCCACTGAAGCCTCATGACTACTCTACCCAATATTATTTTCATTTTATAGATGAGGAACCTGAGGGGTGAACTAATTAACTTCTTGACCATGTGTAGAGTCAGAATTCAAGGTTTGAGATTTTGTTGCAAAAAAAAAGAAAAAAGAAAGAAAAAAAGGGAGGAGGAGGACTGAAACAAAACACACTTTAAAAATAACATCAGAGTCTGCGTGTGTATAAAATTTTAAAGTTCTTCTTTTGTCAAAAGAATAAACCGTAAGATTACAAGTGGTTTTCTATCTTAATGTTAGATAGTTAGGATGCGATTTAAAGACTCACCATATCTAGAACTTCGAAAACAACAAGCTAACTTATTTCAAATTTATATGCCAGATAATATATGTTGTCACATACCATCTCATTTAACTTCAAAATGATAACACAAGGTTAATTTATAACCGGATGAGAAAAATAATGCTCAGAAAAGCTAAATAATTTGTTATACCTTTTATCAAATCCCTTAAAAGTGAAGTGGCCTCTCCCTGACCCCCTTGCCACTAAGCCCTTACAAAACCAGGGGTAATAGGCCTGACTGAATTCACAGAGCAGAACAAAAAACTTTACAGCTGTTTGTTCTCATTGGAAATTCTTCCCAAACATTGCTTTATTCTACCAAGTAAAAGAAACTAGGACAAGCTCTCATCACTACATTAAAACTAAAAAAACTAGAAACAAAAATATAAAAAGGTAAAACTTTGGGAAAAATAATTATATCCAATACACAAACATAAACACTGATGTAAAACAAGTCATTAACTTATTAATTTTGGAGTGATACAGTAATTAAACTTAATGAATCTAGCGTCATTCTATAGCACCAAATTTTTTTTAACTGGAATTTAATCTCTCTGAAAGTTATTAAACAGCTGAGATCAAAGTCAGTGTTTTCCAAATGATCTTGCTGAACAGGATTTTTTTCTTGACTGATGAAAACAAAATACAGCAATAGCCGGTGAAAAATGGAATATACATGTGAAGAAGCTAATATCCTTAAACAAGACTAGCTGCAATATTGCACTGCAATAATATACTATTAAGAAAAATAGATGGCAGCTATGAGTGTATGATTATCAGAAAAAATAATTGTATTAATATGACATCCTCTCTCACTGAAGATGTAAGAATTAAGGATTTAAAAACTTGTAAGAGAATATTCAGCTTTTGTTTCTCATTGTCATTTAACAACTCTTAAGGAGATGTTAATATGGTTTTTTCCATATTTTCCATTTTAAAGGACAAGTGCTAAATACTAAGAAAAAAATTAAATCATTCCCTTTCAGTTTCTCATTCTAAGCATTCACTAAGTATGTGAACAATTAAGATTTTTATTCATGGCCGGGCACAGTGGCTCACGCCTGTAATCCCAGCACTTTGGGAGGCCGAGGTGGGCAGATCACCAGGTCAGGAGATAGAGACCATCCTGGCTAATGTGGTGAAACCCCGTCTCTACTAAAAAGAAAAATAAAATAAAAATAAAAATAAAAATAGCCGGGCGTGGTGACGGGCACCTGTAGTCCCAGCTCATCAGGAGGCTAAGGCAGGAGAATGGCGTGAACCCGGGAGGCAGAGCTTGCAGTGAGCCGAGATCATGCCACTGCACTCCAGCCTGGGGAACAGAGCGAGACCCCGTCTCAAAATAAATAAATAAATAAATAAATAAATAAATAAATAAATAAATAAATAAATAAATAAAGATTTTTATTCACATAGGCTTCGGTTGGCCCTTACAAAGAAAGTACTGTTCATTTAAAAAACAAAAACCACCTTCCACACTGAGACGTACTATAACTAAGTTAGACAGAAAGTCATTGTGTTTTGAAATGTTTAATTTCTTTTTGAGACGGAGTTTCACTCTGTTGCCCAAGTGAGAGTGCAGTGGCACGATCTTGGCTCACCCCCCGGTTCAAGCGATTCTCCTGCCTCAGCCTCCCAAGTAGCTGGGATTACAGGTGCCCACCACTGCACCTAATTTTTGTATTTTTAGTAGAGACAGGGTTTTGCCACGCTGGCCAGGCTGGTCTCAATGTCCTGACCTTAAATGATATGCCCACCTTGGCCTCCCAAAGTGCTGGGATTACAGGCGTGAGCCACCGTGCCCAGCCTTCAACTTCAAATGCTTAACTGCTTAAAGGAAGAAAACATTTAAAAAGCTCTACTTACCATGTACATTAGTATGTCTCTAATCATCACCATAGCTGTTTGATGATCATTCCAAGCTTGATTTAGCGTTTGAAGAAAGTTGTTATTCAATGAATTTAGTACATCTTCTCGCACCTAGTAACAGAAGAGTTCATTAGTTTGCACACACACATCCACACACTCGTATATACAGGCATGCACATATCTGTTTAATAAAATAATGAAGTGGAATCTTTAATTTAAATCAAAGAAATGTTATAGGCTAGTAGAAATATTTTAAGCTATAACCTATACACAGAAGAGTATCAAATGTATATGTATAGTACAGACTCCTCTTCTGATCTCCAGAACATAAATCAACTTCCTAGGTATTTCCCAACCCTCCAGTGACTTGACATCATTGTCAGAGTAAAATCCTATATTCTTATAGTAAGTTACAAGGGCCTGTAAGACTGGCTTCATGCTACTGCTGAATTTCCTACTACACCTTCCCTTCCCCAACTTTGAATAATGGTTGAGAATACTGATTTTGGAGTCAATTACCTGGGCTCCAATCCCAGCTCCCTAACAAACTGGGTGACCTGGGATAAATATTTAACCTCTGTGCCTCAGTTTCCTTATATGTGAAATAGCATTCTTCTTGTAGGATTGTTTTAAGAACTGAATTAACGCTAGCAATACACTTAAAACAGTGCTTAGTACTCCGTAAACACTCTATAATAAACTACTCAGTACACTTCAGCTACAATGGCCTCTTTACTAAATACAGCAACTGTGCTCTGCCATTCCTTCTGCCTCAATTCACATGGCTCGTCCCACTCACTTTATTTTGCTCAAATTTCATCTCTGGAGAAGTCTTTCCCAACCAATTACTTCAAAGAAAGCCTAGCTCTACTTCTTCACCATACAATTTGTTTTTTGTCATAGCATTCATCATTACCTACTATATTAGTTTATTTGTTTATTGTTTCTTCCACTAAAATGTAAATGTCTCCATGGTGGCAGGATTTCTATCTTTTCCATGTGTATATCCCACACCTAGAATAGTGCTTGGTATATATAACACCATTTATTTCATATCCCTGCCCTCCAATGCCATGATTCACCTCCAACATAAGCACTTTCAGGATTACCTGCTTTTGCACATAAAGTTCCCTTGAGCCTGAAATGTCTTTCCAATCCAACCCTAATAAAAGACTATTCAAGACTTCAAAAATTCCTTTCCACAGTCCACAAGCTTAGTACCATCCTCTCTGATAAAATGTTATTGACCACTACTCTTTCCTGCTATGCTATCTGCCCAAAAGAAAGACCATTTCACTCAGAAACAGAATCTAGACTCTGGTTCTTGTTTTATCACAAAGTCGTCGTGTGTTTGTCTCCAAGTTCCTGTAACACTTTGGGACTATACTGCCAACTTCTACAGTTATTCAAATCCAACCAACCTTCCATAATCCAGCTAAACTCTCAATAACTCTACACTAAACAAAACTTTTTTATCTCCAAATATCCTTTACCATAGAGAATTTCTAATAGTGGTTATGCTTTTTCAGATTGGGAAAAAGCTGAAGTCATGGTGCTTTCTGAGAAACATCAACTATTTAATGTATGTTGAGATATATAGACACCTCTAAAACAATTATAAATACACATAAATAAAATGCCATTCTGTATCAGATCTAATATGAACAAGTGGCTAAAAGTGCCAAAGAAAATACACACAACACACTGTGGAAGAATAAATTCAAACTAAGAAAACAGAATCTTTTCCTACATATTGGGGAAAACGAGGTTATTAGATTTAATGATGAGACAATATATCTAGTCTACTAAATATACAGTATAAAAATCACTAGGCCTGTACCACATAATTTAGAATTTTATCATATATTTAATCTTTTGTTCACAAGACTAAGCTCCATGACTTCAAGTTACATCACCCAGAAATTCCTCCAAAAATGTTAACTATATCAAGTTAGTTAATGGAAATACTTATACAAAATGAATAATGTATCATTTGTTTCAACTCATTAAATCTAGCACTTGTCAGATACAAATCCCAACAAAAACCCAGCAAGCTGAAAACGTGCTTATTTTCAAAATTTTACACCAAGCTTCATATTCCTTTACTGAAGAGTAGCAATTAAATTAAAATCATGACAATGCAAGAGCAATCTACGCTACATACAAAAAAAATACGTATTTCAAACATCAGAATATCAAGCCCATTAATTATTCTTAAGGACTTATATGAACTTCTACATACCGCTATATTATAAAATTAAGTTAAATGTTAACTACATTAAAATCACCCTGAATTTGGAACACGTAAATGTGCCTGCATATTTGTTGAATGAATAAAAAATTGACCAATTAAATAAAAAGTTAATGTTACAAAATAAGGCATGTTCTTTCAAATCACTGATTTGTACATTTTATAAAAAAATATATCAAGTATTTACATATTTGTCATCATATTTATACCTGCCTTTCAGCAAAATAAAACGTGATCTCCTAGTACAATGTGTCATAATTGCCTTGTTTGCATCATACCTCAAAAAATTATCCTGACCAATAACGGTGAATTTTACTAGCAGAAAATAGCTACAATTAAGAGCTAATTTTGTTTATTTTTCAATTATGCATACACACACACACAAACTCATGACTGAAAGAAGTAAAATGAATGCCTTAGATACACTGCTGCAATGTCTTCTTATTCAGATTACTCTATGAACAAAAAATTTTTCCTCCAACATTTCTGTAGAAAATTAGTTGAAAGTGAACAGATTATTTATTCAAACATACACAATAAAATGGTAGGAATGAGATGAAGATTATGAAGATTAAAATAGGCTTTTAAAAAGATGGTTAAGTTGGCACATAAACTACACATTAAGTGAAAAAAGGATCTTTATTTTACAAATTATTAACATCTTATAAAAAAATTGAAAAAGAAAGCAAGCATGGGAAATATGGTGGGAGGGATAACATTGTTAATCTCATGGCCTAACACAATCACCTACTTTCTGCACCAGCAAGGCAAATGGGAGGGAACCCTGCTGTACAGGTAGTACCAGAACCAAAACAGCCTATGGATTAAGTATGAACAGATAATTAAAGAAAACCTATACTAAAATTACACAGATAAAGAGTTGGAATTTGAGGGGAGAGACATGGAAGAACAAGTAGCAACACCAGAGAAATTGAGAGCAGGATGGGACCAGCTGTGACAAAAAAGATGAAGTGCAAGTAATGGAGAACTGATGGCTGTGCCTGGTACTAGCTTTGCAAAGGAAGAAAGAGAAAGCTCAACACAGTGGATCACAAATCAGGCAGAAAATTAGAGTCACCCGAAGAGCTTTTACAAACAGATTTTAAGTACGATGCAGTAGTGTGTCCGTGGTCTCAGCTACTCACGAGGCTGAGGGGGTAGGATTGTTTGATCCCAGGAGTTTGAGGCAAGCCTGGGCAACACAGCAAGATCCTATCTCTAAAAATAAATAAGACTTCAGTGAAGAGAATGAGAAAACAAGCCACAGACTGGGAGAAAGTATTTGCAAAAGACAAAGCTAATAAAGAACTATTATCCAAAATATATAAAGAATTCTTAAAACTTAGAAAGTAACTCAATTTTTAAAAAGGCAAAAGATCTTGACAGACACCTAACCAAAGAAGATATACAGATGGCAAGTAAGCATTTGAGGAGATCATAGGTCATTAGGACACTGCAGATTAAAACACCAATCTGATACCATTACATACCTTTGAGAATGGCCAAAACATTGACAATACCAAATGCTAGCAAGGACGCAGAGCAAAAGAGTATCTCATACACTGCCAGTGGGAATGTAACATGGTACAGTCACTTTGGAAGGCAGTTTGGCAGTTTCTAACGAAACCAGACATACTCTTACCATATAATCTGGCAATCACACTCCTGAGTTTTTTCTTAAATGAGCTGAAAACTTACGTCCACACAAAACCCCACACACAAGTGTTTAAAGCAACTTCATTCATAATTGCCACAACTTGGAAGAAACCAAGACGTTCTTCTGCAGATGAGTGGATTAATAAATTGTACTACATTTAGAAAATGGAATATTACTCAGCACTAAAAAGAAATGAGCTATTAAGCCATGAAGAGATATAGAGATAACTTAAACGCATATTACAAAGTGAAATAAGCTAATCTGAAAAGGGTATATACTGTATGATCCAACTATATGACATTCTGGAAAAGGCAAAACTAAAGAGAGAGCAAAAAAAAAAAAATAGGTATGTAAGTAGGCAGAGCACAGGATTCACAGGGCAGTGAAACTATTCTGTACAATACTATACTAGTGAATATATGTCCAAAACCATAGACTGAGTTCATTCCAAAAGTGAGCCCTCATGTAAACTATGGACTTGGAGTGATGACGTGTCAATGTAGGTTCATCAATTGTAATAAATGTACCACTCTGGTGTGGATGTGCATACAGGGGGGGAGGCTGTGCATATGTTGGGGCAGGGGTGTATTTGGGAAATCTTAGTACCTTCCATCCTCCACCTTTTTTTTTTTTTTTTAGATGGAGTATCGCTCTGTTGCCCAGGCTGGGGTCCAGTGGCGCAATCTTGGCTCACTGCAACCTCTGTCTCCCAGGTTTAAGCCATTATTCTGGCTCAGCCTCACAAGTAGATGGGATTACAGGTGTGCGCCACCACACCTGGCTAATTTTTGTATTTTTAGTAGAGACAACGGTTTCACCTTGTTAGCCAGGCTGGTCCTGAACTCCTGACCTCAAGTGATCCACTCGCCTCGGCCTCCCAAGGTGCTGGGATTACACTGTGTCCAGCCTCTCCACTGAATTTTGGTGTTATTCTGAAAACGGCTCTAAAAACCAAACTTTATATTTAAAAAAAAAAGGGAGGGAGGGAAGAAGGAAGAGGAAGGAGGAAGAAGAAAGAAAGAAGAAAGAAGAAGAAATATTTGGGGACCACACAAGATCAAAAGACAACCCTAATTTTAAAGTATCTACCCAGGTGACTCTGATATAACATCCAGGACTAGGAAACCACTGGCTCCCACACTAGCCATTTCTGTCTCTTCCCTTTGCAGAACTTCTTCAACATGAGTATGTTTTTATATTATTGTAATAATAGTATTTATGCAATTCTGAGTCCTGCTTTTTTCTTCTAAAAAACAAACAAAAAAACCCACACAGGATCCACGTGCAGAACGTGCAGGTTTGTTACATAGGTATATGTGTGCCATGGTGGTTTGCTGCACCTATTGACTCATCCTCTAAGTTCCCTCCCCTCACCTCCCATCCTCCAACAGGCCCTGGTGTGTGTTGTTCTCTTCTGTGTCCACGTGTTCTCAATGTTCAGCTCCCACTTATGAGTGAGAAGAGCCCTGCTTTTTTAATGCCACTGATTAACATTTAATATTAACCTTTGGTTTAGAAGAAAAATACCTAGCTGTATCATATCATGTCCAATGCACCATAGTAATCCAAAGAAAAAGGTCAGATTACAATAAAGTGTAAGAAGAAAATGTCATCTGATAATTTTAAGCAAATGATACCAAAAGCATAATTTATAAAAGAAAAAATGCTAAACTGGACTCTACTGAAATTAAAAACTTTTGTTCTGTAGACACCACTGAGACAGTAACAGAGAGAAGCTACAGAATAGGAGAAAAACCAAATGACTGTATCCAGAACATATTAAAAAAAAAAAAACTCTTAGAACTTAGCAATGACAGCAAATAATTTAAAAATGAGCAAAAGACTTGAACAGACACTTCACCAAAGAGGATATACAGATGGCAATTTTGTACATGAACAGATGTTCAACAATGTAAGTCATTAGGGAAAAGCTAATTAAAACCATGAGAAACCCCTACACACCCATCAGAATGGCTAAAACAAAAGATGCTGACAGTATCAACTGCTGACAAAGATTTGCAACAACTAGAACTACCATAAACAAAATGGTACAGCCTTACCAGAAAACAGTTTGGCAGTTCTTAGGAAGTTAAATAACATCACGTGACCCAGCAACCCTACTTCTATGTATTTAACAGAGAAATGAAAACTTACATTCACACAAAAATCACACACAAATGTTCATAGCAGCTCTACTCACAACCACAAAATGTCTTTCAACAAGTATACAGGTAAATGAATAAGCAAACTGTGGTACATTCATACAATAGAGTATCAGCCATAAAAGGGAACAAATTATTGATAGAATAGTTTGGATCAATCTCAAAATAATTATGCTGAATGAAAGAAACCAGACTCAAAAGATTACAAACTATAATTCCAATTATATGACATTCTTGAAAAAAAAAATCCAAAACTATAGTGTTAAGATAGCAGATCAGTGGTTGTCAGGAACTAGGGGTTAAGAGAACTATAAAGGGATAACAGAGGGAGTTTACTGGGGTCAAGCAACTGTTCTATATCAAGTGTGACAGTGGTTACATGAATCTTTATGTGTGCTGAAATTCAGAGATATATGAAAATAAAGGCCAATTTTATTATACACTAATTTTTAAAAATTTGAATTATTATTTGAAAATTGGGCCCTGTTTCCTTATTATTTTATCATAAACATAAGCTATGATGCCACAAGCTTTATTCATAAAAGCAATTTTAATTCCAAACAATGAAAGAATTGTTAAACAATTTGAGTATATCAACCTTATGAACCACTCTGCAACAATTCAAACTTGACCACTATTCTTTGTTTCTGTGGATATAGCTTTTCTCGCATTTTTAAAAATTAAATCCTTAGCAAAGATTAAAGTGGAATTACTGTCAAAAGGAAACCTTTTTCTTTTTTTAAGAAACAGGGTGTCACTCTTTCACCCAGGCTGGAGTACAGTGACACAATTATAGCTCACTGCAGCCTCAAGCTCCTGGGCACAAGTGATGCTCCCACCTGAGCCTCCCAAGTAGCTAGGACTTCAGCAGCACGCGCCAGCACTTCTGGCTTTTTGTGTGTGTGTGTGTGTGTATGTGTGTGTGTGTGCCAGCACTTCTGGCTGTGTGCGTGTGCGTGTGTGTGTGTGTGCGCGCGCGCATGCGTGTGTAGGTAAGGGGTCTTACTGTTTTGCCCAAGCTGGTCTCGAAGTCCTGGCCTCAAAGTGATCCTTCCACGTTGGCCTCCCAAAGTGTTGGGATTATACGCATGAGTCACCGTGTCTGGCCTATTTTTCAACTGTATAATAAAACCTGCTTAATGATAAATTAATGTCCAAGCTGCAATATACACATCCTCAAGTCAGTCAAATTACTGGTAAAGAGAAACAAAAGGAGCTGGAAAGGAGGATGACAGGAGACAACAGCAGGAATGACCAGGAGCTACAGGCTTCCAAACTTTGCCCTTGAGTTTTCATTCCCAAATATCTCCATGGATTGACAAGGAAGCAATACTGGGCCAGCAGCTCTTGGGCTAGCTGGAGAGCTGAAGGACATAATGTGCACAGTTCTCCCATACCCCACAACACACATAATTGTTTTTAATCATTAATTAAAATTTTTTCACACTCTACATTTCAATGCCTGGGGCAAAATCCCAGCCAGCCAATCCTAATTAAATGTCTAGGTAAAACAAAGAAATCATCAGCTAAAACAAATTAAAAACTTTAATTCTAAAGTTCATTGAAACTAAAACAGAGTCACATAATCAATGATGATATGGAATACTGAAAATTGAGGACTTCCTTGGTAAACAAGTCTCCAAATTCAGGACAACATTAGGTCCAAATATAGACAAATCCCCAAAGTACAGAAATTTATACTTGGCATTACTGTCCATCAAAAAAATACTAATCATGTATTAAAAACATAAAATGAGACATAATAACATGGAGCACATCCTAATTATACCAGGACATTAAAAAGTATCACAGAGGTACAATAACTCAAAGGTATGTCATTCTATAAATCTATAGTATTTTAACATTCACCCAGAAGCTAAGATAATAAAAATCTGCTAAGGTTGAATATCACTTATCCAAAACACTTGGAGGCCACTCGTGTTTCAGATTTTTGATTTTTTCAGATTTTCGGTTTTTTCAGATTTTGGAATATAATACTTACCAGGTAAGCATCCTTAATCCGAAAATCCAAAATCTGAGATGCTCCAATGAGCATTTCCTTAAAGCATCATCTCAGCACTCAAAAAGTTTCGGATTTTGGCCTGGTGTGGCGGCTCAATGCCTATAATCCCAGCACTCTGTGAGGTTGACGTGGGCACAATGGCTTGAGCTCAGGAATTCAAGACCAGCCTGGACAACATGGCAAAACCTCATCTCCACCAAAAATATAAACAATTAGCTGGGGGTGGTGGTGTGTGCCTGTAGTCCCAGCTATTCAGGAGGCTGAGGTGGGAGGATCACTTAAGCCCAGGAGGTGGAAGCTGCAGTGAGCCGAGATCATGCCACTACACTCCAGCTAGGGTGACAGAGTGAGACCCCTCCCATTTCAAAAAAAAAAAGAAAAAAGTTTCAGATTTTGGATTTTTGGATTAGGGATACTCAACCTCTTTGCAGACAACTGCCCAGGGAAGTCACTAACTAAGGGCTCTGAGCAAGTCACCTAACCTATCTAGTCTGTAGCACCTCTTTACCTGTGATGTGACTATGGTTGATTAGATCAATGACATCATGTTCCACTGCAATGCCTTACTTAGCACCACTGCAGAAAAGACTTCATTTCCCCTTATTAAATATGATTTATAATAGTTTTGTATGATTTTTTAAATTGGGGCTTCTATTTTAAAATAATTGACAGCCACTGGATGCCTGCTATCTTTCTGGCTCTAAATTCCAAAACATGTTGCCTGTTTCATCTGTTAAAGACAGCATAATACAAAAGCATGCAACATTTACTATGACCTACAAAAATAGCACTTAATGCCATAACTTCTTCAATCACTTTATTAACGATGGATAAGTTGCTTTTAGTTTTTTACCATTATAAGTAATGTTACAAAAACATTCTTACATATACAAAAAAAGTTAAAAAATAAAAATAAAAATAGCATTTAAATTTCCACTTAAAACATACTTTTTTCAGTCCTGCATTAATCACATGTGGTCTAGGGGTTTGTCACTTTATAAATTTTGCCAGTTACATGAATTTTAGTCTTCCAAGGAATGCCATTAAATAATTCTTAAAGATTTCAAAATTTTTCCACCTTATCATACCACAGTGGTATGACACAAACCTATCAATAAAAGTGGCTTACTAGATAAAGTGAATCCCAATGGGAGACAAGCCATAAGGTATAGAGGACAGCTGACAGAACTGTTTGAGAAAAAAGCTTCATGGCTCTTTCCCTCACCCTGAGAATTCCTGATCTAAAAGGTTAAAAAGAAACACTGCAATGTTCTGCTATTTTTACAGAAGTCATATACAAAAATAGGGGCAGGTCAGGAATAAGGACACTTGCTTTCCTTTCCTCTAAAGGATAGAATTTCTGAATGACTGGAAGGAACTCTTACCTCATATTTTGAGGAATTCTTAATGCAGTCAAACTCCAATTATTTGTACAACTAATATAAATTTGGTTAACAGATGTTGCTGTTATAATACATATAGCAATCTTAAGATTTCTGTATCTCAAACAAGCTTCTACTAAGGCCAAGATAATTAATTTTAAGTTTTGTAGGTATTTTAAACTTTCCAAGAATTAACTAATGATGAGATTCCTGAATAATATAAAATTCACTATCCTTTTCATACAGTAGACTGTGTTATTCTCATTATTTTTAATTAACTTTAATAATTAAGATGGCAATAGTGATCAGAAAAATTATACCAGTATCCTTAAAAAAACAGTAAGATAGCCACTGTAGGGAAAAAATTTTCTCCATTGCTGCCAGAAGATTCCTCATTAAGTAATTTTCTAACGTACATAGTAATGTAACTTAACAGCATTTCACAAAAAGCACACTATTCTCAATTTCAAAATCAAATTCATTCTCAGTGGAAATATTCCCCATTCTTACTCTTTGCTTTAAGTGTCCAAAATGAAGCTCTTAAAGAAATCAGGTCCTATTATCAGATATCAACCACTCATTCAAAAGTATACAAAGTATTTCCCCAGACTGACAATTCATGTATTTATGTTTGCTTCCAGCAGGCAAAACAGGGTGCTTGGCACTATGGGGGATACAAGACACTTTCAGCCACTTTATAATCTCTGAGGGAGAGGGGAGAAGGGGGAGCCTAATATTAGCATTCAAATGACCTCAATACAAAGTAGAATACAATAAATAGCACTACGGAAAAGTTACAAAGTTCAAAGAAGGAACACAGAACAGGTGTTAGGACAATACACTTTCACAATTTCATACATAAAGATAATTTGCTACGTGTTGAAGCAAATACTATTTTAAAAATCACATAAAATTTGACATTTTTAAAAAAGGCATTCTTAGTTCAAATATGCTTTTAAACTGGTCTTAAAATAGTATGACTTAGAAAAATCAGGATTTCTCAATCAGTACAAAATACTACTATGAAAAATGATAGCTTTTTACTTACTGGTTGGAAAGGAATGCAGAAAGAAAAATGACAGTACACCACAGAAAAACACCACTATGACTTATCGTTTGTAAAGTATACTATTCCCAATGGTTAAGATATACATTAAAAGCTATTATTATAGCATTAGTATCATGGTTAAACTTAGTAACAGGCACACTGACAGAATTAATCAGGAAAACATACACAAAGCATGACAACAAAGCTACCAGTATTTTTGTTCTCGAGTACGATGGAAAAAACCACCATGGTTTCTCAAGATAACATGATCTGGTTCTAAGCCGACAGACAGACTTCAATCTCAAAAAAACAGAAGCATATAGCCCGATAATCACCTGTGTTTTTAAATGGTTGTCAGATTTAGTAATTAACTCGAGTAGGGAGAGGTATTACCCCACACAGAGAAAAAAAAAATGGATCTCAGCTATTTGTGGCTATGAACCAAGGTGGTTTCCATTTTGACTGCTGGTAGTATTCTCAAAGATTCATTTCAACAGACAACTGAGTGCCAACCACATGCAAAGAGGAGACACAAAGATAAATGAACAGGTCCTCCTTCATTTATTCACTTAGTAACAGAAGAATATCACTAAAAAATACAACAGAAATAGGATGGGGGGGGGTACTTGCCCTCAAAGTACAGTCTACCTAACAACTTAAGCAGAATAGCTGATACTTAACATGGGCAAACTTGTTAAAACAACACTTTTAAGCCTCCTCTCCCCTAACATCATTTCTCTTCCATCCCTTTCAATGTAGAAACCATTCAATTTCCAATGTCCTTCATATCCCACGGTTGCTGTTTTCCTGACTCTCTAATAATCCCTTTTCCACACACTATCCCCGACAAGTCTCTGTCTCTTTTGGGATTATGCTATTTATATTTAGGTCACTATCCCCATATCATACCCATTAACAGTTTTCACACCTAGCTCACAGTCTCTTCTCACTCCTGTCACCACCATCCCAAAAAGCATAATGGGTTGAGTACTTCCAGCAACTTTTAAGTTAAACATCAAGACAAGATAGCATGAAAACTAAAGATGAGCAAGCAGCAACAAGGAACTGAAAATGGCACTCATCCTAAATGCCTGACTACATCTTCTCCACTGCAGTCAGCCTTTCTAAGGATTAAAAAGCAATGGCTCCCACCACCAACAGAAAAACACTCAAATCCCCTACAATGGTTTTCAAAATCTAGCCCAACCCACTTTACTATCCTCATTTCCTACAAAAACATTCGAAGATGCTTTTGTTCATCCTTATGAACAACATGTTCACCTTCCATCTATACTGATCTATCTCACTACGCTCATACCTACCTGCCATTTTTCTCATTCAACTTTCTCTCCTTGTTATCTACCGGGACAGTATTTTGGCTTTGCTCACATGATGAATCTTGAGTAATGCTTTAAGTATAATCAAAAGTGACCTCCTCTTTCTACCTTGCCCTGAATTCCTCAGGCAAAGTAACTCCCCCTCAAATCTGATTACCTCGCTAAAATTATGGGATTCTTGCTGGCAAGAATCATGTCTTATTTATTTTTGGGTGGCTGAAACATAGGAGAAACTCAATCTCTGTGGGCCTCTGAAATGAATCTGAATTTGCTAAGGAAAATCTTATTCCCAAGTGTTTCTATCAATATTCTTAACTCACTGCAGTCATTATATATTGTATATATATATGCCATTAAAAACATTAATTTTAATGTTTTCCATTAGATTAATTAATATTTGCCTAGAAAGGGAAAAGCACTCCAAAAGCTTTATTATAAAAGGAAGTCTGTTTAATTGACATAAAGAAGAGTCCACAGTTTACCTTAAAGTTACCAACTTCATGTTCACATAAATATCTTAACTTACTTACAAACAAATATAAAATTTAAAACTGGTTCTTCTTCCCCATCTAGAAATAGGGAGAAAAATATATTGAAAAAGTAGTTCACACAGAGACAGCATTTTCAGCAAATAAGACCCTAGGTACAAAAGATAAATGGTGAGGAATTATTTGTTCTACAAAAAGACATTGCAGTTTACAAAGAAATTCAAAAAAGAAAGTCACTTGAAACTTGAAACCATGTCCCCTTCAAGGCTGCAATTTCCCCACTGGTAAAACAAAAGTGCTTAGAACAGATTATGACTACAAAGCGTAGATCCAAGTATGTAAGTCTAAAACGTAACTTCCACAAAGGCAGGAATCTTTCCTTGATATAGTACAAATGCTCACACCAGAGCCTTGCTCAACAGGCGGTTTTCTGAATAAAGGAAAGGTGAGCAGGATGAAGCTCCTCTTATTCTGGCTTCCTCCCATTCAATCGGAGTAAGATATTATTTGAAGAATAGGACATACGGATAGAAAAACTTTGAAAACCACTAGAATAAATGTTCTTTCCAATAATAACTAAAAAGATAAGTTAATTTTAAATGTTAACTTTTTTTTGTTCAGCTATTTTTCTAAGAAACCAACTTTCAAAGTTCAATAATTTTTATAGGTTCATTTATGAGGTTACCATGTTATTTGATTATTACTATGGAGTATTAAAGATGAAGAAATTAAGCATAAGGTAAATCTAAGAAAACTGCTAAGCATTACAAAATTGAGATAATAAAGCTCTTCCCATATTAAAACTAAAGTTTCTCCCCTGACTTCAAGAAAATTAAAAATTGAGGCCAGGCACAATGGCTCACGCCTGTAGTCCCAGCACTTTGGGAGGCGGATGGATCACTTGAGCCCTGGAGTTCGAGACCAGCCTGGGCAACATGGTGGAAACCTTGTTTCTACAAAAAAATATACAAAAATTTAGCCAGGCATGGTGGCACGTGCCGGTAGCCCAGCTATGTAGGAGGCTGAAGTGAGAGAATCACCACAGCCTGGGAGGCGGAGAATGCAGTGAACCGAGATTGTGCCAACGTACTCCAGCCTGGGAAACACAATAAGGCCTGGTCTCCAAAAAACAACAACAACAACAACAACAAAAAAGCTGGACGCTGTGGCTCACGCCTGTAATCCCAACACTTTGGGAGGCCAAGGCGGGTGGATCATTGATGCTACTAGGAGTTCAAAACCAGCATGGACAACATGGCAAAACACCATATTTACTAAAAATACAAAGATTGGCCGAGCATGGTGGCACACGCCTGTAATCCCAGCTACTCGGAAGGCTGAGGCACGAGATTTGCTTGAAACTACAAGGTGGAGATTGCAGTGAGCCAAGATGGCGCCAACTGCACTCCAGCCTGGGCGACAGCAAGACCTTGTCTCGGAAAATAAATTAAAAAAAAAAAAAAAAATTGAAACATTTTTATTCAAAACACATGGCACAGGAATAAACAGTCTTAGAGACTATTATCTTCCTAAGTCTTAATAACCTAAACTTATCAAGACACATAATCATAATTTTTAAAGTTCTTTGGGCTAAAACGACCAACTCCAAACTCATTTTATAGATTAATACTTTAAATCCCAGAAAGGTTTAGTAATTTGTTCAAGATTATTAGTGAGAGAATTAAGTACCAATGCTCAGTTCTATTTTCTACCTATTACTTTTCCCACTGCAGCTGCATCTAGGTTATTTCTTACTATTAAAGTGCTCAACAGGAGTTAGAAGAAGAAAAGGCAAGTCCTTTGTTACTCTACAACAAGCTTAAAAACTGTCAAGTTTGAATCCCAAATAGGAACCTTATGAAAGGAGAATGAAAGAAGATGGCTCCACCCTTAACATGCCCAAAAGTAGCAAAACTAATTATTACTATTTCTAAATTTAAAACCGTGCTTTAGTATCTGACTTACATATACACATATATGCGTGCACACACACACACACGCACACACACACACGCAAAATGGCTGTGAAAAACTGTAACTCTGCTAAATACCTGTCAAATATTATTATCTTATAATGTAAGATTAGAGCTAAGTCTTAAGTACCACTAACTGGCAACTTTTCAGTCTCCACTGCAATCCTCAATGTATCTGAACACGAAGTGTTTAAATTCCTCAGGGTGCAATCCTGGGCCCTCTTTTCTCTTGTCTCTGTGACTTCATTTACTTCCAGGGCTTTAAATACAGGTTGGGTACTCCTCACCCTAAATGCATGGGGACCCGAAGTGTTTCAATTTTCAGATTTGAGTATTTGCATATACATAATGAGAGATCTTGGGGATGGAATCCAAGTGTAAACATGAAATTTATTTGTTTCATATACACCTTATACACATAGCCTGAGGGTAATGTTATATTTTAGTAATTTTGTCTGTGAAATAAAGTTTTGGCTGTGCTGTGACTGTGACTCCATCACATGAGATAAGCTGTGGAATTTTCCACTGTGGCATCATGTTGGCGCTCAAAAAGTTGTGGATTTTGAAGCATTCTGAATTTTTGGATTAGGGATGTTCAACCTGTACCATCTATATGTTCACAATTCCCAAATACACATCTCCAGT
Source organism: Homo sapiens (assembly GCF_000001405.40). Taxonomy (NCBI): domain Eukaryota; kingdom Metazoa; phylum Chordata; class Mammalia; order Primates; family Hominidae; genus Homo; species Homo sapiens. Next base: position 224,550,497 of record NC_000002.12, read on the forward strand.
TCAAACTTCTCGGATAATTTGATTTGCATATCAAATTTTACAGGTATCTTAAAACTAACCTGTTCAAAATGGAGCTCCTTTGTCTGCCCCACCGTATCAGAAAATTAAATCACCTAGCCTAGCCAAGAGCCAAAAACTTAAAACTGATCTTAGATTTGTCCGTTTCTTATTCCCTACAAACAATCTGCTAGCAGGTAACGTTCTTTCTACATCCAAAATATATCTTGTATTTTAAAACTTTTCTCAATCTTAACTGTCACTACACTAGTGTAAATCATCACTGTTATTCACCTGAATTTCTGGATTACTCCTTCCTGGTCCCCTTATTTCAACTCTTATGCTCTCTAACTTATTTATCTTGCTTAAAATCCTTAAATGGCTTCCTAACGTACATATAATTAATTACAAAGCCTTCTGCCATGGCTTCAAGGTCTGGCATGATATGATCTGGCTTCTGCTTCTCTCTGCAACCCCATCTTGTCCCATTCCTCTCCATTACCAAGTCTTAGCTCCCTACTTATGATGGGATTTTATTCAATGTCTTTAGGAAGTGGCAAAGAATAGCCTCCAGCTTTTTTTTTTTTTTTAATCGCTCTGTTGCCCAGGCTGCAGTGCAGTAGTTCAGTAACAGCTCACTGCAGCCTCAAACTCCTGGGCCTCAGCCTCCTGAGCGACTGTGACTACAGGTGTGTGCCACCAAGCCCGGCAATTTTTTTTTTTTTTTTTTGAGACGGAGTCTCACTCTGTCGCCCAGGCTGGAGTGCAGTGGTGTGATCACGGCTCACTGCAAGCTCTGCCTCCTGGGTTCACACCATTCTCCTGCCTCAGCCTCCTGTGTAGCTGGGACTACAGGTGCCCGCCACCACGTCCGGCTCATTTTTTGTATTTTTAGGAGACATGTGGTTTCACCGTGTTAGCCAGGATGGTCTCGATCTCCTGACCTCGTGATCTGCCCACCTGGGCCTCCCAAAGTGCTGGGATTACAGGTGTGAGCCACCACGCCTGGTCAATTTTTTTTTTTTTTTTTGTAGAGACAAGGTCTCACTATGTTGCTCAGGCTGGTCTCAAAACTGCTGGCCTCAGGTGTTCCTGCCACCTCAGTCTCCCAAAGTGCTAGGATTATAGGCGTGAGCCACTGCACTCAGCCTGCTGCCTTTTTAAAGTAAAGTTTTACTGGAATACTGCCATGTTCATTCATTTACATTTGGTCTGTTGCTGCTTTTGTGCTACAAAAACAGACTCTGAGGAGCTGTGCCTGAGAATGTATGGCTCAGAAAAACAAAAATACTGACTATCTGGTCCTTTACAGAAAAAAATATTGTACAGCCATTCACTTTGCCTAGAATACTCTTCAACCCACTTTTCTTGTGAGCGCTTATTCTTCTAATCCCAGTTTAAACACTATCACTTCCTCAAACAGCCCTTTCTTGACCTATGTGGTTGTCTTTATCATTTTTTCCTCTATCACTGTGTCCTTTCTTGATTATATTTTATAACTAAATACTTGTTTACCTGTTTACTATCTGTTTCATAAGTGCAGGAATCAGATGTATTCTATTTACCAATATATTCCTTACACCTAGCACAGAGCCTGGCAAACAGTTTTGAATGCTGAATTCTGTGATGGGAAAAGTCTTACAGGATACCTTTGACACTTTGACAAAATAATATATATTCTAAACGTCTTTAAATCTGAAAAGCAGAACTTTTTTCCTCCATTACTATGCTTTTTTACTTTATTTAGAAAAAAAGTTAAAAAACAAATTCCTGTGTAAGTTGAAATGTTTTCATTTTCTAAACCAAGATTTTTCTTATGGTGAGGTACAAAGGCCACATTACACCCTAAATTTTGCCTTGTGGTCTTGAGAAATGAACTAAATTCCTATGGGTGTCAGTTTCCTCAAAGGAAACATTCTTCCAGAGACAAGAAAAATAATATCCTACCAGAAGTGCTTTTATTAGAGAAACAGTACTTATATTTTCTATGCCTGCTTCAATTTTGTGAACTTATTTTGAAAGCCAACAATCAGCTACAACAATCCCAAAGAGATGTCCTCTCTGAAGCCTCCCGTCATCTGCTGTCTGGTAGTCTGTGTTGCGCTACTTTACCAAAATGTTTGACTTTGTTCACTATCCTCACCTTGAAATCAAAGTACCAACAAACTATATAACAAACCAGCCCTCAATCCATGTAAAAATTATATTTCCTTGGAATTCTTCAATGTGAAAAGATGGGTCTTGGCTATGTATACCATAGCACTAAAAGCACTTTGCTTTAAAATAAATAAATATATGGTTCGTCAGGCAGTTCAGCTAACTGCCAAAAGCATTGTGAATTAAAAACTGATGAGCAGACCAAACAGTAATGCTTTCAGAACAACAAAAAAAGGTATATTCTGTGAGATTAAAGATAGGTATTCTGATACCACAGAACCCTGAAAGAATATCTCACCTTCTAGTCAAAAGATGCAATGCAGAGATAGGCAGTACTGATTTTCATGCAAACTATGCTTTTGCACATTGTATCAGTAACATCTCTAAGTCTCATTTAGTAGAACAAACTGAGACTTACTACCTTAGGAAACAAACATGTCAGAGGTCCTACCTTAGGAAACAAACATGTCAGATGGTCCTACCTATCAGTTAATAGTTCTTTCGATAGTGTCCCCTTCAATACAGTAGTACTGTGTTTATATGATTATTAAAATTGTTTTATAAAATAGGAGTAAACATGAAAACAAAAGCACAGAAACTAGCAGAGGCTTCAAAACCTAATTCACTGTAAATAATCAATGAACAGACATGCTGAAATTGCTACATTTCCTAGTCAAAAATTGACTGGTCAAATGAGCGTGAAAGAAAAGAATAAATAAAAGAACATTTTCAGATGCCGGCAATGATCATTAATGACTATGTATAAGGAAAGTAAATTTAAGAATTTAGCATATACTGTATATTTTAAAATTTATTTAGTACAATCAACTTGAATGCATGTTTTGGGGGAATATATTATAAAAACTGCCTATATTCTGAAATGATAATTGTTATGGACTGAATGTTTGTGTTATTCAAATTCATATTATGAAACCCTAATCCCAAATGTGATAGTATTTAGAGGTGGGGCCTTTGGGAGGCAATTAAATCTTGAGAATGGTACCCTCATTAACAGGATGGAACCATTATAAGATACATGAGAGACATGACCTCTCTCCCTCCCTGCCCTGTGAAGACACAGCAAGGAGGTGGTTGTCTATAGACCAGGAAGGGGACTCTCACCAGAAAAATGAACCTGCAAGCACCTTGATCTTGGACTTCTCACTTGCCAGAATGGTGAGAAATATTTGTTTAAGCCACCTGGTTTATGGGATTTGTTACAGTAGCTTAAGATGAGGAAGACAACAGTTAACCTTAAATATGGGACCACTTTAAGCAACTTATAATATACTGAAACTCAGAGTTCTCATGGAGTGACTGCTCACGTAACTTCAATATCTACTGGACCATATCTTCAACATCCAATTGACCATACTGGAGCCCAAAACTTGGTCACCGAAACACTGATCTCACACTCTGGCCTTCTCTCTTCTCCTCACTCTTTGGACGAGCCACTTCTCAACCCTAACACACAACTACTGATGTTTTTTTCTGCACCTGTGCCCAAGGTTTAAAAAAACTGACATAGCACACATTCAGGCCAACTCCTATGAAGCTATCTTCTTCTGCACTTGCCAATTCCTTAGTATATCCCTTACAAAGGCTACTCCAAGTCTCTTCGTCTCGTTTTCAGAAGATGGATGGTTTATTAGATTCATAATAATTTTAGAAATAAAGAATCTCAGGGATATTATTTCCAACTCCATTATTAAGTAAATTTAAAGGATTCCTAGAATTTAAAGGACTGGAGGTTTACAGACAGTAAGTCCATTAACTTGAAGCCCCTTACACTGAATTTCAGCATACTACAACTTGATCATTCTACCTTAGGAGCAGATCTACAGAGAATTCAAGGGCTCAGACTAAAGCCACATTGCCTGAATTCAGTTCCGGCTAGGCCACTTAACAGCTATATGGACCTGGACAAATGACCAATTATCTGTGCCTTGGTTTCTTCATTTGTAAAACAGACATAATAGTAGTATCTGCAACATTGGGCTGTGACTGTTAGCTAAGTTAAAACATGTAAAAGCACTAGAACTGGGCCTAGCACACAGTAAATGCTAAATAAAAGTTAATTGTGTTAATTATCATTCCCTATAGAACCTCTGACGAATGAGAACATGCCCCTCTTCCAAGTTTACTTCTTTTCCATTGTTCTTAATCCCATACTCTCTATATCCAATAACTCAGCTGTTCCAATCTTCTCTCCTTCAGCAGCTTTAAACAAAACTCTTCCACTTGTCCTTTTGATGCCAAATTTCTTAAATTGGTCTTTTCCATTTCCCACACCTACTTACTATAGTTTGCTCCTAAGATTCATCCCTTGGCTCTGGGCTCTTCATTTTCTGAACTCCAACACTTGTTCCTCAGTATACGTTACCAAATGCCAAATCTCCACATCTAATTTTGAGTTCCTGCCCAAGCTCTAAATCTATGTGTCTCCAAACATACGATATCTCTACTTGGGCATCTTACTATGATCTCACACTCAATTTTCCTCACATGCAAAATGATTTCTAAGGTATCTTCCAAGGATAAACATTTTCAATATAATCTAAACAAAACTTATCATATTCTCTACCCATTTCAAATCAGTTTCCCACTATTACTTCACAGTATTTGCAATTGGTGGCACTATAATTCTCCCAGTAAGCAATCTTTGTCTAGACTTAAGTTTAGAATTTCTGACATCATCCATTCATTTCTAGCCTATCACTTTACCCAGATCTTTCCAGGTCTTCTCCTGATTTTATAAACCTCCTCTCAATTTTACATTTATAGCATCCTCATAATATGCTGCCACATAATCACCCACTTAAAATCACATCTTCAAATATTCTGTCACATTTTCACCCACTTAAAAACCTCCAATAACTGTCTACAGTTTAGTCCAAATTACTTAGTCTGGCACCCAAATTTTTCTACAATCTGTTCCCAAACCATCTTTGTAACACTACAATCCACTAATCCCTGTAATTATTATATGCCTCAGTCAAACTCTACTTACCACCTAAGTTTAACCAACCAGTTCATCTCTATATAATTTCACAACATCTGCCATCATGGAATGCCTTCCACCACACTGTTCATATATATCCCAAATATTTTTCAAGGCTCAATTCAATTTCATTCTTTCCCATAAAATCTTACATCCCAAGGCAACCTCTCCTCCGTTTGAATTCTTAAGCCATTTATTGCCTATGCAACTCACTTGCCACTTAATTATATAATGCCTCACACGGTTATCTAAATGTGTGTATCATCCATCTCTCACATCACAATAAAAACCCCAGGAAAGGATAGTATCTTATCTCTTTGCATCCACTACATTATGACTGAAAGCTGTGCATAATAGGCACTTAATAAAAAACTGCTGATTGTGTGAAAAACACAATCACCTTGCTTCATAAGATACTAACTGCGTGGCTCATGTAATTCCCTTTAAGAGAAAGAAATTACAGAAGAAAGAGCAGAAATAGAAAATTACTGTTCTGGAACCACCATAGTAATAATGATTCATGCAAGAATCATCAATGGATGCTAAAACCATCACATGAAAGTTTCTAGGGAACAGGATATTCATACAGTGTCAAAATATATCTGAACAGATTACTTATGAATTACAAAGGGAAAAAAGGTACCTTTACAGTGGAGAAATCTGGCGGACACCAATGATCAAAGTTAACATCACCAATAATGGGATAAACTGACATCAAGTGCCTCCTGATGTGATGCACTGAGGACACAACATCACTTATGTATTATTCCTGCCAAAAATGCATAACCTGAAACTAGTCATGAGGAAACAATCAGACACACCAAAAACTGAGGGATAATCTACAAAACAACTGACCTATACTCTTCAAATATGTCAATGTGCTGAAAGACAAAGAAAGGCTGAGGAACTGAACATGAGATCCTGGACTGGATCCTGGATCAGAAAACAAATTGCTATAAAGGAAATCACCACTAAACAGGACAATTGGTGAAATCTGAATAAGGAATGTATTAGGCAACAGTATTATATTGTTAAACTGCCTGATTTTGATCATTGTTCTTTGGTTAAGTAAGATTTCTTTATTCTTAAAAGAAATGTTGCAAAGTCTTTTGGGGTAGATGAAATCTAAAACTTACTCTCTAATGGTTCAGCAATAATAATATTGGTAACAGTAATTATAACACATATCAATAGAAAAACTGGCAAAAAAAATGTAGCAAAATGTAAACAACTGGTGAATCTAGGTGAAGGGTACACAAGAGTTCACATCGTGCTATTCATGAAACTTTTTTTTCAAAATAAAACTTAAAAAATAAATACCCCAATACCACATAAAGACTATGAGAAGTTTTTATCAGTCTGTGTGGTATTTCACATTTTATTTGACAATCTTAAAGCAAGGCATTGTAATAAAATTTATTTTCTAAATGAAATTACATTTTACATGCATTGGAAGAGTTCACTCTATAAAAACATTTGTTCTAAAAAAATACATCTTTCTGAAATCAGAGAACCATTTTTAATAATGTGAACAGCCCAACAATAATTTATCTTTAAAAAAAATTCAAATGTACCACAGAACTCAGTTAAAATAAAGTCAATTTTAGTTAGTGATCCATCTTAGAAATATATTTTAAACAACGTAGTTTTATTGTTTTCAAATATACAGAAAAATGAGAAAGTAAAAATGGGCTGATTAAATCATTTTAAGGAAAAAAATTCCTTGTAATTAACATATTAATAAGCATTTGTGAATTACTGAGTTTGCTTCATTATGATTTAAAGAAAGCATTTATTATAGCTCACAAACTTCATCTCTCAAATATCCAAATTTTCGATTTAGCTGATTATAAATTTTTCATGAGTGCTTATTAACAGTCACGAATTAGTAATTTCTATAGGCTTCTGGCACCTTTAAAAAGAACACTTCCGGTCAAAGTGCAATATGGTATAAAGGATTTTCTACATTCAATATAGTATTAGCAACAGTCCTTTAAAGTTTGATACCTTATTTATGAGATGTTCGGTAACAACTTCTCTTAGTCCAGTGTAGAGCTTTTCTCCATGTTTATGCAAAACCATTGTATATGCATTTCTATAGAGCTCCTCAAAACTAAGACCACTGTTATTCTTACGCTGGATTTCTTGAATTGCATTTTTCAGAAGGTCCCAAATGCTGTTTACATATTTTTCATCCATGGTCATCTGTAATATCCAAGAGAGAGAAGAGACAAAAAAAAAAAAAAAAAAAAAACCAATGGTTGAAAGTCTTTCTATATTTGTCCATATATAGTAAATATTGTATTATATAGATATGATTATAAATCTATGACACATAAGAACATTAACAACCTATTTTAACAGGGGGAAAAAAAGGATACATTTAAAAATAGGTTCTAGATCTGTTAGAAGCACTTTCTCATCTTTTAAGACCTCCCTCCAATCTTACCTGGAGCAGAACTCTTCACTTTAAATAAAATCATAATGATTTATATACCCGTAAGTCACTTACCCCTTATCTCTCTCCCACCAAAATACTTGCCAAGTTAAATCCCAACAGCCCACATACTCCTGACATATATCCGTATAGCTGAAAGAAAACAAAGAATAACATATGCCCATATTTTTGGTCCATCTGAGTTTAAATTCATAACCACTAACGTTAAGTGCAGCCTTCATGCAACCCCACAATTCCACTAGTCAGTCTACTCACTCTACTCTTCTAGATGATTTTATACCACCTCCTCCATCCTCACTCTATGATTATGACTGCTTCCTATTCCACTGAGAAAATAAAAACAACCCGATGAGACACTATACAAATTCCCATCATATTCACACACCAACCGACCTGATTTTATGCCAATAAAACCTGCTAGGTTCTTGTGCTCAAAGTGCCAAGTTATTGTACTCGAAGTATAGCATAAGGACCAGACACATAAGCAACACCTAGGAACTTGTTAGAAGTGCAGAATTTCGGGCCCTACTCCAGACCTACAGAAACAGAATCGACATTTTAACAAGAACCCAATGTAATATTATACAGAATGAAATTTGACAAGTAAATCTCTAGTTCTATGCCAAACCACCTATTGAAAAGGCCTCCCTTGGCTGGGCGCAGTGGCTCACGTCTGGAATCCCAGCACTATGGGAGGCCGAGGCGGGCGGATCATGAGGTCAGGAGATCGAGACCATCCTGGCTAATACGGTCTCTACTAAATATACAAAAAATATACTAAATATACAAAAAAAAGATTAGCCAGGCGTGGTGGTGGGCGCCTGTAGTCCCAGCTACTTGGGAGGCTGTGGCAGGAGAATGGTGTGAGCCCGGGAGGCAGAGCTTGCAGTGAGCCAAGATCCCGCCACTGCACTCCAGCCTGGGCAACAGAGCAAGACTCTGTCTCAAAAAAAAAAAGAAAGAAAACTCCTCCCCTTAGTAATCACACATCTAAGCATCATCAAAATTTTTCCTCTGGTAGATAATTTCCATTCATACTGAAAACTGTCAGTTTCACCACATGGACTGGCTCATGCCTGTAATCCTACCTAGCATTTTGGGAGACTGAGGCAGAAGGATCACTGGAGCTTAGGAGTTTGAGACCAGCCTGGGCAATACAGTGAGACCCTGTCTCTACAAAAAAATTTTTTAAGAATTAGCTGAGCGTGGTGGCGCATGCCTATAGTCCCAGCTACCCGGGAGGCTGAGGGAGGAGAATCACTTGAGCCCGGAGGCAGAGTTTGCAGGGATCCAAGATCACAACACTGCACTCCAGCCTAGGTGACAGAGCAAGATTGTGTCTCAAAAAAAAAAAAAAAAAAAAATGTCAGTTTCCTATGTCAAAAACAAATCCTCACAAACCCATATATTCCTTCAGCACCATCTAATCTCTCTTTCCATTTATGGCAAAATCACAGGCAAGAAGAGGAGATTGTACATGCACTGTCTCCAAGTTCCATCTTTCCATTATATCTTGAATCTACTCCAGTAGGGCTTTCATCTCTACCATTTCACTGCAACTACTCTTGAGAAGGCCACCAGTGACTTCTATATTGCCAAAATCTAATGGGCAAAGTCTCAGTTCTCCTCTTACTTACCTATCCAGCAGCATTTGAAAGAGCTGATCACTCCTACTCCTTGAAACAAATTTGGCAAGGCATGGTGCCTCACACCCATAATCCCAGCACTTTGGAAAGTCAAAGCGGGAGGATCACTTGAGTCCAGGGTTTCAAGACCAGGTTGGGCAATATGGCAAAAACCCATCTCTACTAAAAATACAAAAATTAGTCGGGCATGGTGGCATGCACCTGTAGTCCCAGCTCCTTAGTGGGGCTGAGGCGGGAGGATCGCTTGAGCCCGGGAGGTCGAGGCTGCAGTGAGTGGAGACTGCGCCACTACACACCAGCCTGGATGACAGAGCAAGACCCTGTCTCAAAAAAGAAGAAGAAAAAAAAGAAACAAATTCCTCACTTAACTTCCAAGCACTACAATCTCTTGTTTTTCTTCTACTTCTGTCTCCTATTCATCTGTTTTACTGGCTCTTAATTATCACCTAAACCTCCAATCCTAAAGCTCAAGTTCTCGATTTCTTATCTAGCCACACTCAGTTTTTGTTTTTTGTTTTTTTTTAGTCACACTCATTTTCTAGGTGGAGTTGATCTATTCTCATGGTTTTAAATCAATCTTAAAATTGATACATTCTCTGGCCCCCTCTGTACATGCCAGAGTCATATATCCAGCTACCTACTCAATGTTTCCACTTTAATGCGTAGTAGGCATCTCAAACTTACCAAGCCTGAAACAGAACTCCTCATCTTTTCCCTCAGTTGGTTTCCCCTGAAGTCTTTTCCAGCTGAACAAATGTCCACTCCATCCTTCCAGCTGCTCCGGCCAAAATGCTTGTGATCATAATTAACTACTCTCTGACCCCACTACTACTCCAACAGAAAATGCTGTTGTCTCTAACTTCAAAATGTATCCCCAGAATTCAACTCTTTCTCACCACTTCCACTGCTACTATCCTGGTAAAACCACCACCACCTCCAACTGGTCTCCATCTCCACTCCTGGCCTGCTATCATCAGGCAACCAGGGTGACCATGTAAAAGCATAAATCAAATCATGTCACTCATTTGCTCACAACTCTCAAATGAGTTCTCATTTCCCCTGGAGTTGAAGTCAAAGTCCTTACAATGTTCTATAAGCTTTATTCGATCTGATAATCTCTCAACTTCATCCATTTTTTCCTTTTGTTCGCTCTGCTCCATGCACTCCCTGGCATACATCAAACAAGCTGATTTCAGTGTCTTCGTATTTGCTATTCTTTCTGTCTGAAATGTTCTTCCCTCAGTTTCCTGCATGGCTCAAACCTCTACTCAACTGTCATCTTACAGTGAAGTTTTAAATGCCCACCTTATTTACAGTAACAGCCTCACCTCACTACTGATCCCCAACTCCAACCCACATTCTTCATTATTTTCCTGGTCTCCCTCTCTACAACCAAATGTCAGCTTCATGAAGGCAGGGATCTTTTTTTCACTGCCAAATTCCTCAGCCTCTAAAACAGTATATGGCACATAACAAGGATTCATACTTCGGTGACTGATTTTCTGCTAATATATGACTAATGACCCCTTTGTAAATGCCACATAAAATCTCCAAGTTCTGCATTTACAACCTAAGCAACATTGATCAGCTTCACACAAACTTCTGATCTGAACTGGATAAAAATTACTGAGTTAGTGGAATCCTCTCCAAGTCACGTCTGATGTGTATGAATGTGAAAAGAGGAAGGAGTAGGCAAAATAGTTATTTTAGTCACCCTGGCAGTAAAATACCAGCTCAACTCTCAATCAAGACGATCCTTAAGCAAATGACTCAAACTGAATCTTGTTATTCTGATCTTTTCTGAAGAGCTTGAGAAGGAACTTTAACAGAACAATTTCTTTTCTTTTACCGAAATCCTATCCAAGACCTAAGTCTGTCAGAGACTTTTATCAAATGACTGTAAAAGAATTTACCCCTACACCTATACTGCTACCTCTTTTTAATCAGATATCCTGATAGGATGTCATCCATATAAAATGTACTGATGCGGCTAACTTTTCACAAACAGAAGATTCAAGGCCATGTAATAATGATGGCCTCAAATACCATAGCTACGTACGTGCAATGTGGTTTTAGTTTGTTGACTACATATGCTGAGGTTCTAATAAAGCAAACTAAGACACTATCTCTTGACATTGAGTAACAAATAGATAAAGCAAAATACTCAGAACAATTTCAAAAAAGAGAAAAGTTAATGTCAACTATAAGCCTCAAAGATACCTATACTGCTAATAGCTGAGCAAAACATCAAATCATCTTTACAGGCTCTATAACCTAAGATCCTCTGAAAGCCAGAAAAAGTATTAAAATGTCTCTACCCAGAGTAAATTACTAAATTTTTCTACTAGAAGCTGAAGAATTTTAAAACTATAAAACCAAGAGGCTTCAAACATTGTAAAAGTACTCTCACATTATTATAACATAACCATTTTCACATATATACATCAAGAGCTGTTTTACTACACAAGGTTGTATGTAGTGCGTTTTTTTTTTCTTTTTAAATTAATGCCTTATTGATAGATAAAAGATGGGGCTGCAGGAAAAAATGTTCCTTCTGGTGATAGCTAAGGTTAAAAATTTTTCTAACAAATGAGAAGAAGAGCCAGGCACAGTGGCTCCCGCCTGTAATCCCACCACTTTGGGAAGCCAAGGTGGACAGATCACTTGAGGTTGGGAGTTCGAGACCAGCCTAGCCAACATGGTGAAACCCCATCCCTACTAAAAATACAAAAAATAGCCGGATGTGGTGGTGCGTGCCTGTAATCCCAGCTACAGGGGAAGCTAAGGCAGGAAAATCGCTTGAACCCGGGAGGTAGAGGCTGAAGTAAGGCGAGATCGCGCCAGCCCACTCCAGCCTAGGCAACAGAGCAAGACTTTGTCTCAAAAAAAAAAAAAAAAAGACGACGACAATGAAAAATAGACCCAGAGAGATTAAATGACTTACCCAAAATCATAGAGCTGGGATTAGAACTTATATATCCCAAAACCTAGTCCAAATCAGTGGACTAATGTCACATTCCATTGTGCTAATATGGTAAAGTAACATCACAGTCACTGATTATCTTGGTAAACATAGTTAGTATACTGGTAGAGAACATGGGTTTTGCTGTCAGACAGCCTTAGGTTTGTGCCACAGCTTTGTTACTCACAAGCCATGTGACCTTGAGAAAATTAAGTCCTGGGTTCAATAACAGCATCTATCTCAAAGGGCTGTCATGAAGATTAAATGAGAACGTCAGTAGATTTAACACAGCCCAGAGCACAGTATAATCCCTCATGCATCAACAAAGGAAAGTGCCCAATGATAGAATCTCTTGAACGCTCATCGACAGTCATCAAATAAATGTCAGAAAGAAATATAGCTTTTTCAAGCTTAGCAAATATACAGATATGAGCTAAAACAAAGGCACCTTAAGAATAACACTATGATAAATGCACCTCAGTATAACGTAGCTTTCTTTTAGAAAACATTATTCCCCTACATCTCTTGTATACTACTTTTCCAGAGCCATTTAAATCATTTTCACCCTGAGAACTCTGTCCTTGGCTCTTGTCACTCTCTACTGGGTCTCTATGTATTTTCATTCATTGTCATGGTTACATCTATTATCCGTACATGCAGGGTTCTAAAACTTAAGAGGGATTCCAGAGGTTCCTAAAACAATAAACAAAACTTTCCAAGTATACTGTGTGTGCACTTCTTTTCTGGAGAGTAGGTCCCTAATTTCTATCAGATTTCCTAAGTTTGTCCATATCTTAAAGAAGATAAACTACAACAGTCCTCCTATCTACAGTTTCACCTTCCTTGGTTTAAGTTACTAGCAACCAACCACTGCCTGAAAATATTAAATAAAAAATTCCAGAAATATCAATTCATAAACTTTAAATTGCATGCCATTTTATGTAGTATGATGAAATCTCATGCCATCCCACTCAGGATGTGAATCCTGAATTACATCTTTGTCCAGCATTTCCACACTATGTTACACACCCCACACCCATTAAAAACTTGGTAACTTAACAGCCATCTGGTTTATCAGATCAAAATCACAATGCTTATGTCCAGGCAATGTTTATCTTACTTAATACTGTCCCCAAACCACAAAAGTAGTGATGCTGACAATTCAGAAATGCCAAAGAGAAGCAATAAAGTGCTTCCTTTAAGTGAAAAGGTGAAAGTTCTCTACTTAATAAGGAAAAAAAAAGGTATGCTGAGATTGCTAAGATCTATGTTAAGAATAAATCTTCTCGCCAGGGTGGTGGCTCACACCTGTAATCCCAGCACTTTGGGAGGCCCAGGTGGACAGTTCACTTGAGGCCACAAGTTCAAGACCAGCCTGGCCAACATGATGAAACTCCATCTCTACTAAAAATATAAAAATTAGATGAGTGCAGTGGCACACACCTGTAATCTCAGCTACTTGGGAGGCTAGGGCACAAGAATCACTTGAACCCAGGTGGAGGCTGCACTGAGCTGACATTGTGGCACTGTACTCCAGCCTGGGCAACAGAGCAAGACTCTGTCTCAGAAAAGAAAAGAACACATCTTCTTCTATCCACGAAACTGTGGAGAAGGAAAAAGAATCTGCACTAGTTTTGCTGTCGCAACTCAAAACTACAGAAGTATGGCCACTATCATTCACCTTACTTCATCTCATCACATAGGCAGTGTATCATCTCATACCATCACAAGGGTTAAGTACAGTACAAGATATTTTGAGAGACCACATTCATGTTCTTTTATTACAATATAGTTATAATTGTTTTACTTTATTATTGTTGTTGCTAATCTCTTATTGTTTCTAAATTGTAAATTAAACGTCATAGGAAAAAACAGTACATATAGGGCTCAGGGCTATATGGTTTCAAGTATCCACTGGGGGTCTTGGAATAAACAGATTCCCTGTGGATGGGGTGGGGACTTCTGTACTGGCATTTACATTAGTGGCTCCCAAATCTATACTGCCTGCCCAGATCTTCCCCACAAAGTCTAAAACTCTTGTTTCAACCACCTGCTACACATCTCCAATCAAAAGCTCCAGACACAGATCAAACTTATCATGTCAAAAATCCCTGACAACTCACCATCCAAACCTGCCCAAACCTTCTTCCTGTAATCTCTAATTCAGTTGTGGCAATATAAACTACCTAATTATACAAGCTAGAAACATAAGCCTTATATTTTTTCTTATCTCTCATCTCCTTCTTATCCAATCATCAAGTACTACTGACATTAACCCCAAGGTATTTCTCAAATATGTTCCCATTTTTTCATCCCGAATACAGCTGACCACTGAACCATGTGAGAGTTAGGAAAAACTGACCTCCTGAGCAGTCAAAATACTGTGTATAACTTTTAAGTCCCCCAACTACTAATAGCTTACTGTCGACCCAAAGCTTTACCAATAACATAAACAGTCTATTAACACCTGTTTTGTATGTTACATGTATTACACACCGTATTCTTAGAATAAAGAGAAAAAATATTAAGAACATTGTAAGAAAAAGAAAATGTATTTGGTATTCAATAAGTGGAAGTGGATTGTCATAAAGGTCCCCATCCTTCTGGTCTTCACATTCAGTAGGCTGAGGTGTAGGAGGAAGAGAAGTAGTTGGTGTCTTAGGGGTGGCACAGGCACAAGAGATGGAGGAGGGAGAGGTAGAAAGGGAGGCAGGAGAGGGAGCCATACTCTGTAACTTCACAAAAACACATTGTAATTTGCCTGACTTTTCTGCTTTTTCATTCCTCTAAAAATGTTTCTATCTGTTCCCAAATCTTTTGCCACTGTTTGTTTTAAGTTTCAGTGCCCACATCATAAAACAGTCCATGTCGTAAAAGTCAAAGCATTCTTGAGTATCAGAAACCTCCTGCCAGATTCTCTAATGTCAACTTGGTTTTTGGCACTGCTTCTTCTACATCTTCCTCATCATCTGTCACTGGTTCAGAAGCGCTCATCTCCATCAAGTCATCTTCCGGTGTGATGTCCATTAGCTCTTGAATTTCTTCAAGATCCATATCCTGAAACCCTTCACTCCTCACTTTACCACAGTCTTTCGTGATTCTGACTGGCTCTGTTGTAAATCTTGGGAAGTCATGTACAACATCTGGACACAGTTTTCTACAGCAATAATGTATCATTTCAGGCTAGATGGCTTTTATGGCTTTTTAACAATGATGGCATCTTCAATGGTGTAACCCTTCCAGACTTTCATCATGTTCCCTCTATTGAGGTTCTCTTCCATAGCAATGACAATCTTTTCCATAGATTACTACTGCTGCGTTTAAAGAGCCTTAAAGGTCCTTATTGACCCCCCACCTTCCCCATCTACAGGCTGAATTAAAAACACTTTAAGGTCAAGGATACCACTTCAACACCTTCAGTTTTGAAGAACTCATGAGATTCTGGGTGGCTAGGTGCATTGTCCAGTAGAAAAAATACTAAAAGGCAATCCCTTACTGACAAGGTACTTCCTGACGTCAGGGACAAAGCACTGATGGAACCAATCCGGAAAAAGAGTTCTCACTGTCCAGGCCAGGCCTTTTTGAACAACCAAAAGACTGGCAGCTAGTGTTTATCTTTTCTCTTCAAGGCTCAGGGGTTAGTAGATTTATAGATAAAGTCAGCCATGATCAAAAACCTGACTGCACTTGCACAGAACAGCAGAGTTAGCTTATCCCTTCCTGCCTTGTACACCCTAGTATGTGCTTCTCTCCTTTACTAGTCAATATCCTTTGTGGCACTTTTTTCCAGAATAGGGCACTTTTGTCTACATCAAAAACCTGTTTAGACAGATCCTTTGTCTCCAATGATTTTCTTGATGGTGTCTGGGAACTTGTCTGCTGCCTCTTCAATGGCAGAAGCTGCTTCTCCTATTACCTTGACATTTTTTAAGCCAAACTTCTTTCTAAAAGTATCAAACCATCCTTTGCTGGCATTATATTCTCCAGCTTTAGATCCTTCACCTTCCTTTGACTTTGTCATATAATGACTTTGCTTTTCTTAAATCATATTAGAATCAGTAGGTATACTTTTCTTACAGCAATCCTGCACCCACATACAAGCTGCATATTCAATATGAGATAAAAAAGTATTTTGCAAAAAGCACAAGGTTTTTGCACCAGCTGGCACAGGTGTAGCGATGGCTTCACAAACTTCCTTTTAACAATGGTCCTGGCTTCATTTACCTTGAAATGGCAGGTAACCACAGCTGCAGAACTTAATCTAGTACACATCAAGCAATTCAACAATTTCTTGTAACGTCATGACTTTTCTCTGCTTTTTGGGAGCACTTCCAGGTTCACTGGGGGCACGTCGAATGGGTTCCATCGTGTTATTCCAGGTTTACAGTTTTCCACTAAACATAATGAAAAATATGTGAAAACCGCAAAAGAAAACTTTTTACTACACTACAGAGAGAAACTGCTCACACGAAGATGATTAGTCACAAGGTGTTTTTCTCTTTGTTTTCGTTTTTGTTTTAGACAGGGTCTTCTTCTGTCACCAAGGCTGGAGTGCAGAGGTGCAATCATAGCTCACTGCCGCCTCAAACTCCCAGGTTCAAGGGATCCTTCCGTCTCAGCCTCCTGAGCAGCTGGGACTACCGTTGTGTGCCACCATGCGTGGCTAATATTTTTAATTTTTTTTGTAGAGATGGGGGTCTTGCTTTGTTGCCCAGGGTGGTGTTAAAACTTCTAGGCTTCGGCCGGGCACGGTGGCTCACGCCTGTAATCCCAGCACCTTGGGAGGAAGAGGTGGGCGGATCACCAAGCCAGGAGATCCAGATCATCCTGGCTAACACGGTGAAACCCCATCCCTACTAAAAATACAAAAAAATTAGCCGGGTGTGGTGGTGGGCGCCTGTCGTCCCAGCTACTCGGGAGGCTGAGGCAGGAGAATGGCGTGAACCCAGGAGGCAGAGGTTGCAGTAAGCCGAGATTGTGCCACTGCACTCCAGCCTGGGCAACAGAGTGAGACTCTGTCTCAAAAAAAAAAAAACCTTTCACCTAGTTCACTGCAAGAGCCTTCCAAACACTATGAACTCCAACCTCATGGAATCTACTTCCCTCAAAATCACAATCAAAATAAACATAGGCACACCATGACCCTGTTCAAAACCTTTCTATGGTAGCATAGTAGGCACAGACCTAGTTTATGCTCACTTATCCACACCTGTCTGACATGTATTTCCCAACAACATTAAACCAATGGGAATTCTTAAATATACAACTTGCTGTTTCTCACTCTATTTCCATCACTGTCACAGCCCCTCCCCACTTATTTCAGTTCCCATGTCTTTTTTCCCCCCTGCTTTTGGTCCTCCTTTGCTTTGCCTTTTCTTTATCTGATTCTTTACACATATCTTCTGAACACAGCTAGGTGTCATAACCTCTAGGAATCCTTCACTGAACTCCTCAAGCAAAGTTAACAACTCCTTCTCAGTTCTTCCGTGATATTTTATAGTGTAAACTGTATTTACTTAACTATACACTAAATAAACTGTAGTGTATTTTCGTTTATATGGGAATGTGGTGATAGTCTATAACTACTAGTGACAGTTTGTAACCATCACTACACTCCCATGTAGCTGAATTATCTGTTCATGCATCTTCCTCCACTAGACTATGAGCTTAAGAGATTATGCATTTTTCTTCAATGCCACACAGAAGGTTGTAAACAAATGTCTGTTGAATGAATACTACTTTATCCATGTTATACCAATGTAATTTTGACAACACAAACTTTTTACTTATAAGGCACAATGATACAGGAAAACGGTTGAATGTGTTTACCCTCAGCAATTAATCTAATTTTTAAATAATCAAATCTTTTTCTAACAGAAGTAGTGTACAAGTAACACACTTTTAAATTTTACATCAAGCAATATTTTCAGATTTTTCCCATTCACCTAAAGGCCTCACCCAGAAGGCTGCTTAATCATTAATTTTACTAATAAATATTAACTGGGAAAAAAAGGGTAGACGAAATAGGCCCTTCAGAAGCAGATCAATAAGCTACAATCTTTCCCTAAATCAAATAAGTCCAAAAACTACATATCAAATGAAATGGGCTTCAAGTGCAGATTAATACATACACATGATCGGGTCTTGGCATCAAATGCACGTCAACATCCTTGGCAAAATAATTATGTTACTAATGAGCTTTAATCTTTCCACTTGCCCATCCCTGACACAGAAGCAACATTAACTGCTACTGAAAAATTTTTTAAATGCCTAAATGTTCAACTCTCACCTCATCAATATGTTAACAATAAAAACTTTAAGCTATACTTCATTCCAGGAGCAATAAAATTTAAAGGCTCTAACTTTATGTATTAATATATTTTTTAAAAGAGAAGTAACATTCTTTTAAAGTAACATTCTAAATTACTTGAGCAGGGCTTTAATCCCATTGATAAACTGATTAAGTTGCAATAACTGCAAATACACTAAGGGATCTAGCAACTAATGCGTCAGCAAAACAATAAAATAAACTGCACACACATTTATCATCTATATACACAAACATGTAATATTTGCTATCTAATTATCAGATGTATACAGGACCCTTCCCCAAGAAGGCCAAGTTACAAAATGATCAGCAAGCAAATTAAATTCATTCAGCAGAAAAAGAAACAAAAGCTTTTTTAAAGGAAAAATATAATTAAGGATTCTTAAATGTTTATAGTTTAGTAAGACTTTCAAAAACCAAGTCAAGAATTTAATTTTTGAAAGTGATCTTTGCCTCCTTACCTCCCTCCAATCCAGGATTACAATTTTCCCATCAGAAAAGTATCAATAACAAAAATAAATCTATAATGGTCTTTGTTTTCTTTAAAGCAAAATCTTTTCATTTACATTACTTCAGATGATATAAAAAATATAACCTTCAAAATGCCTGAATTTGAAAGGATGTCAGTCTATTATATACTTACACATCTTGAAGGTTCTGTGATTACTGAGAGAACTACATCATGAGACAAATTAAAACTAAATGAAAAGAAGTGAATTCTTAACATCTACTACATACAAAGGACAAGAAGTCTTTAGTCCTCTGTGAATAATTTTCTACAAGAAAAAATTTAGAACAGGGTGGGTGGGGGAAAGGGTGAGAATTTGAAATTCCAGGCAATTCAGAATGACACAGCTAGAAAAAAAATAAACAAGGGAAAATACTTGATCTTAATTTCAAGCTCCAGTCTCAAAAAAAAAAAAAAAAAAAAAAGCTTTGGTACAAGCATCTGAGGAATGGCAGTATTTTTTAAATCTGATACAACTAAACTATTAATTACATAAGGAAGCTCCCTCCCAAACTGTAAGCACCTCACAGTAGATAAGGTCTTTATGTTATTGTACCCCTTACAATGCGTGGCACAATGTATAGATAATATTAAAAAAAAATGATCTGAATACAGTCCATTTGCAGTTAATGATAAGGAGTCTTATTTGATGACCAAACAGTATACAACTACTTATGACATCTGCAATAATACCATTTATCCATCAATTATTCCTTAAGCAACATCAACCATCAAAAATGTAGCCAAAGATCCAAGCTTTGAGAAAAACAGCCCAGTGGGACACATTCAAACAGACTTTGAACAAATTAACCTTTCAAAGCTCACTTTCCTCATTTGCTTGTGGCCAGAGAAACGTGAGACGGTGGACTGTGGGGTAATTAAGAAAGTCTGTGAAAGCATCTGGCACACAGCACTTGCTCAATAAATATGTTTGTTTCTTCCTTGCCTATGTAGAAGAGACATATAGCCTTGATTAGTGACTTAAAACTGAATGTAAAAACTACTGATGTTTGGTTAACTGGTTTCTCTGGTTACAGTGGAGAACAGATGGGAGTGGGGGAGTGCTGCCAAAAAAAGAGCTGATGCCAAGGAAAAAGAAAAAAAAAGATTATCAATTAGAAAAGCACAGCAGCATGGGACAATTCCATGAAATCACAACCTGATCGACATTCAATTGGGCTCTAGTATCATTACATTACAGAACAGTAACATTCATAATGAGAAAGTTAAATCATCAATAGAAGGTTCAATTATGATTTGCATTTCAGTCCTCAATATGAGTAGGCTATCCAAAACTCAATTTGAGAATGTGGGAAATGTGAAACAATTTTTTCAAAGACACAAGGTCAAGCTTCCAGATTAGCCTATTTAAGTCCATTTAAGTCACAGAGCAATTGAGCTAAAAGTACTAACAACTCTTTCGACTATATCTCTGTGAATGACTTTTGCATATATAGAAAAAAAGGTATGTATAACATTTCAAAATGTGATAATGACCACAACAAATAAGATACAATAATGTAAGTACTCTCACTGAGGTAAAAAGCTTGTCACTGTCCTACTATTGGTGCTATTTCCACCCATAAAAATAGAGATGTTACAGGACTCCCTTAAACACATTTTATCCAAAAAACACAGTAGTCATCATAACTAGAATTCAAACATTGTACTTACAGACCCTCTATATTAAGAAAATTAGTGATTATATCTAAAATCAACACTTCAAAATAAAATTTGTTGTATTTCCCAATATACTATGAAATCCAAAACACTACTATTTATACTATTTAACACTACTATTTATTTATACATGGGTCACATGTATATAAAATTACTTTTTACACATTCATCTATGATAATGTATAAAAACTCTATAAACTGTAAGACAATGACAAATTGATTGTACCTAAATCAATTACACATAACCCAAAGGGAAAGGAAAAAAACATACAAAATACCGAACTGCCATAGTTTGCTCTGTCTTTGAATGATTCTAACTGTAATCAAATAAGATATGACAGCAAAAGGTCTATGACACAAAATTGTTACAAAAATCTGCTATAAGTCTGTTTAAAACTTTCCTACAACTGTCAACTCACCAAAAAAAATGTACACAAGAACACAGCTAACTTTCCCACTGCTTCACATTAGAACTTAACCATCATCACTGAACCATACCATTCATAAAGAAAAATCTAAGACTAAAAAGTAAGTAATTTTTGCAACATCACACAAAATATTTCAAACAAAGGCCACAGGAAAAGACACTAGTAGTCGGTGCCTAGATTTATGTATAAACACAATTGTCTTTTACTGAAATTTTTGGAGCTAGAATAAGCCTAAGGTAACCCCAAGTTAAAACCTCTTCATTTCACAAAGAAGAAACTAAGGCTAAGGAAGCTTATCCAAGATCACACAGAGCAATGAAGGAGTCCAAGTGTCCTAAGCTGAGTGTCCTTCCAGGGTACCATGTCAACTCAAATAATCAGAGTGCTCAATACTGAGAAATCATTTTATAATTAAATAGGCCAGTGTTAACATTGAGTTATTACGGCTACATGTTTGTTTCAGTCTGCTAAAGAGAAAAGAGCTTTTAACCAGAAATCAAGCTTCTGGTCATGGTCCTTCCATAAATTCAAGTCAGGAGTGTATCCCTTGGTAAACCACTTTCTCTAGACCCCTGTTTGCTCATCTGTTGAGAAAGAACAGATTCTCTCAAAAGTCTCTGCCACGGTTTGAATGCCTGTGTCTCCTCCAAAATTCATGTTGAAATTTAATCATCAATTTAACAGTATTAAAAGGTACGGCAATGCAGGTGCAGCAGCTCACGCCTGTAATCCTTGCACTTTTGAAAGCCAAAGTGTGTGGATCATTTCAGCCCAGTAGTTTGAGACCAGCCTGGGCAACACAGTGAAACCCTGTCTCTTAAAAAAAAAAAAAAAAAATTGCTGCTGACCTGCACCTGTCGTCCCAGCTACCCAGGAGGCTGCGGTGAAAGAATCCATTAGGCCCTGGAGGGCATGGCTACAGTTAGCCAAGATCAAGCCACTGCAATCCAGCCTGGGTGAGAGTGAGAGAAAAAAAAAAAAAAAAAAAAAAGGTGGGGTCTTCAGGAAGTGATTAACTCATAAGGGTAGAACCCTTGTGAATGGGATTAGGTGGCCTTATAAAGGAGGCTGACAGAGAGTTTATTTTTTTGCCCTTCTGTCTCTGCCATGTGCAGATACAGGATTCGTCCCCACCAAAGAATTCCGAGAGGACAATGCATCAAGACATCGTGTCGGAAGCAGACAGCAGCCCTCTCCAGACAGCAGAACCTGCAGCACCTTGATCTTGAACTTCCCAGCCTCCACAAATGTGAGAAAATGCATTTCTGTTCTTTATAAATTACTCAGTCTGCAGGATTTTGTTATAGCACCACAAAAAGATTTCAAGAGTCACTTTTAGCCCTCAAAAATTAAAATACTAACACAAGAGCACACAAATTATTATTTGGCTAGTGATAGCATTCATCAAAAAAGCATTATTTCTTTCATGTTGCATTTGCGTACACCAAAAGTAGTAAATTATTACTAGAGAATTTAATCTTTGTATTTCTAATACATTTTACTGTTTAATCTATCTCTTTAGTATATTCTTAAAGACAAAAAATCAAAAATCAAAGTATTTTAGACATATTAACTTCAAGGAATCACTTTTTGCTAAGTATATACTTAAATTTCTATTAACCAAATTTTTTTAATGTGTGTCGTCGGCCTTACAATTTAAAGTAGCAAAGTGTTAACTCATAAATAGGTCAACTAGTAATAATAAGCCTTTCTTACAGGTTATGCTTTTGACTGCTTTATTCAAGTCAATACACACTAAGGTCCCCTTAAACAAGTTATATATTCAAATGTTACTGAACAATACACATTTCCCAAGTTTTTCATAACTTTTATAAATGGTCCATTTACTTAAAGCCAGTAAAACTTAAGCTTACGAAGGAAGCTTACGAAGGCTTCTTCCAACTCCTGGAACCTGAAGGTAGATTCTTTTTGTAAAGAGAGTAGTGCATTGTATAAGCTTCAGCGTCCCCAGATCTGCCCCTGGCTAATAATTTAAAAGGTAACCTTAGAATTAATTTTCTGTATAATGAAAACAACATGAACTTTTCAGTCAGACATACCTAGAATCTGAATCCCAACTCTGCCCTTCTCTAGGCGTATATGTAATATCATAAATATTTTACTAGTCCTCTCTGAGACCCAAATAGATTTAAAACAGGAGTAACCACATTATACTTAAAATTGTTTTCAGGATTTCAGATAATTAGTTAAAAGTATCTAAAACAGCCTACCACAAGTCAGACATTCAACAAGTTGTCACTAATCTTACAAGGCAACCTCTAGTGGAAATGGAAAGGAATTGGAGATGAAAAAGAAAAAGGAATTTTTCACCATTACTTTGGAGAGGACAGGGCAAACAGAAGAGGCTAAGTGTTGCTCAGTTAAGAGCTGTTTTAGGTAAGAATGACTTACAAACACATATGTGAAGGAATTCCTCTTAGCAATGATGGCTTGCTTTTATAAGAAAGTATCTCTAAGGAATCTTATATTTTCTTAAAGTAGGTAAAAATTCCCCTTTGAAGTCGTTTTATTCATCTGCTCAGCAGTAACATTTCTCATTTAAAGAGTAAATTTGGGTCCAATCCTTTCTCAATGATTACAAGTACTAAATGGAGGTCAAATTAGGAAGTTTTGCTTAGTTACATTTTCAACTTTAAAACTGAATTTAAAAAAAAGAATGCTGTCTAGTAGCAACAGATTTGGATTAGGAGTTAAGGCAACTACAGGATCAGTTCTCAATTTCCTATTAACCGTTATCAAGTTGAGCAAGTAGTATTCTCCTCACCTTTAAAAAAGATTCATTAATAATTATTACTAGTGATTTTAAAGCAATGGTTAACAGCATTTCTTAAAATGAAATCTTTTACAGAACCCCATATACAAATGGTAACACAGGAGCTGCTCTCAAGGACCACAGAGGGAGCTTTCAAAGATTTCTACTTAACACTTCCTAGGCCTCCTGGGTCCTAGACACCCTCCAGGCTCCCTGTAAACGTTTGAAAATAACTGCCCTACATGAAACAGAATTATAGTTGAAAATTTTGATTTTATGATTGGGAAATTCTTTTAAATGTCATAGTGATACCACTATTAGCATTTTCTGACATGATTTCATTTAATCCTCACAATTTGTGAAAGACTGCTGTAGTTCTCATCTTAAAGAGGAGGAAACAAACTTAAAGAGTCTGTTAGTTCCTTTATTCAACATTGTGTACTATATGCTGGGTGCGTACTGCTGTACTGATCAAAGTCATAAAAAAGACTGAGGCCTCCTCAAGAAAATTATGCTCTAAAAAAGGAAATAGAGACTCCTCTCTCAAGAATCTTGGCTGTGAAAGGAGGTAGTTACTATAATGCAGAAGACAGGAAAAAGACATTTTCCTTCTCTGAGACCAGAGGGAAGGAGTCGAGAATGAATAAAGATGCAGATTAAATAATATAATTGAAAGGGAAGAATGCTGAATGAACTTCGAACTTTCACCTAATTACATTCCTTTTCACACTGATGTAGTAGTTAGGTTTCTTGAAGTAAGAGCAATTTGAGAATTCTCAAGAGATAGCTTAAGGACAATGATTAAAGTTTGGAATAGCTCAGGCAAGAAAGGGGAGAGGAAGCTGACCAGGGACATAAAGGAAACTGCTCAGAGGCACTGAGAGTCCAGCTAAATTAGAGACCACTGTCTTGCAATTTTCTCCAGGAGTAGCTAGAAAATATGTTCAGTGGGGGCAAATAGGTAGAACGATCCAAGATGCTTTCTGCTGCTATTTCTGGCCTTGTTCTGGGGAGGTAGTAAGAAAGGGGCAACTGGTAACATAGGTGGAAGTGACAGCACCATGGCTTGGGAGAATAAATGGGTCTTCCTGAGATCAAAGGGCACATTAACGTGAGAAGGAACCAAGCAACAAGATAGAATAATTAAATAATAACACCTTGCATTTATGTATAATGCTTATTATGTGCCAAGCACTATTCTAAGAAGCTTTATATGTATTAACTCCATCTTTAAAACAATTTTATGAGGTAGGTATCATCATTTTTTCCTTTTTGCAAAAGAGGGAACAGACAAGACACTAAGTGATTTGCTCAAAGTCCTACATCTAACAAACAGAAGAGCTAGGATAAAATGCAAAATGGAAGTTTGAAGATTTTTAAACTAGTAGGATGACAAGCTCTAAGCGTGAAGATCCCTGCAATACAAGCCTGTCTGATCGCCACTGTAGATCCAGGACCTGACCCATAGCAGCAACACACAATAAACGTATTTTAAATTGAATAAATGAATGACTTCCACATGCAATGAACAAAATTAAAATAGAGGCTAGACATAATATCTGTGAGGAATGTATTAACATAGTATCTGTGAGGAAGGTATTAAACTCCTCAATGACTGAGGGAGCATGAGTTCAGGAAGTCAGATGGTCATAGGGAGAGAGCAGGAGAGTAATTCTCAAGCCAAAAAAGATGATGATGGAAGTGGCAATAAACCACATCTGGGCCCAATAATTCAAGGACTGTAATAGAAACCTCAATTCAAAAAGATAAGCCTGAGAAATAGGGGACCAGAGTGTACAATTTAACAGTGTGACAGGAAGGGATGAGATGCGAAGAACAGTCATGGTGGAGGAAGTGAAATGTAGACCACAGCTAGTAAACAGAAAGACTGGACCGCAGACTAAGTCTTCTAACTCCCAATTCAGGGTCACTGACAATTTCAACTCATTTTTCCAGGAGACTAGGCTGACTACCCTGCTACATACAGAAGTGCCACATGATCTTTAACGACCCTCTACTACATCTTAAGACTTCACTTAGAGTTACAAAAACTTCAAACATTTCAGAGCATCATTTGCGCTGACTCACTGAATTTATCAATTACTATGGTTTGGCTTAGAGGACTAGTTTCTCATGTAATCAATCATTCACTAACCACTCACACTATGCTAAATGCTGCATGGTTCAAAACGATGTCTGGCATAAGCTTTGGACAGGGACCACAACCTAACCTAGTTCAGGAGTGAAAAAAAAGGGGGGGGGGGGAGGAGAAGGAGGAGAAAGGGAGGAAAGGAAGGAAAAAAGAAAAACTAGATGTGTTTTTAGATGCACATTTAACGTACATATTATAGAACATGCAAACCAAATGAGTGTTTATTCCTTCAATAAAGTTACAAGAGGTTACACACTTACTCTAAGGATTACATGTGAATCATATATGAACTTCTGTTTTTGAAGCCACCCCTCAAGAGCCAACAGGATTCTTTAAGTATCCCAGTGGTACTAAACCCATATCCTTTGAGAATGCTTTCTTAGAACGATTCACAAACTGGCTCTGCAGGCTTTTCAAAACTTAAGTTCTAGAAGTTGTACAATAAAATGACAGGATCGCTAAAATAAGTGTATGGCATTCGATGTAACTGCTTGCAAAAACAACATCCAATTTTAATATTGGCCTAATCGTGGCTAAATATTGGTATAATAATAGTTAACTATCTGCTAAGTTCTATTTTAAAGCTTTATTTTATTTATCACACAACAAACCTGTAAGGTGGGTCTCATTAGCAGTCTCATTTTACACAGGGGAAAACTGAGGCTACAAGAAGTAACTTGTTAAAGGTTATGCAGCTAGAGGCCGGGCGCGGTGGCTCACGCCTGTAATCCCAGCACTGTAGGAGGATGAGGCAGACGGATCACGAGGTCAGGAGATCGAGATCATCCTGGCTAACACGGTGAAACCCCGTCTCTACTAAAAATACAAAAAAATTAGCCAGGCGTGGTGGCAGGCACCTGTAGTCCCAGCTACCAGGGAGGCTGAGGCAGGAGAATGGCGTGAACCCGGGAGGTGGAGCTTGCACTGAGCTGAGATCACGCCACTGCACTCCAGCCTGGGTGACAGAGCGGAGACTCTGTCTCAAAAAAAAAAAAAAAGGTGATGCAGCTAGAAAGACATGGAGCTGGTATTCAAGCCCACACTCTTAACTACTATGCTTTCAGTCTCTTTACTTTTTAGTCACATCCCTATATTCATATGTTGAATACTCCAGTGCAAAAGTAAATGAAAATTCTCTACAGACTATTCATAGTTTTATTCTCCTAAGTAGTCAAAGAAATGCAAATTAAAGCATTAAAGTACTATTTTTTCACCTATAAAATTAAACATACATTATGCTGGGTAAGATACTGCTACACAGAAGTTAAACGGATACAACCTTGAGAAATATAATTAATTCTTAAGAGTGCTCACTTTAGAGCCAGATTGCTTGGGTCAGAATCCTAGTTCTGCCACTTGGAAGAATACCTTAAGCAAATTATTTAGCCTCTCAAAGCCTCATTTGTAGAACAGATAATAGTAGTATTCAATAGAGTTTGCTCAAATGATTAAGTTTAGATATGCAGAGTACATGATAAGCATTTAGAAAGTGTTAGCTATTATTATTACCCTTATGGAGGTCAATTAGGTAATATATTTCAGTTACGTGCAGCCCAATAATTCCATAATCATAGATGGACTCAAATATTTATGTGTCTAAATAGTCATAGTTGCAATCTTTTTTAACAGAAAAAATATGGACTCCCTGGAATCAACCAAAATATTTGGCAATAGGGAAATGGTTAAGCAAACTGAAGTATGATAGTCATTAAAAACTATGTTTTCAAAAATTTACAGTAAGAAATTTTTTAACAGCAGCATATACAATGATTATCTTACCTTAATTTTACTGTCTGTTCAGCCAACAATATGAAATTAAAATTCCAAAAACACATGAAAATGTTAATGTTGTTTGTTTCCAAGTGGTAGGATTACAGGTGATTTTTTTTATTTCCCTACTTGTACATTTAGATAATTATCAATTTTTCTACCAGGAATATACATCATTGTTATAATTAGAAAAGCTACTAAAATAAATTCATTGCTTTAACAGACTATGGTTGAATAGTTTTCACAAGACACTGATAGACTAATAACTAATTGTAATTCATGTGTTAACTCAGTGATTTGTTCTTACTAGTAATACCTTTACATTCTGTTGACCTTACAATGGGCTAACAAGAACTACTTTTAAAAAAAAGTTGCATTATTTAAAACTACAAATTGTCTAGTAACTTTTATATAAACCTAACAGGACTACTAAAGACCATCCATGTACTCTGGAATGAAAATAACAAAAAATTCCCTTTAAAGTCCCCCAATGTATAATATAAAAAAAAGGCATACCACTTTTTCTAGCCTTAATCATATAATCTTCCTGAACTGGACAAATGCTTTCATCCCTTAACTTCATTTAATGAATGATGTACAAACAAATGAAGCATTCTCTAATTTGTTTGAATCAAGTTTGTGATTTATGTATTACTTAAAAAGCCAAATTTTTACATTATATTTCATATTACTTAAATAGTTTCTAATTCAATATTGGTACTAATAATTTTCCAGGTTCCTCTGAACTGCTATCTAGAAAGACAAGACAAAATAAATACTTTGTTAATAACAACCGTATGCTTTTATTTTTCTAACTTCTAAAGTCATAGTAGTACTAACAGCTATGACAATACTGGCTGTCCCAAAACTATAAACAGTATTAGTTTAAGTATAAGTAACACTTTAATGAATCTGTTTCACTTTGTTTCATAACATGAAAAATGAAAAGCAAATTTATAATTAATTCTCTGCTCAGTGTGATCTGCAAGACTACCATCCAGCTTTCCTCTATGTACCAGTCCAGGTAGTACTATGCCAACAACTACCTTCCCTAAGAAAGAGAAACCTACTATGAAGATGAAAGCTGTTCCCTCAAATCTGGCAAACATTTCTGTAGCTCGAAGAAAAGAAAAAAAAAAAAAGATTAACTGTACCCATCTGTCCTTAAGACTCTTCCTGTTCTTAAGTATATCACAAATGAACATAAAACTCCTTCACTAATGTGAGTCGCCCTGTATGTTCCAGCTAACAATCACTTCCAAACAGTTGCTGTCCATGCTACACAAGTGGAGTTCCTCTAGCATTAGGGAGTGGGCATTTTATCATAACACTCTTTCTCCTGATGAGTTAGCAAGCTTTTATAAACTAACTGAAGCTACTTCCAGGACCCCAGGGTAGAGATCTTAAGAGCCTGATTACATTCTGGAGACAGTCACCTTCATAACAGGTTTCCCAAACTCTGAAGGCTAGGCCAAGAAAGGCTTTATTACCGTTTGATACAGGAAAGGACAGCATTTTCATTCAAACGTATCCTCTCCAATTCTAATCAAGCTCATCAAACCCATGTGGGCAAAACCCCAGACAGTAAAAATGGTAAGAAATGATTTTTCAAAGATAAAGATAATAAAAGGTTCACCTGAAAGCAACTAATCCTACATAGTGGAACAAAGCCCAGGAGTAAGGAAGAGACTCCCTGGGGCAGAATTATTTGATCCAGACCCACATTATTTCCAGAAGTTTCACAATTACAGCCTGCTTTCTTTAAAAAGTTTTGTGGTCCTTGTTCCTCTGCATACAAATTAAAATTTAAACATTATCAAAAAGATGTGAAATGATACATTTTGTGCAAGGCGGGAAAGCTTATAAACTGGAATAAACTTTTCCTTTGTCAACAGCTTACAAATACAGAAACGTCCTTATTGTCTTCCATCTTAAAAAGAACTTCTAGGAAAAGGTCTATTTAAAAATGCAAATTGTGCATTAAACTGTTGTGTATTATAACTTCTACAGACAATGATGAAGGTATACTTAAAATACGCACTAAGGCTGAAACGCGGTGGCTCACAGCTATAATCCCAGCACTTTGCGTAACAGCGGTGGGCTGATCACCTAAGATCAGGAGTTCAAGACCAGCCTGGCCAACATGGCGAAACCCCATCACTACTTAAAATACAAAAATTAGCCAGACGTGGTGGCGCAAACCGGTAGTCCCAGCTACTTGGGAGACTGAGACACAAGAATCGGTTGAACCCAAGAGGTGGAGGCTGCAGTGAGCCAAGATCGTGCCACTGCACTCTAGCCTGGGCGACAGAGCAAGACTCTGTCTCAAAAAAGAAAAAAAAAATGCACTCAAAACACTAAAAAGAATCTGATATTACTGATGGGAATTTATCTGGAGTAGTATCTATAAAATATCCAGTAAGTTCAATTACCACTCTATTTTGCAATGAAAACAATCTCAAAACACAATTCTATATTTTTTTACAAGTTAATTTTGTAAAACAATCTGAGATGAGTGCTTGAGATTTTTTTTTTTTTTTAAGACAAGAGTCTTGCTCTAAGGCCTAGGCTGGGGAATGAAAGAAATGGGGGCGTGGATTTTGGTCAAAGGATACAAGTTTTAAGATGAATACATTGTGGAGATCAAATGTGCAGCACAGTTAAGAACAGTTAATAATACTATATTACATATTTTACATTTGCTATGGCAGTAGATCTTACTTGTTCTCATCACACAGACATAAAAAACAGAACTATTGGCCGGGCGTGGCGGCTCACACCTGTAATCCCAGCACTTTGAGAGGCCAAGGCAGGCGGATCACGACGTCAGGAGTTCAAGACCAGCCTGACCAACATGGTGAAACCCCATCTCTACTAAAAAGACAGAAACTAGCCAGGCGTGGTGGCACACGCCTGTAATCCCAGCTACTTGGGGAGGCTGAGGCAGAAGAATCGCTCGAACCCAGGAGGCGGAGGTTGCAGTGAGCTGAAACCGTGCCACTGCACTTCAGCCTGGGTGACAGAGCGAGTTTCCATCTCAAAAAAAAAAAAAAGAGGTGATTATGTGTTAGCTTGATGGTAGTAATCATGTCAGAATGTATACATATATCAAAACATCATGTACATCTTAAACATATATAATTTTTCTTTTCTTTTTTTTTTTTTTGAGACAGTCTCACTCTGTTGCCCAGGCTGGAGTGCAGTGGCACGATCTTGGCTCACTGCAACCTCTGCCTCCCAGGTTCAAGTGATTCTCGTGCCTTAGCCTCCCGAGCAGCTGGAATTATAGGCGTGTATCACCACACCTGGCAAATTTTTGTATTTTTAGTAGAGACAGGGGTTTGCATGTTGGCCAGGCTGGTCTCCAACTCTTAACCTCAGGACCTCAGGTGATCCGCCTGCCTTGCCTCTCCCGAAGTGCTAGGATTACAGGTGTGAAGGTGTGAATCACCTTGCCCGGCCGAGTGCTTGACACTTTTGGTGAAACTACAGTTTCCCTTAAATTACAGTAAGTATACATCCAAACAACAGATGTAAAATACAATAATTTTTAAATATGTACATATGTGGAACCATAAACAATTAAGGATGTACATATGTATAACCATAAACAATTTTTTTTTTTGAGACAGAGTTTCGCTTTTGTTGCCCAGGCTGGAGTGCAATGGCGCGATCTCAGCTCACTGCAACCTCGGCCTTACAGGTTCAAGCGATTTTCCAGCCTTAGCTTCCCAAGTAGCTAGGTTTACAGGCATCCGCCACCACGCCCCGCTAATTTTTTGTATTTTAAGTAGAGATGGGATTTCACCATGTTGGCCCGGCTGGTCTCAAAGCTCCTGACCTCAGGTGATCCACCTGCCTCGGCCTCCCAAAGTGCTGGGATCACAGGCGTGAGCCACTGCGCCCGGCCATATTTTTTCTTTACGGAACACTAGGTATTAACTACTTTTGACTAGCAACTCACGCAGTCTGTAGTTATGAACAAGACTGCCAATCTGGAAGACAGGAATTTTGAAGGTCTATAAGCACACGGTTAGTAAGATAAATCTATGAAACACCCTAACACTGAGATATACATCTATCTGTAACAAAGGGCCATAAACTGTAATAGTTCTTTCCAATGGGAATCACTTAGGAATGTTATTAATACTTATTAAACAGTAATGAAAAATTCTTTTAGAAATCAGCAGCTATTAACTACTGAATACCAAAACTAGTCACTTACTTCATGTAAGGTTTTCAGAAAAACCTGCAAAAGTTATAGACAGAATGGATCCAAATTAGCTCATAATCATAACGAAGCTAACAAAAAAAAATTCAGTTCCAGTACTATGTGGTAACGTATCACACAACGTTATTATACTGGTCAGCTAAAGGAATAATGAAATTCTCTCCCACCTCTTCTCCCCAACAATATTAGCTCCAAAAGGCAGGGATCTTGGTCTTTCTAGCTATACTGACAGACCCCCAGAACAGTGCCTGGCACATAATATTCAGTATTTGCTGAACAAATTAAATGATGGCAAAACAGGTAAGAGCAGGGAAACCTGAAGAGGTCAAAGAGTTTAATTACACATACATTAACGTACAACTGGTCAATCAGAAGGCCATTAACTTGAGTGAGTTGATGTCAAATTTGAGTTACTCCACATTTTAGCAAAAAATCTTATTTAGAACATGAGACTTCAAGAATTGAGTAGTGTAAGGCTGCACACACTGCTAGAAAATCTGTTGTATATAGGCCTGGCGCGGTGGCTCACTCCTGTAATCCCAGCACTTTGGGAGGCCGAGGTCGGTGATCACCTGAGGTCGGGAGTTCGAGACCAGCCTGACCAACATGGAGAAACCTCGTCTCTACTAAAAATACGAAATTAGCCCGGTGTGGTGGCGCATGCCTGTAATCCCAGCTACTCAGGAGGCTTTTAACCCAGGAGGCGGAGGTTGCGGTTAGCTGAGATCACGCCATTGTACTCCAGCCTGGGCAACAGGAGCGAAACTCTTGTCTCAAAAAAAAAGAAAATCTGTTGTATACAACTATTAACTTCATAAAATTCTAAGTAATTCTAAACTCTAAAGTGGTCAGAATTTAGTAGGAAAATTAATATCACTCACAAATGCATAACCCAGCTCTGCCCAATTATAAGGGAAAACATACTAGTAAGCTTCGTTAGTACTCGCTTGTCAACATTTCTCACGTTTACTTAGAAAAAAGTTTGAAACATTCAAAAAATCTTTAATTATTATCAAAACACTTATTCTCCTAAATTCCATCGTACCTATTTACACAAAGCAGAGGTTTTCGCACACTGACTTTAGTATTTATGTTCTTACAATTTCAGAATTCTGCATGAGGTGTATCCTTTTAAATTTTAGGAATTCAGAGAGGTCCTCATGTTCTCTGAAACTAAATCACTTGACTCAACTGGGGCAATCACATCAAGGTAAGTCTTTCCTCACTGCAACTGCGCTTCAGGAAAAGCATGCTTTAAAAAGTGACAACAAATCCCCCTCTTTCGCTGGTACATCATATGAAGTATTTATGAATCTAAGAAGGGAAGACCAAGATCTTTCTCTAATTTTACTTTTTAAAATCTTCTGTCCGATTGCTAGTTCGTCTGTCTTGACGTATGCCTTTTATTGTAGCGACATAGGCAAGTATGCCCAGTTCGTTAACAGTACATTTTAATTGCTTGCCACGGGGAAGCTGAACCAGATTTGACACCCAAAGTTATATCCTATATACTAAACATCGCAAGGGTACGACTCAACGTAATGCCAAAAAAGAAAAAGTTTCTGAGCAGAACACGTTTGCTGTCACTGAAAGCGATGAAACAAAGCTACTCCGCAAGGCGACTACACTCATTCTTTGGGCTCCCAAGGCTGAGAAATGGAGAACCAATTGGCCGGTTTGCTCTCTGTTGCTTCCCCCCCACCCGGCCTTCCTCCGAGTGGCGAGGCAATCCTGCACAAGAGTTTGTAAAGTGCTTAGGAAGCTTGTAGGATGAAAGACGCTATAAATACACCCAATGTTACTAGTTTATGACCACGGAGCATTCCGTGGAACCACTGTCACTGCGTCGGGGGCAGGTTGATGGCATAGACCTTCCTGGGGAGGGGGGCAGAGAGAGAGGGCAGCCCCTTCATCACCCTAAAAGCTAGGCTGGGTAAATTTTCAAAGTGTAGCGAAACCCCACGTGAAAAGTTCCACACACGCCCCACACAGGGAGGACTCCGCGGCTGCTAGCAGCGCCGGAGACTGGGCCTACAACCCCGGCAACGTGGGGAGGCGTGGGGCGGCCGAGGGGCCCCGGCCGCAGCCGACGCCCGCGGAGCGGCTGAAGGAGCAGCTCCCGGACGGGGGCGCGGCGCCAGGCCCGGGCTCCCGGCGCGGGGAACGGCCCGGGAGGGCGGCCGCGCCGGGGCCCCGCGCCGCCCGGTTGCCGGGAAGGCTCGCGCCCCGCGGCCGGCGGGCGTGGGGGAGGGGAGGCCGGGCCTGCGGCCTGTTGGGGGACTTCAGCCCGGGCCTCGCGTGCGGCTCTCGGCCCGGCCCCCGGCCCCGGGGTCCCGGACGCCGAGGAGAGACTCACCGGAAAGGCCCGGATCCGCATCTTGGTGTCCTTCCGGCTGCCCGTGCCTTTGCTCAGATTCGACATGGTGCTCGTCCCCTCCCCGGCGGCGGCTTCAGGTCGCGCTCCGCGACGCCGGTGTCACATTTAAGGCGGGCAGGCAGGCTAGGGGCGACGCTGGGGGCGGCGGCGGCGCGACCCCCGGGCAGGGCTGGGGAGCTGGCCGGCCCCTGGGCAGCCGCGGCGGCGGCGGGGGCGGCGGCGGCGGCGGCGGCGGCTCGGACTCTGGCGACTCCGATGCGGCTGGGGGGCTGCGCTGGCGCGGCGGCTCCGCGGGGTCCCCCTCACGTCCGGCTCGGCTCCCTTTATCGCGCTCCTCCGCGATGGCGGCGGCGGCGGCGACGGACAAACATCTCACTGCGCAGGCCGAACGTCGTCCTCCTCCTCCTCCTTCTCCTCCTCCGCCTGAGCGAGACGAGATCCGGCCCAGAGGGTGGAGGGGGGAGGAGGGAGGGAGGAGAGCCGGAGAGTGAGAGATGCCGGGGGAGGGAGGTGGGAGGACGGGAGGGGGAGCCCGGCGGCCGCCGCGGGGGACGCTCAGATCTCGCGAGAAGAGGGCGAGCGCGCTGCCCCCC
Organism: Homo sapiens; assembly: GCF_000001405.40. Lineage (NCBI taxonomy): Eukaryota > Metazoa > Chordata > Mammalia > Primates > Hominidae > Homo > Homo sapiens. The sequence continues at coordinate 224,585,558 of NC_000002.12, forward strand.
TGGTGGGCGGGGCGAAGCCCGGGAGAGGGTGGGCGCCACCGGAGGGGAGGAGGGGAACAGGGAACTGAAGGAAGTGGGAGGGGCCGGCGGGGCGGGGAAGCGGAAAGGGGGCGTGGCTGAGGGCGGGAGGATTAAGCTGCCTTTTTGAAAGTGGAGCGCCAGGTCCCGGGTTCTGGGTGGAGGTGGTTGCTGATTGGTGGAGCTCGGAGCGGCGGTTGGGAGGGTCCTGGTCACATGGTGGGGAGTGGGAGGGGGGAAGTTCGGAGAGCGGGAGCGGGATGGTAGTGGGCTGGGCCCCACTGGGCTGGGACAGCAGGAGGATAGTCTTGAGGAGGAGCGTGGGGTGCTAGATGTGTAACTACGTCCCGAACTGGTTCCTGTGTTTTTCTAGGGCATGTGGACTAGGGATGGGTACTTGAGTAGAAGCCTGCAACTTGAAGAGTTTGTGCAGGAGTTAGCTGCAGTGTCGGAAATTAGTGTCCTGTATGCTCAACAAGGTATTCGGACTGGGTGTGCACACCACAGCTCTCAGGACTGGAAGGTGGAAATTTAATCTACGAAGTTCCCTTAAACTGCATAAGCTTCGGGACCTCTTGATTCACTGATATTTTCTGGTGGACCCAGGGCTTATTCATGTTAAAACCTGTTTTTCATTACCATCAGAATAAACTGACAGCTCCATTAATGAAATGCAGCATTTGGTAAATAATGTTAAGTGGAATGATAGAAACCTATCTTTAACCTACCGGATAAATCATTTCTACCATTACCAAGAGTATTGTAGATTTTTAAAGCCAAAATTACCGTCTGATTCAGTTGCTGTATATTTGAAAAGGTTTTGGCTTTTGGTTTTGGAGGAGAGGCGTTTGGTCGCTTTATAGTCAAAATGTCTAATTTGACTTATCGGTTTTGCTGTCCATTTGTTATGAATTGTACTTCCTCATTTACCTACTTGCCCAATTGCTGTTATGTTTGGGTTTCTGACTCTGCAAGGGAATACGTGAGTTCTTATTAAAGTTTGTGTTCTTCCTATTTTAAAGAAGCATATGTTTGGGGGATGGATATCTACATTTAGAAGCTGGAATTTTAATACTTTTAAATAGCAAACAATATAAAGTGAAATACACTTATTTGTTGACTGTAAGGTTGAATTTGCCCTAAATTAACTTAATCCTGATGACTAAGCTTATGAGTGTTGTGCTTAAAGCCCCTTCTTGCTTAAAACGCCCCACTGCAAATACCATATTTTCTTGTTTTTTTTTTTTTTTTGTGGGAGTTTTTTGGTATTGGCTAATTAAAGCAGGAGCTTAAGAAACAAGAATGTTGCTTAAGACAATATCTGTAAATACTGAAGCTAAAAATAGGTTATCAAGAACTGAGTTGATAAACTAAGATTGGGAGAGGCTCTGACTTCAATGTAAGATAATGTCAGCCTTGAATAGGAGTTTATAATCTCTATGCTAATTGAACCTCCATTTCCATAACATAATATAATAACAAACAATGTTTTTCTCTTGGTTGTACTCTCATATGGCCCAGTTTCTTTGTAATGTAAGAATATATGTTCAGAATAGGGATCTCTGAGGAACCAAAAAAAGAAATAAAAAAATATTTTAAAAAAGAATATGTGTTCTTGGAGCCATTGTTTGAATCTCAATTCTGCCACTTTACTAGCTGTGTTTTGCATCTTTTGGGGCATGGAGTTGACAATCCCCAGAATTTCTCATCTGTAAAAGGGAGACAATAACAATACTTCCTCCTTGGGCTACCGTGAAATTTAAATAGATGAATACGTTTTAAAGAGCCCTGAGAACTGGGCATGGAGCAGCAACTTACCACCTGTTGGCTGTTATTAACATGGGCATTAAAGCCAAGGTTATACTACTTCCTTTATTCAATAGGTAGGTTTCTAAACAACAACAACAAAAAACACTTGTATGCTTTTATAAAATGAGTCATATTTTGAAACTAAGCCAGTCTCCGACATTTGGATCTCTCAGACTAATAAAATATTTTCTGATAAGCTAGGGAGTCATTATAGATTTGGCAACTTTATATTGGCAAGGGTATTAAAAAGGAACAACTAGCATAGATTATTCCCATCATTTATTAAAAAGTATTTTAACCTCAGAAATGAGGGAAGATCCATTTTTGAATAAAGGACAGTTCCTTGAATTGAACAGCCTCGTAATGAACAATACGTCACACGAATTTTTCTTATTTCACTGTGAACCTAAGGAGACATCATGGGCCAGCATTTAGAAACCCACTACATTAAGGTATGTTTCTACTTAATTGTAAAGCATATAGTAAGTATAGTAACTGTAATGTATTTGCTTTGTGAACCCAGATTTTCGTATATTGGTGTTGCTTAACCAAAATTTAGCTGCGTCTAAAAGCATCACTGTGAACTGTGTCTTCCCTTAAGCTTTTAACCACCAAGGATCAGAAAAATGCTTCAAAATGATTTTGTCATTAAGAAGTCTGCTCATTTATTTGTTCAGTTATTCATTTATTCAATAATTATTATTGAATGGCTACTGTATGTCAGGAACTAGGGTGAATGAGACAGATGGGACCTGCCATCACATCCTTTTTCACATCTCACAGTTTGTAAACCACAGACCCATATTGGATTTGGCCCCAACTTTGTATATGCTTCAGTTCTGAAATCAGATATTTTCCTTCCTGTGGAAGCAACATCCTCAGAATGTCTATGAAATACTTTCTGAAGCAGCAGTAGATTATTTTTCTGTGCCCAGTCATATTCCCTGACTTGCAAATAGCAAATAAACTTTCAGGATGTTGCTTTTCTGCAAACTGCCACCTGATCTAGCAGAGAAAGCAGCACTGGAATAGGAACTCACTAGATCTTGCATGGCTGGCGATTGGTATTCCTACTCATGCTGACAGTGTCCTGACACAGGAAAACAGTGGCCTCATTTCCATTTATTCTTTCCATTTATGCATATGGAGCACATGCATTCAGAGAGATCAGGCAGTTGGGTGGGCCAGCCCCTTTTCTACATCCCAGTCTGTGAAAGAGCAATATAAGATGTGAGGAGCTGGTAAAAGGAAGTAATAGCCTCTTCTTGACCATCAGTTTCTAGGTACTCGGGATACCAAGTCACTTTAATCAATGTTTCAGATCTGCTGATTTTATTGTACAGATATTGGTTGTTAAAACAGCTCAAAGCCTACAATTTCAATTTGAAAGACCCGTTCAATGGTTTTGAGTAGACCAAGACTATGTTAAGAGAGAGAAAATGTTTTTAAGTTGGAAGGCAAAGATGTATAGATATTATCAGCTCTTGGAATGGAAGGGCTAGATCTTCTACTTTCTTGTCTCTACCAGGCAACTAATAAGTATTATAGGCCATTAGATATGGAGTTGTATATATTTAGGGTAGTAGCATGTGTATGTGCATTATAAGATGACATTGTCGGCAAATACCCCATTGAGAACATAACCACAGATGCTTAAATATGTGAAAACTGTAGGCCTTCTCCATGCAACTTTTCTACTGTGTCCTTAAAATTTTTCTTATATTATTGAGACAAGAAGCATATGAGACACATAAGCATATGAGACGTTACATCTTAAACTAAAAAATGTTAAATGTCTGATTATATCATAAAAATCCATCTCAGTATTTCATCATATGGTCATACAAAAGAAAATCATCTCCCTGGCAGCTCTGGAAATGTTCTGGTTGGCTTGGACAGTCTGTTTATTCCACATGTACCCAATAAATTAACATTTTGTAAATAAAAATATCTATACAACCAACTAACCCAATTGAACATAATATAGATTCTCAATTTAAAAATATAGGCATGGCTTCTATGTAATCTTATTTCAAAGAAAAAGAATTTCTTCTTATTAATACCATTGTAACAGTAAATGTATCAAGAAACCTCTAGGGGACAGTTATGAGTATGTATTGCTTTCATTCATGACAAGTAAAATATATGTTGAAGTTTGTAACTCATCAGCTCTGTCTTTGTGAAGTAAGTTAATTTTGGAGTTGAGATAAAGCATTGTGCCAAAAGAGCTATAAAAATAATGGTCTAAATTTTATGTTAGATTTAGTAATTGTATGAATTATAAATACTACAGTGGACAAATGTAATAAAATGGCATTATCTTTTTTTTGTTTTTTGAAACGGAGTCTCGCTCTTTTGCCCAGGCTGGAGTGCAGTGGTGGGACCTCAGCTCACTGCAACCTCTGCCTGCTGGGTTCAAGCAATTCTCCTGCCTCAGCCTCCCAAGTAGCTGGGATTACAGGCGCCCACCACCATGTCTGGCTCCTTTTTTTGTATTTTTAGTAGAGATGTGGTTTCACCATGCTGGCCAGGCTGGTCTCGAACTCCTGACTTCGTGATCCACCCACCTCGGCCTCCCAAAATGCTGGGATTACAGATGTGAGTCACCGCGCCCGGCAATGGCATTATCTTTAAACTTCTTTAATAAGCTCTTTGTCTTCAGTTCGTAATAAAACTATATTCTTAACTCTTATATCTAGAACTGGTAGAAATCAGAATCTGAGAGAAGGAGCCCTCGTAAAGAAAAGAACCTTTAAGAGACTAAAAGATGTAAAAATTCTTGGGGCCAGGCCAGGCGTGGTAGCTCACGCCTGTAGACCCAGCACTTTGGGAGGCCAAGGTGGGAGGATCACCTGAGGTCAGGAGTTCAAGACCAGCCTGGCCAATGTGGTGAAACCCTGTTTCTACTAAAAATACAAAAAAATTTAGCCGGGTATGGTGGCAGGCACCTGTAATCCCAGCTACTCTGGAGGCTGAGGCAGGAGAATTACTTGAAACTCGAGAGGCAGAGGTTGCAGTGAGCCAAGATCGTGCCACTGCACTCCAGCCTGGACACCAAGAGCAAAACTCCATCTCAAAAACAAAAACAAAAACAAAAACAAATTGTTGGGGCCTATTTCTAGCCTGAAATTGACAAATGAATTCCTAGAGTAAGTTGATTTTTAAGTTATTGGTCTCTGAGTCCTCTAATTTTTGCATGGCTAGATATTGGGCAAAAAAAAACCCTTTAATGGGCAATTCTGAAATAGTGTGACAAGTGGACACCTTGTTAGGATAAAACCAGCAACTTTACATCAAACCTAGTTAAAAACCTTTTAAAGAATTTTCATTTATGAGAAATTGGTTAAAAATGGTATGGAACTTCTCTGTTACTGAAATTCTCATTGAGAAGTGGCTATCTCTACATGAACCTTTGGGGTTTTTTTTGGTTTTTTTTGAGGAAAAAAACTACTTTAGATGCCTGTTGTAAAGGCAGTTTCATATTCTTCTGTTAATTAGTATAGTGATGTTTGTCCTTTCTTGGGGAGGGGAGGAGGTATTTCCTATTAGTACCCTGGTCTCTTGTTTTAACAGAATCACCCACTGGGTGTGGTCTTGGTGGATAGTGGCTTCTACTTCCTACCATGGTAGTTGGAGGGGTCTGATCTTCCCTGTCCTCTGCCCAGTTCGGCCTGGGAGTGGAGGTACAGGGAGACACAGGCAATCAGACCCTCTCCTAGAAGCTCTGACTGTTGAGTAGGTGACTGAAGGACACAGGATGGTTGGTGGGTACTCAAGCAGTGGCAGTGGGTGGCCTGGGCTCTTCCCACAGAATGACTTTAGTTGCAATTCCTGCTCCTCGACTTTCCAGCTGTCCTCTGGTTCCTGCTTGTTGTCCAACCCTGGTCCTCCTACCTCCCCTAGTTTTCTGTGACTCCAAACATGCCTTCCCCAGATTCCATTTTTGCTTAAAATAGTCAAAGTTTGTTTCCCCCATGTGTCACTCAGCGTCCTGGCAGGAAACAGATGGCTCACTCCAACAGGGAAATTGAGAAGAGTTTAACTACAGGACTTTCACATGGTATGGGTAGAGATAGAAGGTGATCAAGGGGTGATGAAGCAGCTTAGGACTAGCAACAGCAGGGGGCCTTGCACTGCTTCCAGGCTTGAAGGACAAAAGGGAAGAAGTGGACACCAGAGATTCTTGCTATTACTGTGGGAGAGAGCTGCCTGACAAACTGAGGCATTAGGGGGAAACCAAAGCTACTGATGCTTTCTGGCACAGTGAGAAGGCTGCCAACAGACAAAATACCCGCCTCACTTTCCTCCTTCCGTGGGATTTCTGACTGGTGCCTCCCATTGTGTGAACCTAACTGAAAGCCAGAGCTCAAGGGAGCCATTGATGGGAGCCATTGATGGAGTCCATAAAAGTCACAAGGGTACAACTGTCCAGGGTGGAGGAAGGTGAACTTTAGATCTGGAGAGGCTAACAAGGGATGTTCGTGTAGAGAGCTTGTAAACAAGCCCTTAGAGTGGTAACGGTAAAAAACATATATTAATATAAATTATGGTAAAGCCCCTCATAGAGTTATAGAGTCTGTGCACTGTAGGGAGGTGTCTAGCTGAGGAGGCAAATGGAGACTAGTATCCAAGGCCTGTGCCCTGCAAGGGCCATTATCACCTGGAGGACGGAGCACCTGTTTGCTTGGTCAGAGATGCCACCTCCACTCTAAGCTTTGGAGCTGTGGAGCTGCATTTGTTCTGGAGGTGGGCAGGGCCTTTTGTTTTTTTCTGATTTGCACAAAGCCACCACATAGATTAGCAGTGGCTCTGTGCATTGCCATGTTAACTCATATATTAAAGTGTAAAACAATAGAGCATCATAGTTAAAAGTGCCAGTTCTGGAGTCAGACTATCTGTGTTCTAATCCGCATTCTGCGGTGTATTAAATGAGCCCCAATTATTCTCAATAGTAAAATTAGGCTAATAATAGTACCAACCTCTAAGACTAGTTTGAGAATTAAGTGAAATAATGTAGATAAAGTATTTAGCACAACACCCCGCACATACTTTGAACTCAATATTAGAAGTTGTTTTATGGTTAATTTCTAATCTCATCTTTGTTTTTTCAGTCTAGGTTTGGTAAATGACACAAGCGTCACAAGCGTGTTTACTAGTTTCTGCCTTTTTTTTTTTTTTTTTTTGGACACAGTCTTGCTCTGTCTCCCAGGCTGGAGTGCAGCGGTGCGATCTCAGCTCACTCTAACCTCCACCTTCTGGATCCAAGCAATTCTCATGCCTCAGCCTCCTGAATAGTTGGGACTGCAGGCGCGGGCCACCACGCACAGCAAATTTTTTGTATTTTTAGTAAAGATGGTTTTTTTGTTTGTTTTTTGTTTGTTTGTTTTTGAGATGGAGTCTCACTCTGTCGCCCAGGCTGGAGTGCAGTGGCGTGATCTCAGCTCACTGCAAGTTCCGCCTCCCGGGTTCATGCCATTCTCCTGCCTTGGCCTCCCAAGTAGCTGGGACTACAGGCGCCCGCCACCACGCCCAGCTAATTTTTTGTATTTTTAGTAGAGACGGGGTTTCACCGTGTTAGCCAGGATGGTCTAGCTCTCCTGACCTCGTGATCCGCCTGCCTCGGCCTCCCAAAGTGCTGGGATTACAGGCATGAGCCACCACCCCCGACCAAAGATGGGGTTTTGCCATGTTGCCTAGGCTGGTCTCATACTCCTGAGCTCAGGCAATTTACCCGCCTGCTTGGCCTCCCAAAGTGCTAGGATAACAGGCATGAGCCACTGTGCCTGGCCTGGTTTCTGCATTTATGCAACTACTACCACATCCTGTGTCTCTGTCTCTTCCCTGATGCCCACTTCCATTATTTCTTACACAGTGACCTCTCTTTCACGTATATCTTGTACCTATACTTTCATCCTGTCTCAAGCATATCACTTTCCAATCAGCATTCATCTTCCCTGCAATGTTCATTTCACTAGACCTTTCCACTAGCTGTCTCTTATCTATGAAGGAAATTCCCAGGTTATCTGTCCTTCCAGGGATAGTCAAGAGCAGCAAGGTTCCCAGAAACAATGGAAAAGAAGAAACAGCGATGGGAACTCAACTTTGAATTTTAAACCAGTTCAAAATCTTCAACAGGCTTTAAATTATTGACACCCTCTCAGTATTTAGATTAAGATTTGGTTCACTACACATCTAGGATGAAAACTTTAAATCTGTTATAATGACTTTAAGATGTAACAATGGGCTCAAAATAAACGCACAAAGTAATGTATACTATCACTTCTCATGAGCTTTCTTATACTATGTTCTTTCTAAAACATAAGCATCATAAACTTTGGATTTGTTAACTACATACATGTGGTCCAATTCATCATCATTTGTTCGCCTGCATTCCTTTCCCCACTGAGATGACACATTTATCATGTCCAAAAGGGCAACAATGCTGGACCTTACCTCACTCATTACAAAAACAGAAAAGTTAAGGGACTCATGTTAATCATAACTACATGGCAAATTAAATCACCCTTAATAATTTGATCAAAACTATGATACTATATTTTCCAAAGTCCTTTTTTTTTTTTTATTTGAAATGGAGTCTCACTCTGTCTCCCGATGCAGTGGTGCAATCACAGCTCACTGCAGCTTTGAACTCCTGGGCTCAAGCAATCCTTCCACCTCAGCCTCCAGAGTAGCTGGGACCACAGGTACATGCCACCACGCCTGGCTTTTTTTATTTTTTGTATAAATGAGGTCTTGCTTGTTGCCCAGGCTGGTCTCAAACTCCTAGGCTCAAACTACCCTCCCACCTAGGCCTCCCAAAGTGCTAGGATTACAGGCTGAAGTACTTTTTATGTCTATTGATAAGAAGGCAGTTCTTCCCATAATTATGTCCAGGCATCTAGAGGTAATTGGAATGGTCCATGTGGCTGTAGTTTGATCAACTCATTCATCATTGGTTTTTGATGAATTTTCATGGCTACTTCCAATGTTACGCTAACCAGTGCTACATGCTAATGAGTGACGGTGGGAGGGATAGGGAAGGATTACAAATTAGTTGAATACAAGCAATATTGCTTTTTTTTTTTTAATTTATTTTTATTTTTTGAGACAGTCTCACTCTATTGCCCAGGCTGGAGTGCAGTGGCGTGATCTCGGCTCACTGCAACCTCTGCCTCTGTGGTTCAAGTGATTCTCCTGCCTCAGCCTCCCAAGTAAACTGGGATTACAGGCGCCCGCCACCGTGCCTGGCTAATTTTTGTATTTTTAGTAGAGACAAGGTTTCACCAGGCTAGTCTCGAACTCCTGACCTCAGGTGATCTGCCCGCCTCGACCTCCCAAAGTGCTGGGATTACAGGCATGAAATATTGCTTTTTAAAACAAGTCAGCAGACTCTCCTCCATATCAACAACTAATACCTTTGAACCCACAGAATATTAGTAATTATAATTATTTACTCAAAGCAGTAGAGTAGATGAGTAATTGGAGAAATATATGACATTAGATGACTGCTAACAATTAAGTTTGCCCATGAAAATTATAGTGCATCTGCTATGGTTTGGATATGGTTTTTTCGTTTCCATCAAAACTCATGTTGAAATTTGATCCCCAATGTGGCAGTGTTGGAGGTGGAGCCTCGTAGGAGGTGTTTGAATCATGGGGGGCGGATCCCCATGAATGACTTGGTGCCATTCTTGCTGTAGTGAGTTCTCTCTCTCACAAGACTGGACTGCTCCAGGAATAGATTCCCTGGCTAAGTGCAGTGGCTCATGCCTGTAATCCCAGCAATTTGGGAGACCAAGGCAGGCGGATCTCTTGAGCTCAGGAGTTTGAGACCAGCCTGGGCAACATGGCGAATACCCGCCTTTGCTAAAAATACACGCACACACACAATTACCTGGGTATGGTGATATGTGCTTGTAGTCTGAGCTACTTGAGAGTCTGAGGTGGGAGAATCACCTGAGTCTGAGAAGTCAAGCTGCAGTGAGCCATGATCCTGCCACTGCACTCCGGCTTGGGTGACAGAGTGAGACGCTGTCTCAAAAAAAAAAAAAAATTCCTCTGAAAGGAGGTTTTATAAAGTGAGGTTCCTCCTCCTCTTTGATCTCTTTGCACACATGTTCACTTCCCCTTTGACCCTCATCATGTTTTGACCTAGCTCATGGCCAAGCAGATGCTAGCACCATGCTTCTTGTACTTTCCAGCCTGCAGAACTGTGAGCTAAATAAACCTTGTTTCTTTATAAATTGCCCACTCTCAGGTATTCTGTTATAGCAACAAAACAGACAGCATCTGAATCAGCTAAATTGCTTTCCACTGCAAGTAACAGAAAACCTAACTCCAATTGGCGTAATCAAATATATTATGTCATATAGCACGAAGTCCAGAGGCAGGATGGATTCCAGGCATGCTACATCGCAGGGCTCCAGCCCAACGTTGTGATAGTTTTCTTGGCCCTGGGCTCCTACTTGACTGGTGGCAAGGTGGCTACAGTCATTATAGGTATCACAGATACAACAAAGTCCAGACCAGAGGAAGAAGAGAGACTGTCTCCTTCTTATGGATCTGTACTATGGGTAGGAAACTGTTCCCAGAGGCAGGAGACTCTCTCTCATGGCTCATTAGCCAAGACTAGGTTACATTCCTGTTTTAATCCATTCAGTGCCAAGGGGGATGGGCATAGTTAATACTAGTCATAGAGGTGGAATAGATCTTGGGAGTCAACCACTACCACTTATTAGTACAGAGCCTGTTTGTTTATCTCTTTCTGAAGAGATTTACATGGAGATTAATGAGTTTGAAGGGAAATGTCCAGGAGGTGTGAGTGTGTGTGTGTGTATAATAGTGTATGGCTAATGAAGGTGCATGATCTCAGGCCTCAAACTGCACTGAAGAATAGTTCTCATCCACAACAGTTCTCAGATGATGAGAGCAAAGAAAAGTACATCATAGGCAGGGCCCTACGGAAAGGTGAGGCTTGTTCCAAAAGTTACCGTGGGTGTGCACATTTTCACAGACACCTGCACTCTCCTGTCAGGGGTTCTGGGCTGCTCTTTCAGAAGCTCTTAGAGAAGCCTTATTCACTGTTACCTGCTTTTATGTGATCTATAAACTAGCCACAGGCAAATGAGAACAAGGTGGTTGCCCACACAGTGCAACTTGGGGAGGAAGAGGCCCTTTACCCTCCAAAACTCTCTCCTCCAAAAATAAAGCAAACCAAATGCACAAAATCACAGAAACCAAATTAGCTTCATGCTCAGGTAGACTCAATAGATAACTATGGGACCAGCCTGGGCTACATGGTGAAGCCTCATCTCTACCAAAGAAAAAGAAATTGTTATTTTTTTTTTAGATGGTGTCTTGCTCTGTTGCCCAGGCTGTAGTGCAGTGGTGCCATCTTGGCTCACTACAACCTCCACCTCCCAGGTTCAAGCCATTCTCTCGCCTCAGCCTCCCAAGTAGAGTCAGGGTATTTTTAGTAGAGACGGGGTTTTACCATGTTGGCCAGGCTGGTCTCGAACTCCTGACCTCGGGTGATCCTCCGGCCTCGGCCTCCCAAAGTGCTTGGATTACAGGTGTGAGCCACTGCACCCAGCCTACAAAAAAAATTTTTTTTTCAAGTTAGCCAGATGTGGTGGTGTGTGCTTATAGTCCCAGCTACTCAGGAAGCTGAGGTGGGAGGATCACCTGAGCCCAGGAGGTCGAGGCTGCAGTGAGCTATGATAGCACCACTGCACATCAGCCTGGACGATAGAGTGAAACCCTATCTCAAGAAAAGAAAAAGAAACTGCTTTATCATTTTGCCAAAATTTCTAGTAAGGCAGACACATCTATATAAAACACATGAGAAAATAATGTGAGAGAGAGATTCAAGTATGTGTCCTACTTGAGCCAATATATGGGGAAGAAACCATAAATATAAGACTCTCAGGAGAGGGGCCCATTTGGCCCTCTGGGCGCTCCTCTTCTTGTAGTCTGGCTCCTGAGAAGGACGCTGGGATTTGGTTCTTCATTTCCTGCTTGTTGATAAGAAACTGGCACCTTACATTACAAATTAATCAAGACATTGCCAAAGAATAAAGTGTGATCTTGGGTTCATTTTGGACCCTCCTAAGAAGGGTGAGGGGGTATGTGAGAATTTGGTATTGGGATGTTTAGTGCAGAAATGTTTATACTTGACTGATGCAAAAATGTTTTATCAGTCATTGTGGAACCCCTCAAGCGCTTGACCCTGTCTTTACTATTTGGTAGCAAAAGTGCATGTGTCTCCCTAAGATGTGAACAGCTGGCATAACAAGGAAACTTCCCTTTGGGAATAGAAGTTAGTATTTTACGTCAGATCTATTCATAATTTATTGCTTCTTTTGGGGGGATCATTTACTAACCTCCTTTTTTTTTTTTTTTTTTTTGAGACGGAGTTGCGCTCTGTCACCCAGGCTGGAGTGCAGTGGTGCATTCTCGGCTCACTGCAACCTCTGCCTCCCGGGTTCAAGTGATTCTCCTGCCTCAGCCTCCCAAGTAGCTGGGATTACAGGTGTGTGCCACCACACCTGGCTAATTTTTTGTATTTTTTAGTAGAGACAGGGTTTCACTGTGTTAGCCAAGATGGTCTCGATCTCCTGACCTCATGATCTGCCTGCCTAGGCCTCCCAAAGTGCTGGGATTACAGGCATGAACCATCACGCTTGGCCTTTTTCTTTTTTTTTTTTCTTGAGATGGAGTCTCGCTGTGTCGCTCAGGATGCAGTGCAGTGGTACAATCTTGGCTCACTGCAACCTCTGCCTCCCACATTGAACCGATTCTCCTGCCTCAGCCTCCCGAGTAGCTGGGATCACAGGTATGCACCACCACACCCAGCTAATTTTTGTATTTTTAGTAGAGATGGGGTTTCACCATGTTGGCCAGGCTGGTCTTGAACTCCTGACCTCAAGTGGTCTGCCCACCTTGGCCTCCCAAAGTGCTGGGATTACAGGCATAAGCAACCGCGCCTGGCCTAACTTCCTAAAGTAAGGAAATATCTAAGGTACAATTTCTGGTATTTTCACGGGGGTATACTTTCCCAACGGAATGGAGGGCTACCACTGATAAAACACCACCTGTGTGCCTGTGTCATGACTGCATTGCTTGTTTCATGCTCACACAGTCCTGTGTGACTATTATTATAATAGTATTGTGACAAAGAGCACTGGGGTCAACTAACTAGCCAAATGCCCTTGGGTGCTCCTTTTTAAAAACATAAAGGAGGGGACAGTAAAAGTACCTACCTCACGAAATGGTCGTGAGAATTAAATGAGCTAGGGAATGTTGAGTGTGCTTCACTCAGCACCTTGCAAATAATAAGCACTTCGTAAATATCTGCTTGTGTTTTGTTGTTTTCCTCATTTTACAGGTAAGAAAGTCATATCTTCAAGAGATTAAGTAACTTGTCATATCAGAGACAGGTTAAGTCACTTGCTTAAGGTCACCACATAAGTTAGTCATGAGAGAGGAATTCAAACCCTTTTGTCTAATTTCAGGTTTGTCCAATTCTAGAGTCAGATGTTTCACAACTATGTCATCTTTCTGTTGAATAGTCTATTTCAAATACTTTATTCCAATTATGCAAGATAATGGGATGAAGCTCCTAAAAGTTGGAACGTTAAAATAAATATTTTTTTGTTGTCATCCTGAGTGTTCTGCACTTAGGAGGCATTAAGCGGATGTTGCTGCATGACTGAAAAATGGGGAATCTATGCTTAAGAACTTGATAAACTACCATGTTGCAGTTTTCAGTAATAGACTGAAAATGTAATAATAACTCATACTGGCCGGGCGCGGTGGCTTATGCCGGCAATCCCAGCACTTTGGGAGGCCGAGGTGGGTGGATCACGAGGTCAAGAGATCGAGACCATCCTAGCCAACATGGTGAAACCCCATCTCTACTAAAAATACAAAACTAAGCTGGGTGTGGTGGGACGTGCGTGTAATCCCAGCTACTCGGGAGGCTGAGGCGGGAGAATCAGTTGAACCCGGGAGGCGGAGGTTGCAGTGAGCCAAGATCAGGCCACTGTACTCCAGCCTGGCAACAGAGCGAGACTCCGTCTCAAAAAAAACAAACAAAAAAAAAACCCAAAAAACTCATACCTTAGCAAGGTGAAGAGGTTTGCCTGAGGTTGTAAAGCTAGCAGGTGGCAGAACTCCAGGGGGAAGTGTGCGTGGCTGCATTCCTGACCCATGTTCCTGACTGCCCTGCTGAATTGTCCCCTTGCTTTGAAAAAGCTCCCAGTGTGTTCAGAGTGAATTTTCTACAGTATATAGAAAAACCTTAAGTAACCAGGACCTAAGAATCAGGCTTTGTTGTCTCTGCTCTGGTGAAATAAATGCCATCAAAATAAACACATAAAACCAAAAAAACACAATATGCAAAACCAACAAATAAAGTAGCCAATAAAACAAACACCCTCGTGCTTGGTTTGCGGTGGGTATGGGGTCCCACAAAGTCAGTCAATTTCCATGCCATCTGCAACTTCTCTATTTCTGTCTGTTACTATGATCTTTACTCATGACCACCGTCTTCGAGAAAAGATTTCGTTTTGCTAAGTGTTCTCTCTATGTTAGAGAAAGGAGCTAAAGTTTCAACAAGTTTTGAAGCGAAAAAATTTTCTCAGTTCACCAGAAAATTTATATTTATCTAAATGTCCCAGCTATGGTTAAGAGAATTTTTTTTAAGTAACCGCAGTACAACTTCTTTTATTGCAGTTTATTGTTTTTTGGATATGGGTATACTGTGCGTCAAGTTGCATGTACCCAAATAAATCAACCAACTAAAGAGAAACTTGGTGTGTTTCAGCTGGCCTGTAAGGTGAGGTTTTCCTTTAACACCAAATTTTAAAGCCATTCTGATGCATTGTGTTACAGCAAACATAACTGGTGATTCAATTCTGAATATCTGAATCACCTTAAAATGTAAAAATAAATACATACTTTTATTATATGTGAAATTTTAGCTCAAAAGGAAGAAAAAGAACCATAGGCAACTCTTTATTCTAAACTCTGTTTAACAATATGCAGGCTGACATGTTTGGGAATGATGTATACTGATGTTTTCAACTTGATTTGAAGTGCATCAAAATAATAAGGATTTTGGATGGATATAGGGATGGGTAGAAAAATAGATGATAATACCACTGCACAGTTCCTTCAACCTTACAATATGTTTGGAAATTTTCAATAAAATGTTGAGAAAAACATGAATGCATGGATTAAATTACTAGTAGTCAGACATTATTTAAAAGAGTCCAGAAAATGCTTGTATGATAGAAAATCTCACATTAAGTGAACTTGATTATGAAAACATAGAATTAATAACGACTTTGGTTGCAATTTATCAGTGCCCAGTAAGTGCCAAGAACTGCACAAAGCGCTTAATAAATGTGATCTAATTTAGGCCAGGTGCCATGGCTCATGCCTGTAATCCCAGCACTTTAGGAGGCCAAGGTGGGCGGATCACGAGGTCAGGAGATGGAGACCATCCTGGCTAACACGGTGAAACCCCATCTCTACTAAAAATACAAAAAATTAGCCAGGCTTGGTGGCGGGTGCCTGTAGTCCCAGCTACTCGGGAGGCTGAGGCAGGAGAATGGCATGAACCTAGAAGGCGGAGGTTACAGTGAGCCAAGATCACGCCACTGCACTCCAGCCTGGGCGACACAGTGAGACTCCGTCTCAAAAAAATAAATAAAAATAAATAAATAAATAAATGTTATCTAATTTAATACAAATGTCTTTTGAAGTATGGGGAATTATCCTTATTTTACAAGTTAGGAAACAAGCATAAGAAGGTTATATAACATTCAGAGAGTACACATCCAATAAGCAGCAGATACAGAAACTGTATCTGTCTGGGTCTATAGCCAATGCTGTTAGCCACTGCACTCCAGGAAAGGGAAAACTGAACTGGAAACCTTTAGAGATTATCTAATTCAATGTCCCTACCTCTTGTCACAAATGACACAAATGTTCAGCAGCACTAGAATCTCAGAGTTTCGACTCTGGTTAAGGCTTTCCCACTAGTCACCGTGTGTCACACTAAGTACAGCTGTTTTTGACAAAATGGATTCACTATAGGATTCCTTTAAGTAAAAAATTTCCATAATGCACTTTAATTCTAATTTGATATAGTAGAATTTGATCTATATACTTTTCTTTCAGGCATCATATATGTCATAAACAGGGGCACCCTAATGCTACAAACAGTATGTCCAAAAGTGTAACATTTAGCTTGAGCTTTTGAATGAACTGAAATTGCGCAGATTTCCCTGATGGGAAAAAGGCATGAAATTCTGAAATATTTAATACATATATATTGCAGCCATTTGGGTGAAAATGCTGTAATTCTGATAATTCTGGAAATTGTTTCACAGCTCAATTCTAAACCCACAGCTTTTCTGGGCTTTTTTTTTTTTTTTTTTTTTCTGATTTCCATGGTGCAAACCACCTTAAAAAAACAGGAACAGAGGAAAGGAGAGTTGAACATTAAAAAATAAAAAAGACATTTATGTCCTTTCCTCCACTTACAACCTATCCCTTTTTCCCCCGATTTGCCTTCAGTATTATTTTTGAAATCCTGATGCGGATGTGTGGCAGCATTGAAGAAACTAAGAGAGCCACTCAATCTCATCTTAGGTTTTAAGTTCTAGGCAATTGTCCATTGATTCCAGTACAATTAGTCAAGTGTCTGGCAGCTTTGGTGTTAGAAGTATTGGGTTTAAGTTTCAGCCCCATCACTCACTAGATGAGTGTCAGTGAAACACCTTATCTTCTGAGTCAGTTTTCCATCAGCTATAAAATACTAACCTGACAGGATTATTATGGGTATCAAATCAAAATGTATTTATGCTTTGAAAACAAAAAAGCAAAGACAGAAAAGAACAATGTGATCAACATTTTTAAAAATTTACCCTTTGTTTTTGCCATTTTCTATCAGGCATAATTATATGTTTTTAGCGTATGATGAAACTATAAACATCTTTCTTGATTTCAGAATATGGAAGTGCTGGAAGATAATTTTCCATTGATCTCTTGCATATCTGCACATCTTGCAAGTGAGGCACTGATTTCCTTTATTACAGACTATTTTTTCAAGGATTTTTATAGAACAGCCTTGAAAGAGATGATGTCTCTTTGTGGAGCAAACAGCAGGCATGCTTACTATTCAGTATAAAAGATTAGGGTTCCCTAACTTTAGGGTTTCTCTACTATTACACAATCAATTTTATGTGTAGCTGTCTATCTGGGCTTGTCCCTGTTGCCCTGTGGGAATTGGGCCTTGGGGTACTGGTGAAAAGGCTGATACTGTGTCCGTAATTGGTGAGTTCTTGATCTCACTGACTTCAAGAATGAAGCCGCGGACCCTCGCAGTGAGTGTTACAGTTCTTAAAGGCGGCGTGTCCAGAGTTTGTTCCTTCTGATGTTCAGATGTGTTCGGAGTTTCTTCCTTCTGGTGGGTTTGTGGTCTCGCTGGCTCAGGAGTGAAGCTGCAGACCTCAGCGGTGAGTATTACAGCTATTAAGGCAGCGCGTCTGGAGTTGTTCCTTCCTCCTGGTGGGCTCGTGGTCTCGCCGGCTTCAGCAGTGAAGCTGCAGACCTTCGCGGTGAGTGTTACAGCTCATAAAAGCAGTGTGGACCCAAAGAGTGAGCAGTAGCAAGATTTATTGCAAAGAACGAAAAAACAAAGCTTCCACAGTGGGTAAGGGGACCCCAGCGGGTTGCCACTGCTAGCTTGGGCAGCCTGCTTGTATTCTCTTATCTGGCCCCACCCACATCCTGCTGATTGGTAGAGCCAGAGTGGTCTGTTTTGACAGGGCGCTGATTGGTGCATTTATAATCCCTGAGCTAGACACAAACGTTCTCCAGGTCCCCACCAGATTAGCTAGATACAGAGTGTCCACACAAAGGTTCTCCAAAGCCCCAACAGAGAAGCTAGATACAGAGTGTCGATTGGTGCATTCACAAACCCTGAGCTAGACACAGGGTGCTGATTGGTGTGTTTACAAACCTTGAGCCAGATACAGAGTGCCGATTGGTGTATTTACAATCCCTGAGCTAGACATAAAGGTTCTCCAAGGCCCCACCAGAGTAGCTAGATACAGAGTGTCCATTGGTGCATTCACAAACCCTGAGTTAGAAACAGGGTGCTGATTGGTGTATTTACAATCCCTGAACTAGACATAAAGGTTCTCCACGTCCCCACCAGATTCAGAAGCCCACCTGGCTTCACCCAGTGGATTCCGCACCAGGGCTGCAGATGGAGCTGCCTGCCAGTCCCGCGCTGTGCGCCCGCACTCCTCAGCCCATGGGTGGTCCATGGGACTGGGCGCCCTGGAGCAGGGGGTGGCGCTCGTAGAGGAGGCTCCGGCCACACAGGAGCCCACGGAGGGGGTGGGAGGCTCAGGCATGGCGGGCTGCAGGACCCGAGCCCTGCCACGCGGGAAGGCAGGTAAGGCCCGGTGAGAAACCGAGCGCAGCGCCGGTCGGCCGGCACTGCTGGGGGACCCAGTACACCCTCCGCAGCCGTTGGCCCGGGTGCTAAGTCCCTCATTGCCTGGGGCCGGCAGGGCCCGCCGGCTGCTCCGAGTACAGGGACCGCCAAGCCCACACCCACTCGGAACTCCAGCTGGCCCGCAAGCGCGGCGCGCAGCCCCAGTTCCCGCTCGCGCCTCTCCCTCCACACCTCCCTGCAAGCTGAGGGAGCCGGCTCCGACCTTGGCCAGCCCAGAAAGGGGCTCCCAGGGTGCAGCGGTGGGCTGAAGGACTCCTCAAGTGCCGCCAAAGTGGGAGCCCAGGCAGAGGAGGCGCCAAGAGTGAGCGAGGGCTGTGAGGACTGCCAGCACGTTGTCACCTCTCAATACTCTGTCTACTTCTCTTGCTATGAGTAATAAAGCCTCTTGTGTCTGCCCCAGGAGTCTCGTGTCTTCTAACGATCTTCTAACGATTCATACTCTGTGGCAGGCTAACTTGTTAGCTGGCAAAAAACAAAATCTCAGGCCCTTCACAATTCTTGACAGGAAGTTGGGATGTAAAATGGGGAATGATTTTTCCTTCTATCATGACTTGAGACAATTTTTACAAAATATGTGTCAACTTCTTGAGAGTGGGCGGTATATTGTAATGATTAATCTTAGAGATTCTGCAGCCAGGCTCTTTGGGTTCTAATCCTGAATAGTGGTCCCTTTTAGTTTGGGTTCCCAGAAACAGACCCTGAGACACGGATATGAGTGAAACTAGTTTATTTGGAAGGTGATCTTAGGAATCACTGATAGGAACGGAGGAAGTCGGAAAGGAGAGGGAAGGCAGACAATAAATGATGAATTTTCAAGTGAGTTATGACTGCTAGAATTTAATCTTATTTGGGAACTCTTGGTAGCCAATACAGAATATGTGCCTCCGACTTTCCTGCTTGAGGGGTGAGGGAGCAGGATATTATACACTAAATCACATAAGTCCTTGGTTGAGGGATCCTGGAAGAGGGTAGGTTCTGATTCTAGTTCTGGATTTTTTGGTCTGCCTTGCCCAATACAAAATAGACTGCCACAGGCCCTGGCAGGTAGATGTGAGATTCGGGTGTGCTTTACATTAATAAGGCCCAAGGGAATGTAGTTGGCACAGCCATAGCTTTTGCTATAGATACCCTCCAGCAGTATAGTCTATGAAGTTACTCAATCTATTTATGCCCCCGTTTCCTCATCTGTACAATGGGAATAATAGCATCAACCACATAGGGTTGATGAAGATTAAAAATTCAGTCCATGTAAAACACTTAAAATAAGCCATACTATTTCATCAGGACTTATGAAATGTTGTTTATTGTTATAGAAGAACGTGACCTTTTGTATTTATTGACATTTTTTCTGTCTCATTCTCCAGCATTTTGGAGATTGACTTTTATTTCCTTAACATCATGAAATTTTGTTTTATTAATACTACATGCCTGTGATTGAGTCTTCTAAATTCGAGGTATATTTATGTTTGACATTTGTCAAGGGGCAACACTGGCTGCCTCATGGGAGGCACCAGAAGGATGTGTTTAAAACTTATTCCTATTTAAATTTCCTTAGAGAATTTATGGGGCTCAGCACTCCTGAACTCTTTAATTTAAAGATTTACTGCTTTGTCAGAGAAACTAATTAAATCTTTTTTGAAGTGTCAGTATCATAGCAGCATTAGACTCAATTTTCTGTTCCTCTATTATGGGAATAGAATATAAAATAGAAGTGTATTTTAAACTCAATTTTTTAGCATTATGTATCATTTATGTCAGACTCCTGCGAATTGGCATCATAGTAACTATGGAATTCGCCAAAACAAAACACTCAAGAATTTTAGTAAGCCTACTTAACTTTTGATTACAGTAAAATTCTACTATTAAGCTAAACAGCGCATATAGGAAATGACAGTTTACTGGGAAAGAGGCCCATATTTATGGAAACCAGCTCCTCAGAGGTCTATAGATTTGCCTGTTTCCTACCTTAGTAACATTCCTTTTTATTCTCCCTTTTGTTTTAGTAAGCCAACAGTCTGCTTGGCTTACTCTGTCTTTTCTTTCCTTTTTTGAGATGGAGTCTTGCTCTGTTGCCCAGGCTGGAGTGCAGTGGCTCTATCTCTACTCACTGCAATCTCCACCTCCCAGATTCAAGGGATTCTCCTTCCTCAGCCTCCCAAGTAGCTGGGATTACAGGCGTGTGCCACCACGACCAGCTAATTTTTTGTATTTTTAGTAGAGACGGGGTTTCACTGTGGTAGCCAGGATGGTCTCGATCTCCTGACCTTGTGATCTACCCGCCTCGGCCTCCCAAAGTGGTGGGATTACAGGCGTGAGCCACCATGCCCGGCCAGCTTACCCTGTCTTAACTCTTGACCTCTTATTTAAAGATCCCAGTCACTTTTACATATTATCCAAGTCCTTATATTAAGTAAATTGGCTAAAGAAATTTCCCCAAACCCTTCTTTCATTTTTGCAGTTGCTCATATAGGTATTATTTTTTTGTCTAAGGATATCTTAACACAATATATATGTGAATATTTTAAAAGTTAAGAAAATTATAATTTTTCTATAAATATTTTATCAGTGTTTAGGCCAAAATAAAATTAGTCATAATTTTCTGCATTAGTCATAATTTTTTGCAATGAAAATTTTAGTAAAATGCTTTTTTTCTAAAAAAAAGTTACTGTATTTTTTCCACTTTAAACATCTTAAATTCGAACTCTATTAAATGGTGTTTAATTTTTATTATGAACCACAAAGAGCTGTAAAAACCTATAAGCTTTCTTTTAATCTATTAGTCAACTTTTAAAAAACTTTTGATGTCTTATTGACCTAAAAATTTTTTCTAAGTAAAAGGTATAATAAAGTTTCCTATAAATTTAATCCATATACACTGTGATGCTATTTTTATTTCTTGAATTTTCCTAGCCATTTTCCTTCCTGCTCAATACCAGCTTAATAAAATATATTAATATATATGAAAGAAATATATATTGCTAGAGATAATATGAACCAAATATTGTTATCTTAAGCAGAATATTCAGGCTATCAGGGAGGAGAAATTAGTGAAATTCAGCTAAATGCTAAACCCAAGTTTTAAAAATAAGTTCAAATCATACTACAGATTTATGGATGCTAAGAGGTGTTTTAATGTTTTCAAATGTTTTAAATAGTCTTTTAGTGCATATATGTGGTTATAAAATAATCCAATAATAATTGATTGAATTATATCTCTTTGCTCTTCATCAGCTCATTTATGGAAGGTCATCCATTTATTGAGACCAGCCCAAAAGACCCTCAGGAACTTAGAAGACTCCTACCGACTTTGAAGACCATAGCCCCAAAGCAGGGCTGTGAAATGGAGCAGCAAAGAAGAGAATCATTGTCAAAGCTCAAGTTCCATCAGAATGACAAAGTAGGCAAAAAGTGTTTTGGTGGGCACCACTGCCTCCTCTTTCTGCATTATCTCCTACCTCCCTTCCCTCCCAAATGCCCAGGGTCCTAGTCCACATCCGAGCTATTTGGGGTTCCTCTGCCGCATCCCACTAAAGCTCATTTTTCATGGGCATATTCTAAAGTGAACCAAATCCTATCTTTCAGCAAAAGTTACTGCTCTTTATTCCTTTTTTTATGGGCCCCATTTTTTTCCTCGGGAAAGATAATATCCAAAAAAAAATCTATGTCTGATAAATTGTTAATGATGAGAATGGATTTAGGATAATGTCTGGCACAAAAATACTTGCTGAAGATATAAAAGCATCTGGTAATCTAATAATATCTCTAGGTCACATATATATGTTCTAACAGGGACCACTTGGATACATTTCTTAAACTACAGAAAATGATGTGGTTATAAAATAATTCAATAATAATTGATTGAATTATATCTCTTTGCTCTTCATCAGCTCATTTATGGAAGGTCATCCCTTTATTGAGACTGCCCAAAAGACCCTCAGGAACTAAATTTAAAAGCTCCAGACCTATAAGAAAGTTCTATTTGGGGGTATGTCACCCATTTATTAACTTTATAGCTTCATATAATTGATGCATATGGTGAGCCTGGTCTTATGGGTGAAATCTGTTATTATATGAATAGGCATTGAGTTCAAGGTACACTTTTGGAAATTTGAGGCTTGTCAGTGATGCTGACTATTTCTGGGCACTGGTACAAGCCCCACAAAGAAAGATTAGTTACATGTTTTCTTTAGTGATGACACGAATTGAATAATATACTCTCAGATTAAATTTGTCACCTATTCAACACAGAATACTTACAAAAGGCCTCAAAGCAAATATAGTTTGTTAAGTGTAAAAACTGGGGAATGTTGACAGCTGCCAAGCCCACATCGTGTTTACACATTTTATATGCTAAGCAAACATGTCAGTTTGTCTGACCTAGCTGTGCCTTCTTCCTGAGAACCTGTTCCCATTACTTTTGGTGAATGGGCAGCAAGCCACATGACCCCATCCTCCTGGACACAGTGGATTGGAACAGAGATGAAAGAGACAGGAAGAGACGGAGACACACATAGAGGCAGAGAGAGGAAAAAAGGGCAAAGCCAGCAGGTAGTCAGACAAAGATCAGTGAGAGAGGGAGGAAAAAGGAAAAAGAGAGTACACATTTTGATTTCAGAGATCTTTCCAGTTCCTCCTTGTAGTTCTGTGAGTGGCCCAGATGTATGTTCTATCCTGATTCTATAAGATAGATAATCTGTGTAACAGAGAAACCTAATTTCTATAACAGTATCCAATAGAAATAGAATGCAAGCCACATGTGTAATTTAAAATTTTGTAATAGCTACATTAAGAATATTTTTAAAACAAGTGAAATCAATTTTAATAATATATTTAACCCCATATATATATATATAATATTGCTGTTTCAATATGTAATCAATATAAAAATTATTGAGATGTTTACAGTCTTATTTTTATACTAAGTCACTAAATTCTGGTGTGCGTTTTACACTTACAGTGCACCTCAGTTTGGACGAGCCAAATTCCAAGTGCCCAGTAGCCACATAATAGCTACCCTGTTGGACAGTGCAGACACAGAACAGTTACTGGAAGGCAGCTGCGCTAGCAGGAGCTGTTTCCCAGCTGCCTTGCATCTAGGAATGACCAGGTGACTAGTTAGTGCCAGACCTAAGAGTAGAAGCTGTGTGTGTTACTTCCAAAAACAAGGTGGTTAAGAAGCAGATATGAGCCGGGCCCAGTGGCTCACGCCTGTAATCCCAGCACTTTAGGAGGCTGAGGTGGTGGATCACCAGGTCAGGAGATTGAGACCATCCTGGCTAACATGGTGAAACCTTGTCTACTAAAAATACAAAAAATTAGCTGGGCGTGGTGGCAGAAGCCTGTAGTCCCAGCTACTTGGGAGGCTGAGGGAGGAGAATGGTGTGAACCCGGAAGGTGGAGCTTGGAGTGAGCCGAGATTGCGCCACTGCACTCCAGCCTGGGGGACAAAGTGAGACTCCGTCTCAAAAAAAAAAAACACAAGAAGGAAGGAGCATGGGTCTCTGAAGCATCACGTTGAGGAAAGTCTGCTGTCAGTTGGATGTATTCATTTTGGATGTTAAGCAAGAAATCAACTTTTTTGATTTGAACTGCTATATATTTTTTTTTTGGTTTGCTTAGCAGTTTAGCCTATTCTATCATGTGTGTGTGTGTGTATGTGTGTAGATATACACATATATTTTATATATAGATTATTTATATAGAGAGATATATTTGTATACTCATGTTCATAGAAGCATTATTTCTGTACTGCTGTTAAAAGCTTTTTCTATTTCTAGTGGCAAGTGATACTCTAAAACGTGTGAGTGCATGCACACACTAACTACCTTTGGGTTTTGTCAGTGAGTAATTTATCTGTGTGTATTTTACCCAGCACATGTTTAGGCTGAAGACTTTTTTTTTCTTTTTTTTGTTTTTGAGATGGAGTCTCACTCTGTCGCCAGGCTGGAGTGCAGTGGCACAATCTCGGCGCACTGCAACCTCCACCTCCTGGGTTCAAGCCATTCTCCTGCCTCAGCCTCCTGAGTAGCGGGGACTACAGGTGTGCGCCACCACACCCAGCTAATTTTTGTATTTTTAGTAGAGACAGGGTTTCACCATCTTGGCCAGGATGGTCTCTATCTCTTGACCTCATGATTTGCCTGCCTCGGCCTCCCAGAGTGCTGGGATTACAGGCGTGAGCCACCGTGCCCGGCCAGGCTGAAGACTTTATCTGGAAAAATAAAGCTCTAAAAATAAATTGAGAGGAGAATATGAATGAACTATAAAACTCTTACAAGAAAACGTTGGACAAAATCTTCACAACATTCAATTTGGTGATGATTTATTGGATATAACACCAAAAGCACAGGCAACAAAAGGAAAAACAGACAAACTGGACTTGATGAAAATTTAAACATTTTGTGCATCAAAAGACGCTAAACAGAGTAAAAGGTAACCCACGGAATGGAGAAAATGCTTGCAAATCATGTATCTGATAAAAGATTAATATCTAGAATATATAGGGAACTTCTAAAACTCAACAACAACAAAAACCAAACAAGCCAATTCAAAAATGGGCAAAGGACTTGAATAGACAGTTCTCCAAAAAAGACATACAAATGGCCAATAAGCATATGAAAAGATGCTCAACATTAATCTTCAGGGAAATGCAAGTTAAAACCGCAGTGAGGTACTACCTCACACCTATTAGGACAGCTACCATAAAAAACAGATAACAAACGAAACAGAAAATAACAATTGTTGGAAAGGATGTGGACAAATTGGAACCCTTGTGCACTGTTGGTGGGATTGTAAAATGGTATAGCCACTGTAAAAAATAGTATGACAGTTTCTTAAAAATGGAATTACTATATGACCAGCAATTCCACTTCTGGGTATATACCCAAAGGAATTGAAAGCAGGATCTTGAAGAGATATTTGTACACCCATGTTCACAGAAGCATTATTCACAATAGCTAAAATGTAGATACACCCTGAATGTCCATTGTGGATCAGTGAATAAGCAAAATGTACATATTTACTTATTTGTGGAGTATTATTTAGCTGTAAAAAGGAATGAACTCCTGACACATGCTGCAACACAGATGAACTTTGAGAACATTATGCTAAAGGAAAGAAGCCAGGCTGGGTGCAGTGGCTCACACCTGTAATCCCAACACTTTGGGAGGCCGAGGTGGGCGGATCACCTGAGGTTAGGAGTTTGAGACCAGCCTGGCCATCATGGTGAAACCCCGTCTCTGCAAAAAATACAAAAATTAGCAGGGCGTGGTGGCGGGTGCCTGTAGTCCCAGTTACTAAGGAGGCTGAGGCAGGAGAATCACTTGAACCCAGGAGGCGGAGGTTGCAGTGAGCTGAGATCATGCCATTGCACTCTAGCTTGGGAGACAAGAATGAAACTCTGTCTCAAAAAATATAAAAATTTAAAAATTTTTGCAAAAGGAAATAAGCCAATCGAAAAAAGACTAATACTGTATGATTCCATTTATTTGAGGCACTTAGCATAGTCAAGATCACAGTGACAGAAAGTAGAATAGTGGTTGCCAGGATTAGGAAGTGGGGAAATGGGGGATTGCTCTTTAATGGGTGTAGGGTTTCAGTTTTGTAAGATGAAAAGAGTTCTGGAGATGGATGGGAGTGATGTTTACTCAACAATATAAATATACTTAATACCACTGAACTGTATACTAAAAATCATTAAAATAGTACATTTAATATTATGTATATTTTACCCCAATACAAATAATTTATTTTAATAATGTTATTTTTAAGAAATCAAGAGGAGTATATGACCAAAGCCTTTAGAATTCTGAAAGGTTGGATTAGTAAACATGGACTTCATCTTTCCCAAGAGTTTTTCCAACCTCAATGTATAGCTAGTATAAGGAAAGGGTTATTAATAGCGTAAGCATTTAACACGTTTATTTTCATTGTGCAAAAATAATTATGACAGAATACTTAAAGTTCCAAAGGCACTGTGTTCAGTCCTATGATATCCTTACAGGAAATATATCTGTATTTTTATGGAGGGAGATTCTGAAACATAAAATTGTTAAAGCACTTGCTCAAAGTCATTTGCCCAGTACTTTAAAATGGGGCTTCTCAACTTCTGCATTATTGACTTTTGGGGCTGGATAATTCTGTTGTTGGGGGCTGCTCTGTGCATTGTACAATGTTTACCAGCATCTCTGGTCTCTACCCACTAGATGTCGGTAGCACCCCTCACCTTCAAGTTGTGATAAAAGACTTTGTGGAAATGTGCCCTGGGGGGCAGAATCACTCCAGGTTGAGAACCACTGCTCTAACACCAGCAGCTTCCCGAGGTTAGGGAGGCCCACCAGAGTCCCCGGCCTTAGAAATGGGGTTTCAGAAAATAACTGGTCAGGTCAAGGTAGGATCAATTTAGGAGGATCTCACATACCAAATTATCAAAGCAAGGGTAGAGGTGGGAGTTTTGTCATAGGAACGAACTAATCTATCTGTTTTAACTTTGATCAGAGTGGTGCTAGGTGATTGAACTAGGCCTTCTCCAATGTCCTTGGAGAGTAAAACATCTATCCCGGGGCTTAGGATGGGGGGTTAAGCCTCTAGGTGGGGAGGCAGTGAACAGAAGGCAGTGAGAACACACAAGCAGGCAGAACATGACAAGATAGCAGAGCAAGGCAAGAATCATCCGAGCTGGGACGATTCAGAAAAGTGTAATGAAAGAATTGTCATCTGAGCAGGGGTATTTTTTTAAAGGCAAAATTCAATGGTTGTAAGGGATGGAAATCCACTCAAATTAGTTCCATCTGAAAGAGAGGTTTATTTTTAGGATATAGTACACTCACGTAAATGAGACACAGCTGGGAATGGAGCTGCAAATTGAAGAGCTGCTGAGGATCATCATTGCTTTTTCTTTACACGGCTGCATGATCCTTCTTCTATGCATCGTTTTGCAAGTATGCTCTCTTCTGTTTGGCAAACTTTCTTTCTTTGCTTACTCTTGGTCTCTGATCATCCATAGTTTTGTCTTGCCTATGACTTTGGTTTGACATAGTGTTGACCCATGAACAGACCCAGATGAGCTTTCACAGAGCTTTCTATGTTGAACTGACTCTATTAATCTCCAGATTCCCAGGAGAAGAATCTGATTGGTCGAGTTTGGGTCAGCTCTGCACCCAACATGATTAATTCAGCTGAAAGTAGGAGAGGGAACACATGATCAACACATGGTCACCTCTGCCTGTTCCTTTAGCAGCTCTGGGGAGCTGAGGTGAAGGATGGCATTTTCCAGGGAAGGCAGTTTGGGCAAATACATTTCTTATACGGCCTTAATGGGTGGAATATGAAATATGGAAGAAATTAACTTCTGTAAGAGGAAGTGGTACCAACAAAGGCATGAAACAAAGATATTTTATATATATACATATTCAGTAAATTTTCTAGATTAATTAGACTGATGTTCAAGGATCATTACATAGTTGGGATTTATTGTAGCCCAAGATTTACATAGAGGACAATAAGGTAATGAGGCTGGAGATACAGTCTGCTATCATATTGTCAAGGGCATTTAAATGCCAGACAGGCATTTAGATTTTTTAGGGTGTCTCTAATGTCTGAGGATACAC
Source organism: Homo sapiens (assembly GCF_000001405.40). Classification (NCBI taxonomy): domain Eukaryota; kingdom Metazoa; phylum Chordata; class Mammalia; order Primates; family Hominidae; genus Homo; species Homo sapiens. The sequence goes on from NC_000002.12 coordinate 224,613,530, forward strand.
CATGGAGGGAAACTGCCAAGTTTTTCTGGAAAATATTCTTTGGTTCTTGGGTAAACCCTAGGATCAAGTCAAGTAGCAGATTAATTTCATTTTACAGGGCATTGAAAGAGAAATCAAGCCACAAATTGAAACAATGTTGAAAGAAGGCAACTAGAATAAGAGTCTACCTAGTAAGTTAGTACAAAAAAAAAAAAATAGATAATCTGTTATCTCAGCACTTTTAAAATAAAGCTAGTAGATCTCTACAAATGACCTAATTAAAAATCCAAGCCAAGAAGCCAAAAGCCATTCCACAACAACTACAAATAACAATGACAACAACAACAGCAGTGTTTATAAGGCTTCTTCTATGGGCCCACTACTGTTTTAAGCATTTGTGTGAATGGTATAAGGTAAGCGAATGAGTGTTTTATTCGCCTTCTGTTAAACACGTATAATCTTTTTCTTTCATGGCCCAGAATCACTGAATCTTGAGTTGTAAACGATTGTGACCTCTATGCCAGGAGCAGAGTCTCCTCTAGAAATATCTGTTAATCTCTAACAGTTATGAGAGTCTGTCTGGTAATTGGCCTTTTACCTAGAAGCTAACAGATTCCACATTATATAGCCTTATGGTTCCAAAGACTGGACAGGCAGTTTCATGTACAGAGGTACAGCTGACTTGGATACTATATCTTGGGCCTTAAAGTTCACATTAGAATATCAAAGTGTTTTGTAAACTGCATGTCTCTATAGAGAATACAAATCTACTCTAGGATTAAATAAGCCTGCTTCTTGCTTTAAGTTTAATGCTAATGGTAAACTGAAAAAGATTTCTAGTGACAGATAATTAGTGATAATGGTAATTACCGGCCTTTATATGGTCTTTCACCCAAACAGATGGCAAAGCACTTACAAAATGAATGCTTTAAGGCATAATTTCTCCGCCTTCTTAAATAAAAGTTCCTCTAGGGTCAACAATAGTTTGTATTTAACATACTGCATTATGTTACCCATAACTAAACAAACATTTCCAGACAATTCAGTTAGTCTGTTAATTTGCTTAGCAATTAGCTTTGAATGGATTTTTTTGCCCTGAATACATTATAAATGTATGAATGCATGTATGCCTTGCTTATTTTTCTTATTATTTTATTTAACTTTTATAAGCCACTGTGGTTACCATCGCATGGATGATTTCCAGGGAGCGGGAGGCTGGGTCACTTAGCAGGCTTACACAGGCCCTGTCTCCATGAACAGAAGCCAGCCTCTTGTAGATGGAGCCATCCATTCCTGTACATTTGTTTCTGTTTTTGTTTGTTTGTTTTGAGACGAAGTCTCACTCTGTCACCCAGGCTGGAGTGCAGTGGCACAATCTCAGCTCACTGCAACCTCCATCTCCCAGGTTAAAGCAATTCTCCTGCCTCAGCCTCCCAAGTAGCTGCAACTACAGGAGCATGCCACCATGCCCAGCTAATTTTTGTATTTTTAGTAGAAACAGGGTTTCACCATGTTGACCAGACTGGTCTTGAACTCCTGACCTCAAGCAATCTGGCCGCCTCAGCCTCCCAAAGTGCTGTGATTACAGACATGAGCCACCGCGCCCGGCCCATCCCCACACATTTGATATTTCTGGGTATTCCTGGATTCCTAGGACTGTACATCAGGATTCATTTTCTGGGGGCTATTTTCCCTGTTTCATGTAGAGTTCTAAAGACGACATTAAAAAGGCATCAAAGTTTAATCAAAATGTATCATACATTTATACCATGAAAGGAAACACAGAGACTCTTTTCTCCATTCTCCCTTTCTTTCCCCATCTCCCTTCTCGGGAAAGATGATTTGGGCCTTGTGTTATGGGATACTTCGTGACGTGATCTGGGAAAAAGTCAGGGCAATGTTTTCTAGACCTAATAAGGTGAGGATACTCGTTCGTAAGAAATAAAGTCAAAGTTATGTTAATGGGAAGAATATGAATTTCTGTTCGTATTCTAGACCCCCACATGAAATTTCGGAAGGAGATGAGTCTTTGTGTTGCAGGATATGTTTGGTTTTGCAGCGGAGGTGTTGGGCAGGGTAGGTGGAGGGATTGCAGCCTGGGAGAAAGACTCTCACCTCCTCTCCTCTGCTTCTCCCCGTCCCTAATCCTTCCCTCCCTGGGCAGGCCTTCACAGCCTGAATCAGAATCCAGTGTCTCTTCTTCAGAGCAGATGATGGCTCTGGATGGCTGGGGGAGAAAGAAGAGTTGATATGGTGGCTGAAAGCCCAGGACAGGAAGTCGGGATCGGAATCTTATGGCACCAGGAATGTCATCCTTTTTATTTGGAGCTTCAGCTTCTTCAAACATAAAATATAATTAATAATTCCCAGCTGGGCAAGGTGGCTCATGCCTGTAATCTCAGCACTTTGGGAGGCCAAGGCAGGCAGATCGCAAGGTCAGGAGATCGAGACCATCCTGACTAACATGGTGAAACCCCGTCTCTACTAAAAATACAAAAAATTAGCCAGGCTTGGTGGCACGTGCCTGTAGTCCTAGCTACTCAAGAGGCTGAGGCAGGAGAATTACTTGAACCCAGGAGGCGGAGGTTGCAGTGAGCCGAGCTCACGCCACTGCACTCCAGCCTGGCTGACAGAGCGAGACTCTGTCTCAAAATAATGATAATAATAATAATTCCCTTGAGCATCATATAAAACGCTAAAGCACATAGCGCCTGGCATGTAGTATAAACCCCATCCATGTTAACTATTGTTATTGCTGTTGGCATTCCATGCCTGGGATTGTGGAATTGAATTTACTTGATGATTTCTTTAGGGAGGGGTGAAAGTCCTGGGAAAAAATTAGGGAATGGGACAGTAAAGGGGAAAGGGTTGAAAGGAGAGAGGGAAGAGACGGGAAACAAGAGAGATGCAGGCAGAGCTCCCTCCGAAAGCTGGAGATTTGTCCTCATGAGGCTGTTCCCTTCCCCCAGGAAGTGACACATGGAATCCTAGCCGCAGTGAAGTTTAAGATAACTGAACAGCAAGATGAGGGGTGCAGTGTTTGATTCTCCCCTCATCTCCCTACTCCCTCTGTTCAGTGCAGCTTGGGAATAAACCGAGAGCCCCAGAGGTAAAGACCTGCTTCTGGAGCTGCAAATTCAGATGCCTTCAGAGGCCACAGAAATATTTCAAATGTCAGAGGCAGTCAAGTGTGTATCACCTAAAGGCCTTCAGATTCAAATTAAAAAACATACCCTCCATACCAGTGATTGCTTGCATGTCTTTGGTTTTGTTTGCAAGCTTTGGCTTCACTCTTCAAGCAGTACCATGCATGGGTGCTTTAGCCAAAGGTCTGAGAGGCAGTGTCCGAAGAGGCAGAGACACAGCTATCTATGTCCTCTCTGGTTACATAGAACCCTCACCATGGGCCACTGGGGGCCAGAAGAATCACTCTGCAAGCAATGGATATCTCTCGGAGAGATGGAGAGAAAAAGTCTACCCTATGGGTTACATAACAATTCACTTTTATTGAGAAAAGCACGACTGTTGTCTTGGAACTGTATAGAAGATAGTGAACACAATGAGAAGAATAGCCAAGGAAAGCAGAACATGTAAGAGACATGGATGAAATGTGGTGTGTTGCCGTGGCATTGAGTCTTGGCTTCTAAAATTACTGAAGCCTCTAAGTCTCACATTTCTCATCTATAAAATAATTACTATCACTGAATGGAGATGTTGCACGTGTCAAATGAGGCCAATATGCAATAGAAAAGTACTGTGATTTTTAAAAATGTTCACTCTCCGTTTATTTGCATATGTAAACACTGTCTGCATATGCTCCCTTTAGACTTTATCATCAAATTGTTTTTTCTGAAAGTTTAGGTTCATCTCATGATCTCCTCCTCAAAAATCACCTGTTTCCCAGGTATTTTCAGATGGCTTTGGTTTTTCTCATAAAAGATGAAATAAATTCCTTATTATTTTTTTTGAGACAGGGGTCTCATTCTGTTGCCCAGGCTGGAGTGCAGTGGCCCCATCATAGCTCACTGCAACCTTGAGCTCCTGGGTTCAGGTGATCCTCCTGCCTCAGCCTCCAGAGTAGCTGGGACTACATAAACATGCTACCATGCCCCACTAGTATTTGTGGATCTAAACATTGAAAAGATGCAGTAAAAACATGTTGTTATAATCTTATGGGACTATGGTATAGGCAGTCCATCATTGACTGAAACACTGTTGTGGGGCACATGACCGTACTTAAATCTGGACTATTCCTGTGACTTGTTTTGTTTTGTTTTAAGACAGAGTCTTGCTCTTGTAGCCCAGGCTGGAGTGCAATGGCGCGATTTTGGCTCACTGCAACCTCCGCCTCCTGGGTTCAAGTGATTCTCCTGCCTCAGCCTCCCGAGTAGCTGGGATTACAGGCACCTGCCACCATGCCCAGCTAATTTTTGTATTTTTAGTAGAGACGGGGTTTCACCATGTTGTTCAGGCTGGTCTCAAACTCCTGACCTCAGGTGATCCACCCGCCTCAGCCTCCCAAAGTGCTGGGATTACAGGCGTGAGCCACCGTGCCTGGCCTGTGACTTTTATCTGTAAAATGTGACAGTTCAGGATGGGTGTAGTGGCTCATGTCTATAATCCCAGCACTTTGAGAGCTTGAGGCAGGAGGATTGCCTGTGCCCAGGAGTTTGAGACCAGCCTGGGCAACATAGTAAGACCCTATCTCTACAAAAAATGAAAAATTAACCAGGTATGATGCCATGGATCTTTGGTCCCAGCTACTCAGGAGGCTGAGATGAGAGGCTCACTTGAGGCAAGCTTTGGCTTCACTCTTCAAGCAGTACCATGCATGAGTGCTTTTAGCCAAATGTCTGAGAGGCAGTGTCCGTAAGAGGCAGAGACACAGTTCTCTATTTCCTCTCTGGTTACATGGAACCCTCAACATGGGCCACTGGGGGCCAGAAGAATCACTCTGTGAGCAATGGCTCTCAGAAAGACAGAGAGAAAAAGTCTACCCTATGGGTTACATAACAATTCACTTTTATTGAGAAAAACACAATGACTGTTGTCTTGGAACTGTATAGAAGATAGTGAACACAATGAGAAGAATAGCCAAGGAAAGCAGAACGTTTAAGAGACATGGATGAAAGGTGGTGTGTTGCTGGGAGGCCAAGGCTGCAGTGAGTTGTGATTGTGCCACTGTACTCCATCCTGGAGACAGAGAAAGACTCTCTCAAAAATAAACATGGCCAGGTGCGGTGGCTCACACCTGTAATCTCAGCACTTTGGGAGGCCAAGGCAGGCAGATCACTTGAAATCAGGAGTTCAAGATCAGCCTGGCCAACATGGTGAAATCCTGTCTCTACTAAAAATACAAAAATTAGCCAAGCATGGTGGCTGGCACCTGTAATCCCAGCTACTCAGAGAGACTGAGGCAGGAGAATTGCCTGAACCCAGGAGACGGAAGTTGCAATGAGCCGAGATCACGCCACTGCACTCCAGCTTGGGTGACAAAGCGAGACTTCACCTCAATAAAATATAATAAACACATACAAAATAAAATGTGACAGTTCAGAGACAAGCAGGAGGAATTCTCTCTTTCCTGGGGGAGGGTCAGCCTTTTCATTCTATTTAATATTTAGACCTTCTACTGATTGAATGAGGCCTACTCACATTAGAGAGGGCAATCTGCTTTATTCAGTATACCTGCTTAAATGTTTATGTTGCCCAGAAACTCCTCCACTGACACACTCAGAAAAATGTTTGACCAAATATCTGGGCACCTTGTGGCCCAGTCAAATTGCCATATAAAATTAAATATCACATGGTGTAAAATTGAGAGTTCTGAATTTTTAAAGTCCCCAAATTTTTCTTACTCTCAGTGGATCTGCATCAGGAATATATATACTCTCAGCCAGGCGTGGTGGCTCATGTCTGTAATCCCAGCACTTTGGGAGGCTGAGGCGGGCAGATCACAAGGTCAGGAGATCGAGACCATCCTGGCTAACATGGTGAAATCCCCTCTCTACTAAAAATACAAAAAAATTAGCCAGTCATGGTGGCGGGCGCCTGTAGTACCAGCTACTCAGGAGGTTGAGGCAGGAGAGTGGTGTGAACCCCGAAGGCGGAGCTTGCAGTGAGCCGAGATCGCGCCACTGCACTCCAGCCTGGGTGACAGAGTGAGACTCCATCTCAAAAAAAAAAAAAAGAAAAAAAAAAGGAATATATATACTCTCAAATACATGGTAACAGTTTTGTTATTAATCAGTTCACACATTCAGCAAATCCTGAGTGCCTGATATATACTAGGTGCTGTAGTACTTGTGAGGCAAGTGCCTTACCTTAAAGATTTGCAATGCAATTGCGGAGAACAGACATAAAACATAATGCAGGCAGAGATGAGATAACATTACTAAAAAGTAATGATACAAATAAATATCAGCAAAATACTGTATAATTAAATATGCTTTTCAAATAAAACCACATTAACCTTCTAATTTTGAATATGTATATTTATTCAAAATGTTTGGGAAGGAAGTGTTCTGGTTAATTGATATACACATAAGAATTGGTAACTAACTCTTTATGTATTGTATATGTCTGTATATAACAATATATATGTTATATATAATAAATTTCTGTAGAAATACAACATAAAACCTAGCACTTTGGGAGGCTGAGGCAGGAGGATCACCTGAGATCGGGAGTTTGAGACCAGCCTGACCAACATGGAAAAACCCTATCTCTACTAAAAAATACAAAATTAGCCCGGCGTGGTGGTACATGCCTGTAATCCCAGTTAGGAGGCTGAGGCAGGAGAATCACTTGAACCAGGGAGGCGGAGGTTGCAATGAGCTGAGATCGTGCCACTGCACTCCAGCCTGGGCAACAAGAATGAAACTCTGTCTCAAAAAAATAATAATAATAAAAATAAAAAAAGAAATACAACATAAAAAAAGCTTGACATAAAACCATACTGAACTTAATTTACCTTTTCTTTAATGATTTAGAAAACACTTAAGTAACTTGCAATCCTTCTAAGACATCATTATAAATAAAATTTAATGTTAAAATTTATCATATGTAACAGTTGTAGAAAATTAGACTAAATTTTTACAAAGTGTGTGGCACTTTCTAAAAATCTTAGTATTAAAAATGCGTAAGGAAGGGATCCAGTTTCAGCTTTCTACATATGGCTAGCCAGTTTTCCCAGCACCATTTATTAAATAGGGAATCCTTTCCCCATTTCTTGTTTTTGTCAGGTTTATCAAAGATCAGATGGTTGTAGATGTATTATTTCTGAAGGCTCTGTTCTGTTCCATTGGTCTATATCTCTGTGTTGGTACCGGTACCATGCTGTTTTGGTTACTGTAGCCTTGTAGGATAGTTTGAAGTCAGGTAGTGTGATGCCTCCAGCTTTGTTCTTTTCGTTTAGGATTGACTTGGCAATGTGGGCTCTTTTTTGGTTCCATATGAACTTTACAGTATTTTTTTCCATTCTGTGAAGAAAGTCATTGGTAGCTTGATGGGGATGGCATTGAATCTATAAATTACCTTGGGCAGTATGGCCATTTTCACAATATTGATTCTTCCTATCCATGAGCATGGAATGTTCTTCCATTTGTTTGTGTCCTCTTTTATTTCGTTGAGCAGTGGTTTGTAGTTCTCCTTGAAGAGGTCCTTCACATCCCTTGTAAGTTGGATTCCTAGGTATTTTATTCTCTTTGAAGCAATTGTGAATGGGAGTTCACTCATGATTTGGCTCTCTGTTTGTCTGTTCTTGGTGTATAAGAATGCTTGTGATTTTTGCACATTGATTTTGTATCCTGAGACTTTGCTGAAGTTGCTTATCAGCTTAAGGAGATTTTGGGCTGAGACAATGGGGTTTTCTGAATATACAATCATGTCATCTGCAAACAGGGACAATTTGACTTCCTTTTTTCCTAATTGAATATCCTTTATTTCTTTCTCCTGCCTAATTGCCCTGGCCAGAACTTCCAACACTATGTTGAATAGGAGTGGTGAGAGAGGGCATCCCTGTCTTGTGCCAGTTTTCAGAGGGAATGCTTCCAGTTTTTGCCCATTCAGTATGATATTGGCTGTGGGTTTGTCATAAATAGCTCTTATTATTTTGAGGTACGTACCATCAATACCTAATTTATTGAGAGTTTTTAGCATGAAGGGTTGTTGAATTTTGTCAAAGGCCTTTTCTGCATCTATTGAGATAATCATGTGGTTTTTGTAGTTGGTTCTGTTTATATGCTGGATTATGTTTATTGATTTGCGTATGTTGAACCAGCCTTGAATCCCTTCCTTGGATCCCTTCCTTACACCTTATACAAAAATTAATTCAAGATGGATTAAAGACTTAAATGTTAGACCTAAAACCATAAAAACCCTAGAAGAAAACCTAGGCAATACCATTCAGGACATAGGCACGGGCAAGGACTTCATGTCTAAAACACCAAAAGCAATTGCAACAGAAGCCAAATTGACAAATGGGATCTAATTAAACTAAAGAGCTTCTGCACAGCAAAAGAAACTACCGTCAGAGTGAACAGGCAACCTACAGAATGGGAGAAAATTTTTGCAATCTACTCATCTGACAAAGGGCTAATATCCAGACTCTACAAAGAACTCAAACAAATTTACAAGAAAAAAACAACCCCATCAAAAAGTGGGCAAAGGATATGAACAGACACTTCTCAAAAGAAGACGTTTATGCAGCCAACAGACACATGAAAAAATGCTCATCATCACTGGCCGTCAGAGAAATGCAAATCAAAACCACGATGAGATACCATCTCACACCAGTTAGAATGGCGATCATTAAAAAGTCAGGAAATAATAGGTGCTGGAGAGGATGTGGGGAAATAGGAACACTTTTACACTGTTGGTGGGACTGTAAACTAGTTTAACCATTGTGGAAGACAGTGTGGCAACTCCTCAAGCATCTAGAACTAGATATACCATTTGACCCAGCCACCCATTACTGGGTATATACCCAAAGGATTATAAATCATGCTACTTTAAAGACACTGCACACGTATGTTTATTGTGGCACTATTCACAATAGCAAAGACTTGGAACCAACCCAAATGTCCATCAATGATAGACTGGATTAAGAAAATGTGGCACTTATACACCATGTAATACTATGCAGTCATAAAAAAGGATGAGTTCATGTCCTTTGTAGGGACATGGATGAAACTGGAAACCATCATTCTCAGCAAACTATTGCAAGGACAAAAAACCAAACACCGCATGTTCTTACTCATAGGTGGGAATTGAACAATGAGAGCACTTGGACACAGGAAGGGGAACATCACACAGCAGGGCCTGTCATGGGGTGGGGGGAGGGGGAGGGATAGCATTAGGAGATATACCTAATGTAAATGATGAGTTAATGGGTGCAGCACACCAACATGGCACATGTATACATATGTAACAAACCTGCACATTGTGCACATGTACCCTAGAACTTAAAGTATAATTTAAAAATGCGTAAATATATAACTTGAACAGAATTGAAAGAAATAAACTAAAACACAACATTTGATCTTAACCCTGACTTCCAACCCTACTGTCTCTTTTTTTTTTTTCTTTTCTTGGACAAGACTATTGCAGTACCAGCCCTACTTTTCAGAAGGAATTATATTTTCTTTTTCTTTTTTTTTTTTTTGACATGGAGTCTCGCTCTTGTCACCCAAGCTGGAATGCAGTGGTGCCATCTCAGCTCACTGGAACCTCTGCCTCCCAGATTCAAGTGATTCTCTTGCCTCAGCCTCCCGATAGCTGGGATTACAGGCGCCCACCATCACGCCTGGCTAATTTTTTGTATTTTTAGTAGAGATGGGGTTTCACCATGTTGGCCCGGCTGGTCTCAAACTCCTGACCTCAGGTGATCTGCCTGCCTTGGCCTCCCAAAGTGCTGGGATTACAGGTGTGAGCCACCGTGGCTGGCCAGTAATTATATTTTCTTAAGTGTCCTGCCAGATATTTTTAATGCATATATGTATCTGTATGTATATTACTGTTTTACACATATAGATCCTATAATAACTATTGCTTTATACCTTATATTTTTCACTTAACATATATTGGTGATCTCCCTGAGTTTTTTTAATGAACGCATAATAGTCTATCATTTGGATCTACCCTAATTTAACATAACTAGCTGAGAATTGATGGACATATTGGCTGTGTCCAGTTACTTGCTATTTGCAGCAATGCTTCAATTAACACAATTGTAAATATAAATTTATGTACTTGTGTGAATATGTAAGTAGGATAAGTTCCTGAATAAATTCTTGATATCAGTTTTGTGTAGTGGCAGTTTATCTGCTAAAAATTTCTGGTTATTTGAGTTTTTCTTTATCTGATGCTAAATAAACGGGAATTTATGTTATGGGTGAGACATGTCCTAATATTTTGAAAGATCAATTTTGGGCAACCAGGTGGTGTCAGGGAAGAGATAAGTCTAAGTGTATTGGATGGTTGGTCTTCTTTATGTTTAATGAATATGTAAGAATCAAATGAAATTACTACATTTGTACATACTATAGACAAATTTACTTTTGTGTTTTCTTTTTTTTTTTTTTTGAGACGGAGTCTTGCTCTGTTGCCCAGGCTGGAGTGCAGTGGTGCACTCTCGGCTCACTGCAAGCTCTGCCTCCCGGGTTCACGCCATTCTCCTGCCTCAGCCTCCCGAGTAGCTGGGACTACAGGCGCCCACCACCAGGCCTGGCTAATTTTTTTGTATTTTTAGTTTAGCCAGGATGGTCTCGATCTCCTGACCTCGTGATCCGCCTGCCTTGGCCTCCTAAAGTGCTGGGATTACAGGCGTGAACCACCGCCCCTGGCCTACTTTTGTGTTTTCTACAAAAATATTTTACTAAAGCGAATAACTGTGTAAATAGTAATAGTCTACCTACTTAAGAATAAACTTAACGTCATTTGCTGTTTGCATATAATGTCCTAATTACAAATTATTCTTAAAATCTCATTGTAATGTGATAAAAAAGCATTTCCCTAAGTGCATCTTAAATTTAGACTGAGTCGGCCGGGCGCAGTGGCTCACACCTGTAATCCCAGCACTTTAGGAGGCCGAGGCAGGTGGATCACGAGGTCAGGAGATCGAGACCATCCTGGCTAACATGGTGAAACCCCGTCTCTACTAAAAATACAAAAAATTAGCCGGGCGTGGTGGCAGGCGCCTGTAGTCCCAGCTACTCGGGAGGCTGAGGCAGGAGAATGGCGTGAACCCAGGAGGCAGAGCTTGCAGTGAGCCGAGATCGCACCACTGCACTCCAACCTGAGCGAAAGAGCAAGACTCCGTCTCAAAAAAAAAAAAAAAAAAAAAAAAAATTTAGGCTGTCCTTAATGACTACCAAAAAGCTGAAAAACGAAAAATCTAGTCAAATGGTATAAATGACTCGACAAATGTCTATCTTTTGAAGGAGCTCGTTTTGTATGTATCTTGCTTAATCTGATCAAATTGTCCTTGTTTTACTCTGAATATTTTTTTTTTTTTGAGATGGAGTCTTGTCTGTTGCCCAGGCTGGAGTGCAGTGGCGCAATCCTGGCTCACTGCAACCTCTGCCTCCCAGGTTCAAGCAATTCTCCTGCCTCAGCCTCCCTAGTAGCTGGGATTACAGGCGCATGCCACCATGGCTGGCTAATTTTTGTATATATTTATTTTTTTTTAATAGGGACAGGGTTTCACCATGTAGGCCAGGCTGGTCTCAAACTCCTGACCTTGTGATCTGCCCACGCCGGCCTCCCAAAGTGCTGGGATTACAGGCATGAGCCACCACGCCTTGCTGTTTTATATCAGCTTTCCTAAAATCATGGTGAAGCTAGACTTACTTGGGTTGGGGGCAGGGGTGCATCTTTTTGTAAAGTGAATTAAAACAATGACAGTGTTTTTATTTGCGATCAACTTTTATAATAAGACTCCATCTTTTTTTACTTCTTTATTACAGGGAAGTCAGAAAATACACATACACATAAAGAAGTCAAGACCACCCACCCGCCACCCTTTTTGAGACGGCTGCCATTAACAGCCATCCACATCCCCTTCTTTCCATGTTTACACACTGAAGACAACAGAAATGGGAGCATTTTCTGTATGCTGCTTTTTTTCTTTTTTTTTTGAGACGGAGTCTCTCTCTCTAGCCTAGGCTGGAGTGCAGTGGTGCGATCTCGGCTTACTGCAACCTCCACCTCCCGGGTCCCGGTTCAAGCAATTCTCCTGCCCCAGCCTCCCGAGTAGCTGGGATTACAGGAATGCACCACCATGCCCAGCTAATTTTTTTTTTTTTTTTTTGAGACGAAGTTTTGCTCTTGTTGCCCAGGCTGGAGCACAATGGCGCGATCTCGACTCACTGCAACCTCTGCCTCCCGGGTTCAAGTGATTCTCCTGCCTCAGCCTCCTGAGTAACTGGGATTACAGGCACCCACCACCATGGCCGGCTAATTTTTGTATATTTAGTAGAGACGGGGTTTCACCATGTTGACCAGCCTGGTCTTGAACTTCTGACTTCAGGTGATCCACCTGCCTTGGTCTCCCAAAGTGCTGGGATTACAGGCGTAAGCCACTGCGCCCGGTCAATTTTTGTATTTTTAATAGAGATGGGGTTTCACCGTGTTGGCCAGGCTGATTTTGAACTCCTGACCTCATGATCTGCCTGCCTCGGCCTCCCAAAATGCTGGAATTATAGGCGTGAGCCACCGCGCCCGGCCTTGTATGCTGCTCTTTAACCAGTTTTCACTTTTATACCCATACTTAAACTCTTCAAGAAATCATTTAAAATTTCTTTTTAAATTCATCTACTGCTCCATGCTATTCTTGTGGGTGAAAAAGTATAATAGTCAGCACAATAAATTAATTCTCTTTGAAACTCATGTTCTCATGTTACCAGAAGTATTTTTTGATCTGATCTGTATTTCTTCTTTGTATAATACCTACAAAATGACCAAACCAAATAAAATTATGTTCCCTATTGTTTGAAAATAGTTTGTAACTAGGAAATAAATATTGTGTTACATTAGGGATGATCACATTATGTAATTTAGTGAAAATTTTAATATAACACAGTTTGATCCTTTATCTTCTGCTGACAGATTATTTTTTAAACCAGTTATTCAGAATGTCTAGAAATGAAGGGAAAACTCTTCTAAAACATGTGATATGGTGAGAATCTGATGACCTTTAGTGGTATGGAGACAGGAGCAGTGGCCAAATTGTGTTCTGTCTCCACATTTTTCCCTTATATGCAAGCACACACACACACACACAGACACAACACTTACACAGACATACATACCCCCAACACACACAGACACACACATACATCCATCCCCCAACACAGACACATAAACCCATCCCCCACACACGGACACACACTCACACACACACACATACACCCCCCACACAGACACACATACCCACCCACACATACATACCCCCAACACAGACACACACACCCATCCACCCCCCAACGAAGGCACACAGACCCACACACACACACAGTGATACACACACAGACACACACACACACGTTTTTCCCGAGGTGAAATTGGCTCAAAATAAATAGTAAGTGCAACTTTGAGTAAAAAGTGATATGACCACACATCTAGTCCCTGAAGTCATTGTATTAATACAAGGAAATTCTACTTCTTCATGATGTTCATCTGACAGAGGAAGGAGATCTTATTATATGTAGTCATGTTTATAAACTCTATCCGTGCCTCTTACCCCTGCTTTCTTTTAAGTACAAATTGCTTCCTCAGTTATTGTCCAGAAGCCTGGTGGGGCAGCTTTAAGTACATTAGAAAGAAGTTTTTTTTTGTTGTTGTTTGTTTGTTTCTTTGTTTGTTTGTTTTCAGGTGGAGTCTCACTCTGTGGCTCAGGCTGGAGTGCAGTGGTGTGATCTTGGCTCACTGCAGCCTCTGCCTACCGGGTTCAAGAGATTCTCCTGCCTCAGCCTCCCCAGTAGCTGGGATTACAGGTGCACACCGCCACGTCCAGCTAATTTTTTTGTATTTTTAGTAGAGACAGGGTTTCACCATGTTGGCCAGGCTGGTCTCAAACTCCTGACCTCAAGTGATCCGCCCGCCTCGGCCTCCCAAAGTGTTGGGATTACAGGTGTGAGCCACCGTGCCCAGCTGCCTAGAGAGAAGTTTTAAGGAAAAAAAAAGAACTGTATCATATTCTGAGAGAAGGACTCTTCTTCACCTGGAAATCAAGAGAATCCTAAATGACAATAACAATTAAATATTTGATATTGTATTTGAATAATTTAAAAAACTTAGATATAATTTACATACCATAAATTTATCCTTTTAAAGCGCACAGATCAGTGGTTTGTAAAATATTCATAGAGTTGTACGGCCATCATCTCTAATATCAAAAATGTTTTCATCACTCCCATATCCATCAGCCCCCAGCCCCCGCCAACCACTAATTTACTTTCTGCAGCTATGAATTTACCTACGCTGGACATTTCATATAAGTGGAATAATATAAATATGGCTTTTTGTGTCTAGCTCCTTTTACTTAGCAAAATGTGTTCAAAGTTCATCCATGTTGTTAAGAGGTATCAGTACTTTATGCCTTTTCATGGCTGATTAATATTCCATTGCATGGGTATGACACATTTTCTTTATCCATTCATCAACTGATGGACATTTAAGTTATTTCTACTTTTTATTTTTTTTGTAATAGAGATAAGGTCTTGCTCTGTCACCCAGGCTGGAGTGCAGTAGCCTTGAACTCCTGGGCTCAAGCCATCCTCCCACCTTCGCCTCCCGAGTAGCTAGGACTACAGACCACACCACCATACCTAGATAATTTTTTAATTTTAACTTTTTAATTTTGTGTAGAGACAGGGTCCCGAACTCATGGCCTCAAGCAACCTTCCTGCCGTGGTCTGTCGAAGTGTTGAGATTACAGGTATGACCCACAGCGCTCAACCTCCATTTTTTGACTATTATGAATAATGCTGCTGTGAAATTAGTGTACAAGTTTTTGTTCACACATGCTGTTTTAGTATTTATGATGTCCTTTAAGGTTGCTTGTCTCATTGGGCCTCACAAACACTTTGTGAGATAAGACAAATCCTATTTCCATTTTGCCTCTAGGGAAACAGGCTCTCAGAGATAATTGCTTAGTTTGTGCTAGAGTCAGCACTCTAATCCAGTCCTGTTTTTTAAAAAATAGCTTAAAAATGTCAAAAGAAGCACAGAATTTTCTGGGAAAGGTGAAATTTGTTGCTTATTTTCAGTTTTGTAAAGATGTGAATATATTTACCCATGCTCATTAGAGAAGCAGTGTCTAGAGTAAGTTACAGATCCAGAAGAAAATGTTGCCATAACAAGTGGTCAAAATTTCCTAAAACAGAGTTAAAACAGAATTATACCCAGGCTGTTGTATAGGAATAGGCACTTCTATTCTTTGTAGTTTTGTGATTTTACTTTCAAGGAAAACGCAGACAGATTGTAGCTGTTCGCAGTTCTAATGGTTCACAGAAAGAAACTGCTTCAGATTATTTTTTTCTCCTAATTATCATGCATCTTAGAGACATGTTTATGACTAGATTTAAATCTTAACACAGTCTATTAATATTTCAGTTTTGGCATCAGGCACATGAAATAGGATTATTCATGCAAACCTTGCCAAAAGCATCCTGAGTCAAAACTTGACTAAATTAATACAGTCCTTTTTTGATATTTGAATCATCATATATAAAAATTTTGCAGGAGACCTTGGAAACGTTTTAATCCAAATACTTACCCAATGTATGCATTCTGATTCATGAATTGAATCCCCACCCCCCGCTACCTACTCTCTTATTCTTATAGCCAAAAGCAGGAACACTAATAATAAAGGACAGAAGCCTAACAACAAACAAAAAAGTCTTGTTCAATTTTCCTTGCTTGGAATATCTTTCCCCACATCGTGTTCCTGGTGAACTCTGACTTACCCTGAGTTAATTACTTTCACCTTGTATCAATACTCATATTCTATTTAGCACACTTTATTGAGATTATTTGTTTAAATATATGTACTCTATCAGATGATGTGATTTAAAACACATTTTGTTAATCTCCAGCATCCAGTAGAATTCCTGGTATAGTCATGCAGTAAAGATTTGGTTTTTTGTTGTTTTTTTGTTTGTTTGTTTGTTTGTTTTTTGAGACGGAATCTTGCTCTGTCGCCCGGACTGGAGTTCAGTGGTGCTATCTTGGCTCACTGCAACCTCCGCCTCCTGGGTTCAACCGATTCTCCTGCCTCAGCCTCTGGAGTAGCTGGGATTACAGGCATGTGCCACCATGCCCAGCTAATTTTTTGTATTTTTAGTAGAGACAGGTTTTCACCATGTTGGCCAGGCTGGTCTCAAACTTCTGACCTCAGGTGATCCGCCTGCCTTGGCCTTCCAAAGTACTAGGATTACAGGCATGAGCCACCGTGCCCAGCTAAACATTTGCTGATTTTAGCCAGGCTCCGTGGCTCACATCTGTAATCCCAGCACTTAGGGAGGCCAAGGCCAGGCAGATAGCTTGAGCCCAGGAGTTTGGGACCAGCCTGGGCAACACGGTGAAAATCTATCTCTATAAAAAAATACAGAAATTAGCTGGGTGTGGTGGCATGCACCTGTAGCCTAGTCTTAGCTACGCTGGAGGCTGAGGTAAGAGGATCACTTGCCCTGGGAGGCTGAGGCTGCAGTAAGTCCTGATTGTGCCACTGCACTCCAGCCTGGGTGACGAAGCAAGACCCTATATTAAAAAAAAAAAAAGATTTGTTCATTTGGATGGACTCAGGATCTCAAGAACTCTGAGTTCTGACTGACTGCTGATTGTGAAGTCACTATCTGCATTACCATTAACTAACACTTACAAAGCCCTCATAGCTAGAAGAACTAAACTGGACCTATAAGACATATAAAGTATCTTGCACACAGTCCCAGCACTTAGGAAGTTAATGAAGTCTATAAATTCAAAGTAGAAGTCAAGCTCAGCAAATGTAGATTCAATATTAATGTTGAGAAGACTACCAGTGCATACACACGTAATCAATGGGGCGTCAATGTGTGGGATATGTAAAAGGATTAGTGATATTGAGATTGGGCCATGTTATTAGCCAACTTCGCAAGGATCAATCAATCCTTCAACATAAAATTACTGAGCAATTATTTTAAAGGTGGAGCCAATAACATTTCCTGACTGATTGGATGTGGTGTAACAGAGAAAAGGGCCAAGAATGCCTCCAATGTTTTTGACCTGGGCCACTAGATGTATGGAGTTGCCATCCAGTGAGACAGGGGAATCTGTGGTAAGGCAGGTTTGTGGGAGGTGATTAGGAGTTAGTCACTAGGCTCTAGAGAGACATTGGGACACCTTAGTGAATAAGATAAGGAAAGAGCCAAGCCTCTGACATTACACTCTCATGGATGGTAGGGACAAAAGTGTAGTGCATAAGAAAATTATATCTATGTTAAAACAGATCAGAGGTAAGAGAAAACAAACAGCAGGGTGCAGGGATTGGGAGAACTGGGGTGGGAGGTACCTGGGAAAAGTCTGTTTCAAGAGAGGAAATGGTCAGCTCAAATGCCCTAAGGCAGACAGTGCTTGCCAATTCCTCTAGGGAGGATCAGGGAGTACAGAGTGGCTAGAACAGAGTAGCCAGTGAGAGTAAGAGATCCGAGGGTCCAGCGGCCCAGATCATGTAGAGCCTGATGGGCCATTGTAAGTGGCTTGTACTACTGTTGTTTAAACAGGGAGTCTTTGGAAATTTTCCTGCAGAGTGACGACATAATCTGATTTATGAATTCAAAGGATTACTCAGGCTGCTGGGTTGAGAATACACTCCGGGAAGGTAGAACAGACTCAGGTGGAAGCAGGGAGATTTAGAGATGCCATTGCGGTAATCCAGGCAGGGAATCATATGGATTACTGTGCAGGGAGGAGTGGGGGTAGTGAGAAGAACTTGGAGTCTGGATATATCCGAAAAGTAGAGCCAACAGAATTTCCTTACAGATTCAATGTGGAGTGTGAAAGAAAAGGGAACCAAGCACCACTCCAAGTTTTTGCTTTATTTTGTTTTGAGACAGAGTTTCACTCTGTCAACCCAGGCTGGAGTGCAGTGGCACAATCTCGAAATCTCGGCTCACTGCAACCTCCACCTCCCGGGTTCAAGTGATTCTCCTGCCTCAGCCTCCCTAGTAGCTGGGACTACAGGCATGCGCCACCATGCCTGGCTAATTGTATTTTTAGTAGAGACGAGGTTTCACCGTGTTGGCCAGGCTTGTCTCAAACTCCTGACCTCAAGTGATCCGCATGCCTCAGCCTCTCAAAGTGCTGGGATTACAGGCACGAGCCACCGCGCCCGGCCTGACTCCAAGGCTTTCGACCTGAGCAACTGGAAAGGATGGAGCTGCCGTCTATAAAATAAGGAATTCTGTGGTGGAGGCATTTTGTGGGGGAAGATCAGGATTCCATTTGGACATGTTAGCTTTGAGATGCTGATTAGACATCCAAGTGATACAAGGGCTATAGGAGAAAAAAGATGATTGGATGAGAGGCTGCAGGGGAAACAGTGTCCTCAGGGGAGAGCCAGGTTATAGTTAGAGCTAGAAAAAAAAAGCGGTGTGTGTGTGGGGGGGTGTATTTAGAGATAGAAAGGGAGGAGGCTGGGCGCAGTGGCTCATGCCTGTAATCTCAGCACTTTGGGAGGCTGAGGTGGGTGGATCACGAGATCAGGAGATCAAGACCACCCTGGCCAACATGGTGAAACCCCTTCTCTACCAAAAATACAAAAATTAGCCGGGTCTGTGGTGCGTGTCTGTAGTCCCAGCTACTCGGGAGGCTGAGGCAGGAGAATCGCTTGAATCTGGGAGGCGGAGGTTATAGTGAGCTGAGATTGCGCCACTGCACTGCTGCCTGGCGACAGAGCAAGACTCTGTCTCAAAAAAAAAAAAAAGAAGAGAGAGAGATAGAAAGGTAAAGGGGGGTATTTAGAGATAGTTTGAGGGTACAGGGATTATGATTATGATTATGATTATTATTTTTGAGACGGAGTTTAGCACTATTGCCCGGGCTGGAGTGCAATGGCACGATCTCAGCTCACTGCAACCTCTGCCTCCTGGGTTCAAGTGATTCTCCTTCCTCAGCCTCCCGAGTAGCTTGGACTACAGGTGCACATCACCATGACTGGCTAATTTTTTGTATTTTTTAGTATAGACGGGGTTTCACCATATTGGCTAGGCTGGTCTTGAACTCCTGACCTCATGATCTGCCCGACTCGGCCTCCCAAAGTGCTGGGATTACAGGCGTGAGCCACTGCACCCAGCCTGAGGGTACAGGGATTTTATAAAGGATGGATCATGAATTGCAGAGGGCAGTGTGGAAAAGGTTCTAAGAGCCGTAGAGGAGTAGAACATAGGGCCAGACAGGGGCTGTGCAGAGCTCTATGGGGGTTCGAGTGAGGAAGATTCCAGATGACCTGAGAATCTGGGTCTTATTAGGGTGATTGACACACACAAGATTATGGGACTTGAGATTCATCCTGGGGGATTCATGGCAGTGGTGGTGAGACTTTGCAGGCTGGAGGGTGGAGAAGGAGAGATATTTCAAGCTTTCTTTTGATCTTGTTGGAGGAGAGGAAGTCCAGACAAGAGGCATTTCACTGGCCCCAGTTGATGTGTTTAAGAACTTCTAGGGAAGATGGATGTTGCTCCTTGCAGGCACCATATAGTTACTCCTGTTTGTGTAGAAATGGGAGGCCTAGGGTGTTTGAGACTCAGTTATTAGGTTGGTGAAAAAATTATTGCCACGTAATTGCAAAAACCGCAATTACTTTCGCATCAACCTAATACATTTAAAGTTTTAAGAAGCAACGTGGGACAAAGAGAAGTTATGTGGGAATTGTTCTTTAAGTATTTGCTATTATCCTATTAAAATAGAAGCAATCGTTTCATCATAGTCTAAAATCATGACAACCAAAGTTAATAAGTAGCAGAGTCTGTGCCACTTTGATATCGCTCAGATGAATTCCTCCCAGGGGACGGTGTCAGGGATGTTCTTCAGATGACCATGTATCAGTGCATGGAGAAGAATATCTTTTTCTTTTTGAGATAGAGTCTTGCTCTGTGGCCCAGGTTGGAGTGCAGTGGCGTGATCTCTGCTCACTACAACCTCTGCCTCCCGGGTTCAAGCAGTTCTCCTGTCTCAGCCTCCTGCGTAGCTGGGAGTACAGGCACGTGCCAACACACCTGGCTAATTTTTTGTGTTTTTAGTAGAGATAGGGTTTCACCGTGTTAGTGCCAGGATGGTCTCGATCTCCTGACCTCGTGATCCGCCTGCCTTGGCCTCCCAAAGTGTTGGGATTACAGGCATGAGCCACCGTGCCCAGCTGAATATCATTTTTAAAGGAACTAAACTAGCCATTCAAAAACCTGAGTTCAAGTTCCACTTTTTAATTAACTAATTGTGAATTTTCATGCTCATTATTCTCTTTTCATTTTATTCATTTATTTACTTTTTTTTTTGAGGTAGAGTCTCACTTTGTCACCCAGGGTGGAGTGCAGTGGCACAATCTCAGCTCACTGCAACCTCTGCCTCCTGGGTTCAAGTGATTCTCCTGCCTCAGCCTCGCAAGTAGCTAGGATTACAGGCGTGTGCCAAGCCACCATACCTGGCTAATTTTTTTGTATTTTTAGTAGAGACAGGGTTTTGCCATGTTGCCCAGGCTGGTCTCCAACTCCTTAACTCAGGCAATCCGCCTGCCTTGGCCTCCCAAAGTGCTAGGATTACAGGTGTGAGCCACCCCGCTTGGCCTCGTTATTCACTTTTAAAATATCAGTATAATGAAGAGTACCTCACAGATAAATGAAAAATAAAATGTGATATGTATACAAAGAAGCACTGTAAACAAAAAAGTAACACAGAAAAATAAGGTGGTATTATCATAGCGAAAATGTTGTCTATTTTCTATAGTTAATCTATGAATATAATGGAAGTCCCA
Organism: Homo sapiens; assembly: GCF_000001405.40. NCBI lineage: Eukaryota > Metazoa > Chordata > Mammalia > Primates > Hominidae > Homo > Homo sapiens. The sequence continues at coordinate 224,634,516 of NC_000002.12, forward strand.
GAAGCATACTTGAAAATACTCAGCAGATCATGTGCCCCATCACCAGTAGCTAGAGGAACAAGTAGTGGTTCTTTGAAAATGGCAATCTCTACTCAGAAATATAAGAGAAAAAATTTTAAAATACTCAAAATAGAATTATCATCATTTGCTTTAGTCAGTAACAGAGACTGCAAAGAATGAGTAAATTTTTACTTACATTAAAAGTTGATATTGGGCTGGGCATGGTGGCTCACACCTGTAATCCCAGCACTTTGGGAGGCCGAGGAGGGCGGATCACTTGAGGTCAGGAGTTTGAGACCAGCCTGGCCAACATGGCGAAACCTCGTCTCTACTAAAGATGGAAAAACTAGCCAGGCTTTGTGGCACATGCCTATAATCCCAGCTACTTGGGAGACTGAGGCAGGAGAATCGTTTAAACCTGGGAGGCAGAGGTTGCAGTGAGCAGAGATCACACCACTGGACTCCAGCCTGGGCGACAGATTGAGACTCCAGCTGAAAAAGAAAAAAAAAGAAAAAAAGTTGGCAGCCAGGCGCAGTGGCTCACACCTGTAATCCCAGCACTTTGGGAGGCCGAGGCGGGTGGATCACGAGGTCATGAGATCAAGACCATCCTGGCTAACACGGTGAAACCCCGTCTCTACTAAAAATACAAAAAATTAGCCGGGCGTGGTGGTAGGCGCCTGTAGTCCCAGCTACTCAGGAGGCTGAAGCAGGAGAATGGTGTGAACCCAGGAGGCGGAGCTTGTAGTGAGCCAAGATCATGCCACTGCACTCCAGCCTGGGGACAGAGCAAGACTCCGTCTCAAGAAAAAAAAAATTTTAAAAAGTTGGCAAGGCAAGGTGGCTCATGCCTGTAATCCCAGCACTTTGGGAGGCTGAGGCAGGTGGATCACCTAAGGTCAGGAGTTCGAGCCCAGCCTGGCCAACATAACAAAACCCCATCTCTACTAAAAATACAAAAATTAGCTGGGCGTGGTGACGCATGCCTGTAATCCCAGCTATTCTGGGGGCTGAGGAAGGAGAATCACTTGAACCCAGGAGGTGGAGGTTGCAATGAGACGAGATTGAGCCACTGCACTCCACCCTGAACAACGGGAGCAAGATTCCGTCTCAAAAAAAAAAAAAAAAAGTTGATATTAAAGTATTTTTTGAAAGGAAATAATAAATGTTACAAGGTTTTATCCTTAAATTAATGCATTTTAGTTAAACATTTCAGAAAGGCTTTAAAATATTTTTAATTTTGGGCCAGGCACTGTGGCTCACACCTGTAATCCCAGCACTTTGGGAGGCTGAAGTGGGCGGATCACAAGGTCAGGAGATCAAGACCATCCTGGCTAACACGGTGAAACCCCCTCTCTACTAAAAATACAAAAAATTAGCCAGGCGTGGTGGCGGGTGCCTGTAGTCCCAGCTACTCAGGAGGCTGAGGCAGGGGAATGGCGTGAACCCAGGAGGCAGAGCTTGCAGTGAGCCGAGATCGGGCCACTGCACTCTAGCCCGGGCGACAGAGCAAGACTCCATCTCAAAAAAAAAAAAAAAAGATACTTCTACTAAAAAAAAATGTTTTGTGACTGAAAATTGACTTACAGAAACACTCATACTTGGAGAAACTTTCCCATGCCTACTTGACATTTCACATATGGTAGTTTAAGCTAAACTAGGTGGGAATGGGGAAGGGACACTGCAAATACAAGGGCAAAGAGAGAGGAGAAAGTGTCCAAAAGCACCTAGTGTCTTCACTGAGAAACAAAAGCACAGTTCCTGCACATGCCATGGAATGTCTGTGGCATTGCATGTCACTATCGTCTTGGAGAAAAAGTTGGTGCCAACCATGGATCTTCTTATGGGAAGAGCTGTTGGTATAGGCATATCAGCTCATTTTGTCTGCAAGTACAAGGAAACCCAAGTCAAATTACCTTAAATAAGGGGTCCCCAACCCCCAGGCCATGGAACAGTACCAATCCGTGGCCTGTTAGGAAACGGGCCACACAGCAGGAGGTGAGTGGCGGGTGAGCGAGCATTACCAGTGAGCTCCGCCTCCTGTCATATCAGCTGCAACATTAGATTCCCATAGAAGTGAGAAGCATATTGTGAACTGCGCATGTGAGGGATGTAGATTGTGTGCTCCTCATGAGAATCTAATGCCTGATGATCTGATGTGGAACAGTTTCATCCCGAATCCATCTCACCCTCTCCATCCCTCTGTCCTTGGAAAAATTGTCTTCCATGAAACTGGTCCCTGGTGCCAAAAAGATTGGGACCACTGCCTTAAATAATAAAGAAATCCATTGGCCCCCATGACCAGAAGCCCAGACGTAGGACAGATTTTCAGTTATGTTCATCTTTGACTCTGGCTCCGTTTCCCTGTGCCTCTTCCAGCTCACTCTGTGCTTCTCCATGGGTCAGCTCCATCCTCAGGCCCGTGGTGAATGGATACGCCAGTTCCAGATGTATAATCTGTGAATGACATCATCCAGAAGCAGACAAATAAAAGCTTCCAGAAGCTGACGGTTCTGATTTAGGGGACCCTTACCTAGAGGATGGGGGAAACCTGCAGTACACTTCTCATGACTAGGCAAGAATTTTCACCTGCCCAATGACGAACAAGAGACAGGGATTTACCCTTCAACCAGAGCTCTGGTAGGCCTAAGGGAGGGATGCCTTCTAGATTAGCAATCGGTAATGCCCACCCCTACTGTTTCCTTCTGCAGGATTTTGCTGAAGGTAGGTACCATGTTTTACTCATTCTTTTATTTCTCATATCTATCATGGTGGCTGGTACATGGTAATTATTCAATAAATGTCATTGAAAAAATAAATTAATAAATGAGTACCTGGAAAAGTGCCAAGTCTGATTTGCCCTGTAGTTAAAAAAAAAAAAAAAGTTCAAATAATCCCTGGTTTCCTTGAAATTCAAAAAGAAGGCATTTTGGCCAGGTGCGGTGGCTCACCCCTGTAATCCCAGCACTTTGGGAGGCCGAGGCAGGCGTATCATGAGATCAGGAGATTCAGACCATCCTGGCTAACATGGTGAAACCCCGTCTCTACTCAAAATACAAAAAATTAGCTGGGCGTGGTGGTGGGCGCCTGTAGTCCCAGCTACTGGGGTGGCTGAGGCAGGAGAATGGCGTGAACCCGAGAGGTGGAGCTTGCAGTGAGCCGAGATCGCGCCACTGCACTCCAGCCTGGGCGACAGAGCGAGACTCTGTCTTAAATAAATAAATAATTAATTAATTAAAAAAAAGGAAGGCATTTTAAAGAACATCCTATCTGGAAGGTGAAGGGGAAGATCCAATAATATAATCAGGACTCAAATTACATAGGATTTTATAATAGACCAGATGTCAACCATTTAAATAACATTTAGCAGTAAATACACATAAGTGCTACATTTTTTTAATGAACAATTTGGATCCTGAATCAAATGAGCTTCTGAATTTCACACAATGGAATGTTCCAGATTTTCAGCTTGCATTAATCGATTTAGAATTATTTTGCTTGGAGATGGGGGGATGGACTCGTGGGCTGGTGGTTTGCAGGCATTTCTTCCAGATTTTAAGATTATATTGGGATTTAGCACTACAGGGCTCAATAGAAACTCAACAGAAAGCAACTGGCACCAGTTAGGAACTACTTCCTGCTGATTGCAAGTTTTTCTCCCTACTTTCTTCACAATTTACCCAGGACAATATAAATGTTACAAATTATCAGCATTGATTGGATTACTGTGAGTAGGAGGAAACAGGATATTAATAAATGTTTTGTAGCAGCCTTTCAGACCTGAATGTGCCCAGCCTCTTGCTGCTGTTTTTTAGGGTTGTAGTCTCTTTCTTTGCATTGGCGATATCCTGTCCCTGTCAAACGCTTTACAACGTAAACACTTCAACAAGTGGGTGTCTTTGGGAGGAGCCCTTAGTCTTTCATAGCAATAAACTTCAGCACTTCCTCATTTTGGCTGCCTCCTCATTCTGATTCTAAAGAAAACAAACAAGCCTGGCCTCCGCCTCAGCTACTGTGCACCTGCAAGAGGTGAACGGTGATGGTACCAGTCTAGGCCCTGATGGTCTAACCAGGGGTCCAGATTGGCAACTAACAATGTTTGGTTGAGCCCACACGATGTGTGTTTTTTCTTTTTACAGTATTTGGATTTGAATGACTTCAGCTGAGACATGCTTTTTCTGGGCATTGTTAAGTCTCACTATCTCTTATTTGACTAATGTGTTTCCATTACGTGCCCAGCTCCTGTAGGCGTTGACCTTGCCTCCCCAGACTAAACCACAGAAGCAAGTCCATAGACATTGAGGCTGCGCTTATTTAGGTTAAGTAGGGAAAAGTACAGAGTTAAGCAGATACCTTTTTTTACCGTCCTAGAATAAACATAGCCATCAGTATTTTCAATTGTTGCTTCCAGAACTGTGATGAAACTCGGAAGGACCTTCAAAGCTTGGTTACCATTACACCTATGTATATAAAAGTGTGATTTTGGATTGACTTGGAACTCAAAGAAGTTTCCTGGGCCAGGCCGGACACTGTGGCTCACACCTGTAATCCCAGCACTTTGGGAGGCTGAGGTGGGGGGATCACAAGGTAAGGAGATCGAGACTATCCTGGCCAACATGATGAAACCCTGTCTCTACTAAAAATACAAAAATTAGCTGGGCGTGGTGGTAGGCACCTGAAGTCTCAGCTACTCAGGAGGCTGAGGCAGGAGAATCACTTGAACCCTGGAGGGGGAGGTTGCAGTGAGCTGAGATTGTGCGACTGCACTCCAGCCTGGCGAGAGAGCGAGACAACATCTCAAAAAAAAAAAAAAGTTTCCTGGGACTACCTTAAAAACTTAGTTCATCTCAATTGTTTCTACTGTTAATACAATATCTGGTTTTGGAGGAAGAGAAGTGTTTTCTGTATGTACATAAAGCACTATATCACTAAGTGAGAAACACCTTCTTCCCCCCATCTCAATCTTTTTTTTTTTTTTAAGTCAGGATCTCACTCTGTCACCCAGACTGGAGTTCAGTGGTGAGATCATGGATCACCGCAACCTCCACCTCCCAGGCTGGAGCGATTCTCCTGCCTCAGCCTCCAGAGTAGCCGGGGTTACAAGCACGCGCCACTACTGCCCAGCTAATTTTTGTATTTTGTTTGTTTGTTTGTTTGAGACAGAGTCTTGCTCTGTCACCCAGGCTGGAGTGCAGTGGCATGATCTCATCTCACTGCAAGCTCTGCCTCCCGGGTTCATGCCATTCTCCTGCCTCAGCCTCCCGAGTAGCTGGGACTACAGGCAGCCGCCACCACACCCAGCTAATTTTTTTGTATTTTGAGTAGAGACGGGGTTTCATTGTGTTAGCCAGGATGGTCTCAATCTCCTAACCTGGTGATCCACCCGCCTCAGCCTCCCAAAGTGCTCACCGCACCCGGCCAATTTTTGTATTTGTAGTAGAGACGGGGTTTCAGCATGTTGGCTAGGCTGGTCTTGAACTCCTGACCTCAGGTGATCCCCCTGCCTCGGCCTCCCAAAGTGCTGGGATTACAGGCGTGAGCCATGGCACCCGGCCATTCTTACATTCTTATATATCTACTCTTAACATTTTTATATTCATGCATCCACTCAGCCAATATTTGGAGCTACTGCTGTGGACTGAGTACTTGCTGAACCATGTTGTACTAACCCTTGCCTAACTGGTTAACTCTGGGTGATAACCTGTGAAAAATGAGGAATGTTGTAAGCCAGTCCTTTAGGGCAACCTTAATTCAGGTCATTTGTGAAGAGATACATCATAAATCCTTATGATACATATAAATTTTAGTATTTTAATTAGAGGGTAAGTGATCATCTTTATACCAGCTGTTTCCTAGCTGTCCAAAGTGACTTAAACATGGTATTCTTTTACAGAAATTTTTGTTTTGAAAGTATAAATTCACATGCAGTTGTAACGATAGTACTGAGAGTTCTCTTGTACAAGTCACTCAGGTTCTCCCAATGGTTATATTTTGTATAACTACAGTATAATCTCAAAGCTGAGAAACTGACACTGGCAAAATGTATGTGTCTAGTTTAATGCCATTTTATCACATGTGCACACTCATGTAACAACCACCTCTGTCAAGATACGGGGCTATTCTATCACCAGGAAGACTGCCCTCTTCTTACCTCCCCACACCATCCCTCTTGCTACCTGCCCCTCTCCCAACCCCTAAACTCTGGCAACCACAGGTCTATTTTCCATTTGTATAAACTTGTCATTTTGAGATAGTTAAATAAATGGAATCATATGGTATGTGCTCTTTTGAGATTGGGCTTTTCTCACTTAGCATAAGCCTTTGCAATCCTTCCAAGTTATTGCGTGTATCCAAAGTTCATTTCTTTTTATTGCTGGGTAGTATTCCACTGGGCGGATGTGTCATAGTATTTTGGCTATTTCAAATCAAGTTGCTGTGTATAACCATGTACAAGTTTGTGTGGCTTTACGTTTTTATTTATCTGGGATAAATGCAATTGCTAGGATATGTCGTAAGAGCATGTGTAGTCTTTTTTAAGAAACTGCCCAGCTGTTTTTCAGAGGGGTCATATCATTTTACATTCCCAGTGTGTTATTTTTTTAATTAAAAAAATAAATTCCTTAATAAATTGATTATTGATAATGGTTCTTCACATGGGAAAGCCAATTTGTGAATTTGTTTATAATCATTATGTATGACCACATCACGGTCTTTTTCCAACACATCATAATTGATGGGGAAACCTAGGATCCTAGGTCATTGGCTGACTAGACCAGCAAATATAGAAGTTATCTTATACAGATATGAGCAGGAATGGACACATCCATCAACAGGCCTTCCATTGTTGGACTTCACTATATCAGTGTGGACACAATTCGTTCCGGCATTCCAGGTAATCAAGAGTCACTTTGTTGTCAAAGATGCTGAAACAATTTTTTAGCGTTATCTTCTTGCCTTGGTCACATGCCTAGGATATAGAGGGCAAGTTCTTTTTTTTTTTTTTTTTTTGAGACAGAGTCTTTCTCTGTCGCCCAGGCTGGAGTGCAGTGGCATGATCTCGGCTCACTGCAGCCTCTGCCTCCCGGGTTCATGCAATTCTCCTGCCTCAGCCTCCCGAGTAGCTGGGACTATAGGTGCCCGCCACCATGCCCGGCTAATTTTTTAATTTTTAGTAGAGATGCAGTTTCTCCATGTTGGCTAGCCCCATGCCTGGCCCTGGGGACAAGTTCTTTTTAGCTCCACTTTTTTGTAGGAGAATGTGCAAGGATGGAACGTCATGTCAGTGAATCTCAGAGACAGCAGTCAAAGCCACAGAGCAGTGGGAGGAAAAATAACTCTGGCTTTGGGGTCAGTTCTGTTACTTTCTAGCTGTTTGGCCCATGTTACTTAAACTCTCAGCCTCAGCTTCCTTTTCTGTAAAATGGGACCACTAGTGTCCATTTCACAGGATCCATGAGATTATTAAATGCAATTGTGCGTGTAAATCAGTGGGCATGTAGTATCAACAAACACAGGTACTGTTTGTTGGGGGCTTAATTTGAGGCACTGTGCTGAGCTCCTTGTAGGCGCTTTAAATAAAATGACAAGTTTTCTTTCCACACTTTCTAATTTCCTTTTGTTTTCTTACTCTTATCTTCCTAAAGCTAGGAATATGATAGTGAGTTTATCACTTCATTCAAAAAATATATACTGAGCATTGTTTTCTTACTGGTTTTTTTAAATCTTCCCTAAAGCTAGGAATATGATGGTAAGTTTATAATTTCATTCTTTCATTTAGCAAATATTTATTGAGCAACTATTCTGTTCCAGGCCTGGTTCTAGGTTCTGAGGTCATAGCTCTGAACAACATCTGTGTTCTCATGGAGATTACATTCTAGCAGAAGGCTAACAAGAAACCAGCAAGCAAATATGTATACTAGAGAATTTCAGACAGTTCTCAGTGTGAAGGAAACAAAAAGGAACAGGGCAGTGTGAGATGGCAGAGTCATCAGGGATGAGGCAGGGGAGACAATGAAGAAGGGCTACCTTAGAAATTGTGACTGGGAATGAACCTTTAAGGAGGAGACATCAGAAAAGAAATAGGAGGGAAGAGAGAAAACAGCAATAGAAACATGCAGGAAAACAGAGTTGGAGGCAGAGTGTATGCAAGTGAAATGAACTTGGTGTGGTTTGAGGAGCAGGAAGAAGGTCAGGGTTCCTGGTGCTTGACAAACGAGAGCATTTGTGGAGTAAAGATGAAGAAGGAAATTGGGTCTTCTAGGACATGGCAAGAAATTTGAACTTTATTGTAAATGTGACAGGAGGGTTTTGAACATTGGAACCATGTGATTTGATTTATATTTTACAGGGAGTATTCATTTGGCTGTTTGAAAAGGAGACTGGAGAGGTTAAGGTGGCAAGGGAGCATGCAAAAGAATGAGTGAGAGGGCTAATGCGATACTCCTGGTGAGAGGTGACTGTGGTTTGGCCAATGCTTCTAGCAGCTGAGCTGGAGAGAAGAGGATGGATTTGGGATAAATTTTGGAGAGGAGCTGATAGGATCTATCAGATGGATAAAACACAGGAGTGAAAGAACAGAAGGAATAAAGGATGACTTCAGGCTTTTGGCTGAGCATTTGTTGATGGGAAATCCAGGGCGCTCTTAATGTTCCATTGTGTGTTTTAAAAGGGAGCAGTGTCTTGTATTGTACAAGATGCACTCAGTCCTGTATATGCTATTATCAGTGAGAAACAAGACTGGGCTATAGATTTGTTGGTATTAGAGAAGAGAGGTTGATTACTTCTTGAATCCTCTAGGATTTTTCCTTTATGGATACATGTGTTGGACTACTTTGTAAGTTTTGCTTCAATTATCCTCCAACTGTCCCATTTTCCTACTCTACTCGTGGCTCCCACTTCTGCTTCTTCTGCACCTCAGTAGAACAGGAGCAGCCTCCCAGGGCATGGCAAGTTCATTTGGCTTGGCATGGGCCCTGGACAATGGGTCTTGCCTTCAGGTGGTGTGACTTCTTGGCTTGGTGAATAGAAAATGCCATCCTAGGCCGGGCGTGGTGGCTGACACCAGTAATTCCAGCGCTTTGGGAGGCCGAGGCTGTCGGATCACCTGAGGTTAGGAGTTCGAGACCAGCCTGGCCAACATGGTGAAACACCATCTCTACTAAAAATACAAAGATTAGCCAGGCATGGTGGTGCACATCTGTAATCTCAGCTACTCGGGAGGCTGAGGCACGAGAATCACTTGAACCCTGGAAGCAGAGGTTGCAGTGAGCCAAGATGGCACTACTGCACTGCAGCCTGGGCGACAGCAAGATTCTGTCTCAAAAAACAAACAAACAAAAAATGCCATCCTGGCTGCCTGTGCTGATCCTGAACAAGGTTTGGGGGCTAGAGCAGAGCAGACCCCTACGCATGTCTCCTTTGGTTTAGGGTCTTTGGGGAAGGGATGCTGCAGCCATTGGTGATTGGTGGTACCGAAACCCCAGCCTAGCGGCTTTGGGCTGACTCTGTGGGAAGCTGGTGTCAACTGTAAAAAGCTTCTCATCTGCAGTGCTTTGACAAGTACTTTCAGGAGAGTTTCTTAATTCTCTGAGCTCTAATTCCCTCATCTGAAAGGCAGAGTAGTAATAATTATGGCTTCTTAGAGTTTTTATGAGAATTGACTTAATTTCAGAGGCAGTAAACAGCCCAGGTAAGCTTGGCTTCGAGTGTGGAGTCAGGCCTTTCAATTCCTTTCCATCTGGAATTTTGGGTGGTGGGACATGGGAACAAGTTTCTTACCCTCTCTGTGCCTCAGTTTCCTTATTCCCAATAAGAGAATAATAATGGTACCTTCTTGTTATGGTTGCTGTGAGAATTGGATGAAATATTTTATGGGAAATGCTTTAAACTGTGACTGGTATTTGATTATAGCACTTAAAAAATACCTGTTGAGGCCGGGCGCAGTGGCTTACGCCTGTAATCCCAGCACTTTGGGAGGCTGAGGCGGGCAGATCATGAGGTCAGGAGATCAAGACAATCCCGGCTAACACGGTGCAACCCCATCTCTACTAACAATACCAAAAAAAAAAAAAAAAAAATTTAGCCAGGCTTGGTGGCAGGCGCCTGTAGTCCCAGCTACTTGGGAGGCTGAGGCAGGAGAATGGTGTGAACCCAGGAGGTGGAGTTTGCAGTGAGCCAAGTACACGCCACTGCACTCCAGCTTGGGTGACAGAGCGAGACTCCATCTCAAAAAAAAAAAAAAGCTGTTGATAAAAGAGGCCCTTGATGAATGTCTATTATTTAAATAATTACGTCCATGAAAAGTACTTTAACAGCATTAAAAAGTTAGTTATTGTGGGGCTGGGCGTGGTGGCTCACAGCTGTAATCCCAGCACCTTGGGAGGCGGAGGCAGGCAGATCACAAGGTCAGGAGTTCGAGACCATCCTGGCCAACATGATGAAACCCCTTCTCTACTAAAAATACAAAAATTACCCGGGCGTGGTGGCGCACGCCTGTAGTCCCAGCTACTTGGGAGGCTGAGGCACAATAATCACTTGAACCCGGGACGCGGAGGTTGCAGTGAGCAAAGATCGCGCCACTACACTCCAGTCTGGTGACAGAGCGAGTGAGATTCAGTCTAAAAGAAAAAAAAGTTATTGTGTTAAATTTTATTACATCCTCCATTATCCTTGCTGATTTTGTGTTCCAGAAATAATTACAACATTATCACACAAATCTAATCTCTGGGATCTAAATGAGAGGATCACACACTCAGATGGCTACAGGGGCGAGACAGGTCACACAAATAAATGAGGGTGCAAGCTCTGCGATGAAGGGTCCACAATCAGAATCAGATCTGTTAAAATAGGCTATGGCCAACTATTTCAATACCAGCAGTATCACTTGCAGATTCTTTCAGAGAAGCTGGAAATCTGAAATTTTTATTAATAGATGAGATTTCTGGGTTTATTAATGTTAGCAGTTTAACCAAAGAGTTTAGAAACACCTTGTTGGCTAAAGAAATGTATGTTTCAGGGGAGTGGCCTTGACCCACAGACCACCAGTTTAGAAATGCTGATCTAGACTACTGCAGATTAGTTTGTGAGACCAGCCAGAAATAGGATCCAGAAAGGTCAATATACATGGGAGAATGGTTAGAGCACCAGGAACCACTGGAGTGACAGGCTCAGGTGGGTGGATCCTCAGAAGCTGCTCTGGGGCAGGAGAAAGACTGGACTTGGGAGCAAGAAGGATGCTGAAAAGATGAAGCCCGTGACCGAAGGTGACCTGGGCATACTTGACAAGCTAATCTAGGGCTGGCCCCAATGCCACAGATATCTGTATTTTGAATACAGGTTGTTTTTACTTCCTTGGCAATCAGGTTACACAGAGGCAGTATTGTTCAATTCCTATGGCTTCCCGGGACCTGAATTGCACCTGCTGTGCATAACGATGGCATCATCCATAATTAGGCAATGACTTGCTTTTGTCTTGAGGCTTCTATGGGCCTTACCTGATGCAGGCATTCTGGAGGGAGTGTAAGTGGAAAGACTCTAGCAGAGTCAGGTAATATAATTCAGCACACTAAAGTGAACTATGGAACAGGTGCACATACAATGCAATAGCTCAGTTTCACTTTTAATGACTTGCATTATCACACAGCTATTTGGTTATCGTTTTCATAACTCAACAATCTCAAATTAAGACTTTACTATACTTATATAATGGTCTTCTATCCATGGGCAGAGACAAGCAAGGTACAAAATCAGGGGGGAAAATGAAGGCTAAATATGTATTACTAATATTCAAAATGAGAATCAAACATTTGTTATTTAAAAGTTATAGGACAATAGCAGTTGATGAGTGGTTCTTAACGGGGGCAATTTTACCACCACCAGGGGACATTCGCAATGTTTGGAGACATTTTTGGTTGTCACAACTGAGGGTAGCGTTTGCTACTGGCATCTAGTGGTAGAGACTGGGGATGTTTCAGAATATCCTACAATGTACAGGAAGACCCCCAACAATGATCAGCCCCAACATATCAACAGAGACAAGGTCAAAATAGTTCGAAATATGCAATAGTTTGAAAGAAAAAAATTCATCTGCATGTAACTTTAGAAATGAAACTAGGGCGTAAATTAAAGGCAGCCATGCATATGCACGTAAATTAAAAGGTTAAAGGTGTGCATATGTGTGACTGATTACAGCAAATTGCTGTCTCTTCATGAACTCTTAGCTGAATTAATCAAACCAATTATATATGTAGGAAGCAACCTACCTCCTCCGATAACAAGAAAATCATTTTCGCATGCAGCTTTAAGCACGTGGAAGGCCCCCAAAAGATGAATGTGCTGATGACATGCAGAGCAAAAATCATACGAAGAGGAAAAACTTGAAGAGCAAAACCTAGGGTCCTTGATCCTTCCAAGTGGACCCACCAATTGTGTCTTCTCCACTCATTGCTCCCAGTGTGTGGTAGAGTTGATCTCCTTTGACATCTTGCTTTACTAACAGATGCTTTAAATATAAAACAAGTTCAAAGACAGGTAAACAGAAGCTGAGGCTTTCATGCAGTAGAGTGTACTGTGGCTAAGTTATCTGTCAAGTACAATGTTTACTCAGTTGAGATACCTCTCAATTGAAGATGCGGGCCATTATTTCCTAAAGGGGAGTTCTACCCTGAAGTATAGTCTGAGCTGTTAAGGACAGAGGATAACATAAAATAGCTGAAAAGTTTGGGATATTGAGATAAAATGCTGAATTTCGTATTGAGATAAAATGCTGAATTTCATGAAGCATCTAATAGAAAAGAAGCAAGATTGAGGGTTTTAGGTTTTGCATTTTTTTTTTTTTGAGACTGTCATGCTCTGTCACCCAGGCCGGAGTACATTGGTGCTATAGTGGTGCTGTCACTGCAGCCTCCGCATCCTGGGCTCAAGCTATCCTCCCACCTCAGCCTCCCAAGTAGCTGGGACCACAGACACATGCCACCACCCCCAGCTAATTAAAATATTTTTTCTTTTGTGGATACGGGGTTCCCCTGTGTTGCTCAGGCTGGTCTCGAATCCCTGGGCTCAAATGATCTTCCCACCTCAGCCCCCAAAGTGCTGGGATTACAGAAATGAGTCACCGCACTCAGGCATTTCGATTTTACTGAAAAGGGGCAGGAGTGTGGGGCCTGGCTTTTAAATGAAATCTGTACACAAACTATTAAGGTAGGTATTCCCGCTTTCCTATAAAGTCTCATTATGTAGCCAGGGAAGTCATATTACCCAAAAGAACCCAACAGAAACCAAATCCAAACTGAAATATTTACACGGTTTTTTTTTTTTTTTTTGAGATGGAGTCTTGCTCTGTTGCCCAGCTGGAATGTAGTGGCGCAATCTTGGCTCACTGCAAGCTCTGCCTCCTGGGTTCAAGCCATTCTCCTGCCTCAGCCTTCCCAGTAGCTGGGACTACTGGCACTCGCCACCACGCCCAGTTAATTTTTGTTGTATTTTTTTTTTAGTAGAGACAGGGTTTCGCCACGCTAGCCAGGATGGTCTCGATCTCCTGACCCCGTGATCCATCCGCCTCGGCCTCCCAAAGTGCTGGGATTACAGGCGTGAGCCACCGCGTCCAGTCTTTTTTTTTTTCTTTTTTTTTTTTAACACAGTATCTTGCTCTGTCACCCAGGCTGGAGTGCAGTGGCGTGATTTCAGCTCACTGCAAACTCCACCTCCCAGGTTCAAACAATTCTCATGCCTCAGCCTCCCCAGTAACTGGGATTACAGGTGTGCACCACCACACCCTGCTAATTTCTGTTTTGTTTGTTTCTTTTTTTTAGTAGAGGTGGGGTTTCGTCATGTTGGCCAGGCTGGTCTTGAACTCCTGGCCTCAAGTGATCTGCCCGCCTCGGCCTCCGAAAGTGCTGGAATTACAGGTGTGAACCACTACACCCGGCCTACACAGGGTCTTTAAAAAGTCTTAATTGTTACACTTAATTGAAGTAGACATCCTTACGTTTTTTTTCCCAAGTTGGTGATCCTCTTTCATAGTTCCCATTATTAAACCTCTTTCTCTCTTTTGTTTCAGACAAAAATAGGAAGGGTTGGTATTTACTGAGCACTTACCAGATGTTGTTGTAAGTACTTTACAGATAGCTATTTAAGCCTCATCTGTGAAATGTATTTTATTAACCAATTTCCGAATGAGGAAACTGAGGCCCAGAGGATGTAAATAATTGAAAGTAATTTAGCTAGTAAGGGAGGAGTCAAACTTCAAGCTAGGCAATTTAGCCCTAGAATTTGTGATGTATTGTGCAGTCTGAAATCAGGATCTAGAATTTTTCTAAACCACGAGTCAGTATTGTCAGGGGGGGAGTAATTGAGAAAATTGATTTCTTGTTTTTCCTGAGATTCCTTTGAATTATCCTCACTGCCTTTGAAAGAAAGGTGTACAAGTGAAGGAAGGAGTACAAGTGATGCCTTTGATAGCTCAGTTGGTAGAGTGGAGGACTGTAGTGGATGAGAACGGACTATAGAAAGTCCGCACTTGGTGTCGTCAATAGGTTCTTGAAAACTGCAACTTTAAGCAAAATGAGGTATAACAAAACCATTTTGTTCTCATTAATGTTATAACAAAATGATGTTATTTGAAGACCTGCAGTTCATCATTTCGCTTAAAGTTGTAGTTTCCAAGAATCTATTGACGAGGTTAAGTAAGAACTTACTATACTTAAAAGTTTACAGATTTGGAGACGCTTTGGGGGCAGTCTTTGCAGAGCGGCAAGATAGCAGTGGACAAGAAAATGGATTCACTTTGTGTTAGATGGAAGTGACTTGATCTCTAGTTAAATCTACTAACTGAGTGATGTTGAGCAAGTCACTTAATGTCCCTGAGCCTCAGGTTCCTCATTTGTAAAGTGGATAATAACACATCTTTGAATTGTAAGGATTAAGTGATATAATTCAGGTCAAGTGCCTAACACAGTGCCTGGTACAAAGAAAGGGCTTAGTAGATGATAGTTCTTGTTTTGCAGGGAGCTTCATGGTGGAATTATAGGATGGGGATGGATTAGCAAGCAAATCTCAGATAAACATTTTGAAACTGTGAGATTAAATTCTGTTTCTGCCAATTTAAAATAAGGTGACCCTTGGAAAATGGTTTGGCACTTTGGAAACTTTAATTCATAATGAATTTAATTTAATTTATAAAGGAGGCTGGGTGTGATGGTTCAAGCCTGTAAAATCCCAGCACTTTGGGAGGCCAAGGCAGGTGGATTTCTTGAGCTCAAGGAGTTTAAGATCAGCCTGTGCAACATGGCAAAACCCCGTCTCTACCCAAAATTTAAAAATTAGCTGGGTGTGGTGGCGTGCATCTGTGGTCTCAGCTACTTGGGAGGCTGATGTGGGAGGATCCCTTGAGCCCAGGAACTGGAGGCTGCAGTGAGCTGTGATGATAGTGTGAGACCTGGGTGACAGAGTGAGACCCTGTGTCAAAAAAAAAATTTACAAAGGAAATTTTTATTTGTAAATTATTTATTATGTAATGTATGAGTCTATAATTATGTAGATATGGTCACCTTTATAATTTGTTATGTGGCACATGTCTCACATATAAGAGGCAGGACTTGACTCTGGACCAGATTAAAGACTAGTTAAACATGGAAGAATCAACATAAGCCTCTCTCCATAAGACATGCCCACCAATGCCATGACAGTTTACCACTGCCATGACAACACGTGGAAGTTACCACCCCTTTCCATGGCAATGACCTGGAAGTTATCACTTCTTTTCTAGAAATTTATGAATAATATGCCCCTTAATTTGCATATAATTAAAATTGGGTATAAATATATACGCAGAGCTGCCTCTGAGCTGCTCCTCTGAACGTAACTGCCTAGCGGGTAGCCCTGCTCTGCAGAAGCGGTCACTGAGTTGTTAGCACTGCTGCCTCAATAAAGCCATTTTCTTCTATCACCAGCTCACTCTTGAATTCTTTCCTGAGCAAAACCAAAAAACCTTCCCAGGCTGAGCCCCAGCTTTGGGGCTCACCTGCCCTGAGACATCACTAATGATCTTTTTTTTTTTTTGATTGCATGTAGTAAAACGCTTCTATATTACCTCTGTTCTTAAAAGCAAAATTAAGCAAAACAAAACTCAGGAAGAGTAAGCTAGAGACCGGATACCTATTGAGTTAATATTTTGATATACAGCAAACAGCATTTGCTATTTTGGTACCAAGAAACAAAGTCACCCAAGGAAGACGATGATACAATTTACACACTTGGAAGGGGCTTTGAGAGACCTAGTTTTTCTTGACACTTTCGTTTTATGGATGAAGGAATGAAAAAGAAAAAGGCATAGTATGGAAAACGGAGACCAGGTGATTGGTATGTCACAGGGAACTTGGAAGCAGTAGTGATAATTTTCCCTCCTGGTGGTTTTCCAAAGAGATTACTTTCTAGTTTGGGATTTGGTTAGTCTCAACTCATTCCTGTAGAATCAGATCCTGCTAAGATTAGGAAGGATCGCCCTCTAGAGGTCAAAATAAGGAGTGTATACCTGCAAAATGGACTAGATTTGGGCAGATGAGGTTCCCCTTCATGAGGATTTTGGAGCTGAACGAAACTCTTCATTTGAGAGATGAATTTAAAGTTTTGCAGAGGGGAAGGGACTTTATCACTTGGAAATAATTAGTATAATTCAGGTAATTTGACAATCCAGCTTACGTTCCTTCTCAGGCTTCCCCATCACACTAAATACAGCAGCAAATCTTTAATTTGTCAACCTTTTTCATAAGCAGGAGATTCAGGAGCAATAAACGAAAGAAGCAATAATTAATCAGCAGTTGGGGGTATTTCTATTTGTTTACTCCCATCACGGCTGCAAGACTGATTGCTTTAACTTTACCATAGTTTGATTAATTCATCAAGACTGGACAGAGTGTATTGAAATGCTAGTTCCACAAAATTTTGCTTGAACTCTTCTTATACTGTCTGTTTATGAAAGTCCTGAAGTCAGTTAGAGAAATGCATGTAGTTAAGGGTAAGAAAGGCAAGGCCCAAGTTCTGGGAACTTGGATAAAAGACAGGAGAAATATTTTTGAAAATGTAATTATAGTAGTAATTAATAAAACATATTTCTGAATGCCTGAACAGGGTTAAAACTGGCATCTAAATTTAAGCAGGATATTTTTATTCAGAATTTACTTCATTATGAAAATGGCATTCACTGAAGATATTTGTATTAGTTCACTTGGATCACTGAAATTCTAATGCATTCACTTCAATATTAACAATTTTTCAGTACTGGAAGCTAATTTTCAGGGAAATGTGATTTATATCTTGTAAACAAGATGGAAAGCAAATGTTTCACTTATTGAATCTTTTTATCTATGCAGATACTTGGTAATAGTTAAGTAATGGAGCTTTGTAGTCGCTGTCACTTAATTTTCTACTGTTTACCATCATCATGTTTAGAAAACTGCATTCAAGAGGAGAAAAAATCACCCTTCTTTTAAGATAGCATATTTCTTTTCTTTTTTTTTTTGAGATGGAGTTTCGCTCTTGTTGCCCAGGCTGGAGTGCAATGGCGCGATCCGGCTCACTGCAACCTCCGCCTCCTAGGTTCAAGCAATTCTCCTGCCTCAGCCTCCCAAGTAGCTGGGATTATAGGTGTGTGCCACCACGCCCAGCTAATTTTGTATTTTTAGTAGAGATGGGGTTTCACCATGTTGGTCAGGCTGGTCTTGAACTCCTGACCTCAAGTCATCCACCTGCCTCAGCCTCCCAAAGTGCTGGGATTATAGGCATGAGCCACCTCGCCTGGCCAAGATAACATATTTCTGAATGGTTTTTGGTTCCTGACAGAAAGTGAGCTGAAAGCTGATTGGATCTTAGCTGGCAAGTCTTACAAGATCACAAATTCTAGGAGTAAGGCATAAAATCAGTAAACAAGAGTTACAGCATCCGTGAAGTAAAATCAGTAAACAAGAGTTACAGCATCCGTGAAGTACAAGTCTGAGAGCCTAAAGGCAGGATGTGAAACTGACGTGAAAAATGTGGCACTTAAAACTCAGGACACAGATATACATAACCAGGAGGAAAAGAGTCTCTTCTTTGGCTAAGCAAAGAAATGGTGGACCACTGACTTGAATTTAACAAGATGCATAGATAAGTATTTTTTACATCAAGGATTTAGACCTGCATATACTTTTAGGGAACAAGATTTGATTAATAGCATGTTGTCAAATATTTTTTCTCCTTTACGTTCCTTAATAGGCCATGTAAATGAAGGACAGTATCATTCAACAATATCCTGGAATTGTCTCTGTTGATATTAAAGAATGTTGGATGAAATGATTATTAACCTGAAATTTGTATATATTATCTTTTTGGTGATAAATTCATGTAGCTTTTAGTAAGCATTTGAAATTATACACAATATGATGAGTTATGTTTGATGTAGTTTTTTGTTGTTGTTGTTTGTTTTTTTTTTTTTGAGACGGAGTCTCGCACTGTCACCCAGGCTCAAGTGCAGTGGTGCGATCTGGGCTCACTGCAAGCTCCGCCTCCCGGGTTCATGCCATTCTCCTGCCTCAGCCTCCCGAGTAGCTGGGACTACAGGTGCCCGCCACCACGCTTGGCTAATTTTTTTTGTGTTTTTAGTAGAGATGGGTTTCACCGTGTTAGCCAGGATGGTTTTGATCTCCTGACCTTGTGATCCGCCCGCCTCAGCCTCCCGAAGTGCTGGGATTACAGGCATGAGCCATTGCGCCCAGCCGATGTAGTTACTTTTAAAAAAGAAAGGATAATAGTTATAGATTTAGTTTATGCATTTAATACTTATGAAAGGGCTGGGATACATTTTGTGATAATAGAGCCTAAGAAGCAAACACACATGCACACACACACACACACACAGACACACACACACTACCCATCTTGTATCATACTGCACATTATATTTTCTCTAAGACTAACTAAACTAATCTCAGTGTGAAATTTACTGGCCAACCAAACAATGGCTTAAGGTAAAACTGCATAATGTCATAAATGTGCATCCTCCAAACTTTTTATCTTTTACTTTATTTTATAAGGTCCACCTTTGGAGGAACCATAAGGTTCTGAAATCAATAAAAACTAAGTACATTCTTATGATTAAAGTAATACTCTACCATAATGGATAGCAGCATTTGTCTAAATCCGGGATACTTAATGTTGCAAAGACCTTGGTCTCACAGGGCAGACTATAGTCAGACCCATAGTTTGATGCAGTGTGATTTTCCTGTTGCTGGCGTTGAACCCAGTGGTCATCAAGTTGCATTTTTCCCCGAGGTTTGTATTCTGCCAAAATTTGGCTGGAAAATTATTTTCTTGTGGATCTGATTTTAAAAGACATTCACAGATAGGTGCAGTGTCCCACGTTTGTAATCCCAGCACTAGGGAGGCCACCCAGGGGGATTGCTTGAGGCCAGGAGTTTGAGACTAGCCTGGGCAGCATGGTAAGACCCTGTCTCTTAAAAAAACAAAACGAAGGTTAGCAGGGCATGGTGGCTCACACTTGTAGTCCCAGCTACTCCAGAAGCTGAATTAGGAGGATCACTTGAGCCCTGGAGATTAAGGATGCAGTGAACTGTGATGGTGCCATTGCACTCCAGTCTGTGTGACAGAATGAGTCCTTGTCTGTGATTTAAAAAAATCTTTTTAATTAAAAAAAAACTAAAGGACACTCACAAGAGCAAACTAACAGCCTTGAGCTTGAAGAGCTCTAATTTGGTATCTACTTGTTACCCCTGCAATGTCTTTCCTCTCTTCACTTCTCACAGAGATCAACCATGCCTACTTGTCTCCCTCCATTCAGACCAGATTTATTTAGCAGAAAGCTTTTTGAAAGAAGTCATATGGATTTCAGGTCGGCATGGTGGCTCACGCCTGTAATCCCAGCACTTTGGGAGGCCAAGGTGGGTGGATCACCTGAGGTCAGGAGTTCGAGCCCAGCCTGGCCAACATGGTGAAACTCCATGTCTACTAAAAATACAAAAAATTAGCTGGGTGTGGTGGCACACACCTGTAGTCCCAGCTACTCAGGAGGTTGAGGCAGGAGAACCGTTTGAACCCGGGAGGCAGAGGTTGCAGTGAGCCAAGATTGAGCCATTGCACTCCAGCCTGGGTGACAAGAGTGAAACTCCATCTCAAAAGAGAGAGAGAGAGAGAGAGAAAAAAAAAAAAGAAGTCATATGAGTTTCTTTCCTTATCCCAACTCCCATGGCTATATCTGGCTCTTTCTGAAGTAGAATATGATGCTTGAAAGGTGGCTTTTAACTCAGGCGGAAAGGATGTGTTCTTGGGCAAGAGAGAGGAAAATGGTCTTTGACATGGTCAGAGAAGCTCTAGAAATCTGTTAGTAGTTTCACCAGCTCTCATATTTTCGGAGGTTTATAAATTGGTAGTAAAATAATTCCCAGGCTCTGTAACATAAGTTTAAAGAAGGTGAAAAAATCTCTTAAACATTATTTCAGTGGTGGGAACATATGTTGAGGTCAGAAAAGTTTTTTGAAAAATCAATGATCCAGCCAATCTTTAAATGTTATGCCTTGAGAGAGGTGAGGGCCAGGTGCTGTGGCTCATGCCTGTAATCCCAGTGAGAGGTGACAACGTGCTAGCAGCCCTTGCTCGCTCTCAGCACCTCCTCGGCCTTGGCATCCGCTCTGGCCATGCTTCAGGAGCCCTTCAGCCCGCTGCTGCATGGTGGGAGCCCCTCTCTGGGCTGGCCGTGGCCGGAGCTGGCACCCTCTGCTTGCAGGGAGGTGTGGAGGGAGAGGCGCAGGCGGGAACTGGGGCTGCACGTGGTGCTCATGGGCCAGCGCGAGTTCCGGGTGTGCACGGGCTCAGCGGGCCCTGCACTCAGAGCTGCCGGCCAGTGCCGCTGGCCCCAGGCAGTGAGGGGCTTAGCACTGTGGCCAGCAGCTGTGGAGGGGGCGCTGGGTCCCCCAGCACTGCCGGCCGGCCTGCGCGGTGCTCGAATTCTCGCCTGGCCTCAGCCGCCTCCGGAGGGGCAGGGCTGGGGACCTTCAGCCCACCATGCCCAAGCCCCACCCCCCACCCCAGTCATGGGCTCCTGCACGGCCTGAGCCTCCCCAACAGACGCCAGCCCCCTGCTCCGTGGCGCCCGGTCCCATAGACTGCCCAAGGGCTGAGGAGTGCAGGTGCAGAGCGTGGGACTGGTGAGCAACTCCGCCCCCAGCCCTGGCACGGATCCACTAGGTGAAGCCAGCTGGGCTCCTGAGTCAGGTGGGGACTTAGAGAACTTTTATGTCTAGCTGGAGGATTGTATATGCACCAGTCAGCACTCTGTGTCTAGCTCGGGGTTCATGGGTGCACCAATCAGCACTCTGTATCTAGCTCATCTGGTGGGGACTTGGAGAACCTTTTTTTTTTTTCTGAGACGAAGTCTCACTTTTTCACCCAGGCTGGAGTGCAGTGGCACTATCTATGCTCACTGCAAGCTCCGCCTCCCCGGTTCATGCCATTCTTCTGTCTCAGCCTTCTGAGTAGCTGGGACTACAGGTGCCCGCCACTGCGCCGCCTGGCTAATTTTTTTTGTATTTTTAGTAGAGATGGGGTTTCACCTTGTTATCCAGGATGGTCTCCATCTCCTGACCTCGTGATCCGCTAGCCTTGGCCTCCCAAAGTGCTGGGATTACAGGCGTGAGCCACTGCGTCGGGCCAAGACTTGGAGAACTTATATGTCTAGCTAAAGGATTGTAAATGCACCAATAAGCACTCTGTGTCTAGCTCAAGGTTTGTAAACACACCAATCAGCACTCTGTGTCTAGCTCAAGGTTTGTAAATGCACCAATCAGCACCCTGTGTCTAGCTCAAGGTTTGTAAATGCACCAATCAGTGCTCTGTGTCTAGCTAATCTAGTGGGGACTTGGAGAACTTTTACCTCTAGCTGGAGGATTGTAAATACACCAATCAGCACTCTGTGTCTAGTTCAGTGATTGTAAATGCACCAATCAGCACCCTGTCAAAACGGACCAATAAGCTCTCTGCAAAATGGACCAATCAGCTTTCTGTAAAATGGGCCAATCAGCAGGATGTGGGTGGGGTCAGATAAGGGAATAAAAGCAGGCTGCCAGAGCCAGCAGCAGCAGCCGGCTTGGGTCCCCTTCAACACTGTGGAAGATTTGTTGTTTTGCTCTTTGCAATAAATGTTGGTCCTGCTCACTCTTTAGATCCGCACTACCTTTATGAGCTGTAACATTCACCGTGAAGGTCTGCAGCTTCACTCCTGAGGCCAGCAAGGCCATGAACCCACAGGGAGGAATGACTAACTCCAGACGGGAGGAATGAACAGCTCTAGACGCGCAGCCTTAAGAGCTGTAACACTCATCGTGAAGGTCTGCAGCTTCACTCGTGAAGCCAGGGAGACCATGAATCCACCAGAAAGAACAAACTCCGAATGTGTCTGAATATGAGAAGGAACAAACTCTGGACACACCTTCTTTAAGAACTGTAACACCCACCGAGAGGGTGTGCGGCTTTATTCTTGAAGTCAGTGAGACCATGAACCCGCCAATTGTGGACACACCAGCACTATGGTAGGTTGAGGCAGGTGCATTGCTTGACCCCAGGAGTTCAAGACCAGTTTGGGCAACACCGTGAAACCCCATCTCTACTAAAAATACAAAAATAAGCCAGGTATGGTGGTGTGTGCCTGTAGTCCCAGCTATTCAGGGGGCTAAGGCGGGAGGATCACCTGAGCCCAGAAGGTCAAGGCTGCAGTGAGACATAATTGTGCCACTGCACTGCAGCCTGGGCTACAGAAGGAGACCCTGTCTTGGGGCGGGGGGGGGGGGGGGGGGAAGGACACTACATGGCAGGGTCCGGGATCCAATGAGACCAGACTCCAGCATCACCCCATGGCTGGATCCATCAGATCATGCCTGTGGGCATCACCTCATTGCAAGATCCAATTAGATCACACCTCATTACCTCATGCTTATAAAACTCAACCCAGCCCTCAGCTCTCGGAGACAGATTTGAGCATTTCCTCTTATCACTTTGTCAGTATAGTCATAACAAACCTTTCTTGCTGCACAAGCCCGTGTTTTGGTGTTTGGCCATTGAGCGAGGGCAAATGATCTCAGTTTGGACACGTATGAGTGTGTCCACATACACATGTTAGCATCAACTAAACTGTTCTGGATAACCTTGGGCCAGGTAAGGGTTCAGGCTAACTTGGCAGATTTTTTCATTAAAAGGCCAGATAGCAATATTTTAGGCTTTGCTGGCTACGGAAGGTATCTGTCACATATTTTTGTTGTTGTTGTTGTTGTTGTTTTTTACAACCCTTTAAAACTTGGATGAGCTTCAAAAGCATGCTAAGTGAAAGATACCATACACAAAAGGTGGCATATTGTGTGTTTCAATTTATATGATATATCCAGAATAGGCAAGTCCGTGGAGACAGCAGATTGGCGGTTGCCAGGAGCTAGGGGAGGAGGAAAGGAGCGACTGTTTAATGGGCATGATTACTCTTTTTGGGGTGATGAAATGTTTTGGAACTGGATAGGTGAGGTTGCACAACATTGTAAATGTACTAAATGAAATTATTTCACTTAAACATGGCATTGTTAAATTTAAAATGTTTCAGTTTCTGTGATATGAATTTCTGTTATGTGAATTTCAATTTATTTATTTATTTATTTATTTTGAGACGGAGTCTTGCTCTTTCACCCAGGCTGGACTGCAGTGGCGCTACCTCGGCTCACTGCAAGCTCCACCTCCCGGGGTTCACGCCATTCTCCTGCCTCAGCCTCCTGAGTAGCTGGGACTACAGGTGCCCACCACCACGCCCGGCTAATTTTTTTTGTATTTTTAGTAGAGACGGGGTTTCACTTTGTTAGCAAGGATGGTCTCGATCTCCTGACGTCGTGATCCGCCCGCCTCAGCCTCCCAAAGTGCTGGGATTACAGGCGTGAGCCACAGCGCCCGGCCATGAATTTCAATATAAAATGGTTCAATTTCAGTTTTCTGAATTTCACCTCAAGGAAAACAAACAAATACCTTAAAGAACATTCTTAGCTCAAAAGCCTTAAAAAAACAGGCTAGAGGATGAACTTGGCTGCAGGGTCATCATTTGTGGGCTCTTGGGCTAAAGGAAGGGCTAATTTCTTTTGTCAGAAGTAAGGAGTATATAATGATAAGTTCTCTGGAGCATAAATTTTGTATTAGTCATATTTATTAATTCATTCCACAGAGCATTACCCAGGGGGACATATGCGGTGCCCTAGTTACAGCAGTGGGCAAGGCAGACATTTTGCCACCCTCATGGAGCTTAGTCCTTTACTTATTTTTACTTCCTCAGGATTCAGACAACAAGCAGAGGCCAATTTATGGGGCTGCATGACAGTTTATTGCATTTGAGCATTTTTCTAATTTGGGTTTCTTATAACAACAAAGGCCAATGTGTGTTTGTGTGTGAATGTTTTGCAACTAGACAGATGTGAAGGTTACCCAACATTGTGAATGTGCTGAATGGAATTGTTCTATTCAAACATGGCATTATTTGTTTTAAAATGCATTATGTGAGTTTGAAGTTATGTGAATTTCACCTCAACAAAAACAATGTAAAAAAACCATTCTCAGCTTGAAGGCCTTAATATCCTTATGGAGATATAATTCATATAACCATACAACTCCTCCATGTAAAGTGTGCAATTCAATGGGTTTTGTATATTCATAGAGTTGTGCAACTATCACCATAATAAGTTTTGAAACATTTTTTTCTCCCTAAGAAAGCCCTGTGCCCTTGAGTTGTTGCTATGGACTGAATTCTATATCCCTCTCCCCATAATTTATATGCTGAAGCCCTAATCTCCAATGTAATGGTATTTGGAGGTGGGGCCTTTGGAAGATAATAGGTTTAGATGAAGTCAGGAGATTGGGACCCTCATGATAGGATTAGGGCCCTTATAATAAGAGACCCCAGAGAACTTGCTTGTTTTCTCTTCTCTCACCATAGAAGAAAGCCTCCACCAGATACAGGCACTATTGGTACCTTGATCTTAGACTTCCAGCGTCTTTAATTATGAGAAAATAAATTTCTTTCATTTAAGTTACCTAGTATGTGGTATTTTGTTATGGTAGCCTGAACTGATTAAGACAGCTATCATTCCCCTATGTGTCCTTCTCTGCCCACCTCCCACCTCCTTCCCCCAGCCCCAGGCAACCACTAGTCAACTTTCTGTCCCTGTGGGTTCGCCTATTCCGGACATTTTACATACATGGAATTGAGGCAGGAGAATAGGGGCTGGAGGCCGGGAACCTAAGGACTCCCTAGAACTAAATCAAACAGAAACACTTCAGTGATGAAAGGAAATATCCTCTTCATTTACATAGGGCATACACTGAGTGACTTTGTAACTTCTCTTTAGTGTCTTCATTTACATAGCACATACTCCATTGGAACCCTCCAGAGGCTATTTAAACCCCAGAAAATTCTGTAACGAGGCTCTTGAGCCCCTATGCTCGGACCACTTCCACCCTGTGGAGTGCACTTTCATTTTCAATAAATCTCTGCTTTTGTTGCTTCATTCTGTCCTTGCTTTGTTTGTACGTTTTGTCAATTCTTTGTTCAAGATGCCAAGATCCTGGACACCTTCCATTGGTAACAGAATCATACGATATGTAGCCTCTTTCACTTAGCATAATGTTTTCGAGGTTCATCTACACTGTAGCATGTATCAGTATAATCATTATATCATTTCTTCTTTCCTTTTTTTTTTTTTTTGAGACAGAGTATCGCTCTGTCGCCCAGGCTGGAGTGCAGTGGTGCAATCTCAGCTCACTGCAACCTCTGCCTCCAGGTTCACGCGATTCTCCTGCCTCAGCCTCCTGAGTAGCTGGGATTACAGGTGCGTGCCACCATGCCCGACTAATTTTTTGTATTTTTAGTAGAGATGGGGTTTCACTGTGTTAGCCAGGATGGTCTCGATCTCCTGACCTCGTGATCCACCCGCCTTGGCCCCTCAAAGTGCTGGGATTAGAGGCGTGAACCACCACGCCCGGTCCCCCAACCCCCCCTTCTTTTTTGAGACAGGGTCTCACTCTGTTGTTCAGGCTGGAGTGCCATGGTAAGATCATAGCTCACTGGAGCCTCCAACTCCTGTGCTCGAGCAGTCCTTCTCAGCCTCTCAAGCAGCTGGACGACAGGCGCATGCCACCATGCCTGGCTAATGAAATTTTTTTTTTTTTTTTTTTTGTAGTGACAGGGTCTTGATTTCTTGCCTAGGCTAGTCTCCAACTCCTAGCTTCAAATAGTCTCCTCGTTTCAGCCTTCCAAAGTGCTGAGATTATAGGTATGAGCCACCATGCCCACCCAACATTTATTTTTATTGCGGAATAATACTTCAGAGTATGGTATTTATATAGCTGTAAGTTTTTGTGGCTACAGTTTGTGCTGGGTAGAGTTTGTCCCTGTTGTAGAAAAGGACAGTCCTGGTAGGTGGAATGTCTAGATAAGCCCATCCTAGAAAGAGGGTGTATTAGTCTGTTTTCATGCTGCTGATAAAGACATACCTGAGACTGGGAAGGAGAAGAGGTTTAATTGGACTTACAGTTCCACATGGCTATGGAGGCCTCAGAATCATAACAGGAGGCGAAAGGCACTTCTTTGTTTGTTTTTTGAGACGGAGTCTCATTCTGTCACCAGGTTGGAGTGCAGTGGTGTGATCTTGGCTCACTGCAACCTGTGCCTCCTGGGTTCAAGCGATTCTCCTGCCTCAGCCTCCCAAGTAGCTGGGATTATAGGTGCCTGTGACTATGCCTGGCTAATTTTTGTATTTTTAGTAGAGTTGGGGTTTCAGCATGTTGGCCAGGATGGTCTCAATCTCTTGACCTCGTTATCTGCCCGCCTCAGCCTCCCAAAGTACTGGGATTACAGGCATGAGCCACCGTGCTTGGCCGTGAAAGGCACTTCTTACATGGCGGCAGCAAGAGAAAATGAGGAAGAAGCAAAAGTGGAAACCCTTGATAAACCCATTGGTTATCACCAGACTTACTCATTATCATGAGAATAGCATGGGAAAGACCAGCCCCCATGATTCAATTACCTTCCACTGGGTTCCTCCCACAACATGTGGGAATTCTGGGAGCTACAATTCAAGTTGAGATTTGAATGGGGACACAGCCAAACCATATCATTCCACACCTGGCCCCTCCAAATCTCATGTCCTCACATTTCAAAACCAATCATGCCTTACCAACAGTCTGCCAAAATCTTAACTCATTTCAGCATTAACCCGAAAGTCCACAGTCCAAAGTCTCATCTGAGACAAGGCAAGTCCCTTCCACCTACGAGCCTGTAAAATCAAAAGCAAGCTAGTTACTTCCTAGATACAATAGGGGCACAAGCGTTGGGTAAATACAGCCATTCCAAATGGGAGAAATTGGCCAAAACGAAGTAGTGACAGGGCTTATGCAAGTCCAAAATCCAGTGGGGAAGTCCAATTCCAAAAATGATCTCCTTTGACTCCAGGTCTTACATCCAGTTCACGCTGATGCAAAATGTGGGTTCTCATGGTCTTGGGCAGCTCTGCCCCTGTGGCTTTGCAGGGTACTGCCTCCCTCCTGGCTTCTCCCTCCCACCTACCAGGACTGTCCTTTTCTACAACAGGCACAAACTCTAGCCAGCACAAATTGTAGCCACAAAAACTTACAGCTGTATAAATATCATACAATGAAACATTACTCCACAACAAAAAGAAATTACAGGTGGGCATGGTGGCTTATACCTGTAATCTCAGGACTTTGGGAGGCTGAGGTGAGGAGATTATTTGAAGCTAGGAGATGGAGACCAGCCTGGGGAAGAAATCAAGACCCTGTCTTTAACAAAAAAAAAAAAAAAATTTTTTTTCATGGGCCGGCATTGAGTGCCTGTGGCTTTTCCAGGTGCATGGAGCAAGCTGTTGGTGGATCTACCATTCTGGGGTTTGGAAGATGATGGCCCTCTTCTCAAAGCTCCACTAGGCAGTGCCCCAGTAGGGACTCTGTGTGGGGGCTCTGACCCCACATTTCCCTTCTGTACTGCCCTAGAAGAGGTTCTTCATGAGGGCCCTGCCCCTGCAGCAAACTTTTGCCTGGGCATCCAGGCATTTCCATACATCTTCTGAAATCTAGGTGGAGGTTCCCAAACCTCAATTCTTGACTTCTGTGCACCTGCAGACTTAACCACATGGAAGCTGCCAAGGCTTGGGGCTTCCATCCTCTGAAGCTACAGCCCGAACTGTACATTGGCCCCTTTCAGCCATGGCTGGAGTGGCTGGGACATGGGGCACCAAGTCCCTAGGCTGCATACAGCATGAGGACCCTGGGCCTGGCCCACAAAACCACTTTTTCCTCCTGGGCCTCTGGGCCTGTGATGGTAGGGGCTGCTGTGAAGGTCTCTCACATACCCTGGAGACATTTTTCCCATGGTCTTGGGGATTAACATTAGACTCCTTGCTACTTATGCAAATTTCTGCAGCTGGCTTGAATTTCCCCTCAAAAAATGGATTGTTCTTTTAACTGCATCATCAGGCTGCAAGTTTCCAAACTTTTATGATCTGTTTCCCTCTTAAAATGGAATGCTTTTAATAGTACCCAACTCACCTCTTGAATGCTTTTCTGCTTAGAAATTTCTTCTGCCAGATACCTAAATCATGTCTCTCAAGTTCAAAGTTCCACAGATCTCTAGGGCAGGGGCAAAATGCTGCCAGTCTCTTTGCTAAAATGTAACAAGAGTCACTTTTGCTTCAGTTGCCAACAAGTTCCTTATCTCCATCTGAGACCACCTCAGCCTGGACCTTATTGTTCATATCACTATTAGCATTTTTGTCAAAGCCATTCAACAAATCTCTGGGAAGTTCCAAACTTTCCCACATTTTCCTGTTTTCTTCTGAGCCCTCCAAACTGCGCCAACCTCTGCCTGTTACCCAGTTCCAAAGTTGCTTTCACATTTTTTGCATGTCTTTTCAGCAACACCCTGCTCCTGGTACTAATTTACTGTATTAGTCCGTTTTCATACTGCTGATAAAAGACATACCTGAGACTGGGAAGAAAAAGAGGTTTAATTGGACTTACAGTTCCACATGGCTGGGAGGCCTCAGAATCATGGCAGGAGGCAAAAGACACTTCTTACATGGTGGTGGCAAGAGAAAATGAGGAAGAAGCAAAAGTGGAAACCCCTGATAAACCCATCAGATCTCTTGAGACTTATTCATTATCATGAGAATATCATGGGAAAGGCTGGCCCCCATGATTCAATTACCTCCCCCAGGTCCCTCCCACAACACATGGGAATTCTGGGAGATACAATTCAAGTTGAGATTTGAATGGGGACACACCCAAACCATAATAGAGGGAGCTGTTTTCCAGAACAGAGTCCTCTTTTCCTTTCTCTGGACCTTTAATTGTTGCTTCCTCTGTGGGCCTGCTCTGAATACTGTGAGGTCTGGGGCAGGAGTCCAAATGGAGGCCATTGTGCCATATGTGCAAATATGTAAAAGTTATAAATCAAGGCACCAAACTGTTATATAAGACATATTGTGTCCTCATCTTCACAATGATTAGAAGGCTTGTTTCAATTTAATTTAATGTATTTATTTGTTTTTGAGAAAGGGTGTCTCTCTGTCACCCAGGTTGGAGTGCAGTGGCATCATGATCATGGCTCCCTGCTGCCTCCATCTCATGGGCTCAAGTGATCCTCCTACCTCAGCCTCCTGAGTAGCTGGGAATACAGAAGCATGCCACCACTCTTGGCTAATTAAAAAAAATATTTAAAAGTTTTTTTTATAGAGTTGTGTCTCACTATGTTGCCCAGGCTGGTCTTGAACTCCTGGGCTCAAGTAATCCTCCCACCTTGGCCTCTCAAAGTGCTGGGATTACAGGCATGAGCCACTGCATGCAGCCCTGGTTTCAGTTTTAGAATTATTGGAATCCTTGGACGTCCCTGCCTCTATGCATCTGTGACTTTCCTTTTCCCATCTGAGCTCCATCTTGCTCTGCAAGAAACCTTCTGCAATGGTTCTCCCCACATCTCACATACATAACTGCTTTTTGGCCACTCTGGTCTCAGTATGAGGAGCCTGGGAAGAGCTTAGGCTCTGGAATCAGGCGTGGGACTCTTTGGGCAGAAGATTCTGAGGTTCTGTATATGTGGATCATGGTTCAGAAGAAGAAAATGTGGGATCCAGGGGAGTATGTCCACTGGGCTTGTAGACTCCTTGGTCTGTGGGGAGAGCCAGTAGCCAGATGAAGGCCAGAGTGGGTTCCTCTAATGTGTGAGGTTCAGTTTTGCAGCCCTTGTTGCTTGAGACCAAAGGCAGTACTGTTTCTGTGGTTCCCAGGTAATGGAGACTTGATTTCCAGCAATCAGAAAAGCCTCACCAAGCTTGCTTATCCTTTCCTACCTGGAGTGAGACCCACACCGTCTCAAAGACAAGGTGAGAAACCATTATATTTGCTTCACCGAGATGGATTTTAGAAAGCCTAAACCATCACTTAACCTCATTTGATCCAGAATATCCCCTCTGAGAAACACTGTGTGTGTGTGGTCTTGAACTCCTGGGCTCAAGTAATCCTCCGACACACATTGGTATGTCCATGCTAACTTAAAGGCTGAGCAGATGCCACCAAATCTTGATGTTCTTTTGTGTCTGCTTATTGCAGTTTCCAATTAGGTGCTCAGGATACTTTTGCCTTGCCCTCCCAAACTGCTGTGGTTATAGGCATGAGCCACTGTGCCTGGCCTAGAATTTTTAACTGTATTCAGTAAGGACTATTTTAGTATCAAGTAACAGAAATTGTACTTAAACTGGACGAAAAAGAATACATATTTCTCTTTTCTCCAGAAAAGAGAAATACATATTGCCCACTTATCTAGAAAGTCAAGCAGTAGTGTTGCAGGCACAGCTTCACCAATAATATGGGGCCCAACGTCACCAATAATATGTCCCTCTCAATTCCCGATTCTGTTTCTCTTCATGTTGGCTTCATTTTTGGGCAAGTTCTCTCTTGTGGTGACAAAGAAGGCATCATGCAAGGTTAGCATCTTCAGGAAAAGCTCATCTTTCACAACAGTTATAATAAAAGGACCAGATTCAATTCTTTTTGAAACATCATGGGTCATGTGCCCCACCCTGAATCAGTCAATGTGGCCAGGGAAATGGGATGCACCTATTGGCTAATTTGAATCACATGCTTCTCTTTAGAGACAGGAGGTTTGTGGGTATGAGGTCGACTCATCTAATCCTGTAACCTAAGTGTTGGGAAAGGGTTAGTTCCTTGAAAGACCAGGCACTGACTTCTAGAGGGTGGCTGGATGTTGGCCAGGCCAAAACAGTAGTTATCTCCTACAAGACTGCAAAATCTAATGGGCTTTAGAGTCTGCCTTTAAAAGTGGGGACAATAAAATGTGCCTTACCTTACTTCACAGGATCAAATTCAATCCCTCAAATGAATTCTAAAAATTATAAAGGATTTTACAAAGGCAAGGTAATGTTATGTTACCTTTCACAGGTGATTTAACTAAAGGAATATGTAGAAAGACATTACTAGGGGCAGGCACGATGGCTCACGCTTGTAATCCCAACACTTTGGGAGACTGAGGCGGGCGGATCACGAGGTCAGGAGATGGAGACCATGCTGGTTAACATGGTGAAACTCCGTCTCTACTAAAAATACAAAAAGTAGCCGGGCGTAGTGGCAGGTGCCTTTAATCCCAGCTACTCAGGAGGCTGAGGTAGGAGAGTCACTGAAACCCAGGAGGTGGAGGTTGCAGTGACCCGAGATCGTGCCACTGCACTCTAGCCTAGGTGACAGATTGAGACTTCGTCTCAAAAAAAAAAAAAGAAAAAAAGGAAGACATTGCTGAAGTGTAAAGCATACCCAGTTTTCTTTATCTTACCATATATTGACCGCAATGTAATTTTGAAGGAGTTTGGAGAATATTTCTTCGAGTTTTACAAAAGGTCAGACTCTGATCATATGCTGATGACCCTAACTAGAAATTTCTACAACTTTATAGAAAACTTGCATGCATTACATATGCATGCATAGTTAGATGCATATATAGTTCCTTAACTGCATTAGTCAGAGTTCTCCGGAGAAAGAGCACCAGTAATATACATATGGATATATATATATACATTTTTATTTATTTATTTTTTTTGTGAGACAGAGTCTCGCTCTGTCACCTAGGCATTGGTTCATGAGAAATTGGTTCATGCAATTATGGAGCCTGAGAAGTCCCACAATCTGCCATCTGTAAATTGGAGACCCAGGAAAGCCAGTGGTACAATTCAGTCAGAAGGACGGAAAACAGGAGAAATAATTATGTAAATCACGTTCTGAGGGCCAAGAAGCTGAAATGAGGTGTCCGAGCTCAGCAGAGCAGGGCAAATTTCTCCTTTCTCCACTTTTTCTTTTATTTAGGCTCTCAATTGATCAGATGATGCCCATATACATGGGAAGAGCAGTCTACTTCAATGAGTCCACTGATTCAAATGCTAATTGCATCTGGAAATACCCTCCCAGATACACTCAAAAACAATGTCTAATCTGGGCACCCCATGGCCAGTCAAGTTGATACATAAAATTAACCATAACACCTGTCTTTGTCATATTTGGGTGATCAGCCAGCCAAGAAATGACATATTTTGAGAGCTTTCAGAGTTGCAGAGTCACTAGAGGGTTAATGGTAATGCAAATACCTTAGCTTTCACATCCTGTCTTTGATAAGAGTTTACGTTTTCAGCAAATAATCTGTGAAGTGGCTAATTTGCTGGGGGATAATGAGAATAGATAGTTACTCTGAAAATTGCTCTTACGCAATTCTACTTACTTTTTAATGGTGTCTCTTTTCTTTGTAAGAAGTGCCATATTTTGGGACAACATGGGGAATTTAATCATTAAGTTAAACAATAAACCCTTTAAACTACCTTAATTTCTTTTTTTTTTTTTAGATGGACTCACTCTGTCACCCAGGCTGTAGTGCAGTGGCACAATATTGGCTCACTGCAGCCTCCGCCTCCCGGGTTCAAGCAATTCTTGTGCCTCAGCCTTCTGAGTAGTTGGGATTACAGGCATAAGCCACCATGCGTGGCTAATTTTTGTATTTTTAGTAGAGATGGGGTCTCGCCAGGCTGGTCTGGAACTCTTGACCTCAGGTAATTCACCCACCTTCGCCTCCCAAAGTGCTGGGATTATAGGCATGAGCCACTGCACCCGGCAAACTACCTTAACTTCTAAGAGAGTCAACAATTCTATTAGTTGAATTATACGTAAGTAAATAAAACCTTGAAACAATGGAAAAACCCTTATACAAAAGGCAAACAATTAGAAAAGACTCAGTACCCTGGGGCCTAAGTAATATAATTAAAAGCAGGATTTTAAAAAATAAGTTTCTTTCTAAAAGCAGAGAAAGCACCAAGGTGATTGCTTTGTTTCCCACAGCTTTCAGACCCTGAGTGCATTGGTAAGGTTTTCCTAATTGCTATATTTCTTATATTTTGTAAAATAAAGAAAACACAGATCATTTATCTTTCTAGTATACAAGAACCATTTTGAAAGGGCCATTTCTCTTGTTTAAATGATAATTATATGTCATAACCTATAGTAAAGGTAGAAAGGAGGCTCACACTCCCAGTGTTTCAGGAGACAATGGAATAAAACTAGTTAAGATGTCATTGTTAAGACATAATAGTAATCAGTTAAGATGAGGTCATACTAAAGTAGGGTAGGCCTCTAATCCAACATGATTGTTGTCCTTACAAAAGGGGGAATTTGGACACGGACAGTCTCATGGGGAGAACACCATGTGAAGATGAAGGCAGAAATCTACAAACCAAGGAGTGTCAAAGACTGCTAGCAAACCACCCAAAGCTCGGAGAGAGGCATGGAACAGATTCTCCCTCACAGCCCCCAGCAAGAACCAACCCTGGCAACCTCTTGATCTCAGACTTGTAGTTCTAGAATTGTGAGATAATAAATTTAGTTTGTGGTACTTTGTTATGTCAGCCTGAACAAAGTAATTATGGTCCTCATTTTATAAGTGAAGATTCTGAGGCTCATAAAGATAAACTTGTCTGACGTCAAGCAGCCAGGACAGAGCTGGGGCTGGACTCAGGTTACTCCAAACATTGTGTTTTAAACCCCTGCATCGTTTTCCAAAACTGATCCAAGGACCTCTTGCATAAAAATCACCCGGGATGCTTATTAAAAATGCAGATTCAGGCCGGGTGCGGTGGCTCTTGCATGTAATCCCAGCGCTTTGGGAGGCCGAGATGGGTGGATCACCTGAAGTCAGTAGTTCGAGACCAGCCTGGTCAACATGGTGAAACCCTGTCTCTACTAAGAATACAAAAATTAGCCCGGCGTGGTGGCACATGCCTGTAATCCCAGCTGCAAGGGAAACTGAAGCAGAAGAATTGCTTGAACCCACGAGGCAGAGGTTGCAGTGGGCCGGGATCACACCACTGCATTCCAGTATGGGCAACAGAGCGAGACTTCATCTCAGGGAAAAAAAAAAAAAAAGAAAAAAAAAGCAGGTTCAGGGATTCAACTCAGACCCGCTGAATATGAAACTGGGGAAAGGTGGCAAGAGACTGAATTCTAAAAAAGAAACAACTCTAAATGAAAACTGTTAACACTCATTTTGCTTCTGAATTAGAGTCCCTCAACCCCCTCACTATGGTCTGCTGAAATTGAGGTGATTCTAGCACTAAATGAGAAATATTTATGTGTTCATCAGTTAGAATTTGGGCAAATTTTTGTCTGGACTTCAAATTTTGCTATTTTTTTCCCCCAGTGATGATAATAAAATATACCGTATCTTATCTCCCATAATCAAATTAAATCTTTTGAAAATGAAAGTTAAAACTTATAAACATTTTAGAAATGCAAGGGAATATTATGAAGTATCTTTATTCAGATCATCTAATTAACAGACTATGGAGGAAGATATTACTTCAATGTAATTCCTACCCATTTCTCTTGAAAAATAAACGCTGAGTTATCAGTGGTTTTATTCTGGAAAGCTTTGCTTTGTTTCTACCACAACTAATGCTCTGCCTGTGTGGTGGGGCAATTCCTAGCATCCTCCTCTCTGTTGAATCATCTTCTTCTCTTACATGATCATGCATTGTACTTCTATGCAAGCTTTGCTCATATTTTCCAAGTGTAAGGAGAACCTGATAATGCAGAGGGCTCATTTTCTTGATTATGTCATTGTTGTTGACTCCTTCAGATGGAGAATAATTAATGGTGTATACATATATATAATTTATATCACCACTATATATATAAATATAATTTATATATAATTTATATCACCATTATATATTTATATAAAATATATAATATATAAAAATATATTATATATAAATATATAAAAATATATTATTTAAATATATAAATATATAAAAATATATTATTTAAATATATAAATATATAACATATATAAAGATTTATATATAAATATGTTAAAATATATTATATATTTATATGTAAATATATAAAATATATGTAAATATATAATATAAAATATATATTTACATATAAATATATCAAAATATATTATATGTTTACATATAAATATATCAAAATATATGTTTACATATAAATATATCAAAATGTATGTTTACCTATAAATACATCAAAATATATGTTTACACATAAATATATCAAAATATATATTTACATATAAATATATCAAAATATATATAATGGTTATATTTATATATAAATATATATAAAGGTGATATAAATTATATATGTATACAATTTTTATACAACTTTTTACAAGTTTTTAAAAATTAGGAATTAACCCACTTCCTCTTAGTAGGGAAGAGTAAGGATGGGCCAATGTATTGCACCATTACTCAATGATGTGAGCTCTGCTGTATTATTGCAGGCGCTGCTGACTGTGAGGTACTATCACATTATTACTTCTGTTCTGTTATAGAACTCAGAGTCCTTCCTTATCAAGATTAATTGAAACATACAGCATGGCTGTATAACTTAATTATTGCTACTGAACAAAGCACCCAAAATGTAGTGGCTTAAAAACAATGACTTATTATTTCTCATGTTTCTAAGGATTGACTTGGCAGGTTCTTCACTGGGTTTGCTTAGGTGCATTCATGCAATGGCCTTCAGCTGGAGGTCCCCGGGGCTTGAACTCCAGGATGGCCTCCCTCACACATCTGGGCAGTTGGTGCTGGCTGAGGTGCCTCAGTTCTCCTTCATGGTCTGGCATCCTTCACTAGGCTAGACCACCTCTCTCACTTGGCTATTCCAGGACAGTTTTCCAAAAGACAAATGTGGAAGCTGCAAAGTCTCTTGAGACTGAGGGGCTGAGACTTGCATCACATCACTTCCAGCACATTCTATTGATTAAAGCAAGTTACAAACCCAGCTCAGATTCAGGAAGGTTGACGAATAGACTCTAATTCTGGATGGGAGAATCAGCAAAGTCACACTGCAAAGGATGCAACGTCAGATGGGTGGAATTTCTGGCTTTTAAACGGTCTACCACAATGATGATACGATAGGTAGCATTATTCTTCACCAAACACCAAAGACCATTGCTAGAGTTGTGTGAAAGATTTACTTGGAACAAACAAATAAAAAGTCCAAATCTCAATAGAATCTAGTTTCAGCAATAACCATTTAAGCTACTTCATAGAGCAAATAAAAGGGGGACTCACAGGTTATTGCTTTTGAAGGATATGTTGTGTAATGCCTGCATATTATCTTTTAACAAGGGTAAAAGAGAAAAGGTGTACTCTCTTATGCAAACTCTTTTTGTATCTAATGTAGATTAAGACAGTCTTATTATGTGGTCCAGGGATGAGCAGCATCAGCATCACCTTACAGATTGTTAGACATAAAATTTTCAGGCTCCATCCAAGACCTACTGAATTACAATCTCTGGTGGTGGGGCCCAGAATCTGTATTTTTAAAAAGTTTCCCAGGTAATTCTTACATGTACTAAAATTTGAGGAGTACTGATTCAGATCAGACACCCCTCCCCATTAGATAAATGTGCAAGATTAGAGATACTTTTCCCAATCTCTTCCTTTCTTCATACATTTAGAGTAAATCCAATAATTGATAAAATTGAATTCATGGTGTAGTCAGTTTTTCAAGAGGTTTGAATTCAAATAAATTATTGGTAATTGTTTTTAATATATTCTTATTTCTACTATATATTTGAGAAACCCATAATCAGAGATGATACAATGTTTGTACTGATTTGGGATCAGGGACATCCCACAGGATTATTCCAACAGGATAGCTTAAAAACAGCCAGGAGTATGAGCTTTATGAACATATGGAGAGCTCTTCCTTTTCAAAGGCAAAATAAATATAACCTGGCAAAGCCCAACCAAATAGCATTATGCTTTTGAAAGGAACTTCATGGCAGGCAGCTGTTTGTATTCATTTTCTAAAGGAAAGGATTTAGGCTTACTCATAAAAATAAACATGGTATTATTATCTAGAGTCTTTGTGTATTTTTTGTAAGTAATGAAGAGTTCACTTATTAGAATAGGAGAGATTCATCACACATCACCAATGACGTTCTTTTTTTTTTTTTTTTTTTTTTTGAGACAGAGT
Source organism: Homo sapiens (assembly GCF_000001405.40). Classification (NCBI taxonomy): domain Eukaryota; kingdom Metazoa; phylum Chordata; class Mammalia; order Primates; family Hominidae; genus Homo; species Homo sapiens. The sequence continues at coordinate 224,672,145 of NC_000002.12, forward strand.
CTCACTCTGTTGCCTAGACTGGAGTGCAGTGGCACGATCTCGGCTCACTGCAACCTCTGCTTCTCAGGTTCAAGCGATTCTCCTGCCTCAGTCTCCCAAGTAGCTGGGATTACAGGCATGCGTCACCATGCCCTGCTAATTTTTGTATTTTTAGTAGAGACAGGGTTTCACCATGTTGGTCAGGCTGGTCTCCAACTCCTGACCTCAGGTGATCCACCCGCCTCGGCCTCCCAAAGTGCTGGGATTACAGGCATGAGCCCATGCGCCCAGCCCTGCCAATGACGTTCTTAGAAAAAATCATTTTTGCAAAGATAGATAATTATAAATAGCTTTAATGGTAATGGTGAATTTTATCAGAAAACTCTTCAAGGATTTTTCGATAATCAAGGTATGAGTATCCCCATTATTAAAATGAGGCAGTTTTCTCAGATTTATACTAAGTTTCCTAGAAATCATTGCAAGTTCCTGTGATGTTCATAGTAAGTTTCATCCCCAAACCTAGCATGATCTCGTAATTTTTCACTATTATCCAAAATTTGTAGGCTACTTTTACTCAAACTTGGAATTGTTGACAATTGTACCAGGTAGTGTACAGTTAATTTCCCTTCAGCAAACTGATAGTGTTTGAAAATAATTTTTGATTGTAACAAAGCAGAGGGCTTTGGTAAATTATAAAACCCTGCCTCAAGATGTTATAGTTTCTCCTATCAAGGGGTGGAGCCCATGTCATCCTCCCTTGATTCTAGTTGGGCCTTGAGACTTGCTTTATGCCAATAAAATATAATGGAAGTGATGTTGTGTGAGTTCTGATGCCTAAACCTCCAGAGGCCTTGACCCTGAATCCTTACGTTCTTGGAACACTGTTCTAAGACTGCTCTGTAGGAAAGTAGTTCTACTCTTTTGGAGAGGGAGAGGCCATAGAAAAAAGTAAAGTGGTGGCCTAGCAAGCAGCCATGCTCGCCACCAGAGATGTGTGTGAGGTCATCTAGGATCTTCTAGCCCAGCCAGCTTTTCAGCCGAGCATACAGCATGAACGGGACCAGGCAAAACCTCAGGAGAACCATACAGCTGTCTCAGCACTGTGAGAAATAATACATGACTGCTATTTTAAGCCACATGCTTTGGGATGGTTTGTTATGCAGCAATAGGTAACTGCCACACTTTTTTTTTTTTTTTTTAAATGTAGTAGGCTGGGAGCAGTGGCTCACACCTGTAATCCCAGCACTTTGGGAGGCAGAGACGGGTGGATCACCTGAGGTCAGGAGTTCGAGACCAGCCTGGCCAACATGGCGAAACCCTGTCTTTACTAAAAATACAAAAAATTAGCTGAGTGTGGTGGCGGGCACCTGTAATCACAGCTACTAGGGAGGCTGAGGCAGGAGAATCACTTGAACCCAGGAGGTGGAGGTTGCAGTGAGCCGAGATCGTGCCACTGCACTCCAGCCTGGGCAACAGAGTGAGACTCTGTCTCAAAATAATAATAATAATAATAAAAAATAAAAAATAAAAAATGTAGGAAAAAACACATATCGTAAAATGTACTGTCTTAACCGTTTTTAAGTGCATATTTCAGTAGTCGTAAGTATATTTACATTATTGTGAAACAGATCTCCAGAACATTTTCTTCCTGGAGAATTAAAACTCTCTACTTGTTAAACAATAACTCCCCTTTGCCTTCTCCTCCTAGCCCCTGGTAACCAACACTCTCCTTTCTATGTCTGTGAATTTGACTACTTTAGATACCTCATAGAGCTGGAATCATAGAGTATGTGTTCTTTTGTGAGTAGCTTATTTCACTTAGCATAGTGTGTTCAAGGTTCATTTGTGTTGTAGCATGTAACAACATGCTTCCTTCCTTTTAAAGACTAAATAATATTCCAAAAAGATGAAAGAACAGGGAAAAGGGCTGGCCCAGCTTTGTGGTCTGATTGTAACTGTATTAATCCGAGATCTCAGCTGGGCCTGCAGTGTCCAAGATGTGCTGCTCTCCTCCTCCAGGGCCCCTTTCCACGTGGTATCTCATGATTCAAGTCTAGCCCAGCCTTCTTTGTAGCATGGTAGATAGCTTCCAAGGAGGAGCTTTCCAAGCGGTCAAGTCCCAGTGTCCAAGCACTTATCAAACTCTGTTTGCATCATGCTTGATAATTTCCCATTGGATAAAGCAAGTCATATCACCAAGGCTTGAGGTGACATGGAAGGGACAAACTACAGAAAGGCATGAACACCATTAGGTAAGGATCCTTGGGGGCTACCAATGTAGCAATGAACTACACCTACTCTGTTCCTTCTTTTTCCACAGCTCTTATCACTTAACAATTTTTATTGAATTTTTAAATTTTTTTGTAGAGACGGGGTCTCACCATGTTGCCCAGCCTGGTCTCAAACTCTTGGCCTCAAGCGATTGTCCTGCCTTGCCCTCCCAAAATGCTGGGATTACAGGCATGAGCCACCATGCCCAGCCCACCTATCGCTTTTTAATGTGCTCTATACTTTACTTCTTTATTTTGTCTGATATCCATTGTCTGACTCATCAATAGAATATAAGTTTCAGGGCTGAGCTCGGTGGCTCACATCTGTAATTTCAATGCCTTGGGAGGCTGAAGTGGAAGGATCACTTGAGGCTAGGAGTTTGAGGCCAGCCTGGGCAACATGGTGACATCCAAGTTCTACCATCCCTCTCAAAATTAGCCAGGTGTGGTGTTGTGTACCTGTAGTCCCAGCTACTTGGGAGGCTGAGGTAGGAGTATTGCTTAAGTCCAGGAGTTGGATGCTGCAGTGAGCTATGATCACACCTCTGCACTCCAGCCTGGGCAACAGAGTAAGACCCTATTTCTGAGAAAAAAAAAAAAAAAGAATATAAGTCTCAAGAGAACATAGAACTTTGTTTTGTTTAGTATTTTTAATGAATGCATGTTTGAAAAGATTATAAAATTGACATAAAATAAGAATGAACAAATTTACTCACAGCATAATATAACTTTTCCTATTAATAAGTCAAAGTATATTAAAAAGAATAGGCCAAATACTGGGTTAATCCTCCCTCTTGTTAGATAATAACAATCATCTTGTTTGGAAATCATGCATCCTTCATCCATCTAGTATTTGTTGAGAGCTCTTAGGTCCCAGGAAATAGGGAAAGAGTGGAGAACAGGATGGACACGGTGCCTGCTCTCTTGGGGCTTAGGTACTACTGGTGAAGGCAGAGAAAAACAGGTGAGCAGATCAAACGATTATGAATTAGGAAAAGAGTTACAAAGTAAATAAGAAAAATGGTGGGAGGTACTCACTTCATATAGGTTGCTTGGGGCCAGCTTGCCTGATAAAGTGGCATTTAAGCTGAGATCTAAAAGGTAGGAATAAATTAGTGTATTAGTCCATTCTCACACTGCTGATAAGAACATCCCCTGAGACTGGATAATTTATAAAGGAAAGAGGTTTAATTGACTCACAGTTCGGCATGGCTGGGGAGGACTCAGGAAACTTACGATCATGGCAGAAGGGGAAACAAACATATCCTTCTTCACATGATGGCAGCAAGGAGAAGTGCAGAGTGAATGGAGAGCAAGGAGAAGGCAGAGGGTAAGCCCCTTATAAAATAATTAGATCTCATAAGAACTCACTCACCATCATGAGAATAGCATGGATGTAACGGCCCCCATGATTCGATTACCTCCCACTGGGTCCCTCCCATGACACGTGGAGATTATGGGAACTATAGTTCAAGATGAGATTTGGGTGGGGACACAGCTAAACCATATTAACTAGCTACCTGAAAAGTGGAGGAGGAGAGTTCCCAGCAGAGGGAAAAGCTTGTATGAAGACTTGTTAAAGCCAGAAACCTAAGAGTCCTTGTGATGCCCATCTAGCTATCAGCAGGTATTGTCAATTCTGTGTTCAAATCTACCTTCGCCTCTTACCTAGACTCCTTCCTACCTGGTCTACCTGCCTTCAGACTTACTTTTTCTCATTCCTTTCTATATAGTAGCAAAAAAAAAAAAATCTTTGAAAATATAAAACAAAAGATTTTTTAAAAAATCATTTGAAAGGCTTCCCACTATACTTTGAGGGGAACAAAAGCCCAATTTTTTTCATAGTCTGTGGCCTATTAAGTCCTATGCGTGTTATAACCTCTACCTGCCCTCAAATTCAGGTAGTTCCCCTATTTTACAGGTAGCTAAACTGTGGAACAAAGAGGTCAAGACACTCATCACAGGTAACATAGCTAGGGAGTAGCAGAGGCAGGATTGAAGTCTGGTAATGATTCCAGACTTTAGGAGTACAACTAAAGTTTCATTCCTCTTTATATGAGAAAGAATATTTAAACGCTGCCCTCAATGAGCCTAGCATTGTTTAATGGCTTAATAGACAGTAACTCTTTCAATCCTCAGAACAACCTTCTGAGGTAGGTATTACTGTCATTACCATTTTACAGAAGAGAAAAGCTATGTTCTCTATGTTTACAGAAGAGAAAAGCAATAAAAAGGAGAAACTGAGTTAGGCTCCAGGAAGTCTCACTCCAGAGGCCACACTCTTAACCACTAAATTACCTATGTTGGTTGTATTACTAAATAAAGTGTAGGGAACAGTTTTGACTTTTTAATGGATATTTTTTAAATGAAAAGACAACACGTATAAAAGAAAGTGTAAAAGGCTGGGCGCGGTGGCTTACGCCTGTAATCCCAGCCCTTTGGGAGGCTGAGGCAGGCAGATCGCTTGAGCCCAGGAGTTGGAGCCCATCCTGGCCAACATGGTGAAACCCCATCTCTACTAAAAATTACAAAAATTAGCCAGGCGTGGTGGCGTATGTTTGTAATCCCAGCTGCTTGGGAGGCTGAGGCACGAGAATCTCTTGAGCCCAGGAGGCAGAGGTTGCAGTGAGCCGAGATGGCGCCACTTCACTCCAGCCTGGGTGATGGAGCGAGACTCTGTTTCAAAAAAGAAAAAAAAAAAAAAGAAGGTGTAAAAATCAAGAGTGGACAGATTGATGACTTATCAAAGTGGACAAATCCATGAGCACTGCTCTGGTCAAGCAGTAGAACGTTATAGAGGCCAGCAGCCCACCCCATGCCCCTCCTAGTCACTGCCCCTCCCTCCTGCTCACAGGTAATCACTCTCCCGACTTCTAAAACTGTAGCCGAGTTTTGTCTGTTTTTGACTTACTATAAATGGAAAGATAAAATTTGCCTTTTTTTTTTTTTTTTGAGACGGCGTCTGGCTTTGCCACCCAGGCTGGAGTGAGTGGCACGATCTCGGCTCACTGCAGGCTCCGCCTCCTGGGTTCCCATCATTCTCCTGCCTCAGCCTCCGGAGTAGCTGGTACTACAGGCGCCCATCACCACGCCCAGCTAATTTTTTGTATTTTTAGTAGAGATGGGGTTTCACAATGTTAGACAGGATGGTCTCGATCTGCTGACCTCGTGGCCTCCCAAGTGATGGGATTACAGGCGTGAGCCACCACGCCCGGGCCAAAATTTTCCTTTTTTTAGGACAAAAGTGTGTCCTGTCTGCGCGCGGTGGCTCACGCCTGTAATCCCAGCACTTTGGGAGGCCGAGGCAGGTGGATCACGAGGTCACGAGGTCGAGACCATCCTGGCTAACATGGTGAAACCCCATCTCTACTAAAAAAGAAAAATACAAAAAATGAGCCGGGCATGGTGGCGGGCGCCTGTAGTCCCAGCTACTCGGGAGGCTGAGGCAGGAGAATGGCGTGAACCCCGGAGGCGGAGCTTGCAGTGAGCCGAGATTGTGCCACTGCACTCCAGCCTGGGAGACAGAACCAGACTCCGTCTCAAAAAAAAAAAAAAAAAAAAAAAAAAAAAAAAAAAAAGAAAGTGTATCCTAATTTGGAACACATGGGTCATTCAGTGGGAATTAGAACAACCTAGTGGAAATTGCCTCTAAATGCTGAGGAGAAACCACTGTGCCCGTGCAGTGTACTATAGGGCTGAGCTTGGAATAAACTTCCCTGGATTTGCCAGTGACAGGTGGTACAGTCAGCCTGGAAAATAAATGAAAATGAGGTAAAAATGAAATTTTGAAGGAGGCATCTCGAGAATGCATGAACAGAACTGGAAAAAAATGCCACATGGAATTAATAATGTGGGAAAATGAGAGGTTAACTCTCTACCAAGGACAAATTGTAATGGGCAATTGCAAGGTAAGACATTTATGGAAAGATCACTTGTTTACTTGTGATGTTTGGGAAGTGAGGAACCATTTGGAGTGGCTCTGTCTTTTATCCATTTGCAGAAACCACAGGGGTAAGCTCTTAAAAGCCAATAATATGAAAGAGAAACTATATAATATAGCATGGCTTACGTGATGCAATAAAAAAGATTAAGGGGTTGCACAAGCTTGCAATTGTCAGTTAATCACTAGCTGCATGAGTGATGAAAGGGACTTTATAATCCAACGCCTGCAGTTTATAGAGACCCAGCCTTGTTAAGTGAACAGAGGCACAGTTAACCAGGGCACGCCCTGAGAAGGGACAGGGTTGGGGCTACAGCCTTGGTATTGGGAAGGTTCAGTTCTTCACCCTATATTGAACTTTCTTATGAGGTCAAGATGTGTAGATGAAGGTTCTGGTCTGAGATCTTAAAAAGGTAAGCTAAAATCTTATTCTGGGGTGATTTTGCCTACTATTTATTCTCCCTCGTGAAAGATCAAGGGGCCCTGGTAGTAGGAAAATAGCTTCTGTGGGTTTGGGGATGGGATGACTACTTGCACCTGGAATGTAAATTATTCTTCCATTTCCCTGTAGACTTTACTCTCGGTTCTTTGAAAATTGCCTCCATCTCACCCTTCAACCTTTCCTAAAACTGGACCTAATTTTTCTCCATTTAGCACTTAATGGATTTTTTTCCTCAAAACTTATTACAGTAGTATTTGTGTGTGTGTGTGTGTGTGTGTGTGTGTGTGTTTATAGACAGAGTCTCACTCTGTCACCCAGGATGGAGTGCAGTGGCACAATCTTGGCTCATTGCAAACTCTGCCTTCCAGGTTCAAGTGATTCTCGGGCCTCAAGCAATTCTCGTGCTTCAGCCTCCTGAGTAGCTGGGATTACAGGCATGTGCTAAAACACCTGGCTAACGTTTTTGTATTTTTAGTAGAGATGGGGTTTCACCATGTTGCCCAGGCTGGTCTCAAATTCCTGGCCTCAAGGGATCCACCCACCTTGGCCTCCCAAAGTGCTGGGATTGCAGGCATGAGTCACCGTGCCCAGTATTTATGTGTTTTTTGTTTGTTTGTTTCTGTTTGTTTTTAAATCTCTTGCTTCGTTAGGAAATCTCTTTGTCTGTGTCCCCAGCTATACTCTAAAATCCAGCCAGTCAGGGACCAGTCTGTCCAGTTCACTGCAGTAATCCCTGTGTGGCTGCAGCACTTCACCCATAGTGAGTGCTAAATTAAGATTTCCTGGGGCCAGGCACAGTGACTCACGTGTGTAATTCTAGCATTTTGGAAGGCCAAGGTGGGAGGATCACTTGAGCCCAGGAGTTCAAGACCAGCTTGGGCAACAAAGTGAGACGCCTTCTCTACAAAAAAATTTAAAAATTAGCTGGGTGTGATGGTGCACACCTGTAGTCCCAGCTACTTGAGAGGCTGAGGTGGGTGGATCTCTTGAGCCTAGGAGGTTGAGGCTGCAGTTAGCTATGGTAACTCCACAGCACACCAGCTTGCGTGGCAGAGCAAGATCCTGCCTTGAAAAAAAAAAAAAAAAAGATTTCCTGAATAAATGAAATGGCCTTTCTGAAAAGGATAGGTGACCACCGTATGTCCCTGAATGTCTGGCTCTAGTACAGGCAAATTGCTGTTAAAATAAGGCTGTAGGCCAGGCGTGGTGGCTCACTCCTGTAATCCCAGCACTTTGGGAGGCTGAGGAGGGTGGATCACCTGAGGTCGGGAGTTCAAGACCAGTCTGGCCAACATGGTGAAACCCCGTCTCTACAAAAATACAGAAATTAGCCGGGCATGATGGCGGGTGCGTGTAATCCCAGCTACTCAGGAGGCTGAGGTGGGATAATTGCTTGAACCTGGGAGGCAGAGGTTGCAGTGAGCCGAGATCGCGCTGTTGCACTCCAGCCTGGGTGACAGAGCAAGATTCTGTCTCAAAAATGAATGAATGAATCAATAAATAAATAAATAAATAAATAAGGCTGTAACATACATTTGGGCTTTCAAAAGCTATGTTTCTATTGTATCAGCAGTTTTGAGTATTCTTGGTACTTTTAGCTATCTGTATATGGCCCCTCAGTTTGGAAAGCAAGAGAAGCTGTGGAGGATAACACACCTGAGTCCTCTCATTGAATCCTTCTTAAAATCTGTCTAGTCCCAAAAGTGTAGGTTCTTCCAATGTGTTCAAAATCTGGCATGTTTTGCTGAGTGGATTCATCTTGGGGAAACTTAGTGGTCCACTTCAGTGGAATTTTGTTTGTATTTCCCGGGATTTTGTTTTTATTTTTTGAATCAAAGTGAACTTGAGATGCCTCTAGAGCTTCCTCACTGGCCTGGAAATTCTCGGGGACACATGCAATTATTGAGGATCCTCCAACCTAGAGTCAGTCTGCAATTAGATCTTCTATAGCAGATATCATCAAGCCCAGAGAGCCCTGTGCTCTCTCCTCCTTGTCCAGACCAATGTGTGGAGAATGGAGGAAGAATTATTTTAAGATGGATACATGTATGGCCATGATTTTTGTGGCTTGGGAGGCAGCATCAAATAGTGGCTAGTTCCACAGGAGTCAGACTGCCTGAATTCAAACCCTGTCTGTGTTACTTAGTGTCAGTATGACTTTGGGAAAGTGATTGCTGTGATCAGAATGTTTGTGTCTCCCTCTAAATTATTATTATTTTTTTAAGACAGAGTCTCGCTCTTGTTGCCCAGGCTGGAGTGCTGGAGTGCAATGGCACAATCCAGGCTCACTATAACCTCCACCTCCTGGGTTCAAGTGATTCTCCTGCCTCAGCCTACCGAGTAGCTGGGACTGCCCACCACCACACCCAGCGAATTTTTGTATTTTCAGTAGAGACAAGGTTTCCCCATGTTGGCCAGGCTGGTCTTGAACTCCTGACCTCAGGTGATCCACCCGCCTCGGCCTCCCAAAGTGCTGGGATTACAGGCATGAGCCACCATGTCTGGCCCCCTCTAAATTCATATATTGAAATCCTAACCCCCAAAGTGATGGTATTAGGGGTGGGATATAAGGAGGTAGTCCATTTCTGCTGCTACAAGAGAATACCTGTGACTGGGTAATTTATAATGAACAGCAATTAATTTCTTACCGTTTTCAAGGCTGGGAATTCCAAGATCCAGGGCTTGGTCTCCAGCAAGGGTCTTCTTGCTGCATCATCCCACGGTAGAAGGTGTAAGATCCAAGACAGCGAGAGAGAGAGAGAGAGAGAGAGAGAGACAAAAGGGGCCAAACTCATTCTTTTATAAGGAACCCACTCCCATGACAACAAAGCCATACCCTAATAATGGCATTAATCCATTCATGAAAATAGACCCTCATGGCCTAATTACCTCTTAAAGGTCTCACCTCATAATACTGTTAAGATAGTAATTAAATTTCAACATGAGTTTGGGAGGGGACATTCAAACTATAGAGTGGGGCCTTTAGGAGGTGACTAGGGCATAAGAATGGAGTCCTCATGAATAGAATTGTGCCCTTATTGTGCCCTTAAAGAGACCTCAGAGAGACCTTGGCCTCTTCTGCCATGTGAGGCCACAGCAAGAAGTACCATCTATGAGCCAGAGATGGGCCCTCACCAGACATTGAATGTGCCTGGATCTTGGACTTTCCAGCCTCCAGAATGGAGAGAAATAAATTCTGTTGTTTGTAAGCTACCCAGTTTATGGCACTTTGTTATAACAGCTTAAATGAATTGAGACATTGACTTTTCCTATCTGAGAATTGCCTATCAATATTGGTGTTTGAATTTTTATTTCCTGGGGTTAAATTTCCTGCCCTTAAAAGTCCCTTCCTACCCAAATTTCTAAGACCAAAATGCATTTCTGTTGCTCAAATGTGGTGAGAAGTTGCCTGGCAAACAGTGTACATGGATAGTGTCCTTAGCTGGAAAACTCCTATGTTCTGGTTTAGCATGGCTTATAGTCATCAAAGAAGCAATATTGCCTCTAGTGAAAGATATTTGGCACAATATCCAGCCCCAGGGGTATGCTACAACCCAGATGGCTGAGATCTCTAGCAGGACAGCAGGTGCACATGCAGGCAAGCAGGATTACTCTGAAATAGGGCTAGAGGCATAATTTTTCATTTTATATTATTTTCTGAGCTTAATCCACAGAGTTATTTCTCCTCAAGGGAATGTGATAATACACGTTGGCAAAATAGTGCAAATGTAACTGAGACCATATGGTGGAGTATTTATTTTCTTATTAGGCAAATACGACTAATCTATTATACATAGTAAGTATCTGTTGTGAATATATTTTAATGTGAACAAAGCAATAGCTAAACTACCATTAAAAATAAGGTTGACACCATTTTTTGCATCTATTTTCATTTATTTTACCACCATCTAATATTTTTGCATTTTAAAAACATTTAAATCTAATGAACTTTTCAATTCAATTGCAATTTTTGGCTGAAATATCAATATAAAAACCTTCAAGATTGAGATAATGATTTATGTCTTGGCTCATTTATCCAATTAAAAGTCAAAGTGAGGTACAAATTAAATGATCCATATTATCAAATAACAGTTAACAGTCTCTGGGACGAGATATGAGAAGGGACATGAGACAATCACAGATTAATTGGTTCTTAGGCATCATAACATTTTTACGTATTGAATTACACTTTACGTAGATTTTGCATATGTCCTTCAACTGAATCAAAACATAAGTTGGGGAAGTTGATTTACTCCTAAAGGGACTGGTTTTTTATGTTAGACTACTGAGTGAGCTATGAATTAACTTTTAATAGTTTGAATTCTGTTTGGCTTCTGTTTTGATGAATTACTTCATCAAGCTTGACATTCTGAGGGTTTTTATGAAGATTTCTGCCTGGTATTTTTCTTTTCTCTTTGAAAAACTTTATTTTTTTGTTGAGGTATAATTTACACAGAGTAAAATGCATATATCTTAAGCACTGTGCTAGGCAGAATAATGTACTACCAAAGATTTCCACATCTGAATTCCTGAAACCTATGAATATGCTACTTTATATGACAAAAGGAAATTTGAAGATTTGCTTAAATCTCCTTGAGATAGGGAGATTATTCTGGATTATTTGTGTGGACTCAGTGTAATCACAAAGGTTCTTAAAAGCAGGAGAGAGAGGCAAAAGGGAGATCAGAATTATGTAATGTAAGACCTCCACCCATTACTGACTTTGAAGATAGAGGAAGGAGGCTGTGAGTTAAGGAATGTGGATGACTTCTAGAAGCAGGAAAAAGCAAGACAATGAATTCTCCACAGTCTTTATTTATTTTATTTTATTTCTTGAGACAGAGTCTCACTCTGTCACCCCAGGCTGGAGTGCAGTGGCACCATCTTGGCTCATTGCAACCTCCTGGGTTCAAGCCATTCTTGTGCCTCAGCCTCCCAAGTAGCTGGGATTACAGACATCTGCCACCACACCCAGCTAATTTTTTTTATTTTTAGTAGAGACAGGGTTTCACCATGTTGGCCAGGCTGGTCTTGAACTCCTGACCTCAGGTGATCCACCTGCCTTGGCCTCCCAAAGTGCTGGGATTACAGGTGTGAGCCACCACACCCAGCTACTCTTTATTTATTTATTTATTTTGAGACAGAATCTTGGTCTGTTTCCCAGGTTGGAGTGTAGTGGCACAATCTTGGCTCACTGCAACCTTTGCCTCCCAGGCTCAGGCGATACTCCCACCTCAGTCTCCCGGGTAGCTGGGACCACAGACTCACACCACCATACCCAGCTAATTTTTTGTATTTTTTCGTAGCTAAGGAGTTTTGCTATGTTGCCCAGGTTGGTCTTGAACTACTGGACTCAAGCCGTCAGCCCACCTCAGCCTCCCAAAGCTCCCCGTCTTTAGAAAGGAACGCAACCCTGCCAAAACCTTGATTTTTGCCAAGGGAAACCTTTGTTGGATTTTTGGCCTTACAGAACAGTAAGATAGTAAATTTGTATTGTTTTAAGCTACTAAGTTTGTGGTGATTTGTTATGGCAGCAATAGAAACCCAATACAACAGCAAAATAAATTTTTTGGGTGAGAGGGACAGATCCCTCATGAATGGCTCGGTACCCTCCTCACAGTAATGAGTTAGTTCTCACCCTGAGTTCACACGAGAGCTGGTTGTTTAAAGGCGCCTGGCACTTCCTCCTTGCTCTTTTGCTTCTTCCCTCTCCATGTCGTACCCTGGCTCTCCTTTTGCCTTCCGCTATGAGTGGAAACTTCCTGAGGCTCTCACCAGAAACCAAAGAGATGTTGGTGCCATGCTTGTACAGCCTGTGGAAACATAAGCCAAAATAAACCTGTTTTTTAAATTCATTACCCAGTCTTAGGTATTCCTTTATAGCAATGCAATCAGATTTATATCATGTAAAACATTTTAACCACCCTAGAAAGTTCTCTTATGCCTTTTCCCAGTCAATATCACCCATTAGAGGTATCCATTATTCTGACTTCTGTCTTCATAGATTAGTCTCTCCTCTACCTGATCTTCTTATAAATAGAATCATACCGTATGCTCTTTTGTATCTGGCTTCTTTCTTTTCACATAATGTTTTTGAAATTCATCTATCAACATCATTTTTATTGCTATGTGGTATTCCATTGTATGGATATATCACAATTTATTTGTTTGCTCTATTTCTTTGTTTCTAGCTTTGTCTATTACTAATAATGCTCTTTGAACATTCTTACGCAAGGCTTTTTATGGACACATGCACTTACTTCTCTTGGAGATGTACTAGGCATAGAATTGCTTGGTCATAGATAGGTTTATATTTAGTAAAAAGTGCCAAGGTTCTTTCAAGTGGTTGTAATATTGCAGAATAATTTTGCAAAGCTTTGACCCAGATGTACAAAATCTTTGTGGAAGGACTTAAAAATGTTCTGTAGTGGGCTCCCTTCTCTCATGATTATTGATGAAAAGGGTGTGTTTTGTGGCACCATATTGTACAAGGCTTATTACCAGGTGCTTGGAGAAGAGCAAAGAGCTAGCTGAGACAGTGGCTGGGACTCTGTGCTTTGGACTTTAATCTGCCACTTCAAGTACATATTCAACTCTGTTCCATTAACCTGTCAGCATCAAAAGCTGATGTTATGAAACTTAACTTAGCACTATTACTATGTTAATAATTATTTGGGGAAAAAATTGAAGGACAGATGTGAAAGAGACCAAAGGAAGAAGAGAAAAAAAATGCTTTGGGGCTGGGATTTTGTCGAATTATTTCACAGCATCATATAAAATAAATATAGTGACCTTCGGAGTTAGACAGTACAGGGATCCTATTAGAAATAACAAGTGCCGGCTGGGCGCGGTGGCTCACGCCTGTAATCCCAGCACTTTGTGAGGCTGAGTTGGGTGGATCATCTGAGGTCAGGAGTTCGAGACCAGCTTGGCTAATGTGGTGAAACCCCGTCTCTACTCAAAATACAAAAACTAGCTGGGCATGATGGTGGGTGCCTGTAATCCCAGCTACTCCAGAGGCTGAGGCAGGAGAATCGCTTGAACCTAGGAGGCAGAGGTTGCTGTGAGCTGAGATCGCGCCATTGCACTCCAGCCTGGGCGACAGAGTGAGACTCCATATCAAAAAAAAAAAAAAAGAAAGAAATGACAAGTGCCAATTCCTGGAGATACTGAAGAGACAACATATATTGAATGATCACTCTGCATCTACTTTTCAAAAATTTTAAAGTTCATAAATACTCTAGTCCCCAGCCTCCCATCATCCTTGTCATTTATGTTTCTGTTGATGATGAGATGACAAATGCAGTTGATCCTTATTATTCATGGATTTTGTAGTTGTGAATTCACCTACTCACTAACATTTATTTGAACCCCCAAAATCAATACTTGTTGCACTTTCGTAGTCATTTGTGGACGCATGCAGCATGGTGAAAAATTTGAGTCTTCCTAAAACTGATGCTCTGCCTTCTGCATTCTTCTTTTACTTTTTTTGTTTACAAATCCACTTATTTAGGTTTATGAAAACCATTGATGACAATGATTTTTAGTTTTCGATGGATGGGTTTTCTTTTCTTTTTCTTTTTCTTTTTTTTTTTGAGATGGAGTCTTCCTCTGTCACCCAGCATAGTTTTTCTTTTTATAACTTTTAAAAATTGGCCAGGCACAGTGGCTCACATCTGTAATCCCAGCACTTTGGGAGGCCGAGGTGGGTGGATCACCTGAGATCAGGTGTTTGAGACCATCCTGGCCAACATGGTGAAACCCTGTCCCTGCTAAAAATACAAAAATTAGCCTGTCATGGTGGTGGGCACCTGTAATCCCAGCTACTCAGGAGGCTGAGGCAGGAGAATCACTTGAACCCAGTAAGCGGAGGTTGTAGTGAGCCGAGATTGTGCCATTGCACTCCAGCCTGGGAAGCAGAGTGGGACTCCATCTCAAAAACAAACAAACAAACAAAAACTTTTAAAAATTAACAGATACAAAATGTGTATATTTATACACAAAGCACCACATGGTGTTTTGATATATGTATTCATTGTAGAATGGCTAAATCAAGCTAATTAATATATGTATTGCCTTGTATACTTTTTTTTTTGTCATGAAAACACAAAATCTACTCTTTTGGCAATTTTGTTTCAGCTCTCTTGTTGCAAACAAGTATTGTTCTCACCGTCTTAGTACCACATTTTTTTTTTGAATTTTTCTTCTTTTTGTTGGTGATTTTGCCCTTTAAAATGTCCACAGCCATAGGGATGAAGGGCTGTCTAGTGTTTCTAAGTGCAAGAGGGCTGTGACATACCTGCCAGAGAAAATACAAGTGTTTGATAAGCTTCTTTCAGACATGAGTTATAATGTTGTTGTCAGTGAGTTTAATGTTAATGAATCCCAATATATATTAAATAAAGTGTTTTTAAGCAGAAGCACACATACAACAAGCTTCTCTATGGATCAGTTGATGAAATGGATACCAGAGGCTCACAGGATCCTAACCCTGTGTTTCCCTCAAGGTGATGGTTCAGTATTCACTAATTCATTGTTCACAGTGGCTTTATAGAACATAACCACAGTTAATAACGAGAACCAGCTGTCTGTGGAACATCATCCCTCACTTCCACTGACATCCCTGAGAAATTCCCGATGTTAAATCCATTAAACCAACATAGAAACCTGTTGAGAGTTCCCACTGATCTTCTAAGGGGATTTTTGTAGGTTCATAGCCAAGTTTCGTGCGAGCCCATCCTGATCTCTTTTAGGTTCTAGACATACAGCTTCATATTTACTCTTATATCTGTCTTTTCTGCTAAAATAGATAACAAGTTTGTAGCAACAGTTATAGACTTATAGAATGTCAGTGATGAGAAGTCCCTCAGTTGTAGCAGTCCACATCCCTCTTTCACAGATGGGAAATTTGAGGCCCAGCCAGGTGGAGGGATTGCCATGACCTGGAATTCTGTTCATTCTGCTGTCTTCTATTTAATAAATATGAGTTGATCTGAGGAGAGAAGATGGCAATAATAACAATATGTGAAATCTATTAGAAATTAACATAGGCCAGTGTGGTGACTCACACCTGTAACCCCAGCACTTTGGGGGCACTGAGGTGGATGGATCACTTAAGCCTGGGCAACATGGTGAAATTCGCTCTCTACAAAAAATACAAATACTAGTTGGGCATGGTGGCGTGTACCTGTGGTCCCAGCTACTCGAGAAGCTGAGGCATGGGGCTCAAATGAGCCCGGGAGGTCGAGGCTGCAGTGAGCTGTGATCACGCCACTGCATTTCAGCCTGGGCAACAGAATGAGACCCTTCTCAAAAAAAAAAAAAAAATATATATATATATATATATTCGTATATATATATTTGTGTATATATATATGTATATATATATAAATAAACATAGTAATAACAAATTCTATATTGTCAACCTCATATATATTTTAGTGATAACCATAAATTAAAAAAAATTGTTTCTCAGATAACTTAGAACTCTATCATTGCAAGTCAAGGTTCCAACTAAGTGGTAGTGTCATACTATAGAGAAATCTTTTAACTAGAGGATAGTCAAATCACGGTGTCTCCGTGTGACACTGAATTTTTGAAAAGTTGTTATATACAGTGTAGCTAAAGGAACACTTATGGGAAGCAAAGCTCTGTTTACTGACATGATGAACACGGAACTGAATTCTTTTGTCACCTGTCCAGAGTGAGGCAGACATCCTGAAGTAATTTCCTCTATATCTGAAATTCAGAGGTTTGTTAATTACCAATATTTTAATTTATATTATATGTATATGATAACACTATATATACACATTTTGTTTGTTTGTTTGTTTTTGTTTTTGAGATGGAGTCTTGTTCTGTCACCCAGGCTGGCCCAGGCTGGAGTGCAGTGAGGGGATCCTGGCTCACTGGAGCTTCTGCATCCCAGGTTCAAGCCATCCTCCCACCTCAGCCTCCTGAGTAGCTTGGACTACAAGCGTGCACCACCTGCCTGGCTAATTTTTTGTATTTTTGGTAGAGATGGGGTTTCGCCATGTTGCCCAGGCTGGTCTCCAACTCCTGGCCTCAAGTGATCTGCCCACCTTGGCCTCCCAAAGTGTTGGGATTACAGGCGTGAGCCATGATGCCTGGCCAATAACATTATATATATATATATATATATATATATATATATATATATATATATATATATATATATATTATAATATCGTATATATACACATATATAACATATATAACATAATGTATCATATATACGTATATAATTTTTTTTACTGAGATAAAGACAATATGTGTGTGTGTGTGTGTGTGTCCATTTTTTTTTTTTTTTTTTTTTTTTTACTGAGAGAAGGTTGATGCTAGAGTCTGGAGAGAAGCAACCCAGCCAAAACTGAGAGTCCCTGGAGTGTGTGACCTCTGTAGCTATTCACGCATGAAGATGATGCCACTGGCTTACTCTGTCAGCACATCAGAAGCTCTGGGTTGTTTTTCTGTGAAATCAGTAACATTCCCCACTGATTATAAAAGTTCACTGTGGAAAATCTGGGAGATAAAGAAAAGGGTGAAGAAGAAAATAATTTACTCATAATTCTACCTTTCAGAGATGAGCACTTTGGGGATTTGATCTTTTTATCCTTTGTGCATATATACTCATAGACATTAGTTGTGTTTTTTAAAATAACAAAATAGTGTTACATGCTTTACTTTGTACCATTTCAGTTTAATATGTCATGTGAACATTTCCATGTATTTCCACATATTCATGAAATATTCTCCAAAAACTATAAAATCATACCCCCAAATTTTTGGGCAGGAAGGCTACATTTTTGCTCTTGTAAAATAACACCACAATGAGTATCTGTGTACATTTTTTTTTTTTTTTGCTTTTGCATAGCTCTGATTGCCGCCTCAGGATAAATTCCTAGACCTGTAATTACAGGGTTAAAGGGTGTGGGGAATTTTTCTGGTATTGGCAGAGGTTTCTCTGGGCCCATTATAATCATAGGGCCTTTTGTTGTGGATGACTGGAGGGAAGGGAAGTTGTCCCCGCTGTGGTGATGGCTACTGAATTAAAGGCTCTGAATCTATCACTGGGGTCAAGTCCAATATCCAGCTTTGATAGAATAGCTTCTGTCTCTAGCCATTCTCCTGGAGGTGGGTACCTGGAGTTAAAATTTTGCCTTTTAAATTGAATCTGCCAATCATGACTTTTTATGACTAAAGCTGATATTTTGATGAAAAAAGATAACATTGTCCGGAAAAACTGTTTGAATATTTAAAATGAGAACAATACATTTTTGAGATTGTTTCTCTTTTAAGATTTTCTCAAAGCCAGAAAATTCAAGCATATAGAGACTAAGCCCAGTTTCCTTTCAGGATATTTTTAACAGTATTTACAAGGGGATCAGGCACACTGGCCTTAAAAGACCTTTAAGCCACCGGGCACAGTGGCTCATGCCTGTAATCCCAGCACTTTGGGAGGCTGAGGAGGGCGGATCACGAGGTCAAGAGATCGAGACCATCCTGGCTAACATGGTGAAACGTCATCTCTACTAAAAATACAAAAAATTAGCCAGGCATGGTGGCAGGTGCCTGTAGTCCCAGCTACGCAGGAGGCTGAAGCAGGAGAATGGCGTGAACCCAGGAGGTGGATCTTGCAGTGAGCCGAGATTGCGCCACTGCACTCCAGCCTGGGCGACAGAGCGAGACTCTGTCAAAAAAAAAAAAAAATTACTCCCACCTCCTAAAACCCTGTATATATAAATATTATGTAGGCCAAGCATAGTGGCTCATGTCTATAATTCCCACACTTTGGGAGGCCAAGGCTGGCAGATGACTTGAGGTCAGGAATTTGAGATCACCCTAGCCAACATGGTGAAACCCCATCTCCACTCAAAATACAAAAATTAGCTGTGTGGTGGCATGAGCCTATCGTCCCAGCTACTCAGGAGGCTGAGGCAGGATTACTTGAACCTGGGAGGTGGAGGTTGCAGTGAGCCGAGATTGCATCACTGCACTCCAGCCTGGGCGACAGAGCAAGTCTCCATCTCAAAAAAAACAAACCTAAAAAAGACAAAAAAAGATTACCCTATAAATATTACATAGAGAAGTGATTTGGCTTTTTTTCTGTGTGTGTGTGTGTGTGTGTGTGTGTGTGTGTGTTCCAAGTAAACCTTTCACACATTTCTAACAATAGTCTTCAACTTAAAAAACGCCCAGATTGTCTAAAGAATAATGGCAACAAACATGTGTGGGAAATCACCTTCAATCTGGCCAGTGCCCTTTGTTCTTTGTATACCTATTTTATATCTGAAACAGCCCTTTTTTTCTTCAATATTTATTTAACAGAGGAGGAAACAGCCTCAGAGAAATCAAGGCACTTTCCTCAAATCTGACGTTACATGAAGAGCTTGGTCTGTCCAGTTTCAAAGTTTTACATTCACTATAACACTCACTTAGAGTTCTTACAATGGTTTCTTATTCCAAATCAAGTGACTACTCTGCATCCCCACCACTATTTCAACCATTAATTCACTCATTTGTTTAACATGTATTCACTCATTTATTTAACATGTATTGAGCAAATACCCTGAATAAGGTTTTAGGAGTAGAAAAATGACCAGACATCCCATCAACCTAGATGGCTTTGGGAGGAAGACATGGAAATGAGCGACACAATATACTGTGATGGGTATGAAAAGAGGAGTTGTGAAATCTTACGAAGTATCTGATCTTGACTAGGGGCACTGACCTTGAGGCCTGCCCTGAGTGATTTTCAGTCATTAATGTTCTCTCACATCTAAATTCAACCTCACACATGTTTACTCACTCTGTGTATCCCCTTACACACTCTCATACAATTCACTCAGGTTAGAGTGTGCTCAGAAAGGTGAAATGTAATTTAAAAACGGCCCAATGTTTTTTGTTTATGATAGAAGCAAAACTATGCGTGTTTCTCTATCAACATTGTCTATGAGTCACTTGAGGGACACATAGATTGTAAAATACTCCTAGATTACAAGTTGTTAACTTGCCAACTGAAAACTATTTATTCAACACTTCTATATGCAAGACACTGGGCTAACTGGGGTAGAAGATTCAAAGCAATAATAATGATATAAAAATGATTCCTGCCACCTGGCAGTAAATAAGTGCTAAACACTGGCACAGACCACAGTGCTGAATGAAATCAGAGCGTGCTACCATTCATAAACAGGAGAGATTCAAGGTAATTCTTTCACTTTAGACAATAACAATCCAAGTGCTTTATATAATCTGGATAATAACGAAGAACAAATTTGCAATTGCAAAAATGTGGAACCAGCCCAAATGCCCATCAATCAATGAGTGGATAAAGAAACTGTGGCACATATACATACATACATATATATATATATATATATTATATATAATTATTATATATAATAGAATACTACTCAGCCATGAAAATGAATGAATTAATGGCATTTGCAGCAACCTAGATGGGATTTGAGACTATTATTCTAAGTGAAGTAACTCAGGAATGGAAAACCAAACATCATATGTTCCCACTTATAAGTGGGAGCTAAGCTGTGAGGATGCAAAGGCATAAGAATGATATAATGGACTTTGGGGACTCAGGAGGAAAGGGTGGGAAGCAGGTGAGGGATAAAAAACTACAAATTGGATTCAGTGTATACTTCTTGGGTGATAGGTGTACCAAAATTCAGAAATCACCATTAAAGAAGTTACTCATGTAACCAAACACCACCTGTTCCCCAAAAACCTGTGGAAATAAAAAATAAAAAAAATAAAGAGTGCGCCAGCTTTATCAATAAACTTCAATAAAGACCAAATATTAGGGACTGCACAGCAGCAATTGATCCACTATAGAGCTTTCTGTGGTGCAATATGACTGGACGCTGGAACCGAGCATGCTAATCATCTTAGCTGTTATACTATGATGGGTACCGAATGTGTGAGTCTTTTTAAATACATGATTTGAGTCCTGTGAAAATAAAAGTAGGGTAAATAAAAGTACAGAAAAAGTCAGGTAATTTTCCTTCTTCCTATACCCTTACACTTGCATGTTTTTTCCCCCTTTTCTTCCCCATAGTTGCATTTAGGTAAAGTAGCTGTGGCTTTTTCTGCTCTGATAAACTTTAAACTTACCTCAAGTAAAGTAGCTGCAGTTTTCTTTGTTATGATAAACTTTAAACTTGCTTATTGTTTTTTCTTCTGGAATTATTGATGTTCTATTTTTTTAGACATGAGCTGTCTTTTCTAGTATTAAAAAATAGCTCTATTGAGATTATTTCTTTTCACATGTGAGACTTCTGTATTTACTATAAACACTCTTTTCTCACAAAGATTCTACATTTTATTTTTCTCTTTACAGGGAGAAGTCTAATATCACCCACACATTCCTGTCTTCTTTCCTTCAACTGTGCCCTCATACTGGCTCCTTGATCTGAGTTATATCTATCCTATTCAAGTAGGAGCCTCTGAAACTCTCTCTCAATCCCTGGACAAGATCGTAAGTAAAAATAACATTTCATCCTAGGAGGCACAGAGAGATTAGAGCCACCCTTAAGGATACAATGGATATGGAGCTGGTGGTCCCCATCATGTCTCCATTCAGTTCACCAACATAGACCCCAAAGAAAGTCAAGGGATCCTGGAGGATAGCTATAAATGACAGAAAGTAAGATAAGGTATTTTTGCCGGAACAAATTATTAAATAATTTGACCTCAAGTTTCTGATAAGTGGTCATGGATTTGGCAAATGCATTTCTTTGCAGCCCAATTACAAAAGACTGTATCTCTGTCATGATGAAGACCAGGAACAATTTTCATTCACATGGAAGAGACATCAATATTTGCTCTCTGTCACGATACAATCTGAAGAAATCCACCCTGCCTCGATATCTCTGGAAGGCTGAATATTGATCCCCCTTCCCCACTCAAAGGTGTCCATGTCCTAATCCCTGAAACCTGTGTCTATGTCACCTTCCAAGGCAAGAGAATTTTACAAATGTGATCAAGCTAAGGCTCTTGAGATGGGAAGACTATCCTGGGTGATCTGAGTGGGCCTGATGCAATCACAAAGATCCTTGTAAGTCAAAGAGGGAGATAAAGGAGTCAGAGTCAGAGAAGATGTAATGATGGAAGCGTGTGTGTGTGTGTGTGTGTGTGTTTGTGTGTGTATGTGTGTGTGTGTGTGTGTGTGTGTGAGAGAGAGAGAGATAGAGATTGAGATTTGAAGATGTTATGTTGCTGGCTTAAAGATAGAGGTAGGAGCCATGAGCCAAGGACCGCAGGCAGCCTTTAGAAGCTGGCAAGGGCAAGGAAACAGATTCTCTCCTGAAGCTTCCAGAAGCAACACAGCCCTGAAGACACCTTGATTTCAGGACATCTGGCCTCCAGAACTGTAAGATAACACATATGTATGGCTTTATGCCACTAAGTTTGTGGTGATTTGTTGTAACAACAACAGAAAACTGATGAAGATTTCCCAGAGAACATCAGAGTGATGGTAGGAGGTAGGATGTTTTTATGGGTTAGTGAATTCAGCAGCTCAATGACATATTTAAAATCCCAGGTTCTTTAACAGTTTTCTCTTTGACATCCTCAGTGTGGTTTTTGCTTTTGTTTTCAGACTAATTTCCTCATGGTGACATGATTGCTGCCTGGTTCCAAGCATCACATCTCACGTGTCACCAGTCAGGAAGGGGGAATGGGCGTTGTGTTTATTTACAGTAATAAGTAACACTTTATCATAACAGTAGAATATATTTTGTCCCGTGTGTCCTCCATTCTTTATATTGAACTGCAAATCAGGATAACTAAAGGAGACATTGCAAAGGGTTGTATAGATGTTGAGACATAATGTTGAACAGGCAAGTGACCTTTGAATCTCTGACTATTCTTGTCACGTTTGATAAAGATAAGAGTTGGCATACAGGGTAATCTAACTGGAGTGTTTTTTGAGAAGAGGTATATTGAGTATTTGAAGACACAGTTAATAAAGAATCTTGCATAAAGAGTCATAGGATTCCAAGCAAAATTCAGTCCAAGTACTTATCAGTGAGTAGTTATGAAAATACCCGTTGCTTTAAAGGCCTGTAATCTTCTTTGGAAAGCTCTGAATGCAAACCTCCTTCTAAAATGACCAAATATACTTATTTGCCAATAAGCAATACTTTCTCAGAGTAATTTTTGTTCTCTAATATAGATTTCATTAACCTGTTCAATTTATCAGCTTATTCAGTTAATTACACAGTTTTGCTCTGGGCCCTGGCAGCAGCAAAATGATGCCATGGTTCGCCAGCATGGGGGAGCATGTGTAGGGATTGGGTTGGAAATCTTCACAAGGGTGGTTGCTACTCTACCAAGATTTCCACTGCAGTTCAGTGGCTCTATAATTGACACTGCTGTCTTGGGGAGGTCCTTTGCAGTAGGAATGCAACTGATGAGAAATGGCTTGGAGTTAATTGAAACCTTTTGAAGTTGCTCCAGTCTTCAAACAAACAAACACAAAAATAAATTCTTAAGTGTTATATTTACAGCATAAATTTATAACAATATTTCTTATGGGAAGGAACTTTGGGGCCATGTTCATTCTCATGTACTGCATACATCTTCTGCAGCCACTGAACAGTAACACGAGGGCTGAATTCACTGAGGGCCGAAGTGTGATGCCACGGGAAGGGCATCGGACCATGAGTCAGGACATGGGGTTTCTGGGACAAGTTCTGCCACTAACTCCCTTGCAGGATGTGGGATCAAAATGAACGCCCACTTTAATTTTCTTTGAAGGCAAAAACCATGTCTTATATACAATGTTAATACTACTGCTTCTACTACTACTACTACTATTACTACTACTAATACTATTACTACTACTGCTACTATTACTATTACTACTACTGCTACTACTACTACTACTACTACTACTACTACTACTATTTCTTTTCTTTTTCCTTTTTTTTTTTTGGGACGGAGTCTCGCTCTGTCGCCCAGGCTGGAGTGCAATGGTGCGATCCTGGCTCACTGCAACCTCTGCCTCCCAGGTTCAAGCGATTCTCCTGCCTCAGCCTCCCGAGTAGCTGGGACTATAGGTGTGTGCTACCATACCTGGCTAATTTTTTGTATTTTTAGTAGAGACAGGGTTTCACCGTGTTAGCCAGGATGGTCTCAATCTCCTGACCTCGTGATCTGCCCGCCTTGGCCTCCCAAAGTGCTGGGATTACAGGCGTGAACCACCACGCCTGGACTATTACTACTATTTCTTGAGTGCTTACTGGGAACTAAGTATATCATAGTAAGTGCTTTGCATCATTTACCTCATTAAATTTTTATGTCAGAGAATGTCAGTATATCTCCTCTTAACAGATGAGAGGGCGAGACTTAAAGAGGCCAGGTCATGTTGCTTAAGGTCACATGGGTGTGTAGGTGTTAGAGCCCAGGACCGTCTGATTTCAAGGCCTATGCACTTCCTGCTTTAAGATGGATAACAAGCAGGGCTGATGTTAGTAACCCCTCAGCTTTACAAGAGTGATTCTCAGCCTGCGTGTACATTGGCATCATAGTGGGTGAAGGGGAACTTTAAAGGACACTGATGCCAAGCTCCACCCCAAGGGATGCTGATGTAAGTTGTCTTGGTTACAGCCTGGGCAGTGGGATTTTTTTAGTTCTCCCCAATTTGTTTTATTTTGCAGCCAAGATTGAGAACCGCAGCTTTATGTGAAGTTTCAGAGATTGAGAAGAGAAAGCTGGGAGGGTTGAGGTACTTTCTGGTCATGGAGCTCCAGTGTTCAGAGAGCTAGTTTTTCTTAGAAGAGTTTCTTGAAGAGGTTCTTTAAATGCTAAATTCTTGGGATTTGGACTAATCATCAATGCAGCTCTAAAAGTGTAAAGCACTTGTGGAAGGGAAGGAGCAAGTATTTGGGAGGAACACTTGAATTAGTTGGTTTCAGAGAGCAGATTTGATATGAGGGGAGTTCCTGTTCTAACAGAAAAAGGGCCGAGCACGGTGGCTCATGCCTGTAATCCCAGCACTTTGGGCGGCCGAGGTGGGTGGACCACGAGGTCAGGAGATGGAGACCATCTGGCTAACACAGTGAAACCCTGTCTCTACTAAAAAAAAAAAAAAAAAAAAATACAAAAAATTAGCTGGGCGTAGTGGCAGGAGCCTGTAGTCCCAGTTACTCAGGAGGCTGAGGCAGGAGAATGGTGTGAACCCAGGAAGCAGAGCTTGCAGTGAGCCGAGATCGTGCCACTGCACTCCAGCCTGGGCGATAGAGCGAGACTCCGTCTCAAAAAAAAAAAAAAAAAGAAAAAAAAAGAGAAAAAGAAGATTCTATGTGTGATGATGTAGTGACAAGTTCTCACATAATTAATCCAGTCAGGCCTATAACTAAAGGTCATGGCAGAGATGAAAAGGGTCACAGTTTGGGTGGACAGTGTAATATCATCCACATAGTAGATAAGATGATGTAATTAAGAAGGGAGTGATTCGTTTACTTCTTGTGTGCCCATTTAACTGTTACATGTGACCATGAGCCATTGAGCAAATTACACTTTCTAGTATATTAAATGGTGTAACAACTGAACCAAAGACTTATCTGCTTCTGGGTTATTTACTCACCTTCCTACTCTGCAATGCTGAATGCTCTTTTATATTAAATAACTGGATTTGTTGGACAAAATGTGCTTCAAAATCAAAGGGTCTTCTGGATATTTTGGAGAGTGAAGTTTTCTCCTTCTTAGCAAGTCTTGGTTGTTCCGTCATCTTTCCATCAGCAGTGAGTTCCTGGTTGGAGGTAACTGTGTATAAATTAAAACTCCTCAAGGCCAGGGAAGAAGAGGAAGAAAGAAGTGTGTGGGCTTGAGAATTAATTCTGAGTAGAACTGGGGACAATCTTCATGAATGAGTGAAACCATGAGTGATAACTGTGTTCCTTAAAGAAGAGGGTTGCTCTGTTTCTTGGGATGCTCTTAACAAAAGTGAATGTGTACGTGGTTTTCCCAAAAGGGCATTGAGCAAATGACAGGATGAATTTAGCATTGTTAGGTACAGACTTTTCATTGGTTCTTAGATAGAAACATACCCAGTATAAGAATTCTGAAGTGACTGAAAGAGGAGATATTCTAGTGAAAGAAAAAGGAAGAAAGAGCTGCTATTTCCTGACTGAAAATCTGACTTCCACAGAGAATTACCTTTTAGGAAAACCCAGATGGGAACAAGTTTAATCTTTCTCTGAGTTGAGGGTGAATGGGGTTTCCAGTTCAATTTTTAAGGTAGTTTTAATCATGCCAAACTATTAAATGTGTATGTATGAGATTGGATTAACTCAGTCTTTCTTGTGTCACTTTTTAGAAAAGGAATTGTTAGCAGATGATTGTAGTCATGAAATATTTTGACTGTCTGGCAGCACTAATGTTAAAGATAGAAACAATAAAAAAAGCCAAAACAGGTCTTTTATTCATTCTTGTATGAAAAAGCATATTCTCCAACTATATATGCTTTTTGAAAAATTTTATTTTTCCATAAGTTATTGGGGTACAGGTGGTATTTGGTTACATGAGTAAGCTCTTTAGTGGAGATTTGTGACATCCTGGTGCACCCATCACCCGAGCAGTGTACACTGCACCATATTTGTTGTCTTTTGTCCCTTGCCTCCTCCCACTCTTCCCCCCAAGTCCCTAAAGTCTATTTTATCATTCTTATGCCTTTGTGTCCTCATAGCTTAGCTCCCACATATCAGTGAGAACATATGATGTTTGGATTTCCATTCCTGAGTTACTTCACTTAGAATAATAGTCTCTAATCTCATCCAGGTCATTCCAAATGCTGTTAATATGCTTTTAAAAACATAGCTTGATTAAATGAACATTCTCCTGCATTGATATTTAAAAATTAAGTATTGCAGCAGGTGGCAGAACTCAAGTCTCTTGAGAAAGGAATATGATTGAAGATTGTTGACTGGAATAACATACCTTTTCTTCCCCAGATGGTTTTATTGTCCTTTAAGTTCTGTGAATGGTGTTTTCCATAATCAGCAGGTACTACTGTATTTTGCCTTTAATTTTGGTGGCTAAAACTATCAAGCTCAATGTTTGTGCCTTCCAGGATTCTTAGAGGTTACAAAGATTTATTTTCTAGAGGATAAACTAGAATTTGGACCTAGAAATAAAATGAACTCCATTATGTTTCACATTTTCCCTGTACACAGCTGTCTCTGGTTAAGTTTATTGTAGGTTCTAACTGTAGAGAGCAGCTGTAGCTCAAGGCAATGAGAACAGACAGAACTGGGGTGCTAGAAAAATTGCCAGAGCTTGCCAGTTAGTCCTGAACACATTGTTTAGGCTTCCTTTGTATCAGTATGCTCATTTGTTCAAGGAAATTTGCTGGAGGCCATATTTATGAAAGCAGATAGCGGTGGCAGACAGTGTTGTACTTGACAATAAATAGTTGGATGTATTTGCTAACCCCTAGTTTTCATCTCCCACAGGATTATTAATTTGTACCATTATTGGTAGTGTTTTTGACCATCAAGAGTTCATCATGGAGTCTTCCTCCCCCTTCTTCTTTGTCTTTTTCTTTTCTATCTTACTCTTCTTTACAGGTGAAGCTCTTGACCCAGCACTAGGGAAGTGTCTTGCTGTCCAACTATTAGCTGATCACTCTTCAGTTCAACCTAGAGAAAATCAAAAGCTAGAAAAAAACAACAGCTAGAAATTTCATATCTAAATTTTATCAGTTTAACACCTTGACTTAAATTAGGCATATGTTGGGAGTCTATGTTTTGAATGGAACAAAATAACAGTATCTTGCATTTATTTAGTGCTTTATGCAACATATTGACCTTCATGATCTTATTTGATCTTTAAATACCCCTGATATGGTTTGGCTCTGTGTCCCCACCCGAATCTCATCTCGAATTATAATCCCCACGTGTCAAGGGAGGGACCTGTAATTCCCACTAGTTGAAGGAGGGCAGTGATTGGATCATGGGGGCAGTTTCCCCTCTGTTGTTCTCATGATAGTGAGTGAGTTCTCTTGAGAGCTGATGGTTTTATAAGTGTTTGGAAGTTCCTCCTTCACTTTTCTCTCCTGCCGCCATGTGAAGAAGGTCTTTGCTTCCCCTTCACCTTCTGCCATGATTGTAGGTTGCCTGAGGCCTCCCCAGCCATGTGGAACTGTGAGTCAATTAAACCTCTTTCCTTTATAAATTACATAGTCAGGTATTTCTTTATAGCAATGTGAAAACAAACGAATACAACCACCCCAAACACTGAGAACATTGAGATCATCTTCACTTTTGAGAATGCCTCAAATTACAAACATTTAAATTTGATAACTCACTTAGTGTCATACATTTAGGGGACAGCATGGAACTCTTACAGAAGGAATCAGGAAATATAAGCTCCAGTTTTGGCTGTGCTACAAACTAACCATGTCAAGTTAGTGGCACAACCACCGTGAGCTATTCTTAGTCTATGAAATTATGGCCTGGAACTAGAATTTTGCAGGAATATTTTATGATTTTTTGATTTTGGAATCTCCTTTCCCCATCAAAAGGAAGAAAAATCAGCTGGGCATGGTGGCTCATGCCGGTAATCCCAGCACTTTGGGAGGCCGAGGTCGGTGGTTCACCTGAGGTCAGGAGTTCTAAACTAGCCTGGCCAACATGGCAAAACCCCACTAAAAATACAAAAATTAGCTGGGTGTGGTAGTGGGCACCTGTAACCCCAGCTACTTGGGAGGCTGAGGCAGGAGAATCACTTGAACCTGGGAGGCGGAGGTTGCAGTGAGCTGAGATTGTGCCACTGCACTCCAGTCTGGGTGATAGCGTGAGACTGTCTCAAAAAAAAAAAAAAAAAGAAGAAGAAGAAAAATCTGCCAGAGTGATTGTTTTTGTTTATGTATTGTTTTCCTTGCAAGATAACTGTACAAGTGAAAACCATAAAGTAGACAAAAATATATTTTGAAAAAAGTTTTAAAACAAAATATGCTCATACTTTCTAACATTATGTTTTAGTTCTGTGGCAAATATGTCTTGACTCTGGGTTAGGCTACATTTTCGTGAAGATGTGGAACTTTAGCCTTTTTATCCACGTAGATGTCACTTCTTATACGACCCTCT
Organism: Homo sapiens; assembly: GCF_000001405.40. Taxonomy (NCBI): domain Eukaryota; kingdom Metazoa; phylum Chordata; class Mammalia; order Primates; family Hominidae; genus Homo; species Homo sapiens. The sequence continues at coordinate 224,700,906 of NC_000002.12, forward strand.
TATTCTCTTTTCCCATCCTCAGACTTCCTCTTCCCTTTTTCATTTTCCAAAGTGTAACTTTCCACATCCCCTTTCTTGTTCTGGATCTCTATGTTTAGGAAATTGCGTTTAAGTCAGAGATCAAAATCTGGTATCTTAGGGCAGGGGTCCCCAACCTCTAGGCCACTGACTGGTACTGGTCCGTGGCCTTTTAGGAACCTGACTGCACAGCAGGAGGTGAGCAGCAGGTGAGTGAACATTACTGCCTAAGCTCCGCCTCCTGTCAGATCAGCAGCAGCATTAGATTCTCATAGGACCACTGGAAGTGCAAATGTAAGGGATCTAGGCTGCATGCTCCTTATGAGAATCTAATGTCTGATGATCTGAGATGGAACAATTTCATCCCCAAACCAACCCCTCTGCCTGTCTCCGCCATCCATAGAAAAATTGTCTTCCATGAAACTGGTCCCTGGTGCCAAAAATGTTGGGGACCCTTGTGCTAGGGGCTAGATCTGGCCCCTAGATACATTGTGTTTGGTTTTCACAGTGTTTAAAAAACTGAGCACATTGCCAATATTTATGAATCAGGAAATTTTGCATAAAAACCCAGATATTAATGTATCTTGAAAAATAGGCCATATGGCAATACTATGTCTGCTTTGCCATATGGCACTATGAAGGTGGGTAACAGTGGCTCTTCTTAGATGGAGCATATACATGTCTGCTCTCCAGAATCTTCACTCATTGTTGTTACTTTCCTGTCACTGCTAGGCATTTGAGTTCCTGACTTAGTTTCATACATACCAGTGGAAGTTTTGGGCGTAGAAGAAGACAAACATAACTAGTTGATCAGAGCATGACCAAGATGCATTTCATGTTCTTTGTAATTCATTATGTTTAAAAATATGCTCCAAGGGCTTATTATTAAGCACTATATCCAGCCGGGGAACAGAGATAGAGCGTTGTTTCTTTTTCTTTCTTTTTTTTTTTTTTTTGAGACAGAGTCTTGCTGTGTCACCCAGGCTGGAGTGCAGTGGCGTGATCTCAGCTCACTGCAAGCTCCGCCTCCCGGGTTCATGCCATTCTCCTGCCTCAGCCTCCTGAGTAGCTGGGACTACAGGCGCACGCCACCACGCCTGGCTAATTTTTTGTGTTTTTAGTAGAGACGGGGTTTCACCGTGTTAGCCAGGATGGTCTTGATCTCCTGACCTCATGATCCACCTGCCTCGGTCTCCCAAAGTTCTGGGATTACAGGCGTGAGCCACCGCACCTGGCCTATTTCTTTAATCCTATGTTAAATGATTTAATTTTAAAGCTTAACATTTTATAGTGTGGTGGTTTTTTTTACTGGAAACTGATAGATTCATGTAACTGTTCAGCTCATCGAACATGGATCAAATGTCAGTTACATACTCATTGAGCTTAGTGTTGGGGATATTTGTCATATTAGCTTGGCCAGTTACGACATTACAACTTGCATAGTTGTCATGTATTGCTTTAAAAAAGTTTTACTGTTTGGGGAATGTTTCTTTTTAACTGAGGTTAAGGTGAAATTCCCAATTTTATAGATATGCAAAGAATATAATTGTGCATAAACTAAAAATGCCAACTATCTCATGGGTAATAGCTTAATTATCTACTCAGTGTGGGTCTTTATTCCCAGAGGAGTGTATTTTCACATCCAGTTTGCATCTTTCCCCTCCAGTTGTAACCTTGCCCTATTGTATATCTGTTATAATGTTAGGAATCTTGTTAATATTCAATGAATGCCATAAATAAAAGAAGCATTTAATTTTATTACATGACTTTTACCACAGGGTGTTGGTTGCTTTATTTCTGTCTTTTCTAGAAGCCTGTGACTATTACAATTTATTCTTAGAAATGGTATGAACCATTCCTATCCTTTCTTTGCTTCACTGCTTCTACTTGGTGCAGGATCAGAGGGTCCTGGACCATGTTTCTTGGTATTTACAACAGTAGATCACAAGCACAGCTGTATGGCGGGAGTCACCTTGGAAAGCTCATTTAAAACGTGAATTTCACTTCTTCTTTCTGCCTTCCCCAGCTCCCCCAATCAATCTAATAGGTCTGGGGTGAGGCCCAGGAATCTGCATTTTAATAATCTGGATATTCTAATACAATACGATCTTTGTTTAAGAAGGGTATTTGTATCAGAAACTCAATTGCTATAAACAGGAAGAGGAGCTATTCTGTTAACTAGAAGTTCAGGAATTGGGGGAGTTGTGAGAACTTCCATTCCTTGAGTAGTGATGAGCAGAACCATTTTTTCTCTCCTTCCAATCAGGTTTAGTGTGCTTGCCCTTAGTCAGCTCACAATTGCTCTGAGTCCACAATGTAAACTATGGATGTTGCTGTGTTTGAGCTCACACGCCTGTGACACAGGCTCTTAAAGAACAAATGAGCTAGTGTCAGTGAAATATCAACACACAGTGAACTAAAAGGAGAATCACACTTATGTCACAGAAAACAAAGGATAGTTGCTTTTATGCCACTAATCAAAACCAGAACTTTTTTTCTAGGCTTGTTCTAGCTTCATCTGGAAAGTGAACAGAAGCATTTCTTGATGGCATAGTACAGACACTGACACTTAGCATATAATCACATTTAATTACTCACATGTCATATAGTCTACAATAGCCACTGCACACATACCAGTCATTAGTGCTCAGCAATGACAAAAAATAATTGCTTCCACTCCTTGGCCAAACAGGTCTATGGACCCAATACCAAATATTTTGTGTGTCTTACTGGACATCTTGCCAGACTTCTTTATAGGGAAAGACACTGACCCAGCTAGACCTTGGTGCTGCCATCTCTTGAGAATCAACTGTTTCTTACATTTAATCACTTCACATATCCTATTCTGCAATGATACTTAGCTGGTTTGTGGCCTGATTTGGTGAGTGTTTCAAAGAACTTGAATTTTTGGAATATGAAGACATGTCCATGGGTAACAGGAAACTGACTGCCTTTGTCTTGTCCCTACAGGAAGCAAAATAAAGGGAAGAAAAAGACTTTTTAGTGAGACTTTATATAGAACATTGATGATTTTTCCCCCCAATCACCAGATACTACCTACAGTGTTAAAAGTTCACTTAAAAATATATCATGATATTTTTTGTTAAGTTGTTCAACAATGATGTAAGGATATATATTGGAATGACCTTTTCATTAAACCCAAGGAATAGTGTGGATAAAACAAAAACTTAAAACTACTGAGGGAGAGACTATATGGCTGAGGAATGATTATTAGTTTGATGTTCAAAGTGGAAGAATATCTCATTCTTAGGCAAAAGTCTCTTGCGTCAAATCTTCAGCTCATGAAATGAAGCAGAAACTTGAGGCAATTATTTTATAGTCCAGATAAATCTGCTCCTTTTGACTGTGAATTAACTGAATACACATCATGCCTGAAGAGTAAAGGGGGTAAGAGCAATAGCCCCATGCTATCTGAGGGATTATATCTTTTCATTTTGCCTACTTCTCCTTTTACCTCTAAAATATTACATAGAATTTAGACATTAACCAGGAGAAACTGCTCTTAGGAATAAATCTAAACAGTGTTTAAAATGACTGCCTTTTCTTCATTTTTGTTCTCTTTTGTGGGAACAAAGAGGGTAGATAAGGCTGTAATTTCACTGAATGACATTTGGTGGCCTGCGTCTCAGAAAACACAGCTGCACCTTTTTTTTTTCTTTTCTTTTCTTTTTTTTTTTTTTTTCTTTTTTTTTTTTTGAGACAGAGTCTCATTCTGTCGCCCAGGCTGGAATGCAGTGGCATGATCTCAGCTCAGTGCAACCTCCTCTTCCCAGGTTCAAGCTATTCTTCTGCCTCAGCCTCCCCAGTAGCTGGGATTACAGGTGCACGTCACCATGCTGGCTAATTTTTGTGTTTTTAGTAGAGACGAGTTTTCGCCATGTTGGCCAGGCTCGTCTTGAACTCTTGACTTCAAGTGATCTGCCTGCCTTGACCTCCCGAAATGCTGGGATTTCAGGCATGAGCCACCATTCCCAGCCAGGCCAGCTGCACCCTCTTTTGGGAGGTAGGCAGGCCAGTGCTTCCAAGCACTGGAATCAATAAAATAATAACAACCACTGCCACTTGGTGAGCGGTCACTCAACCACCTCATTTACTCTTCACAAAAACTATGAGGTATCTGCCTTTAAGATTCCCTTTTTACAGAAGAGTAAACTGTGACACAGGACAATCTAGTAACTTTCTCCAAGGCCACATTGTTTGTAAATGATGATGGAGGTGGAATTTTGGCCATCTGATTCTGGAAGCTGCCTCCTTAAACTTCTTTCTGGATTTGGAAAAGGAGAGAATATATTTATTGTAATGAATCTGGTTTACCCTATCAGTAAACTGAATAACATAGCATTTCTAATTTTAACTGTTTATATGGGCCCTTGTCCCTAAGCTTGTCAACTGAAATTTGTTTTTCTAAAACACAGGAAGAAAAGATTGAATTTCTCTGTCAAAATTAAGAAAAAATTAAAATCCTGTTTTTAGTTTCTGGAAAGCTTTGATTCTTAGAAATATTGACATTGGCATTATTTTGTAAAATATTTTCGTGGTATAATAATGGAAAAGTTCACAAGCAAATTGGTTATGATGTCTGATATGATTCAAAAGTCAGTGCAAACAAATTGGTTCTTGATAAATATTTGTAAAATGCTTTGAAAGCTATTAGTGAGGAAATTAATTTCCCAAATAATCAGAGGAATAATATAATGACATTTTACTTTACTAGTTAATTCCTGAGAATATAAAAGACACATTTAAAAAGGACTACAATAAAAAAAATGCTCAATTCCTACTCAATAGTTCTAGTGGATTTCATGCCAATCCAGTTGTTGATTTTAAGCCAATACTGGCTTTCTTCCTTTAATACAACCTTGCAATTGGCTCAATCTTTCAAATTAACTTTTACATTAGAAATGGGTTGTATTCTAAATAGTTCATTAGTTGGCAGCTTGGAAGTTGGAAAACATTTTACTTTAGAAAAATAATACCTCATAAATGTTGGTTAGGTTCCCATACTATCATAGAAAATAATATAAATTGAAATGGAAAAACTAATAGTACTATAATTCTCAGCATTGTATGTCTGTGAGAATGGTTTAAGTGCAAAAAGTAAAACATTATGATATATACACTGTATAATTTCAACATATGTGAACACAAGCTATCCATCTCAATGGTAGTTATTCAGGTAGTGGGATTATGAAGAGTTTTGTTTTTAAACATTTTTACTTTGTATATTGCCTCTATATTTTGTAACTTTTTTTTTTTTTTTTTTTTTTTTTTTTTTTTTTGAGACAGAGTCTCACTCTGTCACCCAGGCTGGAGTGCAGTGGCCCAATGTCGGCTCACTGCAACCTCCGCCTCCCAGGTTCAAGCAATTCTCTGTCTCAGCCTCCCAAGTAGCTGGGACTACAGGCATACACCGCCACACCTGGCTAAGTTTTGTATTTTTAGTAGAGATGGGGTTTCACCATATTGGTCAGGCTGGTCTTGAACTCTTGGCCTCAGGTGATCTGTTCACCTTGGCCTCCCAGAGTGCTGGGATTACAGGTATGAGCCACTGTGCCTGGCTGTAACTTTTTTTTTTTTTTTTTTTTGAGACAGAGTCTCGCTGTGTTGCCAGGCTGGAGTGCAATGGCGTGATCTCGGTTCACTGCAAACTGTGCCTCCCAGGTTCAAGCGATTCTCCTGCCTCAGCCTCCCAAGTAGCTGAGAATACAGGTGCCCACCACCACGCCTGGCTAATTTTTGTATTTTAGTAGAGATGGGGTTTCACCATGTTGGTCAGGCTGGTCTCGAACTCCTGACCTCAGGTTATCTGCCCACCTCAGCCTCCCAAAGTGCTGGGATTACAGGCATGAGCCACCGCGACCGACACCTGGCTGTAACTTTTTTTATGATAAACATTTAGTGCTGCTATAGAACTGGATATATATATATGTATGTGTGTCTGTGTGTATATATATATATATATACACACACGCGCACTTTTTTTTTTAAGGAAAAGGACATATCTCTGCCATTCTTCTGTTTTCCTTCTTTGAAGACACATGACCAATGGAACCCAATGATTGAGTATTCATTTCTTGTTTCCATATCCCACATTTGATCTATAAATAAATCTTGTTGGCTCCACCTTTGATGCACATCTAGAAATCATGTCCACTGTTAGCACGCTTGGCAAAGAAATGATCCCCTCTTGCCTAGATTATTTTATAGCCTTCAGTCTGGTCTCCTTGTTTTCGATATTGTTCTCTTAAAATTTTTCACAATAGGGTTTCCAACCCAAGAACTTTTTACAAAATGAAAAGAACATGTTATCCACACAAATTTATTTACAATAAATCCAGAGTCACTGGAATCGGGTAGAAGGCCACCCTTGGCTCTCTGCCTACCTGTCCTTCTGCACACCAGCTTGCTCACTTGTCACACCAGGCTCCTGGCCTATCCTTGAACACACTGGTAATGCTCCTACCCAGGGCTTCTGCATTTGCTCTTCTCAATGCCTAGAGAGTTCTCTCTTTAGCCTTGATCAGGACTCACTCTCTCTCTCCCTTCTTTATTCAGATGGAAAGGCATTCTTTGGCCATGGTATCAAACATTTCATTATGCTCCTCTAACCCTTCTTTATTCACTTTATTTTTTGCTTTGGTACTTAACACCGTCTAACATAATATACACTTCATATATTTGCATGTTTACTGATTATCATGTTGCAAAGAAATAAGCTCCACATGGGCAGGGGTTTTTGACAATTCGGTTTCCTGCTGTATCTGCAAGGCAGAGAATCCTGCCCAACATGCAGCACACCCTCAGGATATATTTATTGAATGAATGAATGTAATAAAAGTATAAAAACCTAGACTGAAAAAATAAAAACTAAACTCATGATGACATTTGCCCCTGGGAGGACAAAGGAAAAGTTATATAAGACTTTCTTTATTGGTAACTTTCTTTCTTTCTCTCCTTCCTTCCTTCCTTTTCTTTCTTCCTTCCTTTCTTCTTTTCTTTTCTTCTCTTTACCTCCCTCCCTCCCTTCTTCCCTCCCTCCCTCCCTCCCTCCCTCCCTTCCTTCCTTTCTTCCTTCCTTCCTTCCTTCCTTCTTAGAGGCAAGGTCTCACTATGTTGCCCAGGCTGGTCTCGAACTCCTGGGCTCAAGGGATTTGCCCACCTCAGCCTCCAAAAGTGCTGGAATTACAGGCTTGAGCCACCGCACCTAGCCACATTTTATTTCTTTTACATATAAAAGCATCTGAAGCAAATATGATAAAACTTTTTGAATCTATTGGTGCATGTAACATTAATTTCTGAATATTTACAGAAATATTTTGGAAAATATTTACAGAATATTTTGGAAGTTTTCATAAGACATTTATTCTGGCTTTCCAATAATTTCACGATAAAGCATATATTCCTTAGCATTCCACGAGTGGCCTTTAATGATGAATCCTTCTCACTTCTCCATCCTCATTTATTTTACTACTTTTAGTTTCTCTCAGTGGCATGGCTTCTTCTATCCTCATGTCTGTTTCGTTCTACCTGGGATGACCTTTCCATTTTTCTTTGGCTAAATCTAGTAGTCCTTGGTGACTCCAGTTAATCTCCCTGCTCCTATGATAGAACCTTCTGCAAGGGAAACACAATTTTCATCCTGTCTTTGGAAATCCAAATAAAGCTGATTCAACCTTTGTATCCCACATCCTGTGGGAAGTCCAGTGCCCTTTCCAATATTTATGAGAATTCCTACAGGCCTCTTGCTTATGGTTATCTCTTGATTTGCTTTCCTGCCACTGCTGAGTTCGATGGTGCTCTGGGTCTCTCAACAATCATATTTTTTGCATTTTCTCTTTCCCGTGATAAGCTAATAATCATGAGACCCAGGTCCCCTCCTCTTGATTTTCCTCCTTCTACTCACACAAGACAAAGACAAGTAGAGATCTTGCTGAAGAGTTAGGGCCTCATTGGGAGTTGGAAGGTAGGGATGCAGAGTGTGGGAGAGAGGGGGCAGTGCATGCTCCTGCACAGTTGTGCAGATAAATTAGGCTTGATGTTAGAGGACTTGACTCTACCACTTCAGGAGCCACTGGCCAAGTTTCCTCTAACAGACCCTGGCTTCTTTTTCTTTTTCTTTTCTTTCTTTTCCTTTCTTTTGTCTTTTTTTTTTTTTTTTTTTTGAGATGGAGTCTCACTCTGTCCCCCAGGCTGGAGTGCAGTGGTACTATCTCGGCTCACTGCAACCTCTGCCTCCCAGGTTCAAGTGATTCTCCTGCCTCAGACTCCCAAGTAGCTGAGGCTACAGGCGCAGGCCACCATGCCTGGCTAATTTTTGTATTTTTAGTAGAGACAGGGTTTTGCTATGTTGGCCAGGCTGGCCTTGAACTCCTGACCTCAAGTGATCCAGCCCGCCTCGGCATCCCAAAGTGCTTTCTTGACTGTTGTCTCACATCCCTCCCATTCTCAGGCTGTTCCAGCTCTCTAAATACCAATTCACATATTTTGGAGAGCAAATTGGTTTTCTCTTTGTCTCTTGGCCCTTATGAGTTATGCCTAAATAATTTTTTAAAACAATTTCCCCTAACGCCCACTAAGGCACCTGCCTCCACCAGAACAGCTGTTCTCTGAGAGGTGTTCTGCATTCAGCTCTTAAAGTAACTGTGCCTACTCCCTGAGATGCACTTTATTGCAGTAGATAGTTTACTTGTGTGCCTTTGTCACTTAATGAGAGTTTTGAATGTAATGGCTTACTTTTGCTGAATCTTGTATCACCAGTGCCTGGCTTAGAATATGATCACTAATGCTTAATGAATAAATGAGTACTAAGTTGTCCAGTTGTTAGAGGCATCTATTAGAGGGTGCCATTTAACCTCAAATAAATTTGTTACTTTAAATTCCCAAAATTGACATAGGTAATATGGAAATTATTTATATGCTATTTGGTTTTGTTTCCTCCACTAGATAAGACTTCATTTATCCAGGGGAAAGTCTCAGTAACCATCTCAGTATGGGCCTATTCACCAGCTTGAAGTGTATTTTACATTACCTGCAACCACAAACATGCTCAGGAGAAGCTCTTTGGCTGGTCCTATTGCTGGTGAGAGAATCTGTGGCAAACACCTTTTCTTCCATGTCTTGCTTCTTAATTGGAGAACATGCCAATGACTTCAGTGTTCTCTGACCTTCTAGAATTCCGCTCTTTGGGTGACTTTTCCCAGATTTCCAGGGATCATTTACAGCAGATGAGCAAACTGATGATGAAATGGAATAGCGTCTAACAATCATGACATTGCCTGTACAAAAGACACAAAATCCAACTTAAAAAAATTCTACCCTAATGACACTCACAAATGAAAAATGATAGAATTTTATTGAAACTAACTAGACAGAACTATTGTTTCTCATTACTTTTTTGGCATAAAAGATATCCATTTGGCCTGGCGCGGTGGCTCACACCTGTAATCCCAGCACTTTGGGAGGCCAAGGTGGGTGGATCACAAGGTCAGGCGATGGTGACCATCCTGGCCAATATGAAACCCTGTATCTACTAAAAATACAGAAATTAGCCAGGCGTGGTGGCGGGCACCTGTAGTCCCAGCTACTCAGGAGGTTGAGGCAGGAGAATTGCTTGAATCCGGGAGGCAGAGGTTGCAGTGAGCCAAGATCATGCCACTGCACTCCAGCCTGGGTGACAAGAGGGAAACTTCGTCTCAAACAATCAAATAAACAAAAAGCATTCATTGATTTATTTTACAAATATTAATTGAGTGCCAACCATATGCCAGGATCTTTTTTAAAAGATGGGAATGTGGTAGAGAACAACATAAAATTCCAGAGTTCACCTTCTTATGTGGAAGACAGACAGTAAACAATAGATGATAGAATTCACATAGTAATACATTCTAGGAAGGCAAATAAGGCTGATGAGGACAAGGGGATAGAGACAGATGCAGGAAGGTGTTCGGAGGCTATTTCAATTGTGTGGCCAGGGAAGACCTTTCTGAGAATACAGCATTAGAACAGGGGCTTGACATACATAGATAATAAAAATAGACCTTAAAATTGGGAGAACATGAATCTCCCAGACATGCCAATTCTTGATGGCCTTCTTACTCCTGATTCTAGAAGAACAGGCTTATCCACAGTGTCTGATCACCTGAATGGCCACAGGAATTTAACAGGTTGTTGCTAACTGGCCTATGATTGCATGTCTTGGCCTTAGTTGGGACAGTCGTTAAGAGGATGTCTATTGAGTGAGAGACAAACGCAAAGGAGACACATGGCAAAGAGCAAAGATGCATGGTGTGGGAAATTGGAGAGCCCCTGAAAGAGATGGAGAGATTTGTGGCTTTAGTTTCCAGGGACTTCCAATTCAGTTTCTATTCATAGAGTCTCCCAATAAACTCTTTCCTTGAGGTAAATCAAATCTTCCCTGTTTTTTTTTTTTTTTTTAATAATGAAAACATGTTGATTAAAAGGGCTTTATTTTAGAGGCTCTTGGTATGTCTGAACGCCAGCTCTTACACTGCATTAACTCTGTGATCTGGAGCTGGTCATTTAACCTCTACTTGGAGGTCTGGTGATTATCCAACATCTACTTGCATGTCCAGTGTTGTCCATGTGGCTTACAACACTGATCTCATGGGTTGGTTTTCATTTTCTGGAGCACTTTATGAGTGATTGTGGAATCTTCATTCTTTCTTACTGCAGCTTTGCCATGAACGAGCATGAAAGCGTAAAAAAACCACTGCATTATGGGTAGGCTTTGAGAGTGCCAGAAGCACAATTATTTTTTATTTATGTTTGCTGACTGCTTCTGGAAAAAGCAGACAGAAAATCATTATGGTTATTTCAAAAGGTGGAGGCTGTTTCGGCTTTTTGTAGAACAGAAGACTGAATTGTAGGAGAGGTCTAGGGAGAGTTTAAGTTCAAATCTGTTTGAAGTGATTAACTACAAATATTATTCATAAATTATCTTTAAATGCTCCCCTTGGTCATGATATGTAACTTCCATAATTATCTAAAAACAGATCTGTGACTACTTACAAACATAAACGTTTTTGTTTAGAAGGATTATAAAACAATCCCTTGATACTGAATCGTAGGAAAACACAACAGGAAATTATGCTGATGATAGCAAAATTACGTTTGTTTTTACTTGGGACCTACAGTTAATTTGGGAGTGATTAGCATATAGGCTTATTGTTCATCTCCATGGGTCACAAAGGGTCTGTGTCCTTCAGTTTCTTATTAACAAAAAAGATATTCAACACAGCATCACAGGCTCATTAGAACATTTTCAAAGATCACAGCCAAATGCAGTTTATTTGCCAGCAAAGGATGTGAGCAGAGAATCAGAGGTCCAGCAATGCTGTAAAGGGTTGTTTCTTTTATCTTTACAGCGGCAAATTGCTTCAAGGTTCCACAGGGCAAGAGGGGCCGGGAAACATCTCTGAAAGCACTGGCTAGATTTCATATCTACCAAATATTTGTGCACTATTACAGATGTTTCCATGAGCATTTACCCAGCAAGGATTCATTCCGAGCAGGCACTCTGCATTCTCAGTATATTTTATCACCACACAGCTGTGTCTGGGCTGTAGCGTAGCTCTGCGTCCTCGGGTGACTTCAGGGGAAGTAGGGTTCTCCATTCACAGAGAGCCTCACTTTATCTCACCACACATACCAAGGAACACACGGAGGAACTTTTAGCTCTAAGTGATCCACTTCCAGGTCCTCTTTAATTATTCCCTTTCTTAAAGTGAGACTCATATTTCTGATTTCACATTATTCTTTCTGAAAGAATAGGTTTATGTATTTTTGTTTCCAAAAAAGGATTGGAGAAGTTGGGTAAGATAATCTCTATGAGGCTTATATTTTCAACTGCAAATAAGGAAATTTCTACTGGATGATCTCTTCCCTCCCTCCCTTCCTTCCTTCCTTCCTTCCCTCCTTCCTTTTTGATGGAGTCTTGCACTGTTGCCCAGGCCAGAGTGCAGTGGTGCAATCTCAGCTCACTGCAACTTCCGCCTCCCGGGTTCAAGCGGTTCTCCTGCCTCAACCTCCCGAGTAGCTAGGACTACAGGCACGTGCCACCACGCCCAGCTAATTTTTGTATTTTTAGTAGAGACGGGGTTTCACCATGTTAGCCAGGATGGTCTCGATCTCCTGACCTCGTGATCCACCCACCTTGGCCTCCCAAAGTGCTGAGATTTCAGGAGTGAGCCACTGTGCCTGGCCTCTAACGTTCCTTTCTAGTAACAGATTTCTATGATTCAATTAATTGTAAGTATGAATTTCAATTGATGTTGGCAATTACTATTAAAACTACTGATAAAAACTTATGCTCAAGTCAAATAATAATATTTTTCTGACATGTCCAATGATATTATGACAACTATTACTTAGTAATTTACATTGAATCTTACTTACACTATCTTTACTCCTCTCAACAGCCCTGTGAGGTAGATTCCATCATTACCTCCATTTTACAGATGAAGAGAGTGATCATAAAAAGCTCTACATCACTCTGTATTCATAGAATCACAGGATTTTGCAGTTGGAATAGGACTTGGAAGACATTTAGCCCAATCCACTTATTTTTACATGAGGATGCTAAGATCAGAAAGTTTATGTGACCTGCCCAGTGTTGAACAACTAGGAATTCAATCCAGGTGTCTTCATGCTCAGGACAATGTTCTTCCTACTTACATTACTTGCTATTATAATAGCACATAACATTTAAGAAACAGATAAACATCATTTAAAGTAACTCAACAGGACTCCCAAGTGCAAATCTAAATCACATTTCTTTCTGTGTTTTATTTGTGCAATAAGCAAGGTTTCCTACAATTTTATCAAATATTTTTCACCAGTATTTTTTTTTTTTTTTTTGAGACAAGGTCACTCTTGTCACCCAGGCTGGAGTACAGTGGTGCACCCTTAGCTCACTGCAGCCTCAAAGGAATCCTCCCATCTCAGCCTCTCAAGCTCTCAAGTAGCTCAGTCTATAGATGTATGCCATCATGCCTGGCTAATTTTTTCCTGGCTAATCCTTTTCTTTTCTTTTCTTTTCTATTCTTTTCTTTTCTTTGTAGAGATGGCGGTCTCACTATGATGCCTAGGCCAATCTCGAACTCCTGTCCTTAAGTGATCCTCCTGCCTTCGCCTCCCAAAGCGCTGGGATTACAGGCATGAGCCACCATGCTTGGCCTCACCAATCCTTTTCAAAGTTAATGCTAACATTCTTATTGGAAATTACCACCCATATGCTGAAGAAGTATGATATCAATTATGCGTTTAACTCTTATGAATATGTTCTAACCTCCTCTAAGCTTGATGATGTTTAGACCCTGAGAATTTAAAGGGCAATACTCTGTTCTTTGAACTGTGTTAATACATGTTTTAAAATAGGACAGTTAGTTCTAAGATGCAACTTACTTTTCTGTTAGGATAAGTCCCACAGAGAATAGACTTGAAGTATTGTTTATTTTTGGAGCAAGGCGGTGGTTTTCAATGGTGGATGGGGTGCGATTTTGTTCCCAAGGCAACATTTGGCAATGCCTGGAGACATTATTGATGGTCATAACTGGAAGGGGAAGTGTGAGTACTCCAGCATCTAGTGGTTAGAGGCCAGGGAAGCTGCTAAACACCCTACCATGCTCGAGATGACCTCCACAGTAATTATTCAGTCTCAAATGTCAGTAATACAGAGGTTGAGAAACCCTCAACTAAGCAAATATTATAAATGTCCACATCCTTTTTTTTTTCCAGCAAGAGAATGTCTAACCTCCTATAGGTTACTCTTTCACAGTTTTATTAAATAACCAGTAGACAGTTACTCAATCCAGAGTTGTACTTATGAAAAAGGAAAAAGACCTGGATTGGAATCTGTTTTCAGCTTTCAAATATAGGGTCTCATTAGAGAGACACATCTCTAACTGCGAGAACCAACCGGCAAATATGACCTGTTCCATTGTCAACCTGTTCAGAGCTTCTTTTTTTTTCCTTTTTTTCTTTTTGAGATGGAGTCTCACTCTGTTGCCAGGCTGGAGTGCAGTGGCAAGATCTCAGCTCACTACAACCTCCGCCTCCCAGGTTCAAGTGATTCTCCTGCCTCAGCCTCCCCAGTAGCTGAGATTACAGGTGTGCGCCACCACGCCTGACTAATTTTTGTATTTTTAGTAGAGACAGGGTTTCACCATGTTGGCCAGGAAGGTCTCAATCTCTTGACCTCATCACCCATCCACCTTGGCTTCCCAAAGTGCTTCTAATTGGCAGTGCCTGAAGCTTTTGACAGATGATTTTAAGAGTTTTGAGTATTTAATTATGTATATGAATTATTTTCTTTCAATATGGTGTGTGTAGGCAGGTATTGACAATTTTAATGTAGAGTATATTTCTCACTCTGCTGATTTCTGACCCCATGTGTAATCTTCACAGTCAAAATATTTCTCATAAAATGTGAGAGATTTGATTTTTAGAATATATCAAACATCGACTCTGTATCTTGAAGTCTTCAATCTGCATAGCAGGCTGAATTATGTGCAGTATTCATTCATACAGGACAATAAAGTTATTAGTAAAACATGGATAGGAAATAGTATCTGCCATTTGTTGTGCCTTGGCCAGGTGCAATACTAAGCATTTAGTTCATATTACTGTAGTTAATCCTCACAACCTTGTGAGATAGGTACTATAACACTTCCAGATGAAGAAAACAAAGATTAAAGAGGTCTAATCACTGGCTTAGAGTCAAGTGGCTGAAGTGGTCAATTGGCAACCATATTTGTTGACTTTGACATCCATTCCCTTATCTGGTGTGCAGTACTGTTCCAGCCTTATAAGTGTGCGTGCCATTTGACATACACACATTCAATGTGCTATTATGCAGCATTTAAATGGCTGAAGTTAAAGAGGAAAAAGACCACATTGTTCCTAGTGTGACTGATTTCCACAAACCTGTCTCTCTTATCTTTCCCAGCAAATATGGAAGTAATTTTAGTGTTGCTATAATGTGTTGCTTGAAGATGCTAAAGCCATTTTTGTCTAGGGATTCACAGGTAATCTACTAGGAGGAAAGGGATGAAACCCACCACCGTTATTACCAAACTATACAGTTATCTGATCAGCACAATACACTTAACTATTTCACGATATTTGCAAAATGGGCACAGCCCACAAGAGCTCAGAATGTTTGGGTACCTTGGTGTTCCTGCACTGCTGGTGCTGCATCAGTGGAAACGGCACCCTGAAGGGTTGCTGGAGATTGTCCTGGCGCTTCCTCCTCCCTTTCGTCTCCTGATTCTCTCCCTGAGCCTGAGGCTCTCTGACTACTTGCAGTGAGTTTCATCCGGAGGGCTTGATTCTCTTTCTCCAGTTTGTGGATCTCTGCCCGCATTTCCTGGATAAGTCTCATGAGCTGGATATCAGCTTCCATTGTCTCTTCTCATGTTGCTCTAGTTGGCTTCTTTGGGAGAGACAGGTGGACTTTTCCTCATGAGCCCAAAACACAATCTACTCAGTGGGTCTGGCTGATCCTGCTCATAAACCTTTCCAAACAATAGCTGTCACTCTTCTCTGCGCCATCTTTCAGCACCTGGGGGGTTAGGCTGTCAAGGGAGGTAAAAGATCTTCCATGAAGTATTCATTCTGGGTTTTGTTTTTCAAAACAGAGATTTTCTTTCTATCTTTCATTTCATGTCAATCCACAGTTCTAGAATATTGCTTTGTGTGGGAGGAGAAGAGAACACTCCACAAATTTCCAGTGAAGAACAGTTTCTTGTTTCCATCATGAACTTACCATCACAACAGCCACTCAGTCTTTTCTCTATTGCCACTTCTGGGATCAAATGTATCTCAGGATCACCAGCTGCCACAAGTGCATCAAAATGGACATAGAAGAATTATGCCATGTCTTCTCTGTCTAATGTGCCATAGTTCTGCATTTTTTGGTAAATTATTAATTTTGACACTTACTAAGGAAGGGTAACATTAATCACAAGGGGTCATATGAACTGCAGGGATATTATTTAAATATGACGTTGGTAATTAATACCTAAATCCCTCAAGATAGGCCAAGGAAGGACAGATATTATCACTCCTCAGTAAATTTCTATCTTAGAAACATTTTGCCATTATTTACTTCTAGGATGTTTGCCTGGGCAAAGGCTGCCAGGGGTATTTTGGGAATGTAAGAAGATACAGGCTAAACATTAATCTTGAATGAGAGAGACATGTGACAATAACAGCTTTTGTTACCTATTTCCTGAAGAGGTTTCTTTGTGGGGGAATGAAAAGTACAAATCTTAAATAGCATATGCCCTGATAGCAATATCTGTTTGGAAATTCAATTAATGTTTAAACATAAATGATCTTTTGCAATACGGTGAAAATAATTAGAAAACTTTTTATGGGGATAGATTTTCTTTCACATTCATTTTTGTTTTCTTTGCGTGTGCCCGTGTATGTGTGTATGTGTGTGTATTTGCCCATCCTAATACATATGTGTTGATTGATCCAAGGCTGTTTAGATGGAAGGAATGATTGAAGAAAGTATTACTCCTTTTTTATTCATACAAATTTATTTTATATGTTTGAATTTTATGTTCACTAAAAAGTCAGTATATAAAAATGATGAGAGCATTTTCATATACTATTTATATTTGTATTTAAATGAATTTCAGTAAACATGTGCCACTCCAGAGGCTGTAGAAGTAGCTTGTAGAAATATGGACTATGGAGCAAAATGGGACTGGAAAGGTCATCCAATCTCACCACCTACTGGATGTTCAGATCTGTTCCACAGTATCTCTGCAATGGATCATTGACCCTATATGTGAGTATTTCTTTTGTAGGAGAGTTTCCTTCCTGCGATTTTCTTTTTGAGAAAATTTACTCATAAACGAGATAGGCAGTATTATCATCCCCATTTTACAGCAAAGGAAATGGGCATAGAAAGTTGAAGACACTTGGCCTAGGTCAGGGATACTAAATGCAGGCAATGTGACTCAGGAGTTTACATACTCAATAATTATCTGTACTGTGCCCCTTAGAATTGTGCCCACCTCATCAGATATTCTTTAAATTATTTTTATTTTTAATTATTATTGATGCATAACAGTTGTACACATTTTTGGGGTACATGTGATTTTTTTCTTTTTTTTGAGACGGAGTCTCGCTCTGTCGCCCAGGCTGGAGTGCAGTGGTGCGATCTCGGCTCACTGCAAGCCCCGCCTCCCGGGTTCACGCCATTCTCCTGCCTCAGCCTCCTGAGTAGCTGGGACTACAGGCGCCGGCCACCACGCCTGGCTATTTTTTTTGTATTTTTAGTACAGACAGGGTTTCACTGTGTTAGCCAGGATGGTCTGGATCTCCTGACCTCGTGATCCGCCCGCCTCAGCCTCCCAAAGTGCTGGGATTACAGGCGTGAGCCACCGTGCCTGGCCCCCATGTGATATTTTGATAAAGCACACAATGTATAATGAGCAAATCAGGGTAACTGGTGTATCCACCACCTCAAGCATTTATCATTTATTTGTGTTGCTTTTTAACTAAAATTATTTCCATTGACCAAAAATTGGTCTCCGTTCAGCTCGTTCTTAGCTCTTCTCTTTGGAGACATTATGCAATATGTCTAATCTTTGCTTTAATAAAAATTATTGTTCCATCATGTTCCAGTGAGTTTCTACACTCTAGAAAAAACAGCCTCAATATTTTTAGCTGTTGTTTTAATCTAATGTGTGTTCCAGGGCCTGGAGTGCATCTTGGACTCTCTTTTGAACATGTTTCAATTTGTTGATAGGTTTCTTGAACTAGGATATCCAGGTCTAAAGGCATTCTCCTGAATGCATCTGACTAGAATAGGACAAACTGCCTCAGCTTCCATAAAGTATTTTGTGGTACATTCCACAAAAATGGGCCGTAAAATTCATTCTTGAAATTGAACTCAGTGTTGAAATTGTATTTGCTTCTTAAAATTGCATTCAGCAACAAAGCGGAATGTGAAAATAACTTGTACTGTTATTGGAAATGACAAGATTATATCATTATGTATAGACAATTTGATTATATATCTAGAAAGCCCAAGAAAATAAATCTGGGTGGGTGCAGTGGCCCACACCTGTAGTCCCAGAAATTTGGGAGGCCGAGGTGAGTGGATTTCTTGAGCTCAGGAATTCAAGACTGGCTCGGGCAACATGGTGAAACCCTGTCACTACGAAAAATACAAAATACAAAAATTAGCCAGTCATGGTGACACGTGCCTGTGGTCCTAGCTACTCGGGAGGCTGAGGTGGGAGGATCGCTTGAGCCAGGGAGGTCAAGGCTGCCGAGATTGTGCCACTGTACTCCCAACCTGGGTAACAGAGCAAGCCCCTGTGTCAAAAACAAAACAAAACAAAGCAAAACAAAACCCACAAATGAAAAAAGTCCAAAATTTTATTTTGTAATCTACTCCTATGTTACAAAATAGGCACTTAAAAATCAATAGTTTTTCAAAGTACTATCAATGACCAGTAGAAAAAAAATGAAAAATATTCCACTGACAATAGGTCTCTGCATATAAAATGCCCAGGAATTTTTTTGTTTGTAAGGTTTATAATTAAAAAAAAAAAAACTAACATTTTGCTGAGATATAAAAGAAAACTTAGGAAAATGGAAACTATTTTCCTGTTAAGAAGACTGACTATTTTAAAAGAAGTCTTAATTGAATTTCTTTTCCTTACTTTTTTTTGTTTTTTTGAGATGGAGTCTTGCCCTGTCACGCAGGCTGGAGTGTAGTGGCATGATCTTGGCTCACTGCAACCTCTGCCTCCCGGGTTCAAGCGATTCTCCTGCCTCAGCCTCCTGAGTAGCTGGGATTACAGATGCGTGCCACCACGCCCAGCTAATTTTTGTATTTTTAGTAGAGATGGGGTTTCACCATGTTGGTCAGGCTGGTCTTGAACTCCTGACCTAATGATCCACCCACCTTGGCCTCCCAAAGTGCTGGGATTACAGGGGTGAGACACTGCACCAGGCCATCTTAGTTGAATTTCTAATAAAAATCTCAATGGGACTTTTAAAAAAAGAAATTGATGAAATCGTTTTAAAGGTCATCTGGAAACAATTGTTATGAAGTATGTGAAAATGAAGAGTAATTATTGGGGACTTGCTTTATTCAATTTTCCAATATAAAATGAAGTTACGATGATAAAAACAGCAAATATTGGAGAATTTGCAGGCAGGACAAAGTTACAGACATTTCCTAGAAGAACAGCAAATGGCAAAACATGAGGAAAAAAGCTCAACTTCATCAGTAATTTTGCAAATTAAATTACTGAAATTTATGTTGAGGGGTCGAAGAAGTTAGCAAAGATTTTGAAAATAAAAAAAGTTAATGCAAATACTATTAATAACTGACAAATCTTTCAGATAAGCAATTTAACAATAAGTATCAAGGATATTTAACAAGTGCTTAACTAGCCTTTAAATTCCACCTTCTAGACTCTACCTAAGAAAGTAATTGCATGTAAAGATTCTTATAAAATGATGCATGCTGCACATTGATAGCAAAATGCTGGAAATAACCTAACTGCCCAAAAGAGGAAGATGAATAAATAGAATATGGTATAGCCATAAAACAGAATAATACTCTGAACCTGAAAATGTTGTGTGGAAAAATTAGTATACCCAACTGATATGGTTTGACTCTGTGTCCCCACCCAAATCTCATGATGAATTGTGATTCTGAGTGTTGGAGATGGGGCCTGGTGGGAGGTGTTTTGATCATGGGGGTGGTTTCTAATGGTTTAGCACCATTCCCCTAGTGCTGTCTCATGAGTGAGTTCTCATGAGATCCGGTTATTTAAAAGTGTATAGCATTTCCCCCTTCTCCCTCTCTCTGCTGCCATCATGTGAAAATATGCTTGCTTCCCCTTCACCATTTTGCCATGATTATAAGTTTACTGAGGTCTCCCCAGCCATGCCTCCTGTACAGCCTGTGGAACTCTGAGTCAATTAAACCTCTTTTCTTTATAAATTGAGAAACCTTGTCTCTACTAAAAATACAAAATTAGCCCGGCGCGTTGGTGTA
Source organism: Homo sapiens (assembly GCF_000001405.40). Lineage (NCBI taxonomy): Eukaryota > Metazoa > Chordata > Mammalia > Primates > Hominidae > Homo > Homo sapiens. The sequence continues at coordinate 224,721,001 of NC_000002.12, forward strand.
TGCCTGTAATCCCAGCTACTTGGGAGGCTGAGGCAGGAGAATCGCATGAACCCGGGAGGTGGAGTTTGTGGTGAGCCGATATCATACCATTGCACTCCAGCCTGGGCAACAAGAGCGAGACTCCATGTCAAAAAAAAAAAAAATTACCCAGTCTTACATAGTTATTTATAGCAACGTGAGAATGGACCAATACACCTGCTGTATATAAAACATTATCTAAACTATGTTAAAAATGGAAAGAAATATCCCAAAGGAAAAACAGTTTCTAAGTTTGTGTGGTAAGATTTTTGATGATTTTTAGTTACCCGTGTATGTTATCTGAATTTTAAAAAATTCTGTAATTGGCTGGGCCCAGTGGCTCAAGCCTGTAATCCCAGCGCTTTGGGAGGCTGCGGGGGCGGAACACGAGGTCGAGATTGAGACCATCCTGGCCAACGTGGTGAAACCCCGTCTCTACTAAAAATACAAAAAATTAGCTGGGCATGGTGGCGGGCACCTGTAGTCCCAGCAACTCGGGAGGCTGAGGCAGGAGAATGGTGTGAGCCCGGGAGGCGGAGCTTGCAGTGAGCCAAGATCGTGCCACTGCACTCCAGCCTGGCGACAGAGCGAGACTCCGTCTAAAAAAAAAAAAATTCTGTAATTATGTGAATGGCTTCTATAATAAAAAAAAGTGATGAAAATAGAATAAATAATATGAAAGAAATTTAATAAAATGAAGTGATATTACATTTTTTTGGAATTTTTGGTGGACTTTTGAAGTCAGATGACTAGTGAAAACTGGAATTTTCTTATCAAAGTTGTTGTAGTCTGTAACAGTTGTCATAAAAATTTGAAATTTTGATATATAGTGAAAGCTGTTTAGAATTAGTAAATTTTTATACGAATGCAAGAACCAAGTTTTTTTTTTTTTTGAGTCAGAGTCTCACTCTGTCACCCAGGCTGGAGTGCAGTGGCGTGATCTCGGCTCACTGCGACCTGTGCCTCCCAGGTTCAAGCAATTTTCAAACCTCAGCCTCCCGAGTAGCTGGGATTGTAGGCACCCGCCACAACATCCAGCTAATTTTTGTATTTTTTGTAGAGATGGGGTTTCACCATGTTGGCCAGGCTGGTCTCGAACTCCTGGCCTCAAGTGATCCACCTGCCTCAGCCTCCCGAAGTGCTAGGATTACAAGCATGAGCCACCACGCCTGGCTGGTTTTTTATATAGATGCATACATATATATACACACACAAACATGTATATATTGTAAAGCATATGGATGTCTTATGTAGTGGAATAAGCCAAGGTTTCCCTAGGCATCTACATAGCTAATTTCCTCATCTCCTGCCTCAGCTAGTAAACACCATACCTCCAGCCCCCAGCCTCCAGCATGAGTCAGCGCTGTGGGAATTGAGTAGGCCTTTGGCTCTTCTCAGGTCTGAGGGCAACATTTTAGAAAAAAAGATTAGCCACATTAGGCTGTCTGCTTTTCAGACACTGGAAACCTGGCAAATACCTTCCTTCCACCCGGCTCAAACAAAGACCACAACATTTGCCTTTTCTAGACATAACATCATCTTGCTGGGATATGGTATGGAGGGGTGATATGTGGCTTCCTTACCTGTCAGAACCTTCCATTTTAGTCGATGACAAAGGATGAGCAAGGTCAGAATAAAAAGAAGGGATTTTGACTGGATCATCAGCACTTGATCATATTTCCTTCTGTGCAGAGATATCCAATTGCCTTACCCTCTGTGACATAATAGGAAAATGTCACTTACATGAAATCTTATGTCTTACTTTTCAAGCAGACATACATCCTGCTGTTATAAATTATTTAAACAGCTACCGAGAAATTCTACTTTTGCAGCATTTGCCAAGAATTTACTTTGACCTTGAACTTGATATGCAGCTATTGTCACAGTGATTTCCCAGGTGACCAGAAGCAGCTGGTGTTTCTATGAGCCCAGACTCAGCAGCAGATTTGACAGTCTGCCATTTTGCTGTTGTTTTGACATTTGAGTATCACACAGTATCAGAGTAGTTGTGTGGAAAGGAAAGAGATGAAAAGTTTTTGATGGTCATGACATACATGAAATGCTGATGAGTCTGTGAGAGGGATGTTTACGGAATGCCCTGGGTCAACTCACATGAAAGAGATTAGCTGCCTCCTTGTGCAGCGAGACGTGAGATGATCATGGCTTGGTTAGGTTCGTGTGAATGCAGGGACTTCCTTGGAGACAGGTATGGGAAGGAACATCTACCATTTGATAAGCTGCCACTGGCCTGTGGGGAGTTTCCAATGAGAATAGGAATTTCAAAGCCCCCTTGACTGGCATGTGTGCAAACAATTTGAACTGATATAATGGACAGGGTGAAGATCCCAGGTCCTAACTTCTGCTCTGTCATTAACTCATTATTACATCTTAATCATAAAATATAGACATTGCAAAAATCATAAATAAATGTCTTACAGAGTGAGTCAGGTAAAATAAATGACTAGAGATGCAGAGGTTGGCAACTACTCAGCTCCAGCCATTTGCTGCCATAAAGGATTGTAATTGCAGTGTTTCCAGTTCTTTTGACTGTCAACCTCAAGTAACAACAGACAGAGTGGCTCTCAAAATAAATGAATTTGTTCCAGAATGAGCAGGGGATCATAATTTAGGATATGCATGCTATGGCGGATCATAGGCATATCCAAAGAGGTTAGGATAAGGGGAAATTTTTAAAGGCAAAAAGCAGAAGTTCACACAAGCTGTCCTGAAACTAACTTCATTAGTCACAGAGGCTCACTGCAGGAGCTGTTGATTACTCATTGGCAATGCTGATCATTGTTGGAAAGACGTCTTCATAGAAGCATCTTATCTAGAATTTTTTGTGGTGTCAGAGAGTTCTTGAAATAGTTCTTATCATAGCCATGTGTGAATAAGGACCTTCAGAGAGTCTTTAAAATAGTTCCAATCTTAAACATACATGCATGAGGTCCCCTCCCTCATGACCTCTTGGCCCTGCTTTGGTCTGGGTCTGACATAAGTGACTCCATCTTGGCTTCAGCAGCTTTCACAAGGCTTTCCAAAAGAAGCTGGGAATTCAGATTTTATATGAGATATTCACTTTTTATAAGTTTTTTTTGGTGTATTCTTTACTGATATATCAGAATTGTACATATTTTGGGGGTGCATGTGATATTTTGATACACATATACAATGTATAATGAGCAAATCAGGTTAATTGGGATATCTATCACCTCTGACATTTATCTTTTCTTTGCGTTGGGAATATTACAATTCTTCTCTTCCAGCTATTTTGAAATATACAGTAAATTACTAACTATAATATCAAACACTAGAATATATTCCCTCTATCAAACTATTTTTATACCCGTTAACGAACTTCTGTCTATCCTTTCCTTTCACCTTCCCTTTTCAGCCTCTGGTTACCATCATTGTACTCTTTACTTTCATGAGATCTAGTTTTTTAGCTCCTGCATATGAGTGAGAACATGTGCTCCTTGTCTTTCTGAGCCTGCCAAATTTCACTTAACATAATGACTTCCAGCTCTATCCATGCTGCTGCAAATGACAGGACATTTTTTTAAAATCCATTTGTCTGTTGATAGGCATTTAGGTTGATTCCATATTTTGGCTGTTGTGAATAGTGCTGCAATAAACAAGGGAGTGCAGGTTTCTCCTCAATATAATAATCACCTTTCTTTTTTTCTTTTCCTTTTTTTTTGAGACAGAGTCTTGCTCTGTCGCCTAGGCTGGAGTGAAGTGGCACGATCTTGGCTCACTGCAAGCTCCGCCTCCTGGGTTCACGCCATTTTCCTGCCTCAGCCTCCCGAGTAGCTGGGACTACAGGCGACTGCCACCATGCCTGGCTAATTTTTTGTATTTTTAGCAGTGATAGGGTTTCACTGTGTTAGCCAGATGGTCTCGATCTCCTGACCTCGTGATCTGCCCGCCTCGGCCTCCCAAAGTGCTGGGATTACAGGTGTGTGCCACCACACCTGGCTAATTTTTTGTATTTTTAGTAGAGACGGAGTTTCATCATGTTGGCCAGGCTGGTCTCGAACTCCTGACCTCAGGTAATCCATCTGCCTCAGCCTCCCAAAGTGCTGGGATTACAGGTGTGAACCACCACACCTGGCCAGTAGTTCTATTTTTAGTGCTTTGAGAAACCTCTGTATGTTTTCTGTGATGGCTCTACTACTTTACATTTCCACTAGCAGTGGACCAGTGTTCCCCTTTCTCTGCATCCTTGCTAGCTTTTTTTTTTTTAATAGCCATTCTAAGTGGGGTGAGAGAGTATCTCATTGTGGTTAATTCACATTTCCCTTGTATACCTGCTGGCCATTTGTATGTCATCTTCTGGGAAATGTCTATTCAGGTCTTTTGCCCATTTTTAAATTAGATTATTTATTTATTTGCTACTGAGGTGTTTGCTTTCCCTGTATATGCTGGTTATTAATCTCTTTTTGGATGGATAATTTGCAAATATTTTTCCCATTCTGTAGGTTGTCTCTTCATTTTTAGCTTGATGTAATCCTATTTACCTATTTTGGCTTTTGTTGCCTGTGCTTTTGAGGTCTTGCCCAGAAAACTTTGCCCAAACCACTGTTCTGAAGTGTTTCCCAGTGTTTTCTTCTAGTCATTTCATGGTTTCAGGCCTTACATTTAAGTCTTTAATCCATTTTAATTTGATTTTTGTATATGGTGAAAGATGGGGATGTAGTGTTACTCTTCTGCGTATGGTTATCCAGTTTCCCCAATGCCATTTATTATAGAGGCTGTCTTTTCCCCAATGCATGTTCCTGGCATCTTTGTTGAAAATGGGTTGTCTCTAAGTGTGTGAATTTATTTCTCGGTTTTCTGTGCTGTTCCATTGGTCTATGTGTCTGTTTTGATGCCAATATCATGCTGTTTTGTCTACTATAGCCTTGTAGTATAATATGAGATCAGGTAGTGTGATGCCTCCAGTTTTGTTCTTTTTGCTCAAGATTGAGATTGCTTTAAGCTATTCGAGGTCTTCTGTAATTTTATACAAATTTTGCAATTGTTTTTCTTATTTCGGTGGGGAATGTCATTGGTATTTTGATAGGGATTGCACTGAATCTGTAGATTGCTTTGGGTAGTATGGACATTTTAACAATATTGATTCTTCCAACCAGTGGGCATGGAATATCTGTCCATTTTTTGCGTCCATTTCCATTTCATTCATCAGTGTTTTGTAGTTTTCCTTGTAGAGATATTTCACTTCTTGGTTAAATTGATTTCTAGGTATTTTATTTTCATTGTAGCTATTGTAGATGGGATTGATTTCTTTTTCAGGTTGATCACTATTGGCATATATAAATGCTACTGAATTTTGTATGTTAATTTTGTATCCTGCAATTTTACTGAATTTATTATCAGTTGTAAGAGTTTTTTGGTAGAGCTATTAGGATTTTTGAAACATAAGATCATGTCATCTGCAAACAAAGATAATTTGACTTTTTCCTTGCCAACTTAGATGCCTTTTTTAAAAAAAAAACTTCTCTTGCCTAATTGCTCTTGTTAGGACTTTAATACTGTTTTGAATAAAAGATAAAAGTGGTGATAGAGGTCATCCTTGTCTTGTTCCAGATTTTAGTGGAAGGCTTTCAATTTTTCCCCATTCAGTATGTTAGCTGTGGGTTTGTCATACATGGCTTTCATCATGCTGAGCTATGCTCCTTACATACCCAATTTGTTGAGGGTTTTTTATCGTGAAAGGATGTTGAATTTTATTGAATGCTTTTTCAGCATCTATTGAAAAGATCATGTGGGTTTTGTCTTTGAATCTGTTAATGTGATGTATCATGTTTATTGATTTGCATATGTTGAACCATCCTTGCATCTCTGGGATGAATCTCACTTAATCATGGTAAATGATCTTTTTAGTGTTGATATATTTTGTATATCTGTCCCTGAACAAATCTCATGTTGAATTGTAATCCCTAATGCTAAAGATGGGGCCTGGTGGGAGGTGTTTGGATCATGGGGGTGGATCCCTCATGGTTTCATACTGTCTTTGCAATAGTGAGTTCTTGTGAGATCTTGTCATTTAAAGGTTTGTGGCATCTCCTCCACCACTTTCTCTCTCCCATTGCTCCTGTTCCCACCATGTGAAACACCTGCTTCCACATCACCTTCTGCCTTGAGTTAAAGCTCCCTGAGGCCTCCCCAGGAGCTGAGCAGATGCCAGCACCATGTTTGCACAGCCTGCAGAACTGTCAGCCAATTAAATATCATTTATTTATAAATTACGCAGCCTCCAATATTTCTTTATAGCAATGCAGGAATGGCTTAATACAAAAGCATTATTGAATTCTGTTTGCTAGTATTTCATTTAGGATTTTTGCATCTATGTTCATCAAGGATATTGGTCTGTAGTTTTCTTTTTTTTGCGTCTTTGCTTGGTTTTGGTATAAGGGTAATGCTGGCCTCATAGAATGAATTTGAAAGTATTCCTGCCTCTTTGATATTTTGAAATCATTTGAGTAGAATTGGTATTAGTTCTTTTATAAGTGTTTGGTAGAATTCAACAGGGAATCCATCAGGTCTTTTCTTTGATTGAGATTCTTTATTACTGCTTCCCTTTACTTGTTATCGTTATTGTTATTACTGCTTCCCTTTACTTGCTATTGTTATGTTTAGGTTTTCAGTTTCTTCATGGTTCAATCTTGGTAGGTTGTATTTGCCTAGAAATGTATCTACTTCCTGTAGGTTTTCCAATTTGTTGGAGCATAGTTGCTCATAGTATTTCTAATGATTATTTGTACTTCTGTGATACCAGTTGTAATGTTTCCTTTTTCATCGCTGATTTTTAAAATGTGGGCTTCTTTTTTCCTTGGTGTAGCTTACGGTTTGTTGATTTTGTTTAGGACTGTTAGAACTCAGAAAGCTTATCACTCACAAGCTTTGGAAAGATTTCTTAAGGATATATTGTAGCAAGTGAAAATTGAATCAGAGAAAGCATAAGGCCTAAGATATAAGAAACTGATAGGTAAATGAGCCTTTAAAGGGTAGAATTATCTTATTAATCTTTGATATATAATATAGAAGAAAATTTATAGTAACTTTTCTGGAGCTAAATTTCCATAGCTTATAATATAAAATACTGTTGAAATAGTAAAGTGATAAAGTGATAAATTTCCTTTATTTGCTAAGGAAATGTATAGATATTGATTCATTTAATATAATTATAGAAGAATACAGATTTAGATAAGTCTGTTAAAAATGTAAAGGATAGTACTAGAAAAAGAGAAATAGAATGCATGTCTTCTGAACCACTAGAGATAAAAATTGATACCACCACAAACAAAATACTTGCTGATAAACAGAAAATATAAAATAACCAAAAAGGAATAGATGTAAACATATAAACATTACCCTTATTATGAATGGATTAGTTTCATAGAGGTACTTGGATTGGGGTTTTTGTGTGGGGTACTATAATTTTGCTAAATGTTGGCTGCAATAGCAGCATTAGTATACACAAAATGACAATGGAAGAAAAGGAAATCTTGTGCCAGTCCTTCTAGTTCAATATAGCAGACTGAACATATGCTTTATTTCCATTCCCTCTCAAAACCCCACTACAGAGAAGGAAAAAGGAAGCATGGCTCCAGAAGAACAAAGAAGACACAATGGCAATAAATTTTTGAAGCTAGAAATTAGACACAAAAGTGGTAACTCACTTGGCAGCTCATGGAAAGCACACATAGGAAGCAAGATTGAAAGCCTGGATAGTGTCCTTGAAATAGCTAATTCATCATGCAGAACCTGAGATTTTGGAAACATCAGGTGATGATCAATGTGCAGATATGGGAAGGTCCAAAACAAGGAGAATTGGTTGAAGCAGTTAGATCTCTAGATGCCCTCTTCACCCCACATAGACAATCAACTACCTGAGCATTAATATAAAACAGGAGATTTATTTTCCGGAGGGGATGAAGCAAAGGGACTCTGAACTGGGAACACCAAGTTGAAAGTGTGAATCCTATACTGAAAACAGGATTAAGTGATGAAGTGATGCTCTTCCTGCTAATGATGAAAATGCTAGAACCAGTTTTGGCCAAACAGGTTTATAATCCTCTTTTTTTTTTTTCAGATGGAGTCTCGCTCTGTCACCCAGGCTGGAGTGCAGTGGTGCGATCTTGGCTTACTGCTCCGCCTCCCGGGTTCGCGCCATTCTCCTGCCTCAGCCTCTGAAGTAGCTGGGACTACAAGTGCCCACCACAATGCCTGGCTAACTTTTGTATTTTTAGTAGAGATGGGGTTTCACCATGTTAGCCAGGACGGTCTCGATCTCCTGACCTCGTGATCTGCCCGCCTCAGCCTCCCAAAGTGCTGGGACTACAGGCGTGAGCCACCGCGCCCGGCCTAGGTTTATAATCCTTAGTGATTCTCTCTGATTTCTGGGACACTGACCAGCCCAATAAGAAAGATCTATAGATACTGTCAGTGGATAGCTCCCTAAGTTAATGCCCACTCTGGTCTGGTCACTCAACAATGAAGCCCAGTAATAGAAAGGTGTTCTATTTCTTGCATACATACGTGTATACACATTTGCACATTCACTTAGTTTAATGTCAACTAGTAGTGCCTCACTTTGAGTATGGATGGGTAGTAAATCATTAACAAATTGAGGAAATCATCTAACATAACAGACAAAGGCCAAAACAAACAGAAAAAAGTACTTGTAGGAAACAGAGATAATGTAAGAAGAAAATTCAAACAAGTAACTATAATTAGTATTCCTGGAAACTATGTGAAGATTAGTGTTAATGAAACAAAAACAGAATGCACATAAAAAGAGAACCTTTAGAGAAATAAGGAGCCTCTAGAAATTAAAAATAAGGTGGCAGAAATGTATGGGTCACATTTTCTGAAGATAGTTAATATATGCAAGAGGAGAGATCTCTTATTTCCATCCCTAAGAGACTGACCAAATATGTCACTGAAAGTAATCGCAAAAACCAAAATTACTTTTGCACCGAACTAATAGAAATTTAAAAACAGCCATGTATTAATAAGGAAATTAAAATAATTAAAAATGAATGGAAAATCTCTGAGATCCACTATAACCATCTTCAGAAGAAAATTTAATATTTGAAGTGAATTTATTTAATGCATTTACCAAATTTGTTTTATTTTTCTTCCTGGCTTGTGGATAAACTACACTACCTGCAGATAGTTGGGACCATGTGACTAAATTCTGTCCAATGGAATGTGGGCAGAAGTAACTATGCTACTTCCAGGCCTGACCTCTGAAATGCCCATTCTCTAGAAGTTCTGCTTTCAGTCTCAGATTTTCTCCCCCATTGGCTGGTCAAATAAAGGGACTCAATCTAGGTGCATCACAAATCTCCAGTAAACATTACCCATGCTTTTCTGCTACTGCCGAGCCTGTTCTCTCTTTCCAAGGGTGAAGGGAAGGTATCATTTATCCCTAGTTATCCAGTGTTTTAAAATCCAGGCTGATGGGATACCTAAGAGCTTACTTAGCATGAATCAAACAACATATTTGAAGTTCTTAACTCAGTGATACAATAGTTTGGAAAAGTTCCTTTACTACAAGCCTGACACCTGTGTATGTTCGGGGTGGGGTGAGAGAGGGAGAGAGAGAGATAGAGAGCACAAAAGAGAGAGAGACACTATTTGAGAGGTTGAAAAAATGCATTCATTTATTTGTTTGTTCATTCATGTATATATTCAGCAAATACTTTTTAAGCATCTATCTATCTAATGCACTATCCTGGGCACTGGAAACGACAAAGTAAATACATAAAATAATCAAAACATAGATTGTGGTTTGTTCGTGATTAGTATTAGAAAGAAACCACCAAGGACAATCTTCTTTAGGAAGAATATCAGGGAGACCTCTCTATGTCACAAAGGAGTAGAACTTGAGAGTCCCACAAAAAATTCAGCCAGCTTATAAAAGGCCTTGCAGACCACATGGTGAAATTTGGCTTTTATTTTAAGTTTTTAAGCCTTAAAAAGATCCTTTGGGCTATTCAGTGAAGAATGGATTAAGTGATAATAAGTAACTGGTAATAAATCCTGGTGAGGAGACCAGGTGATTTATGAGAAAATATTTTTAAAATTCATTAAATATTGCAATGTCATTTAAGGAATTCTTCCTATCCATGGTCTTTTGGTAAAATAATTTTCAATCCCCAGCTTGACAACAATGATCTTGTTACGATCTGTCTGCAAAAGTCCTGCTTTCTGGGTGACTGCATTGTTTGTGGTGGAGAAAAACATTTTATTTTTAAGAAATATTATTTAAACATGTCTGATTATTTTAAATGGCAAGACATCCTTGGATTTATCTGATGATCAATTGTCTAACTAAAGTTTGTGATTGAACTTCTGGGGTGGTGGATAAATCTTATTTCAAAGAGAAGAGACAAACTATTACTTTTTGTTCTCTTACTGGTTTATACTAGAGACTGTTCCAAATGAACTGTGGTATTTTGACTACTGCCATTATAGTAGAACAAACAGCATTCTTTATTCCTTATGCTATTAGGGTGTGTTTGGTAAAGGAAGAAATGAATAGCAGTTTTCTCTGAATATATTTAAAAAATACATAGAAGGTACTCTGCCAATAGAATGAGCACTAAAATGCCTACTCATTTAGTTGTTCAACAAATGGCTGGTGTCATTATAAATGAGCCTATGTCTGGGACTTCTTTAAGTATGAATAATGCAAATGATGAGACTATTTGACTCTGGATTAAATCTCTGTGAAGTCATTGGCATGTGTTGCATGCAGTCTAGCTGGGTTGGAGGTCCTGAAATAGGGTTCCCATGCCTCTTTCCACTCTCAACTCCTCTGCCATGATGAATGGAGATGGGAGCTCTTATTCAGAGCAATAATTCATGCTGTGGCAGAAACAAGCCAGCCTATGGAAATGGTTTCACAGGGCAAAGGAGTCATCTGACCGTGGGGCCATTACACAAATTGATGGAGAGCTGAGTTCTTTTCCTGAACTAGCCATAATGACAACCTGATGAAAATGGGTTGAATTTTGATTCACCTTTGGTTTTCCCTTTTCATGAGATTTATATTAGATTTAGTTCACTGGTTTTTATATTGAACTTGGTTAGTGAGTATAAAAACATATAGGTTAAAGTTAACAAACAAAATATACAGACTTCATTTGCATTTGCGATTTTGCTAAAATTTTTTTCCATCAAATATTTTACAGTTTATTCTCGTTTGGGTTCAATTAAAATTCTTGGTCTCTGGAAATGCTTATAAATTAAGAAAATGGCCATCTGGTTTTCTTTTTTTTTTTTCTTCTTTTTTTTTTTTTAGATAGCCATTCATCTGCCTAATGGAAGTGTTGAGGTCATCTCTAGCTCTAAGGTTTTGTGATTCAAACAGGAAAATACGTTATTCTTGTTTAAAGACCTGGCCACCATCTGTGATTTTTGGTATGCTGCCACATAGAGAATAGCAGTGTATCAGAAGGTGGTCTTAAAAAAGGATCAGCGGAATGAAGGGATATGAATAATTTTTTTTTTTTTAAGGCAGAGTCTCACTCTGTCGCCCAGGCTGGAGTGCAGTGGCGTGACCTTGGCTCACTGCAAGCTCTGCCTCCCGGGTTCACACCATTCTCCTGCCTCAGCCTCCCAAGTAGCTGGGACTACAGGCACCCACCACCACACTCGGCTAACTTTTTGTATTTTGAGTAGAGACGGGGTTTCACCATGTTACCCAGGATGGTCTCGATCTCCTCACCTCGTGATCCACCCGCCTCAGCCTCCCAAAGTGCTGCGATTACAGGCATGAGTCACTGTGTCCGGCCTAATAAATTTTTTAAAATTAGAGTTTCTGTGTTTGTATAGCCATTACCATTTTTTTCCGACTATTTTGATCTAAGTAGTTAATCAAATTATGTTTTTGGAATTGAGTTTTTGGGTCCTCTATTCTTCCTAACAGATTTTCTTAGCATACAGCATTTTGATATTAAAATCCTGCTTCTTTTGTGTATCTCATATCTTTTCTATGCCTTGCCTTTTTACATCTAAAAGCAATGGTTTAGAGATATTGGACAGTGATGATGTGACACAGAAACTAGAAATCTTGCTAGGCTATTATTTATTACCTTTTTTTCTTTAATGCAGAGGGCATTCATGTCTGTAATCCTAACACTTTGGGAGGCCAAGGTGGGTGGATTACTTGAGGTCAGGAGTTTGAGACCAGCCTGGCCAACATGGTGAAACCCCGTCTCTACTAAAAATACAAAAATTAGCCAGATGTGGTGGCAGGCACCTGTAATCCCAGCTACTCGGGAGGCTGAGGCAGGAGAATCACTTGAACCCAGGAGGCAAAGGTTGCAGTGAGCCTAGATCTCGCCACTGCACTCCATCCTGTGTGACAGAGCGAGACTCCATCTCAAAAAAAAAAAAAAAAGCAGAGGGCAAATAAGTATTGGGAAACATATAGCTATAATTGTAAATGCAAATCGATCACAGATACCAACCTTTTTTTTGAAAAAAGATAATAAACATGTTGTTTTCTAACCATCAAGAATAGCTCTGTTATACATTATTGGAAATATGCTTCTATTATTTTTTTCTATCACTCTTCTGAGTGGAAAAAACTCAAAACTATGCTTTTTTTTTTCTATTCACTCACTCAAATAACAATCAATACAGAAGGCTTCTGTGACCAAATGCGTGGGTTTTTTTCTCCCACACACTAAGCAAGCAACTGGTTCTGTAGTGGACACCAGCTGGATGGCACTATTTACTTGGAGATAGCATCAGGTCCTATAGGTTGAGGGCTCAGTCTTGAAGACTGTTCCCCAAGTTTCAATACCAACTGCAGGCCCTTGGTTGTTTTACCTGTGCTTCTGACTGACCAGCTATAAATTGGGGTTCCCATGATCACCTTCTGGGATTCAATTAATTTGCTAGAGCACCTCATAGAACTCAGGGAAACACTTACTTTGGTTTACTGGTTTATTATAAAGGATGTTACAAAGGATACAGGTGAAGAGATGCATAGGGTAAGGTATGAAGGAAGGGGCACGAAGCTTCCATGCCCTTCCCAGGCATGCCACTCTCCAAGAACCTCCAGGTGTTGGGCTATCCAGAAGCTCCTTGAACCCAGTCTTTTTGTGCTTTTAGGGATCCCTCATTACATGGGCATGATTGATTAAATCATTGCCATTGGTGATCAACTTAACTTTCAGCCTCTCTCCCCTTCCCAGAATTCAAGGGGGGGCACGTTGAAAACCCTAACTCTCTAATCCTGCTTTGGTTTTTCTGTTGACCAACCCCCATCTTGAAGCTACCTTAGGGCTCCAGCCATCAGTCTATCATTAGCAACAAAAATACGTCAATTTAGAGAATCTAAGAATTTTAGGAATTGTATGCCAGGAAACAAGGTCAAAGACCACATATATATTTCACAAAATCACACACTACATTTTCTATCTGTTCTTAGGTTTATGTGACTATTGTGTGTTTATAGGTTATTACTTAGGTTTATCCAAAGAAACAGAACAAAAGGATGTGTGTGTGTGTGTGTGTGTGCATGCACGTGTGTGTGTGTATATATATATATATGGAGGACGAACAAGAGATGTATAAACATACACACATGTTTATATACATATACATATATATATATTTATGTATGCATACCCACACATATATATATATAAAGAGAGAACCTACAGGAGCTGTAGATACACACACACAAACACACACACACACACACATACACACACACATATATACATATATATACTCATTCACTACCACAAGAACAGCAAGGGGAAATCTGCCCCCGTGATTCAATCACCCCCCACCAGGCACCTCCTCCAGTTCAATATGGGATTTGGGTAGGGACACAAGTTCTAAACATATCAACAGGACTTCTCAGCCTCCATAATTATGTAAAGCAACTCCTCATAATAAATCTCTCTCTGTATGTATATATACATATATGTGTGTGTGTGTGTGTGTGTGTGTTTGTGTATATATACTGTATGTATATATACATACAGATATTGGGAGGTGATTGAATCATGGGGGCAGATTTCCCCTTGCTGTTCCTGTGATAGTGAATGAGTTCTCATGAGATCTCATGGTTTAAAAGTACGTGGCACTTCCCCTTTCACTGTCTCTCTCTTGCTCTGCCACAGTAAGACATGCTTGCTTCCCCTTTACCTTATGCCATGATTGTAAGTTTCATGAGGCCTTCTAGCCATGCTTCCTGAAAGAAAGAAGCTATCCTGTACAGCCTGCAGAACTGTGAGTTAATTAAACCTTTTTTCTTCATGAATTACCCAGTCTCAGGTAGTTCTTTATAGCAGTGTGAGAATGAACTCATACAGAAAGTTGATACCAGGAGAGTGGGGTTCTGCTATAAAGATACCTGAAAATGTGTAGGTGACTTTGGAACTGGTCATGGGCAGAGGTTGGAACAGTTTGAAGGGGTCAGAAGAAGAAAGGAGGATGTGGGAAGGTTTGGAACTTCATAGAGACTTGTTGAATGGTTTGACCAAAATGCTGATAGTGATATGGACAATGATGTTTAGCCTGAGGTGGTCTCAGATGGAGATGAAGAACTTATTGGGAACTGGAATAAAGGTCATCCTTGCTATCCTTTAGCAAAGAAACTGGAGGCATTTTTCCCCTGCCCTGGAAATCTGTGGAACTTTGAGATGAGTTAGGGTATTTAGCAGAAGAAATTTCTAAGCAGCAAAGCATTCAAGAGCTAACCTGACTGTTTCTAAAAGTGTATGCTTATACATGTGAACAAAGAGATTATCTGAAACTGGAACTTATATTTAAAAGGGAAGCAGAGCATAAAAGTTTGGAAAATTTGCAGCCTGGCCATGTGGTAGAAAAGAAAAACCCATTTTCTGGGGAGAAATTCAAGCCTGCTGCAGAAATTTGCATAAGTAAAGAGGAGCCAATTTTTTTTTTTTTTTTTGAGATGGAGTCTCGCTCTGTCACCCAGGCTGGAGTGCAGTGGCGCAATCTTGGCTCACTGCAACCTTCGCCTCCTGGGTTCACGCCATTCTCCTGCCTCAGCCTCCTGAGTAGCTGGGACTACAGGCGCCCGCCACCAAACCCGGCTAATTTTTTTGTATTTTTAGTAGAGACAGGGTTTCACCATGTTAACCAGGATGGTCTTGATCTCCTGACCTCGTGATCCGCCTGCCTCGGCCTCCCAAAGTGCTGGGATTACAGGTGTGAGCCACCATGCCCGGCAAGAGCCAAATGTTAATAGCCAATACAATAAGGAAAATATCAGAGACCAGGGCATTTCAGAGACCTTCACAGCAACCCTTCCCATTACAGGTCCAGAGGCCTAGGAGGAAAAAATGGTTTTCTGTGTCAGGCTGAGGGCCCAGCTGCTCTGTGCAGCCTTGGGATATGGTGCCCTGTGTCTAAGCTGCTCCAGTTCCAGCTGTGGCTAAAAGGGGAGGGCATACAGCTCAGGCTGTTGCTTCAGAGGGTGCAAGCCCTAAGCCTCAGAGGCTTCCACATGGCCTTGGGCCTGTGGGTGCACAGAAGGCAAGAGTTGAGCTTTGGGAGCCTCTGCCTGGATTTCAGAGGATGTATGGGAATGCCTGGATGTCCAGGCAGAAGTCTGCTGCGAGGCAGAGCCCTCATGGAGAACCTCTACTAGGGAAGTGCAGATGGGAAATGTGGGGTCGGAGCCCCCACACAGAGTCCCCACTAGGGCATTGCTTAGTGGAGTTGTGACACGAAGGCTACTATCCTCCAGACCCCGGAATGGTAGATCCACTGAGAGCTTGCACTGTGCACCTAGAAAAGCCACAAGCACTCAATGCCAGCCCATGAAAGCAGCCACAAGAGCTGTACATACCCTACAGAGCCACAGGGGTGGAGCTGCCCAACGCCTTTGGAGCCCACCCCTTGCATCAGTATGCTGTGGATGTGAGACATGGAGTCAAAGGAGATCATTTTGGAGCTTTAAGATTTAATGACTGTCCTGCTGGGTTTTGGACTTGCATGGGGCCTCTAGCCCCTTTGTTTTGGACAGTTTCTCCCTTTTGGAGTGGAAGCATTTACCTGATGCCTGTATGTCTATATTATCTTGGAAATAACTTGTTTTTGATTTTACAGGCTCATAAGTGGAAGGGACTTGCCTTGTCTCAGATGAGACTTTGGATTTGGACTTTCGATTTAATGCTGGAATGAGTTAAGACTTTGGGGAATTGTTGGGAAAGCATGATTGATTTTCAAATGTGAGAAGGACGTGAGATTTGGGAGGGGCCAGGGGCAGAATCGTAAGGTTTAGATTTGTGTCCTGTCAAATTTCATGTTGAATTGGAGGTGGGGCCTGGCGGGAGGTGATTGGATCATGGGGATGGATCTCCCTCTTGCTGTTCTCATGTTGGTAAGTGAGTTTTCTTGAGATCTCATGGTTTAAAAGTGTGTTGCACTTCCCTCTTCACTCTCTCTCTCCTGCTCTGCCATGGTAAGATGTGCTTGCTTCCCCTTTCTCTTCTGCTGTGATTGTAAGTTTCTTGAGGCCTTCTACCCATGCTACTGGTACAGCCTGAGGAACTTTGAGTCAATTAAACCTCTTTCCTTCATAAATTACCCAGTCTCAGGTGGCTCTTTATAGCAGTGTGAGAATGGACTAATGCACCTGTGATCTACCTTTTGCAGACTGAAGACCTAGATTAGTCCAAAGGCCTAAGAACCAGGGGCACAATGGTGTAAATCTCTGTTACCAGACCAAACTGGGATCTGCTCACCCTGTGCCATAGGCCAAACATCTATATGAAAGTTTGCAGAGGGAGAAAGGAGGGGCCCAAGCATGAAGAATTGGGCAGCTTACGCTTGAGACATGACCCCTCTGATGGCTTGTGAGTGTTATTTAAAGGTGGGGGTAAATTTTAGGAAAGTTGAAGTTATAGTAAAAATTGTAAATCAATACATGGAGATTACACATCGATTTGGCCCCAAAAGGTTGGATATCTTAAGGCAGGGGATTATAGGTCATAGGTATATTCAAAGACTTTCTGATTTGCAATTAGTGAAGGAAGAGAATCTCTGTTTAAAAATGTGGGGTTAGCAGAAAAGAATGTTAGCTCTGGCTCATGGGCATGATTTCCTCCAGACCCCTCAGGAAGAACTTTACAATAAAGAACTGCAGAGTTCATTCCTCAGTTTTCCCTTATCTGAGGTCTACATGCCAGCATGTTTATTTGATGGGGATCCAGGTTTCTGAAAACAGCTCAGGCACATAGGTTAAGATGTTGTCTTTAGTTTCTATAGGGAACACCAAACATCCTTTAACTCTAACTTCCTTGGCTATTGTTTTAAGCTACCATTCCTTCTTACTTTTTGAGTTGCTCATTTACTTCTCAGGGCTAGCTAGGTGCCTGGAATTTCCCCTGAAGGAACCAAATATTTTCTTTTATTTTCATCGTATGGGGTGCCCACAGGCCTCTCAGAGGGTCTCTGCTTTGTCTCAAGTCCAAGAACAGGCAAAGACTGATGTCCCAGTTCATGCAGACAGGAAGAAAGCAAAGGACAAATTCCCCCTTCCTTTGCCATTTTTTTCTATTCAGTCCCTCGATTGGATGATGCCCACACACATTTGAGAAGGCCATCTGCTTTACTCAGCCCACCAATTCAAATGCCAATCTCATCTGGAAAAAACCTCAGTGACACATTCAAAAATAATGTTTAATTTGGGAACCCTATGGTGTAGTCAAGTTGGCATATAAAGTTAACTGTTACAGGCTGGGCGTGGTGGCTTACACCTATAATCCCAGCACTTTGGGAGGCTGAGACAGGTGGATCACCTGAGGTCAGGAGTTTGAGACCAGCCTGGTCAATATGGTGAAGCCTCGTCTCTACTAAAAATACAACAATTAGCTGGGTGTGGCGGAACACGCCTGTAGTCCCAGCTACTCAGGAGGCTAAGGCAGGAGAATTGCTTGAATCCAGGAGGTGGAGGATTCAGTGAGCCAAGATCGTGTCATCGCACTCCAACCTGGGCAACAGAGTGAGACTCTGTCTGAAAAAAAAAAAAAGGTTAACTGTTACAACAGGTTTTCCATACAAGGGTTAAGACATTAAGGGTAGTGTTCTCCCCTGGACAAAGATTGGCCACTGACCTTTTGCGTCCGATCTCAGATTTGTTCAAGATCTTGTCATTTACAAGGTCATGCTACCATCACTGCAATCTAATTCCAAAATATTTTCATCGCCCCCAAAAGAAACTCCTTACCCTTCCACAGTCACTCCTCATGCCTGCCCCCACCCAACACCTGCAACCATTAATCTACTTTTATCTCTATGGATTTTCCTGTTTTGATATCTCATATAAGTAGAATCATAAAGCACGTGGTCTTTTGTGTCACTTAGCATAATGTGTGATAAAGCAAATATGGAAACTGTTTATTGTAGAACCTAGGCAGGAGCATATGGGTGGTTCATTCTCAAATTATTTTTGTATATCAAGTTCTACCTTTCTATCAAATGGGAACCATATCAAGTTCATGAAACCCTTCTTGACACCTACATCACCTTGGTCTTTTCCTCCTCCGAATTCTTTTTCTTTTTCTAGAGACAGGGTCTTGCACTGTTGTCCAGGCTGTAGTGCAGTGGCCCCATCATAACTCACTGTAGCCTCAACCTCCTGGGTTTAAGTGACCCTCTTGCTTCAGTTTACCAAGTAGCTAGGACGATAGGGATGCATCACCACCACACCTGGCTAATTAAAATTTTATTTATTTATTTATTTATTAGAGACAAGGTCTCACTATGTTGTCCAGGTTGGTCTCAAACTCCTAGTCTCAAGTGATTCCCACACCTTAGCCTCCCAAAGAGCTGAAATTTACAGGCAGAAGCCATCATGCACAGCCATCCTCTGAATTCTTTTAATAAAAGTATAAGTAATCACAAATTTTAATAGTTGATTATAGACTGTCATGCATTTTCTGGAATCACGTAAATAGCATTTATCTCCTTGACTAAGATACAAACTTCTTAAGAGCAAAGACTAGTCTCATTGCTTTATTTCCTCTCTCCTTATGCCCCTTCCTCATCACTCAGAGAATTCATGAGAGTATTGTTGCCTAGTGATAATGTTTGTTGGTGCAACTAAGCTTCAAGACACAGGTAATAACTGTGACTTCTTCATCATTTTTCTCCCAAATTTTTAATTGGCATTTCAAGGATGGCCTAGCCTTAGAGTACTAGACTAATCTGTTTCCTGGGCAGATTCCAGTTTCCATTCCATAGGCCTGGACATCACTGTTTACAGCTGAATAGAATCATTCATTCAGCTCCTCTCTGTCAATGTCTCTTATAGACACTCTTCTATATAGAACCAGGAGCACAATGGTTATAGACTGTCTGTAAGAAACATTGACAGAGAGGAGCTGAATGAAACGTCTCCAGTGAACCAAAGCCAGCCCATTGAGTTGCTTTTGGGGCACCTGGGAGTGTGGTGCTTTCCTTGACAGTCTTTAGAGATGAGGAGACAGTGTGGAAAGCTGTTCAGACAAAATGATATGCATGCTGGTGGCTTACAGATCCCTTATTCAATAGATAAATATAGGTCAACAATGATAAAATCTTCAGAGGGTAGTTTGCATTAGAACTGCCTTCTGGGACATTGACACTGATCTCACGTTTTGTCAGTGATTGATGACCCAGTGGATACGCAACTATTACATTGTGAGCTACCAATATTGTCCTTGCTGTTAATTTCAGGAACAACGATCTCTAGGATTAGTGAATAGAGGTGATTAATCTATATTGAGAAAATTATTAAAATCTAAAAACTAGATTATTTATCCCAAATATAAGGATGGGTTAAATATTATAAAGTATATTTTCTATTCTCCACATATCTGAATTTTCTTAATTATAGCAATGGAATTTCTCAATTTTTTACACATTATGTTTTTAGAGTAAGTTTGAAACATATTAAATACAAACTTTTTTTTTTTTTTTTTTTTTTTTCCCTGAGATGGAGGCTCGCTCTGTCACCCAGATTGGAGTGCAGTGGTGTGATCACAGCTCACTGCAGCTCCGCCTCCCGGGTTCATGCCATTCTCCTGCCTCGGCCTCCCAAAGTGCTGGGATTACAGGCTTAAGCCACCACGCCCAGCCTAAATACAAACATTTTTACTGTAGTTTTTGGAGTGAGGTGAAATCTAATATAAAAATTTATTAGTTCCAGCTCTAGACAACATTCCATAATTTGTCATTTCAATAAAATCTTTTTAAAGTCTGACTTTGTTTTTGAACTTGCTTACCTATGTTCATGTACATAGAAGATCTCTCCCAGAGGTATACAGAATGTTCAGTTAGCCTCAGCAGGATGAGACATATCTGCTTTCTATTTCGTCTTTGGATTCCACATTCTGACCTGTGAAATAATTACACCAGATTTAAAAAAATTCTAGTAGACTTAACTAAGAAATTCTTTTTAAAAATTATTTTTTATTATGATAAAAAGGATATAACATTAAATTTACCATCTTAACCATTTTAAAGCATGCAATTCAGTAGTGTTAAACATATTTACATTGTTGTGCAAATGATCTCCAGAACTATTTCATCTTGCAAAAGTGAAACTCTATGTTCAATAAACAATAACTCCTCATTTATCCCTCCCCCAGCCCCCAGCAATTACCATGCTTCTTTCTTTTTCTACAAATTTGACTATTTAAAATAACTCATAGGAATGGAACCATACAGTATTTATCTTTTTGTGTCTGACTTATTTCACTTAACATAATGCACTCAAGGTTTATTTAGGTTGTGGCATATGTCAAAATTTCCTTCCTTTTGAAGGCTGAATAATATTCCATACACACACACTCACACACACACACACACCACATTGTAGAATTCTGTTCATCTGTTAATGGACAGGCAAATTTAGGTTGTTTCTATCTCGGCTATTGGGAATGGTGTTGCTATGAAAATGACTGTACAAATAATGTCTCTGTGATCCTGCTTTCAATTCTTTTGGATATATACCCAGAAGTAGAATTGCTGGATTGTATGGTAATTTTCTTTTTACTTTTTGTTGAGCAACTGCCATACTGTTTTTTATAATGGTGAAACCAACCCAATTGTCCCATAGAACTAATATTTTTCATTTCTTTTGAATAAACATAGAAATTGACTCTCTCAGTTTTAAAACTTGAAAAAGTTACATTTGTCTTACCTGAGTACCTTTCTTAAGAAACCAACCATCGGCCGGGTGGGGTGGCTCACGACTGTAATCCCAGTACTTTGGGAGGCCAAGATGGGCAGATCATGAGGTCAGGAGATCAAGACCATTCTGGCTAACATGGTAAAACCCCGTGTTTACTAAAAATACAAAAAATTAGCTGGGCGTGGCGGCAGGCGCCTGTAATCCCAGCTACTCAGGAGGCTGAGACAGGAGAATGGCGTGAACTCCGGAGGCGGAGCTTGCAGTGAGCCGAGATATCACGCCACTGCACTCCAGCCTGGGTGACAGTGCCAGACTCTGTCTCAAAAAAAAAAAAAAAAAAAAAAAAAAAACCAACCATCAGGCCTCCCAGATAGTACCAAGGAACTGAAATTTACCAGATCACTGCATCTGGATAATAAGACACCAGACTCCTCACCCATCATGATTGCCTAATTCATCACCTGCTTCCTGTTGACCAACTTCTCTTGCTTACCCCTCCCTAATTCCTGTTTTCCCACATGTGGTTACATTTCTTCCATGCTGTATAAACCCCTAATTTCAGTTGGTTAGGGAGATGGATTTGAGGCTGATCTCCTTGGCAGCATCACCTGATTAATGCCTTTTTTCTTGGAAACACTCATTGTCTCAGTTATTGGCTTTCTGTGCAGTGAGCAGCAGGACCTAAACCCTGGTGTCTTGGTAACAGTGGCTGCACCATTTTATATTTTCACTAATAGAGCACAAAGATCACAATTTTTCTACATCCTCTCAAACACTTGTCATTTTCTGTGTTTTTTGATAGTAACCATTCTAATGGGTATAAGGTAGAATAAATCACTTTTAAACAGAAAAAACCCATCACTTTCTAGCCAAAGGAATTAAAACTATCTAAGGTACCTAATCCAAATAAGATTCATTTCACATTAAACTTGTGGTCTATCATTCTTACATTGTTCATGGATTTGTTCTTCTTTGGATTTCTGAAATAAGCTATATACTGATTTTATCACCTACCTCAGTATGACTGAGCAGGATTTCTTTATTTATTTACTTACTTACTTTTGAGACATGGTCATGCTCCGTTACCCGGTCTGGAGTGCAGTGGTACAATCATAGCTCACTGCAACCTTGAGCTCCCCGGCTCAAGCAATTCTTCCACCTCAGCCTCCCAAGTAGCTAGGACTACACACACGCGCCACCATACTTGGCTAATTTTTAAAATTTTTAGTAGAGACAAGATCTCGCTATGTTGCCCAGGCTAGTCTCAAACTCCTGGTTTCAAGCAATCCTTCTGTCTTGGCCTCCCAAAGTGCTAGGATTATAGGTGTGAGCCACTGAGCGTGGCTGAATGAGCAGACTTTTTTTTTGTTTTTTTTTGAGCAGAGTCTTGCTCTGTCACCTAGGCTGGAGTGCAGTGGTGTGATCTCAGCTCATCTCAACCTCTGCCTCCCAGGTTCAAGCAGTTCTGTCTCAGCCTCCCATGTAGCTGGGACTACAGGTGTGCGCCACCATGCCTGGCTAATTTTTGTATTTTTAGTAGAGATGGGGTTTCACCATGTTGGCCAGGCTGGTCTCGAACTCCTGGCCTCAGGTGATCCCCCCACCTCGGCCTCCAAAGTGCTGGGATTACAAGTGTGAGCCACTGTGCCCAGCTCCAAATGAGTAGAATTTAAAAGGTAAACTTTGCAATTCTCTTATTTATGGTAAAAAATTTGTCTGTTACAGAAACTATATTCTAAAAATGGGAAAAACTGGCAATGCAAACTCGGTCTGCCCCTGAGAGATGATGTAAATTAAAGTTGGTCATCACCATGGACCTCAGTATTCTCAGTGGTCAAACAGGGGAGTTGGTCTAGATGAGAGGCAGCCAACCTAAATGCCTACGGAACCACAGCAGGCCCTGGAGACAAGTGAAGAGATCTGGTTGTAAAATCACAGTGCTGCAGTGTCCTCATCAAACTGAAGAGTAGGAGTAAGAGCTCCTTCAAATGGTTCATGCCTGTAATCCCAGCACTTTGGGAGGCCGAGAAGGGCAGATCACAAGCTCAAGAGATTGAGACCATTCTGGCCAACATGGTGAAACCCTGTCTCTACTAAAAATATAAAAATTAGCTGGGCTTGGTGGCGTGCACCTGTAGTCCCAGCTACTCGGAAGGCTGAGGCAGGAGAATCGCTTGAACCCATGAAGCAGAGGTTGCAGTGAGCCCAGATCGCACCAGCCTGGTGACAGAGCTAGAATCCGTCTAAAAAAAAAAAAAAATGGAGGAGGGTGGTAGCATTCACCTCCCACTTAACATGCTGTGAGGGAATATAGACTTTTTTTAAAAAAAATTTTATTATTATACTTTAAGTTTTAGGGTACATGTGCACAATGTGCAGGTTTGTTACATATGTATACATGTGCCATGTTGGTGTGCTGCACCCATTAACTCGTCATTTAGCCTTAGGTATATCTCCTAATGTTATCCCTCCCTCTTCCCCCCACCCCACAACAGTCCCCGGTGTGTGATGTTCCCCTTCCTGTGTCCATGTGTTCTCATTGTTCAATCCCCACCTGTGAGTGAGAACATGCGGTGTTTGGTTTTTTGTCCTTGCAATAGTTTGCTGAGAATGATGGTTTCCAGTTTCATCCATGTCCCTACAAAGGACATGAACTCATCATTTTTTTATGGATGCATAGTATTCCATGGTGTATATGTGCCACATTTTCTTAATCCAGTCTATCGTTGTTGGACATTTGGGTTGGTTCCAAGTCTTTGCTATTGTGAATAGTGCCGCAGTAAACATACATGTGCATGTGTCTTTATAGCAGCATGATTTATAATCCTTTGGGTATATACCCAGTAATGGGATGGCTGGGTCAAATGGTATTTCTAGTTCGAGATCCCTGAGGAATCGCCACACTGACTTCCACAATGGTTGAACTAGTTTACACTCCCACCAACAGTGTAAAAGTGTTCCTATTTCTCCACATCCTCTCCAGCACCTGTTGTTTCCTGACTTTTTAATGATCGCCATTCTAACTGGTGTGAGATGGTATCTCATTGTGGTTTTGATTTGCATTTCTCTGATGGCCGGTGATGATGAGCATTTTTTCATGTGGAATATAGACTTTTGCCTATAATGTGTTGCACCAGATCTTCAAACTCATTAAAAAAGTTGAAAAATTTAAAATATGGCAAAAATATTAATTAACATAAAAACACTCCTGTACAGGGCAAATAAAACAACCTTTTGAGGGTGAAATGTGGTCCATTGTCTGGTGGTTTGCAATACCTGGGCTAGATGATTTCTAAGGTCCTTTGAGTTCTAAAATTCTTTGATTTCTGGATTCTAAGAACAGATTAAAAATAACAGCAATAGTCAGGGGCTGTGATTCTATTTTTTATCTTGGATCATTCAAAACTATAGGCTGCTGTCTTGATTTCACTAGTATGGATCAAAATGACTCAATTGTTTGATATATAGACATTATCTCCTTAAGCACTATATTTATCTTCAGTGAATTGTACTAAGAAAGATTTATGTGACAATTCATATCACATTGGAAAATGATACATGGCTCTCTCTAGCAAAAACTGCTGTCTTTTATTTGATTCCTGAGCTCTGTTTTGAATTTTGGCAAAATTGAAGAGACAAAAAAAATCAGTTTATGTCTCAATTAATTTCACAAACTGAATGACAGATGAGATTTCTCTTTTCACTCCAGATTCCCCTGTCCCTACAGAATTGTTGGAGAATATTTGTGGTTGTCAGAATGTTTTTATTTTAATGAGAATGGAGTCGTGATTGACATTTGCTCCCTGGCCAGCATCCTTCTTCTTTTGTTTCTTTCTTCTTTTATTAACAGATGCTGATTTTCCAATAGGGAATTATTCCTGCCACACCCATAGCCTACAACAGAGGTTCTCAAATGGGTGGTCCCTAGAACAGGAGCATCAGCATCACCTATGGACTTGTCGGAAATGTCCACTCTTAGACTCTGTTCCCTAGTTCAGGTAATTCTGGTGCCACTGAGCCATCCTACAGCTCCAGGCCTGAATCCTTAGGCACTGAGATTGGTTTAAGGATGGGCATATAACCTAAGTCAGTGGGTGTCAAACTTGATAGGAAATCAGAATCACTTGGACCACGTGTTAAAACAAAAATCGTTGGTCCCTTACTTCAGAGTGTATAGTTCTGTAGGTCTGGGGTGAGACCTGATCACTTTTAACAAGTTCCCAGGCAATGCCGATGATCATCCTTAAGAACTACTGACCTGAGCTAATGAGATTAAACAATTTTGGTGGAATTTCACCTGCATCAATCAGCTGTTGCCTCACATAAGCTGTGTGAGAAACCGTTCCAAATCTCAGTTGAAAACTATTTATTTATTTTTTACACATGGTAAGATGGGCTGGGCTTGGCTCCAATTTTGCTCCATGTGTCCTTCATCCTCCCTGGGCCAGTAGCTACTCAACTCAAAGCATAGTCCTCTAACGATGAAAGCAAAGTGTAAAAGACCGTGTCCCACTGTGCAAGCCTATTTCAGCCAAACTCATGTCACATCGACTAATATTCCGTTGGCCAAAGCAAATCGTGTGACCAATATTGACATCAAAGGCTCTCATGAAAGTTGAGGGGGAGATAATGAATACTTGCTGAATGATAATCTAGTATATTACATCTGGGAAAAAGTGCCTTCTTTCCACTGTTTATTTTTTTTTTCTTTTGAGACAAAGTCTCACTCTTGTCCCCCAGGCTGGAATGCAGTGGTGTGATCTTGGCCCACTGCAACCTCTGCCTCATGGGTTCAAGGAATTCTCTTGCCTTAGCCTCCTGAGTAGCTGGGATTACAGGCATTTGCCACCATGCCCGGCTAATTTTTGTATTTTTAGTAGAGACGGGGTTTCACCATGTTGGCCAGGCTGGTCTCAAACTCTTGACCTCAGGTGATCCGCCTGCCTCAGCCTCCAAAAGTGCTGGGATTACAGGCGTGAGCCACCACACCTGGCCTTTCCACTGTTTTTTTAAGCTGGTAAACTATAGTCTTGGACCAGTTAGTGGTTGACTTTGCAGCCATATAGAAAGAGCCTGCCTCAGAATAAAACCAATAAAAAGAAAATCACAGCTGAGAGCTGAAGAGAGACAGATTCCTGAAGATCCAGCCATGTTGGAAAGTGGGTCTATTATTGCACTTTTTTGTTAGGTAAACCAATACTTTGTTTTTCCTAAGCTAGTTCTTGCAACCCAAGGTCCATAGCCATGACCCAGTATTTAATATTTTTCAGTATATAGATCATCATCAGCCCTTGAGACAATGAATATTTTAAAAAATATGGTGTTTAAGTTGCTGTATTGAAATTTTATTTGCCAGTTTTTGTAGTACTGTGGTATTATAGAAGTTTGATTCAAAGTTAAATTTACTGTCATAGGATTTGTCTTTAATCAGACTTTTAATACCTTAGAACATTTCACCTGGTCATATCTCGAAGTATTAGATGAAAATTAAGTATCTTTCGTCTATCTGTAGTTTCCAGAAAGGAACTCCATATCCTCAGGGGAGTCCAGGAAGATTGCATTTATTAACAATTGTGTAAAGATACTAGTAACAACATTAGAAGCAACACAGGCTTAAACGAGATGAGTTCTTAAGTTTCCTTTTTTTCTCTCCAGAAATAGGCAGTGTAAGACTGGCATAGCACTCCACTGTTATCTTGGACCTGGTATCCTGTCTGTTCTGCCACTTGTAATGTGTGACTGACAATCTTTCCTCTGGTCCAAGATGGCTAGCAGGGCTCAGGCTCACGCGCCTGGCAGGAGGAATGAAGTGAGGAAGAACAAAAAGGGCCTGGGCCAGCTGTCTGGCGCTCTGTCAAGGAGCATTTCTAGAAGTGTCACCTGACATTTCCACTTATATGTCATTGATCAGACTTTAATCACATAGACACAGCAAGGTTGGATGAGAAATACAGTCTTTTGTCTCAGCAGTTTCATCCCTTGAATAAAATCATGGTTGCGTTACTGGAAAAGAAGAGCAAAACAGATATTGGGAAGGCAGCTAGCCATCTCTGGCATAAATGCCAATTTCAGAAGTAAGTAAGAATGAAGTATGTCTGATGGAAATAAACATAAAATCAAAGATCAACAGGAGACAAACTAAAATGGCTACCAAAATGAATGTGAACACATCCCAGAAGAGAATTGGAAAACAAAATGTAAGTAGCTATGCACTGAGAATGAAAATCAAAATGGACAATAGATTTCTAAGAAAAAGGAAGTCGGAGAAAAATATTTTTTCTCAAGGTTTACTGTATGC
Source organism: Homo sapiens (assembly GCF_000001405.40). Classification (NCBI taxonomy): domain Eukaryota; kingdom Metazoa; phylum Chordata; class Mammalia; order Primates; family Hominidae; genus Homo; species Homo sapiens. Next base: position 224,748,504 of record NC_000002.12, read on the forward strand.
GGTTCTTGGAATAGAGGAAAATGTGAGCAATTCCGTTTATAGAAAGGCATACCATTGAAAGGGAACACAAATTTTCTTTTCAAATAAAATAAGTCAAAATGTTTTTCGATAGGCTTTAGCAGACTTGGCTTGAATGAAGTATCTTTTAAAACATCTATGTCCAGTATAGTAACTTTAAGTTCATTATCAGCCCTCCAGTGACAAATTTACCTTCCAGAGTAGACTTCAAGTTTACTCAGAAGAGATTTTTCATTGTAAAAAACTCTGGGTTTTGGCATTTAGGGTGAAAAACATCATTATGTGAATTTGCTTAGAGTGAAACGGGTAGGCAGCAGCGTCTCCTTAACCTCATGTGGAATCAGGGATGTCCTTTGCAGGATGGGGAATGCCCTCAGGAAGGGTACCTGATGACATAGTGGGTGATGGTGAAATGGTCACTGCAGGTGGGTTGCTGTTGACCTGTTGAGGAATCTGGTTTAGGGTCAACCAAGTGCAGGCATCTGGTAAGTTGCAGAACAGCAGTGGGCAGGCAGAGAGAACTGAGAATAACCTTGTTCTGTCACTTATTATACTGTGATATTGAACCAATTTCTTCACTTCCCTGGACCTCCATTTCCTGAGCCATGAAATGAGGCTAAGGATACCTATTCACAGTGGAGTTGAGAGGATTAATGAGACCATTTAGGTAAAATTGCTTGGCATGGTGTAAATGGTGGGCACTCAAGGAATCCATCCCCTACTTCTACCCTATACTCTGCCCTTCTCTTTTTTACCTTTCCTCTCTCTCTCCATTCTTCTTTCCCCCAATCCCTCAAAATTTCCTAAAGTACCACCAGAGGGCACAACCTAGACCAACCTTCTGTCAAAGTGTAATAGATTCCATGCAGCTTATGGAGTCCTCAGAGATGATTCCCAAGTTATCCTGGAGTGTCTGGAGTGTGGTAAAAAGCCTTTTGGCTGGAAGTTCTGCCATTCTTCTGCAAGTACGTGCAACACTATATGGCATCAAGTTATTTACTCCAATTTGTTTAATCTAAAATCCAACAAGTACAATGTAACTAGGTTGGAGCAGTCTGTCATTTTTGTATTCATTTCTTCTATTTTACACTCATTGTGATGGCATAAAGTCTTGCTCTCTAGTCAAAATTGTCATACTATCCCTGCATGTGGATGTGCATGGGTTGGTCTTTGGAATAAACTAGTAAATGAATAGTTTTTTTGTTTGTTTGTTTTTGTTTTTGTTTTTTTTGAGACAGAGTCTCACTCTGTTGCCCAGGCTGGAGTGCAATGCAATGGCGTGATCTGGGCTCACTGCAACCTCCGCCTTCCGGGTCAAGCCATTCTCCTGCCTCAGCCTCCCAAGTAACTGGGACTACAGGCATGAGCCACCATGCCTGGCTAATTTTTGTATTTTTAGTAGAGACAGGGTTTCATCATATTGGCCAGGCTGGTCTCAAACTCCTGACTTCAAGTGATCTGCCCACCTTGGCCTCCCAAACTGCTGGGATTACAGGCATGAGCCACCGCGCCTGGACTAAATGAATAGTTTACTTTAGGTTTCCTTTCTGCTTGCTCCCCCATGTCCTAATCGTCTCCATTTGAATTTTGTCTTATATTTCTTTCAGAGTAATACATGTATACATATATGTATTTCTACTTAGTTATTTCACAGCATTGCTCTGAAAAGCTATAAATTCCATCTTTGAGCTGTTTTGGGGGTGTTAATTACAGCATATGATTGCTGAGAACATTAATCCATTCAATCAGTCTCCAATATCAACATTATTTCATTTATTTATTTTTAAATTTACTCTCCAGCTCAAAGGATTCAATCTCAGCTTTTAATGCAAGTGGCAGGTCAGGATTATACATTTTCTTGTTTTTACATATCTTCTAGGAATTTTAAAATACCACAAAACCTTACATCTTCCCAATTTTTTTGTCACTAAGAAAGATCAAGTTGACCTTCTAGCAGAGAAGTCAAATCTTAAATTATTTTTGACGTCATGGACTAAAAAAAGGAAACATCTTTACACAAATGACTGTCTTATCCAGCTGGACCTGAGAAAGCATGCCTGTGGAGACTAAAGCAACTCCATCTTGGATGCTAGTCACCATGTTGACTTCTGATTAACCCCAGTTCTGGGAATGCCTCTAAGATTTCTATTTTATCTACTGTTCCTTGTATAAGAGCATATGCTTAGAGTAAATCTGTCCTTAGGTCAAAACAACTTTGACCATAAATACTGCCCTTAGTGAGAGTCACATGACATTCGTGCCTTTCTTTGACTTCAATTGTCCTACACATTCCTACCCTATCATATAGAAGCCCTGGGTCTGGGGGATAATGGTGCCAGGATCCACCATCTTGCCTCATCACCACCGGAAACTATGGCTTTTATTTGTAAGTCACTATTAAATGTTTCTTTCTGAGAAACTGGATTTGTCAGCCTCTTTCTTTGGCCTCTTAACTTCCTTGGCCTTTGTGGCTGGGTTTACATAGGTCTGCCTACCACAGAGCAATGTCTTTTTTGTGTTCATTTTCTTTGTCAGAAATTCTACTTTAATCTTTTATGGACAATCTCAGAGGGCTTATCCAAGGCAAAAAATAGTAGCTAGCATCTTTCCTTAGGGACGTTTACAGATAATGAGTAATGTTTCTGTGCTTTGAACACTTCCCAAGTGCCCACAATGCAGTGTGCACTCTGCTAGTCTCTTAGTAGATGTGTTTCCGCCCTGAGAAATCTGGCAGATAAGAAAACGACCCCAGGTTTACCAGCTGGCACTAGGTTGTTCATTGGAGGCCACGTAAGGAGACAACATGAGTTACCCATTTCCTAGTTTATGCATTCATTATTATTCATTTATTTGTATCATTATTATTATTATTATTATTATTATTATTGTTTTTGAGACAGAGTCTTGCTCTGTTGCCCAGGCTGCAGTGCAGTGGCATGATCTTGGCTCACTGCAACCTCCGCCTCCCAGGTTCAAGCAATTATCCTGCCTCAGCCTCCCAAGTAGCTGGGACTACAGGTGCGTGCCACAATGCCCGGGTAATTTTTTGTATTTTTAGTAGAGATGGGGTTTCACCATGTTAGCCAGGATGGTCTTGATCTGACCTCGTGATCTGCCCATTTCGGCCTCCCAAAGTGCTGGGATTACAGGCGTGAGCCACCGCGCCCGGCCCGTATAGTTCTTTTAATAAACATAATTAGAAAAACAATTTAAAGTCATAACCCTGAGCTTCTCACCTGGGCTCTGTTTGGTACCATCTTCATAATTATATCTCAATTATGAGTGATCTCACAAATATTGAATGCTTACTGTTGTATGGCTTTATGCTAAGGACTTTGTGTTTTTTATTTCATTTAATCCTCTTAATAACCTGGTGAAACTGTTGCCAAATACCAGGGGTTCAACCAAGGTCCTGTTGCTCACTATACAGAAAGCCAGTCCTTGAGACAATGAGTATTGCCAGGGAAGAAAGGCTTTTTAATGCAGTTGACATCAGCTGGGAGATGGTGGGTAGGTTTCAAATTGGGCTCCCCAACCGACTTAAATTAGGTGTTTATATAGTGAGGGAAGGAATGTAACTATGTGTGGGAAAACAGGAATTAGGGAGGGGTAAGGAAGAGGATTGGTCAGTAGGAAGCAGGTGGTCAGTTAGGGAATTATGACGGATGAGGGGTCTCATTGTCTGCATGTTTCAGTTCTGGTAAGTTTCAGTTCCTTGATACTATCTGGGAGGCCTGTGAATCTGTTTTCTGAGAAGGGAACTCAGAGAAGACAGATGTAACTTTCAGCTTTAAGACCAAGAGGGTCAATTTTTATATTTACTGAAAAAACCATTAGTTCTATGGAAAAATTGGGGCAATTTCAAAATTTGTGTATTTATTATTACCATTTTACAGATAATGAAACTGAAGCTCGCTGAGGAGACTCACTTAGGGCCACACAGGCAATTAGCAACGGAGCTGGAGTCCTCCATCTGTGCAACCCTGCTCCACAGCCAGAGTGGTGCTCCACACTGCTATGTCATTCTAATTTAGAACGTTCCACCTTCAACAGTATGAGTAGGGAAACCAAAAAGAGTCACTAGTCAGTATGAAATTGCTCAAGGAACTCTAACCTTGATGATTTCTTTTTGATTCATTTATTCATTCATTCACCTATGTGTTTGGAAAGTGTTAATTGAAATCTTCTCTGTGCTAGGCACTTTGCTAGGCCTCTGACAGACACAAACAAGACACAATCTTTGCCTCTCATGAGTTACTTGCTTGGATTCAATTATTTCTTTTCTGTCTCCTTCATAGATTACTCTTTTCATTACCCTTGTGCCATATAACATCTTAGCTGTGTGAGACCAGGAGAAGGTGTTGGTCACCTACCCTTGGCAGTAGGAAGTCTTTCAGATCTGATATTAATTGTGTATTCAAATGTCAAGGTATCCTAGTACAGAAAATATCAGTGGGTTATTCTGATAAGGAAAATACTATTTGCTAATTTTAGAAAAGAGAATATGCTAAAAGTTACACCTCAGAGGGAATATCATTTGATATGGTGAACAGGAAACCCAAGAAGTTGTGAATTCCATTCAAAAGATGAAACTGCTTAGAAGATAATGTAAGGTTCTCACCCAACATGAGCACTGCACTCAAGGCCATTTCTAGGATGAAAGGGTGGGATGATTATCTATTATTCCAGCCATGAATTATTTCTGTGGCCTCCAGAAGATGCAACTGAATTGTAGCTATGTGTCCAGAATCGGTTCCTTCTGGTGGGTTCTTGGTCTCGCTGACTTCAAGAATGAAGCCGTGGACCCTCACGGTGAGTGTTGCAGTTCTTAAAGATGGTGTGTCTGGAGTTTGTTCCTTCAGATATTCAGATGTGTCCGGAGTTTCTTTCTTCTGGTGGGTTTGTGGTCTTACTGACTTCAGGAGTGAAGCCGCAGACTTTTGCAGTGAGTGTTATAGCTCTTAAAGATGACGCATCCAGAGTTGTTCGTTCCTCCCGGTGGGTTCGTGGTGTCGCTGACTTCAGGAGTGAAGCTACAGACCATCGTGGTGAATGTTACAGCTCATAAAGGTAGTGTGGACCCAAAGAGTGAGCTGCAGCAAGATTTATTGTGAAGAGTGAAAGAACAAAGCTTCCACAGTGTGGAAGGGAACCCAAGCGGGTTGCTGCTGCTGGCTGGGGTGGCCAGCTTTTATTCCCTTATTTGGCCCTGCCATGTCCTGCTGATTGGTCCATTTTACAGAGTGCTGATTGGTCCATTTTTACAGAGTGCTGACTGGTGCATTTACAAACCTTTAGCTAGACACAGAGCACTGATTGGTGTTTATAATCCTTTGGCTAGACAGAAAAGTTCTCCAAGTCCCCACTCAACCCAGGAAGTCCATCTGGCTTCACCTCTCAGCTACACAGTCCTCCATGGGCCCTGCATTTTTACCAAAGTCATTATCAGTTTATGTTGAATAGAGTAGGAAAGCTGCACTTGAGGAGAGTGGAAAAATCAGTAGTAACTCAAAGCCATGTTGAAAACTATTATTCAAATTTAAGGCATCCTGTTGTTATTTTTTTGACAATTTGATTTGAAAATATAACTTTTAATGCTGTACATATGAATAAGGCCAAATAAGGTATAAAATAATGTTGCCATGTTATCCATCAGAAACAAACAGATGTCTCAACATGTGGGAGCTTCTGTAAATGGGAAACTTCAGATCCTCCAGGGCCAGTGACTTGCCCTGGAGTCAGGGAATTGTTGGCTGACTTTGCTGGGCTAGAATTCATTTGTGTTTCATGCATTTTTTAAGACAACCCTTTCGTTCTTGCCAAATGTATGATGTTAGGAAATCCCCATTACTGGGGTGTGGTACCTACCCATCCCCTCTTGGGATTCTGACTCATTCCAAGCAGGAGCAATAGTGAGATAGGAAAGGAAAATGGGCAAAAGAATTAGACTCTGTTAGCACAGTTATATGCCCAAGTTATGCTATAGAAGCCAGTGAACACTGGTTTGGAAAGAGCTGTTATTTTTTCATTCTCAACTTTTCCCAGTAGTCTCTATAAATAACATAACATAACATGTGAACCTAGGCCCCTTGAGGAAAAGAGTAATGATTGTTTTGCATCATTATCTGCAACTCTTGGGCTTAAAGTCCTAACGAAAACAGTTTCTTTCTGGTGAGGACTTCTATTTTCAGCTCTTCTAAATGTTAACAGCAAAGTAAGGGGTCATACACACCATAAATTCTTTAACTCAGGAAGAGTCAGTTCAATAAACCTAAAGGAGTTGATGTCTTTTTGCTCAACTATTCAGAAGAAGAAAGACACGCAAATTTGAAACCACTCAGTAGAACGTGATGGGCCTATTTGACTGCAGGATTTTAAAGGAGTGTTTTTGAAGGGAGGCAGTGAAAGCCCTATTCCCTGGGCTTGGGGGTTGCTCCTTGGAAATGTTTCCATAGAACCACCCAGAGCCTTTTGGGCTAAATTTTCAGTTCAGATTACTCTTGTTAAAAAGTAAAAATTTATCATTTTTTAGATTTAAATTATACAACTTTGTTATTCTTATTTCTTTAAAAAATCACTCTTCTAAAGGGAAAAGTCACATTGCAGAAGACAGGTTCCTTAAAATCCAAGGGAACTCACTAATTTCCATGCAAGTGTTATTAAACAAACTTACTTTCTCAGTCCATGGGCCACTCTGTTCAATAAAAAATCCTACAAGTACCACTGTCTTATTTATAACAACAACAACAACAGCACCACCACCACCACCACCACCAACACCTTACCCACCATAGGTTTAGTAGTTATAGTTGCACTACTTTTGATGACATTCAAGAAAAGTTGGCAGGGCGCAGTGGCTCATGCCTTGTAATCCCAGCACTTTGGGAGGCCAAGGTGGGCGGATCACAAGGTCAGGAGATCGAGACCATCCTGGCTAACACTGTAAAACCCTGTCTCTACTAAAAATACAAAAAATTAGCTGCGCGTGGTGGCATGCATCTGTAGTCCCAGCTACTCGGGAGGCTGAGGCAGGAGAATCACTTGAAACCGGGAGGTGGAGGTTGCAGTGAACCCAGATTGTGCCACTGTACTCCAGCCTGGGTGACAGAGAGAGACTCCATCTCAAAAACAAAAACAAAACAAAGAAACAAAACAAAACAAAACAAAAAAAAGAAAAGTCATCAGCCTAAAAAATACCCTTTATGAATTAGAAATATATCCAAGAAGGCCAGGCGTGGTGGCTCACGCCTGTAATCCCAGCACTTTGGGAGGCCGAGGTGGGCAGATCACGAGGTCAGGAGATCGTAGCCATCTTGCCTAACATGGTGAAACCCCGTCTCTACTAAAAATGCAAAAAGAAATTGGCTGGGCGTGGTGGTGGGCACCTGTAGTCCCAGCTACTCTGGAGGCTGAGGCAGAAGAATGGTGTGAACCCAGGAGGCGGAGCTTGCAGTGAGTTGAGATCGCGCCACTGCACTCCAGCCTGGGCGACAGAGCAAGACTCCGTCTCAAAAAAAAAAAAAAAAAAAAAAAAAAAAAAAAATATATATATATATATATATATATATATGTATGTGTGTGTATATATATATATATGTATGTGTGTGTATATATATATATGTATGTGTGTATATATATATATGTATGTATATATATATCCAAGAAACAATGTTGTTATAGTTAGTATATTAATATTGGCCAGGCGTGGTGGCTCACGCCTGTAATTCCAGTACTTTGGGAGGCCAAGGTGGGTGGATCACCTGAGGTCAGGAGTTCGAGACCAGTCTGGCCAAGATGGTGAAACCCCATCTCTACTAAAAATACAAAAATTAGCTGGGCATGGTGGCTTGCACCTGTAGTCCCAGCTACTCAGGAGGCTGAGGCAGGAGAATTGCTTGAACCCGGGAAGTGGAGGTTGCAGTGAGCCAAGATTGTGCCATTGCACTCCAGCCTGGAGTGAGACTCTGTCTCAAAAAAAAAAAAAAAAAAAAAAGAAAACTGCAAACAGAGTCCTCTGGAGAATCCTTCATGTTATTGTCATTTAAAGCTATTCTTTATAAACCTTACTTAATTATTCAGGCTCAATCACCATTACCTTCTCCAAAAGACTTGGAGAAGCTAACAGTGTAAATTATTTGGTGAAATAATGGTGATTGAGCCATATGGGAAAGTTTTGATCTCTCTCTCACTACTTATTGCTCTAAGATCAACCCTGTGTGCTCATTGTAGTGTCTCTCTTGAGTCTTGTGACTTATGATCTCTCCATCAAGTTAATCTTCTCATATATCCCATCCCCCACCACATGCAGCCTATTACAATAATAACAAGGGGTAAGGGGAAGACAAGGGCGTTTAGAACTTTTATGAGATTTTTTTTTTTTTGGCTGACATTCCTCATCTCCACAATTTACCTGGAACATTATAATCACCCATATTCTGAGCCCAAACCTGTTTATCTGCCCCATATTCATAGCGGATCCTCTTGTTTGCCCACAGGTTAATCAACTCTTTTTAAATTTTTAAAATTGATACATAATATTTATATATATTTATGGGGTGCAAGTGATATTTTGTTACATGCTGATATGGTTTGCTTATGTCCCCACCAAATCTCATCTTGAATTGTAACTGCCACAAATCCCACATATCCTGGGAGGAACCCAGTGAGAGGTGTTTGAATTATGGGGGTGAGTCTTTCCCATGCTGTTTGTTCTTGTGGTAGTGAATGAGTCTCACGAGTTCTGATGGTTTCAAAAATGGGAGTTTGCCTACACATGCTCTCTCTTCTCTTGTCTGCCGCCATGTGAGATGTGCCTTTCACCTTCTGCCATGATTGTGAGGCCTCCCCAGCCACGTCAAACTGTGAGTCCAATAAACCTCTTTCTTTTGTAAATTTCCCAGTCTCAGGTATGTCTTTATTAGCAGCATGAAAATGGACTAATACAGTAAATTGGTACCAGTAGAGTGGGGCACTGCTGAAAAGATACCTGAACATGTGGAAGCAACTTTGGAACTGGGTGACAGGCAGAGGTTGGAATAGTTTGGAGGACTCAGAAGAAGACAGGAAAATGTGGGAAAGTTTGGAACTTCCTAGAGACTTGTTGAATGGCTTTGACAAAAATGCTGATAGTGATGTGAACAATAAGGTCCAGGCTGAGGTAGTCTCAGATGGAGATGAAAAACTTATTGGGAACTGGAGCAAAGGTGACTCTTGTTATGTTTTAGCAAAGAGACTGGTGGCATTTTGCTCTTACCCTAAAGATTTGTGGAACTTTGAACTTGAGAGAGATGTTTTAGGATATCTGGCAGAAGAATTTTCTAAGCTGCAAAGCATTCAAGAGGTGACTTGGGTGTTGTTAAAGGCATTCGGTTTTAAAAGGGAAATAGAGCATAAAAGTTTGGAAAATTTGCAGCTTGACAATGTAATAGAAAAGAAAATCCCATTTTCTGAGGAGAAATTTGAGCCAGTTGCAGAAATTTGCATAAGTAATGAGGAGCCGAACATTGTCACCAAGACCACGGGGAAAATGTCTCCAGGACATGTCAGAGGTCTTCATGGTAGCCCCTCCTATCACAGGCCTGGAGGCCTAGGAGGAAAAAATGGTTTTGTGGGCTAGGCCCAGAGTCCATGTGTTGCGTGCAGTCTAGACTTGGTGCTGTGCATCCCAGCTGCTCCAGGCATGACTAAAAGGGGTCAAGTTACAGCTCAGGCCATGGCTTCAGAGGGTGCAAGCCTCAAGCCTTGACAGCTTCCATGTGGTGTTGAGCCTGCCAGTGCACCAAAGTCAAGAACTGAGGTTTGGGAACTTCTGCATAGATTTCAGAGGATGTGTGGAAATGCCTGGATGTCTAGGCAGAAGTTTGGCCCTGATGGTGGCAACTGGGAGCAGTAGTGACTGTGGGCAGGAAAGCCTGACCTCAAGGTGCATGGAAATGCATGGTAGTTCCTCTGCTGGGTGGGGAATTGCAGGGGTGGTGCTTGCTCCCAGTGGCTCTTGCCAGTTTGCAGTCAGTTGTAGCAGCAGTAGCAGGTGGGAGATGTCAATGGGGCCAAAGGGGTCTAGAGATACAGGGTCTGTTGGGACCCAAAGCAGAATGCCTTCTGGTGAGGGCTGGGTTTCCAGAATGGTGATGTGCTGTAGCTGCTTAGAACTAGGGGTGTGTGGGACCCAGTGTGAGCTCCGTCTCTGGATCAGTGCTATCAAGCAATATCCACGTATCTCCTATGTTAGCCTGAGGGCCTTTGAGTGTCAAGCGGCTCTCCTGTGGCTAGGATTGCAGAAGTCTGTGGTGGGAATGTGGACCCACTGGGGGTCTCTCACTTACTGTTTGCCCACATTAGGGAGCTTCTCCAGGCTTCTAGATGGTAGAGTAGGCTGCCTCACTTCCTTGTCCTTTGTCTTCCATGTTTGCTGTCACTTCTCTGCTGAATTCTGCTGTTCTGTCTTAAATTGTGTATTCAAAGTGTGATTATCTACTCACTATTTTGATTCTTCTTTGTGGAGGAGGTGAATACCAGATGCTTCTAGTTATCTTGAAGCCCCTTCCAGATTGGCCTTTTAAAACCTGATTAATTTTTGTCATGCTCCATCTCAGGCAGATGACCTCCTGGTCAGGATGGGGCTGTGTTCTTTAAGTAGTCCCTGGATCTTCTAGTGAAGGCTCAGGACATGGGTCAGTGGATGTGCAGAGGACTGGTTCTCAGATGCCAGCTCTTGTCATTCCTTACACTTCTCTCCATCTGCTTAAAAAGTCGTGATCCTACATAAACTTTCTTACATTTTAAAACTTCTTTTATTAGTATTACTCACATGCAGCTCTCTCAGTAGCTCTCAGACCTTGAATATTGTCTGTGCATCAGGTCTCATTGATGTCAGTTGCTTTGTAATGATGTAAGAAGATAGAATGAGTAGCTTTGGATGGCTGATTGGAACTTGTCAATTCAGGACTATCATATGACGTATGTATATACCACTCTACAAAGTACCCACATGTCCTCCTGCCTTTTTTTCTAACAACTCATTCAGTAGCTATTATACTCCCCTCTTAGAGATGAGGTTTAAAGAGTTTAAGTGATTGACCCAAGGACATACTGATTTGAGCCTTCAGACCATTATCAGGTATGGTTCTTCGTAACTTACTATGCCACCTAGATTTAAGTGAATATGTTTAGGGCTGGCTTTAGGCCTAGATACAGGAGATGATTGCTCTTGCAGTGAGATGGTGAAGAGAGGGTATGGGTGGAGAAGAAGTTCTGTGGTAGAATATCTGAAAACTTAATATCCCCCAAATCAGAAATTCATTCTCTTTGGTTAAAGATTGTACTTTGAAGGTATTAATTTCTCTCAGGAAACCATAGCTCTTTTCCCTGTAATCAGCCATTTGCATTCTAATTTGAGCTGAATTAGTGTTAGCCTTGAGTGGGGTTCACAGGAGTGGCAAAGACACGGAAAATGGGCTGCCATTCCTAAAGCCAGTGCCCAGTACCTCATGAGATGCTCAAACCTCCCAGGAGTGGAGGTGGCCTCACATATTCCTTCTCAACCCAGTATTTGAGGAAACAATTTCCTTTTGATTGGAGTTGACATTTGAATTGGAGTTCCTTTGGAAACAAAAAAGGCATGGAGTGAGAAGGGGAGGGGGTTCTGTTTAACCAAGGTGGGCCTGGGTGTAGGCTGAGAAAGGACTGTGACAAGGTAAGAGTAGGTAGCAGGTGACAGGAGAGGACAAGAATCTAATGGAGCTTGGAGCAAAGAGGACTTGGGAAACTTCCAAATAAAAAGATCATGTTGATAACAATTTTGCCTAAGTTTGCTCCTGCAGGTAAACATATCCAGTATCAAATACTTCAGTGGCAAAACCCTGCTCAGGCTGAGAACTCAAAAGAAGCCAAAATCCAGTAAACTCTGATACTGTCAAAATACTCCCTTATAAAAGAGATTCAAGGACACTCATTCCTACAATGAAGTCTGGGCCCCCAGTCCATCTTCCTCCGCTCCCCATTCCCTGCCCTAGCATTTTCTCTGGAATGACTCCATCCAACAGAACTTTGAGAATTTGACTCCAAAACTCTGAAGGGCAGGTCAATAGGTTGAACTGCCAAGATTACAAAGATGAAGACACAATCTGCCTTCAGGGACGCCATGACAGGATTGGAAGAAAACACAGATAATGACATGATAACTGATGGCATAACTGAGGAGAAGAGGGAGATGGGTGATGCAGGCAACACTTGCCAGTCATGGGCAGAGGATGGAAAATCCAGACATGCTAGGAACACAAGCAAAGCCTCAGGAAAACCTACTGACTTAGCCCACTCCTCAAAAGACAGACTCTGAGGTGGAGATTTATATGCAAGACGTTTACAAAGCAATTCCCAATGCTTCTTGGGAATTTGCTTAGAGGGAGGAGTTGAACTGTGAAGCAGTTGCAAGAGGCCTTTTAGTAGGAGCTGGGGAACCAGGATGGCCTTTAGAGTCGGGGCAATGAGCGCCTTTGTGCTTCTCATCCTCAACCAGTCATTGAAGTGAGCTTCTGCTGGGCTGGCGATGTGACCTGGAGCAAGAGGGACTCAGTTAAGAGCCACTGGGAGTCCAAGTAGCTGGGAAAACGGGGACCTCAGTCCTGAGGGAGGATCTAGGTATGATTTCACTGCATCCACTGTACATATGAGCTGGGTCCTGATGTGTATGGGTTAGATTTGCGTGGTTGGAGTAAAGGGAGAAAGGGACAGGAACTTTTTTTTTTTTTTTTGGAGACAGAGTCCCGCTCTGTCGCCCAGGCTGGAGTGCAGTGGTGAGATCTCGGCTCACTGCAAACTCCGCCTCCCGGGTTCACGCCATTCTCCTGCTTCAGCCTCCCGAGTAGCTGGGATTACAAGTGCCCGCCACGACGCCTGGCTAATTTTTTGTAATTTTAGTAGAGACGGGGTTTCACCTTGTTAGCCAGGATGGTCTCTATCTCCTGACCTCGTGATCTGCCTGCCTCCGCCTCCCAAAGTGCTGGGATTACAGGCGTGAGCCACCGCGCCCGGACTGTTTTTTTTGTTTGTTTTTTTTTGTTTTTGTTCTTTTTTTTTTAAAGTGAGCAGAACATTGCGGCTCTAGTGAAGGTTACGCATAGGCAAGCAGACGGGGTGTGAAATTAGGAGGAAGGCAAGGGGCTCCCTGCAGAGAATCTTGAAGGCCAGTCATGCCTGCACTTCGTCATTTTCTCAACAAAATATATTAACATATAACATTTAATATATGGTATATAGTTTTTCGCTGCTATAAGTGTAGGGGTGGAGGATATGGGGGCCACTTGTAATATGAGCAAATAATAACTTTGATTTAGTATCATTTTGTCACATTTGTTCTCAAATATTTATTATTTTCTTAACTGCTCATGGGAGTACTGAAATCCTATAATATATGTATTTTTGGCTTTCTGGGGTTTGACTAATATAAGATGATAAATCATCCACCTGCAAACATAGTGGACCTCTTCTGCAGAGAGACCAACATTCAGGGTTCTAAAAGCCAAGCCTTCCCAGCAATGTTCTCTCCATCTCCCTGTGACTACATCCCGCAGAAAGCTGTCATTAGGAAGGAAACATGGTGTTTGGACCATTTGTACTGGTTTCTAAGTGAGTGTTAACACAGGAATACAGATGTACTATGTGAGGTTTGGATAATGGACACTCATTTATAAGGTAATTGTCACCAAAAATAGGGGATTATGTTAATTTTTTATAGTCTGGGCATTTTGCACTTTGAAATGAGAATGAAAAAAGAAGTAGCTACTGAGTGGGATGATGAATGAATGAGGGGACAGAGCCAGGGCTGACATCCCAAGTATTAGATCCACATATTCTGTGTTGGATCTTTTCCAGGGTAAATTATAGAGGAAAATGCCATTTGTCTTATTTTCATCCTTTCCATCTGTGGAACTTGAAGAGTTACTACCATTTTTTATTGAGCTTGTTTTGAGGAGTATTAATTTAACTTTATACAAAGATGAAAAAGAATGTAAAATAAGAATTTGGTTTCTTGGCAATTCGAAATGAGGTCACTGTTTTACAAGGCCTTATCATCCGTACAGTCATTTTTTTAAGGGTAGCTAATTAGCGGAGGATCCAGTGGAGTTTTTATACCCAGTATGTCTAAGAATCATGTGGGCTTGGGTACTGGACTCCACTCCAGGGGGTTCTATTTCAGAAGTTCTTATGGCACAGAGAAGTATGCACTTGAACAGGTGTTTTGTCTGATTCTGAAGCAAGTGGTCTTCTGTCCATGAGTGATTACTACAGTGAGATAGATAATAAAAGTTTGTTTGAACTGGGGCCTACACATGCCTATGGGATCTAGGCAGGAAATATAAATAACAGGGGCTGCCCGATAGAAGCTGATTAGGGCTTGGTGCCTATTGCTGCAAGCTGGAAAACACATGTAAATGGAGCAACAGTGTCTCAATTTTCACTTGTTGTTGTGATGGGGGAGTGCGATTCCAATACTGCTAAATGGCCTGAGCATTCAACAGATATCAGAAAGCTGGAAATCTATACAAAGTCTCGTAATATTTAACTGTTGACACCTAATTGAAATAAAATAAAGACTACGTGTTTGGCAGATAAAATACGTATGCTGGATTCCATCTCTGAGCAGCCAGTCTGATGTGTCTGGTCTAGAGAAAGGAAGAAATAAAAGGTGTTGGGATTGTGCAGGGTGAGTTTCAACGCTGTTAAGGCAGAGTGGTCTTAGGTGATTCTCTTTAGAGAAGCTGTATTTAAACTTCTTGTTCTATGAACAGTGTCAGGGGCAAAACGGTGACATGATCAAAGATATTGTGGTTTGTGATGCAAAAATAGAATATTTGGCACCTAACACAAGCACAAAGATCTATTATTTTCAATTACTTCCTTAGAGTTTTTTTGGAAGATTTATTTTCAGATTTGGAGGTAACCCATTGCCAACCGTGTCCTGGGGGCATGGGAGATGGGTGGATTGGCATGGGCAAGAGGACTTGAGCCTACAGGTGGAAGTTAGGTGGGAGATGATATTGGAGGCAGCATCTTCCTGGGTGCCTGGAATAGTAATGTCTAAGGTGGCCTAAAGCTACACATGGGGAAATTAAAAGAAAAGACCTGAGATGCTGACCCAGACAGTCAGGAACCAAGAGAACTGGAGGCAGAATGAAGCTGGGAATAATGCTTTGGGCCAGAGCTCATCAAAGGGCAATCTTTTCTATAAAGAAGTGAGCTCTATTTGAGAAAAGAATAGTTAAATGTGTCTTGAGGCCAGGCGTGGTGGCTCATGCCTGTAATCCCAGCACTTTGGGAGGCTGAGGCAGGCAGATCACGAGGTCAGGAGATCGAGACCATCCTGGCCAACATGGTGAAACCCCGTCTCTACTAAAAATACAAAAATTAGCCAGGCATGGTGGTGCGTGCCAGTAATCCCAGCTACTCGGGAGGCTGAGACAGGAGAATCACTTGAACCCGGGAGGTGGAGGCTGCAGGGAGCCGAGATCGCGCACTGCACTCCAGCCTGGGCAACAGAGTGAGACTCTGTCTCAAAAAAAAAAAAAGTGTCTTGAGGGATCCGAGTTCTCACCCAAAATATCTTTCTATCCCTTCTGTGTACTCAAAATGTAAATACGTATTCCAACCCCTTACCTCCCTCCTCACCATCATGTACTGACATGGCCAATGGCCTTGCATAGCAGAAAGATGAGCTCAGCTGAAGTCTCCTTTTTTATGTCTGGGGCTTTGGAATGGCTGCTGAAGGTGAGTATGAAATTAGATTCTCTAGCTTGCCTTCTGCACCTAGAAGCAGCTCAGTTCGGGTCCATGGCAGCCAGTATTCACTAGGGGAGGGAAGTGGGCCAGAGAGTGGAAAATGTCAGTGGTTCCCAAACGTAGGTCAGCACCTATCGGTCATTGCTCTGATAAGCTCATAACATGGTGGTAGCAAACAATCCTGAATCGTAACACAGCAAAATGGTATTTCTCACTCAAGACTATATGACCAATAGCGTTAGCAGGGAGTGTGTGTGTGTGTGTCTTGCTCATTGTAGTTTCCTGGGTACTGAGGCTGAAACAATATGTCAAAGGTAAGTAAATCAGGGCTTCAGGTACATCAAAGATAAGTACATCAGGGGAAGAGGCTGGGAAGAACTACTTACTGGCTTTGAAGCCTCTGCCTGAAAGTAACACATGTTACTTCTGCCTACATTTCAGTGGTTATAGCAAGTCACATGGTCATGCTTGCCTTCAAAAGAGGCAGGAAACTGCAATCCTACCACAAGATTAGAGCAGAGAAATGGAACATTTGTGATCTCTCTGAGAACCTCCACAGACCTCAAGATTCGGATTCATTAGATTTTCCCCAAGTCATTCTAAGTCTCTCCTACATTTGGAAACCTCTGATCTACCCAGTTCATCTTTGGAGGAACTTCTTAGCTGAGATTTGAGTCCTTTGTTGGTTTCTTGGCAAGGCATCCTAAGTATTGAGTATAGATTTGCATTCAGAAGATATTCAATGAACCATTTTTCTCAGTAACTCACCCACTCTTCAACAGGAAACCAAATGCAAAGTAACTGTGTTTTTTATTTCTATGAACAATAAAATACTTTCATAATTTCACATCCCATTGCTTTTAAGAGCACATATATTACAAATAAAGGAACTCCACAAACTTTAAAGATTAGTATTTATCAACGCTTTTGTACACATACACAAATATTTTAATATAATGGTATCTGAAATGTTATTCATATATTTTTAGTACTGTCATAGTATTAACTAAAAAGGATCTTTTAAATTTGGTAAAAACCGTATATTTTACAATCTTTTATTTACATCTGAAATATGCTTAAATGTTACAAAAACATTCACTTTAACCTTTAAAATATGTGTACTAGGACTGGGGTACTGACCATACAATAACTGACAGCAAACTTAGGGTTTGCATTTGAGCTACACATTCACTGGAATTTCATGGCAAATATTCAACCTGGCTTGATCAACACTGCTCAAAGAAAAAAAAATTATACAAAATGTGCAAATTCAGAGGTTGGCAAAATTCTGAAGCTAGCGAGGTAAACAAAAATATTAACACCATGAAAACTTCAAATAAATTAAACCTATCTTTCTCTTCCCCGAGATTAGCTGCAAATTCAGAAAGTTCTCTTAGAGGTGGGTCTGATGCTGCAGAGCCCTCAGACTTCAGCACTAGATGAGATGGAGACCGTGGGTAGGGCCGGAGTTGCTTTGCTAATTACTCGAGTGCAGGTTTGGTCCACTCCGCGCTTTGACAGGTCGTCCCTGCCCGTAATCTTAAAACAGGGAAAAACACAACACAACAGAATGCAGAGGTTAATGTTAATATCCCAAACACAAAATTAAAACCCAGAATAGAGGTTTTCATTCCCCACAGGGTAATTTATTCAAATTATAAAAAGACACATATTAAAGTGGATCTAAAGAATTTTCCCCCAAGACCACGTGCTAGCTTTAACTTTTGGTGAAAGTTAAAATATTTTCACAATCCTCTTCTGCTATCTGACATAAATTTATAAATGTTTGGATGAAACTTACAAATATATCTGAGTAATTCCAGGATTTTATTCTATTCTAAAAGTTTATAATTTATATTGTCAGCATCTGCCAAAAAAGGGAAACATTAGAAATTTTATTTAAATGTTTGCATAAAAGGAAATATAGTAAAAAAGTCTTGACCTGATTTTAATCTTGAAAATAATGTTAGTGTGCCTAAAAAATACTTTATCAGATTGATTCAAACAATGACGTGTAAGCATAATAACAACAGAAACTCCAGACACTTTTAAAATATATTTTTGTACAGAAGAGATTTCTGTACAAAGAATTGTGAAGATTTTCCCACTAACTTCACACATTATCCCACTGTGCCATGACCTTCATCTCTACTCTTCCAAGATAGAATCGCTACTTCTGTAAGTGCCCCAAAGAGCACTCAGCTGAGAGCATCCTATACTACCAATAAATTCTCCTTATGATCAATATCACAAAGCTCTGAATAATCTGGCTGATGATGTGTTCAAAGAGTAGACTCCAGGTGCAGTATACCTATGCTTGGTATCACACCAGATTGGGTCCATTCCTTTCTCTGCATTTTGTATTGGATACCCATCATCACAGTTGACTTCACTATGCTGTTATTCTTACTGAATGTTGAAACAGACTCCAAATGGGCATCTTATACTGATGCTTAAACTGAATGCTTATATGCATTACTTTGGCTTCAAAGAAGGCTTTTATGTTTTTTGCTATTTATTATAAACAGTATGGAATTTTGGCACCTATAAAAGCAATTATTGCCTGCTGGTCAGTGACAACTCAAACTACTTTACCTCAACATCTCCATTTTACACAGTAGCATCCACTTTATCTTGTCTTGTCTCGTTCCTTATACTGAAGGTTCCTTCATTAACTAGATGTCTTCAAAATACTCCTCTAGCTAATACTTTTCTAGACACTTTTGGAGTGAATTGCATATGTAGCTGAAACAGCAGAAGGACGAACATAACTACATTTTTTAGTTTTAATCATGGGGCCTTTACCCATTCCTGAATGTAGGCTGGGATCACTTTGGAGCACTGATATAATCTGAAAAAACAGCAATCATGTAGTTTTTTTTTTAGACGGAATCTCACTTTGTCACCCAGGTTGGAGTGCAGTGGCATGATATCAGCTCACTGCAACCTCCGCCTCCTGGATTCAAGCAACTCTCCTGCCTCAGCCTCCCAAATAGCTGGGATTACAGGCACCTGCCATTACAGCCAGCTAATTTTTGTATTTTTAGTAGAGATGGGACTTCACCATGTTGGCCAGGCTGGTCTCGAACTCCTGACCTCAGGCAATCTGCCCACCTCGGCCTCCCAAAGTGCTAGGATTACAGGTGTGAGCCACTGCACCCGGCCTCATGTAGTTTTTAAAACTAACCCTGGGATTAAAGAAGTATGTAGACAACTTCTATGTTTTTTTAAAGACTATGTTTTTTTAAAGATTTATAGGAGCATTGTGACCTGACCAGGACAAAGAAGTTTGCAACCTCCTCAGACCTTTGCTCATGCCCAGATATCTGTGGTCATCAGACACTTCTTGATTTCAACCCCCTTCTTTTCTCCCTGCCCTTAACATAAAAAGAGCCTACAATGTGTACTGAGTTAAGATGGTACTTTAGGATGCTGGATCACCATCTTCATGTTTGCTGGCTCTCTGAATAAACCTGCTTTTCCTCCCATCAACTCTCACTTCTAGTGTTCGGCTATTGAGCAGACAGCAGCCAAATCTGGGTTTGCTTACACATAATTAATTCTATTTTTCTATTTCCTTTTTATATTTTGATGTGTAGCTATCCATTCTAATTGTTTCTTTTTTTTTTTTTAAGACACAGTTTTGCTCTTGTCTCCCAGGCTGGAGTGCAGTGGTGTGATCTTGGTTTACTGCAACCTCTGCCTCCTGAGTTCAAGCGATTCTCCTGCTTCAGCCTCCCGAGTAGCTGGGATTGTAGGAGTGTGCCACCACACAGGCTAATTTTTTTTTGTATTTTTAGTAGTGACGGGGTTTCACCATGTTGGCCAAGCTGGTCTCACACTCCTGACCTCAGGTGATCCACCAGCCTCAGCCTCCCAAATTGTTGGGATTACAGCATGAGCCACCGTGCCTGGCCTGTTTCTATTTTTAAGTGTTCAATAGAATTTTTTTCCTTTGTTGTAATTTTGTATGTACCTGTTTTCAGAATATGTGCATGAATAGATAGGTATGTGAAGGTATTCCTATAGATGGAGACCTAGGTGACAAATCCCCATTGAAGTTCAGAACCAGGAGAAGGTGTATATTTCCTGTGGACAGATCTTTTTATAGATCTATTTCTATAACAAGGCCTGTGCAATCCATCAGTTTCTTTTCTTTGTGTCAGTTTCCATGAGGCATAGAGTCAAGTTTTGCTTCTTTTAGCAAAGGTTTCCTGGAAAAGAGATGATTTTTCTCTCCCCTTAATCACCTAGTCCTTGTCTTTATATTTTTGTTTTAGCAGTTTTAGGTACAGCATATCTTTGTTTTGGAAACAAATCAGCTCAAATATACTTTAGAAGTTGGAGTATGAGTTTTCATTTTAAAAGCTGTGTTGTTAACTTCAGTTTAAATCATGAGGCTTTTCCCCCCATTGACCTACCTTGAAATGGAAATGGAGTTGTTCTAATTAAATAAAAACTTAGAGAGCACTAGCTACTAGGGAGGTGACTAGAGAGACTGAATGGCTAGGAAGAGAGGGGTACACCAGAAGGCCACAGAGGACAGAGTAGACATAAAGAAAGAAAAACATACCACTTTTGCTTACAGTACTGAGGGAAATACTAGACACAGAGGAACAGAAGCTGTATAAACACGGACCTCGACAGAGCTGCCAGGAAAAAAGAGAAAAGCATTTTTGTCCAAAGTTTCTAGGTCAGATGTGATTTACAGTTGGAGACAAGCATTCCTTCACCACCTTCCCGAACTTTCAGATCCATCATTTGTTCTTTTTATTTCACTCCCAGATTTATGATTTTCCCCATTCTATCAAGTCATCTCTCCTGAGTACTTAATTCCTGTCACCCCTCAAATAGCCTAAACCAATACTACCTCCACGAGGAATCCTATCTACGGCAATTCATTTTCTCCAATATAACTCGGTCAACCATTTCTTTCTCTAGCTACAATGGAGAGTTAAAAATCAGGATGGAAGAAGATGGAAAAACCGAAAAGAAGCAAGATGGGAAATGCAATTAGAAAAAACAGATTCATACAACACACTTCATGGTTTGTGAGTCGTATTAACAGTGCCAGGCCATTTAAGGAAAACAAAGGAAATGCATATTCAGTGGGTGGCTACCATGTATGAAGCACTACTGGGAGACTAATTCAAGTTCTGCTCCTCAGTTTTTCTGTAGAGAACACATCTAACTCCTGGAGGGGAGCACGGGTGATGAGATGTCCAGGTAGAGTGTGGGGGTATGGATTCTAGGAAGTAGGCCAGGAAGCAACACTTGGCTTTCAACCAGTTGATTTTTAGCCACCCAAAAAGTACTGAGATGACTGAATGCCCACATTTTGTGTGCAGCCTTGCAGAACATGCTGTACACATCCCAGACGTCACGGATGACTTGCTTGTGGGGTGGGTGGTTGAGTTTTATCTGAATTCTGCACATCTGCAGGAGGCCCAGCCTCCGTAAAGGCAGTCTTGGTGGTAAACAGCCATGACTAGTCTTAGGGTTCATCGTGAGTATAGTGTAGAGACCCCCTCAACTGTGGACTCCACATCATGGCCTCAGGGTTGTGAGGTCCTCAACTAGGGATGGCGGAGGGTGGCAGCAAACCCTCATGGGAATGCCACCCAGTGTTCCTCAGCATTTAATGGGACTCACATAGTCTAGAAAACCCAGGGTTCATTTGGACTGTGGAAAGTATCTAGGTTCTCATAATCTTTTTCTACAGAGTTTCCCCCAGCCTGATCTCTGCTTTGGGGCACGAGGTGGTGTGCACGGGAGAGAGAACAGATCAGCAACATGGTGCTGATGCAGTGATTTCTGCAGCAAGAAAAGGGCCTCTTTCCTGTCCTTCTGGCATTGGGAGCGAAAGGGACTTTCTGTCCACTGATAGCGCGTGTGCACCAAGGAGCGCTCACCTGCTCATTCATGACTGTGGAGAGTTCGCTGAGCATGTCCTTGTAGTGGGACCTCAGTTCTTCCTGGTACTCCAGCTGGTCCTCTTTGATGAGGCGCTCATTCACGTCAAGGGCCTGCCCACATGCATCTGCAAATTGCCTTTAGCGACAGCATTAAACAAATTAAAAACCAGCCCTCGGAAGTGGCATTGAGCTCAGTGACTGTGAGTTCAGAGTCAGGCTGCTGATGGACTCTGCCACCTCAGTGAGTTTTGGTGTGATGGATTCTTGGGGGATTGAGGACTCCCTGTCTCAGGAAGTTCAAGGAAGAACATCCCAACAGCGAGAAGCTTACCTGAAGATCTCCTTCAAAAGCTTTACTTGGTTGTCAGGGTACTTCTTTGCATTGGTTTCTTCAAGAAAAGCTCGTGCATAGGCCATTGGCCCAGCATTAACCTGTTGAGAAGAAAATTGGTGAAGGATGATCTACCTTCTGCATGGAGTCTTTTCCACCGCTGGAAGAGGAGCAACTGTGCACCAATGGTGTGGTACCCCCATCTCACACCCTGCCTTCTAGTCCACTCATTTGTATACCTGACTTAGCTGCTGTCCTCCAACTTGTCAATAGAGCATGAGTCTGAGCTCCACCTTTCACTAACAAACTTCCCAAATTTCAGTCCTTTGCCAACCCCTTCACATTTTTTTTTTTTGTCATATCTGTACGTTGCTTGAACTACTATTTTTTTCTTTCTTTTTTTCTTTGTTAGAGACAGGGTCTCACTCTGTTGCCCAGGCTAGAGTGCAGTGGCATGATCACTGCAGCTTCAAACTATTGGGCTCAAGTAATCCTCTCGCCTCAGCCTCTCAAGTAGCTGGGACCACAGGTGTTTACTACCATGCCTGGCTAATTTTTTAAAGAAAGTTTTTGTAGAGACGGGGGAAGGGGGGCGGTCTCACTACATTGTCCCGGCTAGTCTGGAACTCTTGGCCTCAAGCAATCCATCTGTCTTGGCCTCCCGAAGTGCTGGGATTACAGGCATGAACCACCCACGGAATCTGCTGTTTTCTTAACAGCTTTTAAAACTAGACTCACTTCTATTAATTCCAATATATTTATTTAAATTTAACATTTGTGAAATCAAATGTTTGAAGTGCTAGTTTTTCTTTTCTATTAACACTCAAATAAACACATACTATTATGAAGGGATAATCCACAGTGGTAGTGGTGTGGGCACTGCCCTAGAATCAGTGTTTCACTGGGTTCCATTTGATGGTCTGGCTTAGATTCTGGCTCAAGGAGGCATTTATCAGATTTGCTGAATGAATGCACAGTGCTGGGTTCAATTCATGCTCATGCCCATGGATGGCCTCACTTGTGCAGGAGTTCATATCCCTTAGTGCATAGAAGCCTTTAATGTGGCTGTCAGGCTTGGGAAGGAAAAAGGTAAAAGAAGAAGGAAGCTGACTTCAGGGGCCTGTGACCAGCAGGCATGGCCAGTGTGGCAGATGCAGTCACTGGTACTGGGTGTACCATCTTTTGCTTCTCCAGATCAAATCTCCACTTCCCTTCACTCAGCTATGTGCCTAGGGAAGTCATCTTGTATGGGATAGGACAATGGCTCTCTTGCTTTCTGGCCTTCTCAGCCCATGGGGGACACAGACAAGGGAGGTAGGGAACGGGAGAGTGTGGTCAGTGTCAGGATCAGTAGCATTAATTTTTTCTTTGGCTTTTTTTTTTTTTTATTTTTTGAGATGGAGTCTTGCTCTGTCACTGATGCTGGAGTGCAATGGCATGATCTCAGCTCACTGCAACCTCCACCTCCCAGGTTCAAGCAATTATCCTGCCTCAGCCTCCCAACTAGCTGGGATTACAGGCGTGTGCCACCATGCCCGGCTAATTTTTGTATTTTTAGTAGAGGTGGGGTTTCACCTTGTTGGCCAGGCTGGTCTCGAACTCTTGACTTCAAGTGATCCATCCATCTCGGCCTCCCAAAGTGTTGGGATTACAGGCATGAGCCACTGCATCTGGACTTCTTTGGCTTTTAGGGTCCAATATAGCTGTGCAGGGTGCCACTACTGATCTTCCTTTATTTTAAAATTTAATACTTTATTCCTTACAAATACTTAGCATCAATTTATTAATATAATAAATAAAAATTAATGCCTTATTCCTGAGTTGCTTGGAGCTCCCTTTAATTTTGTGCCCAAGGTGAGTGCCTTACTCACCTCACCTGCCTGGCCCTGGTCAGAGTACTAAGCCCCAGGGCGTCCTCCTTGCAGAAGCCTCCCTATCGCTAGCTGAAGTCACTCCTGTCTACTTGTCTGTCATCAGATGGACCTCTCAGCTCCCCTGTCTGCTTCCACTAACCCTCCTCTCCTTGCATCTTCAGGTCTAGGGTGGTCACACCGCCTGAGTGCTGCCAGCCCCTGTGCCAGCCCTTTCTGGCTTTCCCAAATGCTGCACACACTTTTGGGAACAGTTTATTTACTCTATCCTCCTCAATCACTCACTGAGCATGCCATCTGCTTCCTGTCACAACTCTGCCAGACAGATAAACATGCATGCACCTTTTATGAACTAGTAATCATTCTTTTTTGGATTTGTTTCAAAACAATTTTTTAAGGCTCTTAATGACAGATATGTACAAGAATGTGGTGTTTCTTCATTAGTTAATTCATTTGTTAGTATACAGATATAGAACACAGTTATCCATAGAAGATGGGATAGCAAGGTGGAGGAAGAATACATTTTATTTCAGCTAAACTTAAGAAAGGCCTATCTACAGGTGTTGAGTAACATTAATGCACATTGACAACTAGAAGCCATTTTAAAGACCCAGATAAAGGTGTTCTATTCTCACAAAAGGGAAAATGTTTCTTATATTCTTTGTAAACAAAGTTCTCAGGGCATTTTACACCTGGTTTCATTGGCCATGTGCATCTCAGCCCTGGGCAATGCTTACTCACCTTCACGCTGACACTTCCTTGCAGTTTGAGCTGCAGTCTGATCATGTCCACTTCTTCCATTGTGCAAAGCTGATTAAGCTCAGAAACCTTCTTGGACATCTCGTCAATTGCCACTTCAATTGGATTCAGTTCTGTGCTCGATTGGCTAATTACTTGTATTCTCTTCTTCACGTAGGGGAACAGGTGACTCGCTGTACAAAAGCCATACAAAGGGATTTCAAGGTTGAGGATTAGTGAAGAGTCAAGGGTTTCCCTGAAGGACCAGAGGATCATGTATCATTTCACGGCACATGGCACCTTCCATTCTGCATGCTTTTCATGCATGGGAGTTACTTTTTCTGCTAGGTGCCATCCTCTCTAATACCTCTTAGCTTGTGCCCAAGCTCCTTTGACCTGTGTGCCCTTCTGCCTTCACTGCTAACAGGCCCTCATTCTCAGGGCTGTTTTAGGCCTTTAGAATTTTTTTCTTTTTTCTTTCTATCTTTTTTTTTTTTTGAGATGAGTCTCGCTCTGTAGCCAGGCTGGAGTGCAGTGGCGCGATCTCGGCTCACTGCAGTCTCCGCCTTCTGGGTTCAAGTGATTCTCCTGCCTCAGCCTCTCGAGTAGCTGGGACTACAGGTGTGCGCCACCATGCTCAGCTAATTTTTGTATTTTTAGTAGAGACGGGGTTTCACCATGTTGGCCAGGATGGTCTTGATCTCTTGACCTCATGATCCGCCCGCCTCTGCCTCCCATGTGCTGGGATTACAGGCGTGAGCCACCGCACCCGGCCAGCCTTTAGAATTTCTAAACACTGAAAAGATTAAAGCTTCCACAGCAACTTGTAATTCAAATAAAAACTACACTAACCCACAATACAGAATGCCTAAATATATACCAAGTAGTATATATTGATATAGCTTTGTTGTGGCTTTTTTATTTCAAAAGTTTTGGATACATTTACTGAAGGCAGACGCTTGTCACAGTTTAGACATCAGTGCTACTGATAGGCTGTAGCCTATTCCAGGATGGCCCAGCTCTCAAAGCGGGTTACTGATCATTTCCTCCAGAATGCCCTTGCTCACCTCCCCTGCAGCCAGCCTTAGGAGCCCCCACTGGGTGCTCTTGTTTCATTTCTCCTGCTCCGCTCATCTGAAATTCTTGCCTTACTTGGCTCTTTCTCCTACCAGACTGTGAGCACCTTGAGGGCAAGAATCATGTTTCATTTGCATTACCAGTACCCAGAACAGTGCCCAGCCCCTAGCAGGGCCTCACTAAAAGTGTGTTGAGGAAATGAAAGGATGACTAGCTCACAGCATAGATCTAGAGAGCACATCGAGGGATATTGGAGACCGACATCTGCATTCGTTTTACAGATGAAGAATATGAATCCCAGAGTGGTTTAGAATCTTTCCCCAAAGCACACGATAAGAGCTGTTAACCCTGAAACAATTGAAGGTAGACTCAGAGAGGAAAGTTCAGAGTGCCTTGTGCCTTTCCCAAGGCACTGACCCCATCACCCTTCACACTTACAACCTTAAGGGAATAGGTATGCAAAGCAACTCTTTTGACAATTTCTCCTCTGGTTGACTTCTGTTAATGGAGAATAAAGAGATGGAAATCTCTTCTTGGCAAACATTTCCCAGTTAGCACATGTTGGGTACTTCTCTGCAGGACTGAAATAACTCTTGATTCCTACTGATCCAGCCCTATAAAGGGGCCTGTGCTGGAACAGGTGCCACATGTGTGGCCCGGCTACCTGCACCTACTTGTCAGGATCGTCCGCCGCTTGCACTGCTCCGCCACCCCACCGTGCTTCTTGCCCGACAGCGTGAAGGGTGTCTCGAAGACAAAGCGGTTGATGTTGTGGTGCATTTCGAAATCTGTCTTCCGGTCTTCGATTTCCTTTTCCTCAAAGAACGGCGTCACATAGGTCACCTGGATGTAGGCATATTTGGGGTCCAAATCCTTGGGGTTTACCTGTGTTAACAGATTATGGGCAAAGTGAGTGGTGTGCCCTGGAGCGCTCTGAAAGCGGGAAGCTCCCATTCCCTCAGCTTGCATCCAGAGGAGGCTGTGCCTCTCCCCTTGGAGAAAAATGGGCAGTCACATCATTTCAGAGCTGGGCAGGATCACAGAGAGAGTAAAGGCTGGACTGCAGCTGAGCAGCCAGGTCTGTAGGGGTGGAATTAGAGCCAGCATACCAAGTAGGTGAGGCTCTTCCAGATGTGCCTGGCTGTGGCATGTTATTTAGTCTTTTATTTTCTCTCTTCTCTGTAATGAATGTTCAATCGCCTTTGTCTGGAATGCAAACTTCTTTTATTTTTCATTTTATTTATATTATTATTATTATTTTTTGAGACAGGGTCTTGCTCTGTCTCCTAGGCTGGAGTGCAGTGGCACGATCTCGGCTCACTGCAACCTCCCCCTCCTGGGTTCAAGTGATTTTCCTGCCTCAGCTTCTCTAGTAGCTGAGATTACAGGCATGTGCCACCACACCTAGCTAATTTTTGTAGTTTTAGTAGAGAGAGGGTTATGCTCTGTTGGCCAGGCTGGTCTCAAACTCCTGGCCTCAAGAGATCTGTCCTCTTGGCCTCCCAAAGTGCTGGGATTAGAGCCAAGGGCCACTGCACCCAGCCCTAGAATGCAAGCTTCTTGAGAGTAATTCAAATGAAAACTTTTAAAAAATATCTTTTGGTCCCTCTATGATTTTACCCATGTATCTAGACTGAGGCCACTGGCTTTGGGCTTGTGCCGAGGAGGGAGATTCCTTGTTTAATTTAGCAGATTAGCTGATAAGCCTATTACATGATTGCAAAATTTTATAGTTTTAAGGTCAGGTTCCTTCTCTTATCTGTAACAAGTCATCCCATGCATTTTTTTTTTTTTTTAAACAAACTGCTTTGGTGAGTGAGTTTGACAAATAGCAAGGAAGACAGGCTGGGGGTACTAAGAAAATCCAGGAAATTGCACTTGCTCTCCCTTGGAGTTGGAAGAGCTGGAGTTCTCAGCTTTTCTAATGAAACCTCAAAGAATTTTAAAACTTCTTCCAATTTTCTCCATCTGTCTACCCATCCACTGCCTATCCAGTCCCAGAGATTTGAGGGACCTCCTGAATTTATTTTGTAATGCTACTACTAATTACACTGTAAGGCGGGTATAATTGTAACCATTTTACATCAAAAATAGAGGTTTCGAGTGACCAGCTAATTTCTCTAAGATCATCAGCTGATAAGTGGTGGGATGGTGGAATGAATTCTTAAGTTGTTCTGATACCAAATTTGGCATTTTCTCATCCCCCCACGCTGCCCCAGGAACTCTGTGTATACTTTCTACCTAGGAGAGCCACTAATAAAGTAGTTCCAGCTGCCTGCCTTCCTGGGGAAGGTGACTATAGCTAAGAAGGAGAATGATGAACACATTCACAGAAATTTCTGCCCAGACTCAAGGATTTCATGCCCAGATGCCTCCAAACTTGAGCTTGTAAAAGAGGACAGAAAAAAAAAAAAAGAACTCTTCTGTAGCCCAATAGAACTGTATGCCATTGGGCACAAACCACCTTTTCCAGCTGCATCTTCTGCCACACTCTTCTATCCAAACTGTGTTTCAAAGACCTGCCATTCTCTAAACATATCTCCCTCTTTCATTCCTCCCCATCATTGCATGTGCTGGGCTTCTCAGCATGCCCTTTGCTTCCAGAAAACTAACTCAAACATCATCCCTTCTATGTAATGCTGCCCAACTAAGAATGAGCTGTTAAGGAAGGTCCCTGCCCTGAGCTTTCCTTGTACAACTTGGACTTTGACTCTCTGGTGACACTTTATTGTAATCTATTTAATTGGCTGTTTGCACAGGTCCTTCTCTTCTTAGCCCCATGTGAACTGTGAGCTCCAGAAGGAAAAGACCCTGTGCGCCTCATCTCTCAGTTCTGGGCTTGGCATTCAGCAGGCATTTGATAGAGGTTGGCTAACTGAACGACAGTGTGTAAGAAGATGCTGAGTAATCTAAAAGAAGAGGTAAGTATTTGCTTTCTGGAGCCAAGAGGAAGGTAACTGAATGTTCAAAGGTTAATGTAATGTAATGTAATGTAAAGTATGGCGTAGTGTGATGGTTAATATTAAATGTCAACCTGATTGGATTGAAGGATGCAAAGTATTGTTCCTGGGTGTGTCCGTGAGGGTGTCGCTAAAGGAGATTAACATTTGAGTCAGTGAACTGGGAGAGGCAGACCTGCCCTCAATCTGGGTTGGCACCATCAAATCAGCTGCCAGTACAGCTAGGATAAAAGTAGGCAGAGGAATGTGGAAGGATTAGACTGGCTAAGACCCTGGCCTCCATCTTTCTCCTGTGCTGGATGCCTCCTGCCTTCTAACATCAGACTCCAAGTTCTTCAGCTTTTGGACTCTTGGACTTACACGAGTGATCTGCCAGGGGCTCTTGGGCCTTCAGTCACAGATTGAAGGCTGCACTGTCAACTTCCCTACTTTTGATGTTTTGGGACACAAAACTGGTTTCCTTGCTCCTCAGCTTGCAGACAGCCTATTGTGGGACTCCACCCTGTGATCGTGTGAGTCAATACTCCTTAATAAACTCCCTTTCATATATACATCTATTCTGTTAGTCCTGTTCCTCTAGAGAACCCTGACTAATACGCCTGGGAAGACTTCCTTAACTGAATAAATATTTTCAACTTGCTGTTTTCTCCAATTCCACCACTGAGCCCAATTACTTTCAGGCTTTGATTGCTATTCAAATGCAAATAACCAATGGAGACGTAGAGAATTTACTAAGCTCTTTTTAAAAGTTACCCAAATAAACACATATAATGTTTTTGACCCTCCTCCCCTCAAATTACCAACCAACAGGCAAACAAGCAAAACATCTAAAATCGTTTTTGTAGTTTACTTTGCATCGTCAGGCAGAAAATGAAAACTTAATGTAGTTAAAGAATAAAAAACTCAGTCAATTCTTAGCACTTGCATGAATACTGATTTTCCTCTACCTTGTTGGAATCCTGGATTATCTTCACATTGTCTGCTCCAAATTTATCTGCATAGAGCTTGAGTAATCTTTGGGAAATCTCGGACAGACCTGTCAGCTTAGGCTCTTTATAAATATACTCTTTACCTTCTTCTTCTTCAAAAAAGCCCTATGGAACATAATGAACCACCAATTTTATTAGACAATGCTAATCATAAATCAAAAGCAAAACAAAAAGCCATTTACTTAAAAAACATATACAGTTTTTGGTTGTCATCTAATCCATTGGTTAACACCCTATAAAATTCAAAATCGGAGAAGAAAACACAGTGAGAAAATAAAGTATCATCTTATAATCAGACATTAATGTAAATATTTCCTAGCCAGGCCAAAGAAACTCATGAAATATCTTACAAATATTATTTTCTCTATTTGTAGAACTCAATGGTACTACCTACTTGCATATATTTTGGGGGAAGAATGCCCTCTTGTGGCAGCTTGGGGTAGAACACGAAATATGGAGCAATTTTTGGCAGCATTCAAAGAGCAGTCAGTATCATTTTTAATAAGATCTCCTGTAAGTCTTTGAAACTAACATAAGAAATGGTGTATGGCATGTAAAGCTATTTAAATGGGCTGACGTGCATCCCACATAATCTTAGATGAAAAACCACAACACTTTATGTAGTTGTCGTAACAGAAATTACATGTGTTATGCTCCCAAGTACTGCTATTTAAAAAATAACTTTACATCAACATGACTTCAGGGACCTCCTGAAACTTACCTATATGTAACTTAATCATGCAATTCACCTTACTAAGAGATCTTTTACATTCTTGAAAAGGAAGACATTATAGGATTAAAAATAGCAATCATATCATCATTTTTATTCCACAAGAGCAAGTAGGTTTTAGCCTCTATTAATTTATTTGTCTGGTTTGAAGCAGGGGGAAGGGAAGATTCTATTAGCTGCAGATAACTAAGTGAAGCAATCTTTATAATTCCTTCTCTTTGAAGAGACACAGAAGCATATTTCCTGTGGAATACATGTGGCCTCAGAATACTAGATTAAGTTCGGAGTTAAGAACCCAAGGATATCTGGTTTCTTTTTTTTTTTTTGGCAGAGTCTTGCTCTGTTGCCCAGGCTGGAGTGCAGAGGTGTGACCTTGGCTCACTGCAACCTCTGCCTCCTGGGTTCAAGCGATTCTCCTACTTTGGCCTCCCAAGTAGCTGGGACTGCAGATGTGTACCACCACGCCCGGCTAATTTTTGTGTTTTTAATTAAGGTGGAGTTTCGCCATGTTGGCCAGGCTGGTCTCAAACTCTTGACCTCAGATGATCCACCCACCTCGGCCTCCTAAAGTGCTGGGATTACAGGCTATATCTGGTTTCTTCTAATTGTAGAGTTGACCCATAAGGAAATGCCTTTTGAGGTCTGGGTGAAGACACTGGATGTCAAAAGGAAACTTACCCATATTAAAAAATCAGTTTTGACTATTTAAAAATATTAATTGTTAAAAAAAGCATAGGCAAAGTGTTCCAGTGCTATTATTTTTTCATGGTGAGACAATATAAGAATATTGATTAAACTCACATCTGTATGATGCTTTATACTTCAAAAGCACTTTCATACATGTAAATAGGATCATCTTTAACAGGGTAATTTTTATTCTAAGTGGGCTGTGGCTGTACCTTTGCAGAAGCCAATGAACAAGGTCTACTCCATAGCAGAATTCTTGGCAATCAGGTAATCACCTGCTTCCTTGCACATCTCCCTAATTGACTTTGGGCTTTCTAAAGGTGGGAAATGTGTCTTCAACATTGCATGCCCAGTGTTTAGCACAATGCCTGGTCTTTAGGAGGAGGTCACTCTATTTGTTGAACAAGCAGATGAATGAAAGAGTTCTTAAAGGGCACACATCTTAAAAAGGCGTATGTGTACCAGGCATAACTGGAAAATAGTCCACGGCTTTAAATAAAGATGTTTTTATTGAACAATTTCTTCGAGAAATGTTCAAGACAAAATGCAAGTAATTATAAATGCCTTGACCCCAAACTGCTACAAAGTGTCATATGATGTTGAAAGCATGTAAAGCAGCTCCTGTCATTCCTGTAGACTTTGTAGGGGTAGTGAGGTCTGACTCCACTCCCACATGACTTCCAGCCTGCTATGTTTTTTTTCTGTTGCTGTCTTTGTGGAGTTTTGTCTGATTCAAGGTCAGGAGTTAGTGGCTACAATTGACAGACTGACACATCAGAGAAATAAGGCTTCTGAAGCTTTCAGGCGAATCCTCATGGGGCTAAAGCTGAAGCAACATTTGCAACTTCAATTTCAAGTAGAAAAATGTCTCTAAGGTTCAGGAAAAGATTTTTTCTTTTTCACCATAGTGTGAAAACTAGTACAAAGACACATTTTCACTGTAAAATTTTTCCCCTGACAAATTTCCGAATCTAGAGTGAGCAGAAAATGAGTGGTGGGAGGCAGGTAAAAATTGTCATCATCGGCTGGGTGCGGTGGTTCACGCCTGCAATCCCAGCACTTTGGGAGTCCGAGGTGGGCGGATCACAAAGTACAAGAGATCGAGACCATCCTGGCCAACACAGTGAAACCCCGTCTCTCTAAAAATACAAAAATTAGCTGGGCATGGTGACACACGCCTGTAGTCCCAGCTACTCAGGAGGCTGAGGCAGGAGAATCGCTTGAATCCAGGAGGCGGAGGTTGCAGTGAGCCAAGTTCGAGCCACTGCACTCCAGCCTGGGTGACACAGTGAGACTCTGTCTAAAAAAAAAAAAAATGTATTGCGGCCTTGCTCATAACCTGTGACTTTCTTTCATCCCTCCTCCTTGGGCTGTGGGATGGGAAAATTCAGACTCAGCAACCTACTTACTGGGAGGCTGTAAGGACCGCGCTTGGTAAACAGATGGCCTTTGGTGAGTGCTAGCTATGTTGAGGATGGTAATGATCATGACGCTGGTGGTGATGACAACAATGATGAAAAATCTCTGTATCTATAAAGCAATTTGAGTTCTGGCTTTTATGCAGCTTAACTCAGTTTTCAGTGCTCGAAAATACATACTTTCAGCTTCTCTTGCCTGGGCAACTGAGTTTTTCTTATTATAAAAGGTCTGTTGAAGCTCATTACAATATTTTGGCAAGTGATCAATTGGTGATTGGAACCTTTTTCTAAAGAGCTTGGAAATGTAAACCTGTTTTGTAAAATGAATAAGAAGGAGATGGAGGAGCAGAATAAACCATTTACTCTGCTGTCCACTGGGGTTTCTGTAAAGAGTTTTGAAGCCAGACAAATGGCAGCTCTGAAAATGTTTGGAATGCATGCTTACCTTATACCCAGGGAAACTATCAAAGCAAAGCCCACTGAGCTACAGACACTATCTGAAGGAAGGCTTCAATTTCAGCTCTGTCTATGATATAAATGATTTACAAACAGGGACACAGAGTTATGAAAACCAGGGTCAGTTTCTCTTTTGCTTTAGCCCCAAGGTTATAAGCTGACTGCATTTCAAGGCAATGGGAAATGTGATCTCTGCACTTCCCTTGCTAGTTTGATTTTTAAAATGTCATTTTGCAATGCAGTAAACACCTTCTTCTGCTCTGGTCAAGAAAGAACACACACTAGTTAAACAAGGACTGCATGGATTATGAAACTTTAAGGCAATACATTATGGTAAAAATGTACTTCAATAAACTGACAACTAAAAGCATTGACTCCTCCTCAGATGCTTTTGCAGGTACTTCAGAATCTTGCAATGTCCCTGGATCATCACTGTGTTGTCAAATATTAGGGCCCCTGGTATTTTATTAGACTCATTCAAAGTTCACAAAGAGAAGAATGTATTTGAGGAGGAATCTAGTATACAAAAGACAGGCCAGAAAATGTCAATACTAGGCTAAATGCTAAGAGAAGAGAAGCTACATGAATGAATTTCTCTGCATTCATGTAGCTTCTCTTAGCATATAAATCTGAACTCAATTATGACATTTAATTATACAGTATAGATATGTGGCCTAGATCAGCGACTTTCCTATAGGTGGAGAGCTATATCATGTCCCAAAGTGGAGATGATGGTTTTCCATACTACGCCTGCACCTTCCCTCCTCCCCCAAACTCCTTTTTTATTAAGATCCTGAGATGCAAGTACACCCATATAGGCATGACTGCAAATTATGGAATCTATGGCCTTTGGTGGATAGAATAAAATTCTTCCAGGTCTTTTACTTAATTAATTCCAGGGGCATCTGATATTTTAAGTTATGTAATGGGTATTCACTTGCTTTCATGTTAAATACCAGGGCCTAAGGACTTCATTGATTATAGTCGATGTTTGCTCACTGCTGCTGTTTCATTACTATGGAAATCAATACCTCAGGGACACTTTGGAGGACACTTTGTATAGGCTGCTATATGTCAAATTTCCATATTGATGCTGATGCCGGGTGTTGCATTAGACAATTCATGTTGTGCAAGACTTGCATTTTTTTAAAGTTCCTGCTATGAACGATCAGTTTTAAACTTGTTTTCTAGTGTCTGGCTCATTACAGACACAATTAGTATTAAATACCCCAGCCAAAACTATAAAATGAGAGCAGTGGTCTGCGTGGGACACTAAAAAATTGTACCCAAAGGCCTTTGTGCAGGCAAAGAGCCTATTGCATATCATATTTCCATAATCTTTTTAACATCATTGCAAGACACGTCAACTTGGATATTAAAAGGTAAGTTTTACAGGGACATAAAGCACCATTATGAATAAGAAATCATTTCTGACCATGGAGATTATGCTAATCAAGTAGTCAAGATTTTATCTTAAATCTTCGGAACCTTCATTCTGTACACGTTCGGGGGAATGCTCAAGTCTACTTGGTATTTATTTATCATGGAATGTGAAGTGATATGTGCTGTCTGCTCCTGTTGAATCCCATAGTTCTCACTCTCCATGTGGTGTCTTGAGACAGGCATTTGAATCTCATCTGAGCAATGATGAATGAGGCTCTAATTTGCTGCTTATCAGGATGACCTCCATTGGTTCTCCTTGTTCAAAGGTGGCTGAGTTTGAACTTATGGAGTGTCGTGCTTAGGCAGGTTCTCAGTCAGAGAATTTAACAAAACACTTTGCCTTTTAAGCTCAGACTGGAATTTTTTTTTTTTTTTTCTTGAGGCAGAGTCTCACTCTGTCTCCCAGGCTGGAGTGCAGTGGCACGATCTTGGCTCACTGCAAGCTCCACCTCCAGGGTTCACGCCATTCTCCTGCTTCAGCCTCCCGAGTAGCTGGGATTACAGGCGCTCGCCACCACGTCCTACTAATTTTTTGTATTTTTAGTAGAGACAGGGTTTCACTGTGTTAGCCAGGATGGTCTTCATCTCCTGACCTTGTGATCTGCCCACCTCGGCCTCCCAAAGTGCTGGGATTACAGGTGTGAGCCACCGCGCCCAGCCTTGGAATTTTTTTATAAAGACAAGTGAGAGTACTGCAGCATTAAAAAAAAAATCAGGTGTAAAATCAGCACACTTTACTGAGGAGTCTGAAAGAAGAATAAAGTTAGGTCATTTGCAAGGGCTCCCCCCAATACTTCCCCACTGCCCCCCCTCAGTCTATTTAGTACAGGGGTTTTCAAGTATTCTTTTAGTAGGTGAGTTAAGGGCCCATAATCCCAAATTTATAAATGAACATAGAAAATGCTGGTATGGTATGAATGTGGGAAGGAATTTAAAGAATTACAAAAAAGTATGTACTGGTCAGACAAGTAGGGCTGAATATGG
Source organism: Homo sapiens (assembly GCF_000001405.40). NCBI lineage: Eukaryota > Metazoa > Chordata > Mammalia > Primates > Hominidae > Homo > Homo sapiens. The sequence goes on from NC_000002.12 coordinate 224,783,898, forward strand.
ACAATGTGTAGATATTAAATGCTTTCTCTTTCCAGCTTAACTGACAATAATTAGGTTGAACCATATAAAGTTGCCATTTTTGTACATAAAAAAGTGGTTGAATATAGGCAATTTCATATGACTCAAAATAATATGAAGAAAATCCTTTGTCATAGAGCTCTGGGTACTGGCAGGTTATTTTGGACATGGCTTGTTCTCCAAATTTCTTACCTTGCTCCTTTCTCCATCTCTGGAGACTTACCCAGACATATTGGGTAAAGATTTATTCCCTGGTTCATCTTTTATGTTTGGAATTAGTCCCATCACCTCTGAGAATGCTTAGAGCTCACCACCATAGACCCCCATCACTCTAAGACACTCCTTCAGAAAAAACACAGTTTTTTCAATATCTTGGGAGGTGCTTACCAATAACCATCACTCCAACTTCCAAAATTCTGACCATTCTGGTCTCCTTAATAAGCTGCAACTCATAGTGGCCTGAAATAAGTAGACGATCTACAATACCAAGTCTATGCTACATATATTTAAGATACGTGGTACCCATACTTATCTCTGTGTGTGTTTGTGTATGTAAGGCTTTCAGACTACATCTACCTTTAGGCAGAAAGCATGTATGAAAAACAAAGGATACATTTTTGTAATTCAGATAACTGGCATAAACACAACTTAGTTAAAGAAATGCAGGATGACTCCAAAAATGAATGAAAGCAGGATTATCTCTCCCTTTGTACCAAATGGTGATTTGCACAAAAAGGTTAAGGTTCAGTAAAACCATACAGAGGGAAGTGTGAGGGGTGTTAGAGCATGCAAATGGAGAGCGAGAGTGAGTGAGAACTTACCACAGCCTGGAACAATCAAGACCAAAAGAAGAAAAGAGTAAACATCTGCATTAAAAACTATTTGAAAAGCAGCGTGATTCACTTCTACCTGCTTTAGAGCCCATATCTCATATATTGGTTGCAGAAACCATCTGGTAGGCAATCCTGTTTTCATGATCAGGTTATTAACGGGGTTTTTTACTTTTTCATTGGAAGGAATGCCTGAGGCTTTATAGAGTCATGTCTTGGTGACCCAGAAGCACATCTTTTGTGCTACTTCTGTGCTGCTCAGTTAGCCTGTGGCCATCTCCCTTGAAACTCTGTTTTTCCCTTTCAATTCTTCTGCTCCCACATCCCCTTCCCGACTCATAGCATTTTCTGCCATTTTTCTTGCTGTCTCACCAATGTCACAAATTGTATATTTTCTTCATGGCTTCCAAAATGGCTCCAAAATGCCATTTTCTCTTCTCTCTCTTCCTCTTCTGAAGGTTCTCACACTTCTCTCTCTCCCAATGTGTGTTCTCACTTCAGATAGTTCAGATTCTTTTCCATGGACCCCAAAAATGTCTAAATTTGCTTTTTTTTTTGGTATAGATTGTTTATGCAGATCCCCATTTTTCAGACCATTCGTTTCTCTGTCTCCACTATCCTGATATTCCTGTGTCCTGAGAAAAATCCCGGCTGGATTAATTTGTTTATAATAAATGGCTACTTGGTGATACTTATCTTTTCCAGGTAGAAAGTATCTGCCTTTATTAATTCAAAGGTTAGCTTTTTCTTTCTTTGATGGAGTCTCACTCTGTCACCCAGTCTAGAGTGCAGTGGCGCGATCTCGGCTCACTGCAAGCTCTGCCTCCTGGGTTCACGCCATTCTCCTGCCTCAGTCTCCTGAGTAGCTGGGACTACAGACGCCTGCCACCACACCCGGCTAATTTTTTGTATTTTTAGTAGAGATGGGGTTTCACCATGTTAGCCAGGATGGTCTCGATCTCCTGACCTCGTGATCCGCCCGCCTCAGCCTCTCAAAGTACTGGATTACAGGCGTGAGCCATGGCGCCCAGCCCAGAGGTTAGTTTTTAAGCTGCCTTTGGTGAGCAGAGGAAAATATGTATTTTTCAAACGACTTCAATGGGGATTGACCTAGAATGAACATGCTGGAGTTGACTCCTTCAGCTGCAACCTTAAGAACAAGAAGCTGAGGCCGGGTGTGGTGGCTCACGCCTGTAATCCCAGCATTTTGGAAGACTAAGGTGGGTGGATCATGAGGTCAGGAGTTCAAGACCAGCCTGGCCAACATAATGAAACCCTGTCTCTACTAAAAAATACAAAAATTAGCTGGGCATGGTGGCACCTGCCTGTAATCCCAGCTACTCGGGAGGCTGAGGCAGGAGAATTGCTTGAACCGGGACCCAGGAGGCGGAGGTTGCAGTGAGCCGAGATCACGCCACTGCACTGCACTCCAGCCTGGGCTACTGAGCGAGATGATGGGCTGGGGGCAGAGGAAGTGTGAGGTCTGAGAGCCACTGCCATTCCGAAAATAAAAGCATGGGATGTCTATCCACACAAGCAACAGTCTAAAATACGTCTGCTGAAATATAATAGCGTTATAAGCCTTCCTGAAAAGAAAATGAATGGTGCCTGGGTTTAGCCCATTGAAAATGTTGCTCAGAGACATTCATAATTAATATATAGTATGTTCACTTTCAGGCCAACACTGTGGCTAAGTAATATTTTCCATCTTCTTCATTGCTTATGCAGCAAACTGGGAAAAACAACTTTGAAATTACATTGACTTGCAATATAGGAAACAAAATAACCATCTGGTATTTTGTCTAGAAACAGTGGTAGTTCGAAAATAGGAGAAAAGAAATTGTGTGATAGTAAAATCAAAGGTTTGATATGGTGGAGCCCCTAGGAATTCTCTTATTTCCTAGAATATTAGGAATGTTATTTCTTAAAACATATTCAATTTAATTTCACTTTAATATATGGCGTAAACTTATAATTAGATATTTTAGGGTGAGCTGGAAAGAAGAGAGTGTTGAAAAATAAATGCCCTCTTTCTTCAAGAAGTTAGAAATCACTGTTAACTCAACCCATGGATTTCTTTGCTCACTTGTTTCCCAACTTTGTACATTCCTATGGATAAACATATAGACCATCACATCCAGAGAAACACTCAAGTATAGTCAGACACACCCACACCTCTCCATTCACTGGTACACACAGATGTCTCATAAAGAATGAAAGACAACATTCAACTGCTCAGCAGAATTTATGGGCCGTGTTATTTCTGGTGAACTTACCTGCCCATAAAATGCCACACGATAGTAGCGACCAAACAGCCGCTTCTCCGAATTCACCACCTCTGCCACTTTCAGATATGACCGATGAATGTCGTAGTAGAGATCTGACAATTTCTGAAACCATAAGTGAAAGAGTTTCATGAAGATGATGCTGTCATACAAATAAGGGAGTTTTTAATTTTGAAAACTGTAAGTAATTTTCCAATTCAACATAGGATATTTTAATTAACTTCTAGGGGGTTGGAATACATACTTTGAAGTCTCGTTGTTTCTCAAAGACAGCAATGATGGGCTTGTTGACATCAGCAATGAGTTCATATCGCTCAGACTTCCAGAGAAACTCCACACACATGTATAGCTGCTCCACCAGGATATTCTGCAATTCCCCCAATCAAAATAAGATTTTACATGATTAGGGTTGTGGCTCATGCCTGAAACTTGGTTTCCAAGCTGTTGCATTGTCAAACTTTTCCCTCTGTTACTGGCATTTAAAACCCAGCAGGGGATCGTGGTGTCATCTTGGATTCTTGCCTATCCCGCACTGCCGTTACCTAATTCGTGCCCCAAAAGTGCTAATTTAAATCTGTGAAATGCCTTCAGATCTGTCTCCTTCTTCCCATTCCCACTGCTACTGACTTCGTACTCCCTGACCCCTGCTATAGTTTTGAGCGAGTCTGTTTTCCCTCTCCAATTGCTGCTCTCCTGTAATCTTTCTTTGTAAAACATAAATCTGATCATGAGATCTCCAGTGCCTTAAACCTTTGTGGGAACTCCAGTATGTAAACTGCTGTCCAAACTCTAGCATGGCCTTCAAGAAGCTCCACAATCAGGCACCAACCTCCCTCTCAGTGACCCCTTCTTTCAATGCTCTGTCACTGACTTTGCACCTTGGCCATACCATATACCACTCCATTATTAGAATACCCTCTGACCTCCATACTTTTATCTGTGTTATAGATGCACCTATAAGAACCTTATTTCACACCTTCAAGTCCTATCAAGACTCAGCACAAAAAAAAATGAAGAGCTTTTATTTACATTCCATTCATCACCATTTCAACACTTCCATGTAAAAAAAAAAGTTCCCCTTCTGATTGCAACTGTATATGATACCTAGATTTGGCCACTGGGCATCTGTTTTTGCCTGGCCATTCCCCACCCTGTAGGAACTCTGTCTTTCTCAAGATCCTAAATTCTTTGAGAGCAGGAATTATGCCTTATTTTTTTTCCCAGCCCTTACCTCAATTCCTTTCATATACTAGTGGTTTAATAAATTTTCAACTGAATAAAGTTATATAAGCTTTAAAGCAAATGTATGATATTATTGGAATGTTTTCAACAATTTGTTTTAAGAAAAGGTTCTTAAACATTATTTAAAGTAGTTAACATAAATATGTAATTATATTTACTTCGTTTATTTGCAATATATGCTAAATTGGTGTAGAACCATTTGTAAAATTGTATTAAAATTCATCTGAAAATTTACTTTCTGTATAATTTTTTCCATTTATGTAATACTGACCTAAAAATCAGCTTATAAAATATTTTACTTAATGAGAGGAGTTCTATTTTCTTCACCAGAACTATTGCTAAGTAATTCTCAGTAGAAAGTTTCTTTTTTTAATTAATGAAAAATAACTCTGGTTATTTTCCATAACAGAAGGTTTTCTAAAGAAACTAGTGAACTTTTACGTCCACCTGCATTTGTAAATAAACTTGCTAATGCTTTTAGAAAGAAAGCTATGATCAGTTCGCAAAATTTAGCATCCCTTATCACCTTTACCAAAAAGCCAAGATTTTATCTGATAGAAGAGCTGATAATATACATTTGAGTCCATCTTAGAGAAGTAAGACTTAGTTTAAATTTTCGCTGAAATCTGGTATCTACTAATCTTGGCTTAATTTTAGCCTGCATTTCATTTTGTCTAATTAAGTTATATTATAAAATAGCTGTAAGCTTGTTTCCCCCTTATTTAGCTTAATGTCACAAGCCAATGCATCTCTTTCCTTCGTTACTGTACATGAGATAATTTTGGTCTAACCTCATTGTATGGTGTATCTTGCATTCCAGAATCCTCTTTCATCGCTCCTTCTTCCTTAATGTTTGGTGTAATGCTCAAAAAAGCTGGCCATCCCATAGAGAACATGCCTTGGGAGGACCAAGCAGAATAAAACATTATTATTTGAGACAAATTTTGCTTAGATTAGATAATGCCTTTCTTCATGATGTTACCAAGTGGTAGTATTACAAAGCTCACACAATCAACAAGATGGTTAGATTATGACTATTGATAAATGCGCTCTGCCAGGCAAACAATATTCCCCTTTTTATAATTTTTGTATCATTTTCAGGTGGCATTTTTTATAAAGAAATAGCATGGGATTATGGATAGAACATAAGATTCGTGGGTAGATGTTGCGGTTCCAATCTTCTGGTTTAATCTCGGAGACTGTGTCCCTCTCTTGTTAAACTGGGGACATTAATATCTCTCTCAAAGGATGTTGAAAGGATTCAAAACATTAATATTTGAGAAAATACCCAGTACACTCAGCACATTATAAAGACAATGCTTGTAGGTGGGTGTGTGGGTGCCTGTAATCCCAGCTACTTAGGAGGCTGAGACAGGAGGATTGCTTGAGCCTAGGAGTTTGGGGCTGGAGTGAGCTATCACCATGCCATTGTACTCCAGCCTGGGTGACGGAGTGAGACCCTATCTCTCCCACAGTGGCCCCCAAAAAGACAAGACAATGCCCAATACTTGCTTTTTTTTTTTTTGAGACGGAGTTTCACTCTTGTTGCCCAGGCTGGAGTGCAATGGTGCCATCTCGGCTCACTGCAACCTCCGCCTCCCGGGTTCAAGCGATTCTCCTGCCTCAGCCTCCTGAGTAGCTGGCATTACAGGTGCCCGCCACCACGCCCAGCTAATTTTTGTATTTTTAGTAGAGACGGGGTTTCACCATGTTGGCTAGGCTGGTCTTAAACTACTGACCTCAGGTGATCTGCCCGCCTCAGCCTCCTGAAGTGTTGGGATTACAGGCGTGAGCCACTGCGCCTGGCCAATACTTGCTATATTTCACTCTTTTACATTATGTAGAAACCTTTTCAAATTTTCTTAGTATCTTAGGCACCAAGATTTTAAAAGGTCTGTCTCTACAGATACATGTGAAAACAGTTGATAATGGGTAACATTCCCAGAGGAGAGATAGATCTGAATTGTGGGGAATGTGAGTGACTAGGAGCACTAGCCGGAGTGACAGACCAGCCCCTGCACTTTGGCTCCAACACAAGCTAACCATGACATTTGGGGCAGATTGTTTAGCTTCTCTTGTTTTTCTCACCCATAAACAGGAGGTGATAATAGCACCTAACTCACAGATTTGTAACTGGCAACTAACTGAGACATTGCTGGTACAGGGCTTAGTGTGGTGCCTTCTATGTAGCAAGTGCTTTTTAAGTTATAGCTAATACTTTTGTGGCATGTTTTTGTTTTTAATAATCAGCTCATTGGTTATGTAACTAAATGATCACTCCCCAAACATGCTAGAAATTATAAATATAATAATTATTGCAATCTAATCCTTGCTTCTAAATAAATTTTATTTTTCTACTTTTTATAATAATATTAAACATATATTAAACTATATGATAGTTAATTGTAGGAGAAGTCACAACATACTTCTTGCAGGATGATGATTACTTATTAGTACAACTGAAGCAGCTGTACTTTCTGGGGTCGCCTATCTTCACCTATATTCATACAATTGTGAACATTGTAGGGAAGGGATAATTTACTCCTTTGACTCAAAAATATCAAAATAGAAAAGTATATTAAGGGCTTCAAATACATGCCAATGACATTCCCATATATGCTGATGATATATGCTAATTAGAATATGCTAATATATCATAGCATATATCATCAGCTAATGTATCATCAGATATATGTTAATGTATCATAGATGATCACCTTCCTAATTTTAAAGTTTACTCAACAAATATATCCTTTTCTTGATGGACATACATTATATTCTCATATCACCTTAGGTCTAACATTGGGCATTTAAAGCATTTTGAATATTAAAGATTCACACAACTTTTTGGTATCTAAGTTTCCACAAGTTCTCAAACTAACACCTGCCTTTACTGGTTTTCTTCAATTTTGTTCTTAGAATTTGAAAGTCTTTATGGAACGTTACGGCATCTGGTTATGATAAGCAATAGATGAGGAGGAAGGGCATGTTAAATAAGGCAATGATGTGTTTGATGACATGCATATAAATATCAGGCTACATAGGAAGTGTGACACTAAGCAAGAAGATTCCTGAATTTTTGGGTGGACATGAGCCATGGGTGCCATAGGGTGCCACATCTGGCTTCTTCTCCAAGGTCCTTAAACAAGTGACCTCACTGTCTCTCAGTTTGCTTTGGTCATTTGGTTCAAAAGTCTTTTTTTTTTTTTTGAGATGGAGTCTTGCTCTGTTGTCCAGGCTAGAGTGCAGTGGCGTGATCTCAGCTCGCTGCAACCTCCACCTCCTGGGTTCAAGCAATTCTCTGCCTCAGCCTCCTGAGTAGCTGGGATTTATAGGCACCTGCCACCACGCCCGGCTAATTTTTTTTTTTTTTTTGTATTTTTAGTAGAGACGGGGTTTCATCATCTTGGCCAGGCTGGTCTTGAACTCCTGACCTTGTGATCCACCTGCCTTGGTCTCCCAAAGTGCTGGGATTACAGGCGTGAGTCATGGCACCTGGCCAGTTCAAATGTCTTATATGCAAAATCCAGTGAGACCTTTTAGAAAACATACAAATATTTAAATGAATAAGGGATGAATTATGTTTCTGAAATATAGCAAGTAAAGTCCATTTACATTTCGTTTAAGTCTTTTGATTTTCAACATCTAAAAATGTATTTCAACATCTAAAAATGTTGTTTGTACACGGAGTTTTCCACTGCATTTGGAAAGTTAAACCAGTGTTATCAAAGAGACTACAGTTCATAAAATTTGGATTCAAACAAATTTTTGCAATTGAATGTAGATTTAATGTGTAAACTATATCACTCACTTTTTTGTGCAAAGAGTAACTCTTTAGTCATTATTATAATTTCAAAAAATCAGACATTAATGATGGAATATTTCTAAAGGAAATCTGTACCATAAGCCATATGTTATAAATTGTCAGTTTATACTTTTTAAAAATGAAATGGAACATGCTGATTATAAAGTCCTACATATATAGAATATATATATGTATATATCTTCATTTTTCTTTTTATTTTTTTGGAGACGGAGTCTCACTCTGTTGCCCAGGCTGGTGTACAGTGGTGCTATCTTGGCTCACTGCAACCTCCGCCTCCTGGGTTCAAGTGATTCTCCTGCTTCAGTCTCCCAAGTAGCTGGGATAACAGGTGCCTGCCACCATGCCCAGCTAAATTTTGTATTTTTAGTAGAGACCAGGCTTCACCATGTTGGCCAGGCTGGTCTCGGACTTCTGACTTCAAGTGATCTGCTCACCTTGGCCTCCCAAGTGCTGGGATTACAGGCGTGAGCCACCGCGCCTGGCCCTATCTTTTATTTGGAATAAACAGTTTTATTACATTTAAAAATTAAAATAGATTCCTCTTGCAATTTCAAACAATTTACCAATTTCAGAATAAACATCCCTATGGCAGACTGGCATGCAGATTGGTAGCTAAATATGGCTGTAACTCATAAACTTGAATGTTGGAGAACATACAGTTCTATTTGCTGACAACTTTTCAGTTATTTAAATTTTATAAATTTTGGATGGGATTTCTGAATGGCAGGAGTTTAAGTTTTTTGCAGAGTAAGTTGGGTAGATCTGAGACAGTTTTTGCTTCTAAGAATATATTTAAGAAGGTTTCACTGAAGTAGAATTTGAGCAGCAAGTGGATTTCCTCTGCATTGGGATAAATGAGCAGTTAGGTCACTCACTTCCTCCACTGGGAGTTGTTAGTAATGAGTTGCTATCACAGGGGTGGGTATCCTCCGAGAGCAGGGATGCTGTGCAAATCTTTTCCACTTTCCAGTAACCTATGGTAGTGCAAGATGAGGTTAGGACATTGCTACATGTTTATGTTAATACAAGCTTTAGAGACTACAAATCGTTAGCCAATGATGCATTCTCGTTTTGAACTAAGAAGTTGACCATCCAGTTAGCCTTTGCTGTACATAGAATAAATAAGTCAATGGCATGATAGACTTAAAATGTTTAAAGTACAGCATAATTAGAAGTATCTGTGAAAGCGATTATTACTTAAACATAACAGATTAATAAAATGTAAAATTAATACATTATTTCTATTAGGCTTCAATGTGTTGATATCTAGGCTTTTTGCCTCCCTCATGTGGTCATCTTACCCTTTCTTTTCAGATACTCTGCAATGAGAGCAGCAATATGGATGTAACACATGGCAGCCTGTAATGAGAAAGAAAATAAAGAGGCTCAGGGGATGGAGTTTAATATAATTAGGGCTAATCTTCCAAGGCGAGTCAGTATTCCATATCAGAATATGTTAGAAGGATCCTTTGTAATCACCAAATTGAAAGCAAGGATCAATTGTATTTCCAAAAAAATTCACCATCAAGAATAAAATGAATATTTGGGTTTTTGTTTGTTTGTTCTTGGTTAGTTTGGAGATGGGTGAAGGAGCTGGCCCAAAGAATTTTCCCATAGAATTCTCTTCCTCCCTTAAAGTCTAAGCCTAGATTAAAAATAAATCATAAGTCTCCTTTTAAAATTAAAACTATAACTCTAGTATTTAGATATAAAGTGGAAATAAAAATATCTGCCTTCTAAATAAGTTTTTTTTTAACCTCCTGGAATAGCCCCTCTGAATTTGTGTTGCCTTTAAAATGGTCACCTCACGAGTACTTGATTGACTAGTGTGACACAATGTAACACCCGTGCTCCCCACAAACTAGATTATATGGCTGATGTTATATTTTAATCTGTCTCTTATGAAGCCCTGAACGTTGCTGAACACATATTAAAACTCGACTTGCTAAAGATTCCAAATGACTTCAGCTTTTTCCTTTTGAGGTTTTATGGAGAAATTTCATCATTTTCAGAGCAGCCCAAGGGCTTCTCATTCTTGTCCTCACTAAATTGCTGCCAAGCCAGCCTTCTGGTTTCCATTCCAGAGTCCCTGATTACCACATGTGTTTAGAAGAGCTTCAGAGTTTAGGACTATCCTAGACAAATTAATCTCTTCCCCAAAGGGACATAGTTCCAGAATAGCGTAGAACTTCCCATTTGGTACTAAGAAGACCTTGGGTGCTATGAATTGCTGCTTATGATCCACCCAGTATTGAAACTGACATAAAAAGTTAAGTGTTGACTTATAATCCTCGTGCAGTGGACTCTCCTCACATGGTGCTAAGGATCATTCATTTTTCCATGGCCAGTTCAAACTAGCTGTAAATGAGGACTGATTCCCCCTGCCTGAGTTAACTCACTATGGTGGCAAGCTTCCCCATTCAACTCTAGTTGCAGAGAAGAAGTTTTAAAACACAGAACATTAATTTAACGACTCAATTCCCAGACACCCTTACCACACCCCTCCTTAGCCTCAGGTTTTTAGCATTCAGCGTTGCATTACAATTTCTACACCTGCAGTTGCCCCCACTGACTCTGGCCTTTATTTGATATCATTTACTTAGCGTTAGGTATCCTTGAATGCTATATGGAAATGTATTGTATATGATATATAACTGAGTCATTTCTAGATTAGTTGAAAAACATGGCATCCTTTTCTAGTCCATGCTGTAAATGAAAATCCAATTTTCCTGATAAAGAGGACAATACTGATGGTAAATGACCAAGCCTTGGCTAATCACCTCAGATAAATCTCCGTTTCTGGCATGAATCTTGGCCATACTTTCCAGCCAGGTCCTGCGTAGTTCAGGAGTGCTTGCGTAGGAGTTTGCCAGGCTGTACTGGAGATCCACCAGCATCTCGGGGTCCTTCTCGTGCTCCTTCATCTGAGCTGTGGCCATCAAAACAGTCCTTATACGCTTAGTCAGGTCCTTCACCTCTGCTGGGAAATTGCTGTTCTTTGGAAAAGAGAGAGCCTGGGTCATTATCTGTTTAGAATCTATAGGTTAACTGACTTTAAGTTATGCTATTAATTATGGCTACGCATCACAGTTTGGAGCATTCTATATATAGTTATAAATGAGTGCATTCTATATATGTGCATTCTATGTTTTGTGACTGTGGATACACACATTTGAAGATAAACATTTCAGGAGCCTCTATTCTTTTGTCTTCAAGAACACCTTCTTCTGGTGAAACGTCCTGATTGTCTTTGAGATATATTCCCCTTCCTGACTCTAGCTCATGTGATTTGAACAGGTCTGACTTTACTCCTAGAGACCATGGATGGCATATAACACTGGCCTGGCCAATTCTATTTTTTGATCCTCCAAGCTACAGTGATTGGTTTAGGGATAAGCATATTATTTAAGCTTGGATCAAAGAGATTCAGTTGTGGGACTTTAATTGGAACTATCAAACAAGGTGATTTTCTACTCATAAGATACTACCAAGGTCCTCAGAATTTCTGAGAACATGCCCAGGGGGATAGCCTGTCTGGAAATGAAGTAAACAAAGAGGAAAGCTGAGCTGACAGACAGTGAGAGAGGCAAGATCGAGGCAGTAGAGGGATGGGTCTGAAAATTATTTTAATCCCTGGGTCCAGCCATGACTGAAGCCTGGCTCTAGACTTGGACTTTTCAGTATAATGACTACAGGAGAAGTCTTCAGAAAGTGCTAAACAAAAGATAAGATGAATTTTCCCCCAAATAGAGTTAGGAGTGTCATTGTATTTCTGGATATTTATGGTAAATCCTCTTGTTCTAGGCCATTCAACCACACATATTGGGAATGCCTCTTAACAGATCACATGCTTAAAGTGTAAGAGCTGCTTAACGATTCAAACAATAAACTTGATAGTTTACTTTGAGGAGTGCTCAAAGCTCAAAGTCTCAATAAACAAAATAAACAATTATTATTATTATTATTATTATTATTTTAGAGACAAGGTCTTGCTCTGTTACCCATGCTGGAGTGCAATGGTGCCATCATAGCTCACTGCAGCCTCAACTCAAACTCCTGGCCTCAAGCGATCCTCCTGCCTTGGCTTCTCAAAGTGTTGGGAATACAGGCGTGAACCACTGTACCCAATCTATTTTTATGATTTTGATATCTCACAAAAAGAATCCACTTCAGATTTAAAAAAATTCTGCAGTAAAAGCCCACAAAGCATTTCTTACTTTCATTTGCTTATCTCCATTGGCGAAATTATTGGTAATTGCAAGCGAATGTTGAAACCGAGAGCCTCCAATCCCAGCATCGGCTATTAACTGGCTCACAGCTTTGATGAGCTAGAAAAGAAAAAAAATGAACTCTCAAAAACAAGACCAGAAATAGTCTTCTTAAAGAAATCCACTGGGCTGGGTAAATGTATTATTAGTTTCTCCCTGTAGGTCCAATAAAAGAAGTGTTTATGTATTAAAGCTCCAGAACGTATTATTAAATCTAGGGTGTTTCCTATAATCTTAAATACCTAAGAGAGGCTGCAGGAATCTTGGAATCTTGGGATGCCTAGAAGAAAAAAAATTACGTTTGGAATTTGGCGGGGTTTGACCTGTTGGAGCTAGCCATGGTTTCCTGAGTTGTTTACTCCATATGATTCTATTTCCTGGCAGAAGAAAGGAAAGTACAAGTGGAGATAGGGCTCTGCTGATTTCTGCCCAGCTGTGCCCCTACTATTAAACAGAACTGAATGCTGTGGGCGTCTTTAAGGAGGACGCTAGTGGAGGAGTTAGTGACGGCTTGCCCTGAGGACAGTAGGCTTTAAGCACTGCTGAAACAGATCAGTGGTTTTAACAACAGCATTAATGAAAATTGGCAGCACTTACTTGTAAGTGGGACCGGACAATTGACTTCTGCTTGTTAAATTCAAAATTCTTCCTCATGAAAAAGTACAGAAGGGCTGAGGCTTCTGTCTGAGTTGACCGTGACCTGTGGTTACAGCATTTTAGGACTTCGTAACAGAATGATCCACAGAGGTCAGCAGGCCCTTGAAAGAACGCTGAAGGAAACTGCAGAAATGGAAGAACGGGTGAAGGGAGCAACATGCCTTCATTTTGCTCTGTTCATTCTCATATTTTAAAATTCCCTAAAACAAAATCCCTCTCCTTTTTTTTTTTAACTTGGTCTATTTTTTTTTTTTCATTTGCAAGTGAGGAGGATAGAATTTGTTAAGGCCTATGTTAGCATTTGTCTTTTTTCCTAGATAGAATTATTCTCTACATTGTATAAGTATCCTTTGTATCAGTAACTGATGACAATCCAAAATAACAGTGAGAGCTTTGAAATGACCTCAATTCACCTGACATTGTTAAGATCACAGGTGTTATTTACAAGCGTCCTCAAAGGCGGTGGCTGTATCCACTTTAATGTGGAATCTTTAACTTGATATGCACCCCTTTAAGTTCAAGGGGTGCATTTTACCTAACTTGGTGCCGCAAACACAGATAACTCAAAGAATTGGTGACCAGATGCTAATTGTCACCAGATGCTAATATCTTCTGGTATTTGAGCAGACAGATTGTCAAGGCTGTGCACTCATTTTGAGACCAGGAATCAATGTCTAATAAAACCCAAATTGAAGAAAACAATCCTTCTTCCCTCCCTACTGAGAAACGCAAGGATTCCTATAGGTTTACTATTCTATGGGTTTACTGTCATCCTACCTAAACTTCATTGAAACCTGGAGATCCTTACCTTGCATACAAACAGTCTCAAGGAGGCAAACACATGCTTCAGCGCTGTGGCTGACTGATTGACTTGGAAAAAGAGCATGTAGGTATCAAAGACCCTTTTCATCAATGAATTTTGACAGTCACATTGTTGGAGTTGTCTCTGGAAATTCAATGCAGATGTTATTCAGGATAAGTGAAAGAAAATTTTCATTCTATCAAAAAATATTTATTGTGAACCTGTCATGTGGTAAGGCACTATTTTGAGTGCTAGAAATAAAGGATTGAACAAGGAGACACAGTTCATGTTTACTGTGAAACTTACATAGCAGTGATTGAAAAAAACATGACAAATGGAAATAGACTAGGATGATGTGATTGAAAGTAGTTGCTTTGGGGGTAGGATTACTTCCATAGGGTAGTCAGCAAAGACCTCTCTAATGGAAAATTGGCATGTGAGCTCAAAGGGGCCTGCCCTGGAGAGATCTGGGAGGACTGTCCTGTGGGGGAGAAACAGCTAGTAAAAGGGCCTTGATTTGGAAAGGAGCTTATGAGTTCAAGGTTGAGAAAGAAAAGTAGCTGATGCAATGGCGAGTTGGGTGGGGCCGGGGAGAAATGGGAGAGAGGTCACAGGTTCTTGAAGGCACTAGTAAAATCCTTAAAATTTGTGAGATTTGAGTGACATTTTCATGGCCCAATAAGAATCAATATAGTCATTACTTTCTCTACCACCATGCTGACATTTCATCTGAAATAGGGCTTTCTTGGCATAATTATGCTGTTCTGTGTAGACTTTATTCAAAGAATCCAAGTTTTCCTGGCTCAATCTTTTTTTTTTTTTTTGAGACAAGGTCTCACTCTGTCACCTAAGCAGGAGTGTCGTGGCACCATCATAGCTCACGGCAGCCTCCACTTCCAGGGCTCCAGTGATCCTCCCACCTCAGCCTTCCGAATAGCTGGGACTACAGGCATGTGCCACCATAGTTGACTAATTTTTTAAATTTTTTTGTAAAGATGAAGCTTCACTATATTGCCCAGGTTGGTCTTGAACTCCTGGGCTCAAGTGATCCTCCCTCCTTGGCCTCCCAAAGTGCTGGAATTACAGGCATGAGCCACCACACCTGCCCCGGCTCAATCCGTAATGTACTAGCCTAGGTGTTTAAGCTCATTTGGTAGAGCTGCAAATGTTTTTAATAGTTTTATTGAAGTATAATTGACATACAATAAATTGAACTGTGATATGTATAATTTAATAAGTTTAACACTGTCATACACCCATGAAACCATCACCACAATCAAGATAATGAACGTATCTATCACTCTCAAAAGTTTTTAAATACTTTTTTTTGTAATTCCTTCCTCCCATCCTTCCTCCACATCCCTAGGCAACCACTGATCTGCTTTTTGTTCCTATAGTTTGCATTTTCTAAAATTTCATATAAATGGAATAATATACACTGAGTAATACGGTATATACTCTTTTTAAATTTGGTTTCTTGGGTTTCACCCATGTTACAGCATGTATCAGTAGTTTATTTCTTTTAACTGCTGAGTAGTAGTCTATTGTATGGATATACCACAGATTTTTAAATCTATTCACCTGTTGATGTATACTTGAGTTGTTTGTAGTTTCTTTTTTTGCTATTAAAATAAAGCTGTCATGCATATTTGTGTATAAAGTTTTATGTGGAGATATGTTTTCACTTCTCCTGGGCAAATACCTATTACAGTATTGGAATGGCTGGTCACAGGACAGATGTATGATTAACTTTTTCAGAGACTGCCATACTGTTCTCCAACATGTTTTTACCATTTCGCATTCCCACTGTCAATAAATAGGAGTTCTAGTTTCTCCACACCCTTGCCAAAACTTTGGATGGTCAGTCTTTTTAACTTTAGCCATTCTAAGTAGTGATAATCATTTCATCAAAGATATCTGAATGTCAAATAAGCACACAAAAAGATGCTCAACATTATTAGTTTTCTTTAGATCTAGTTGTAAATTTAATATATAGGCCCATTTATCTCTTCCTCTTCTACTGAAAAAGTACAGAGTCACACTATCACTCAGCCCAGCTTGCCTGAGAGTGAAGCAAGATAAATGAGGAAGAAAGACTATTTGACAATAGTGAAATGCACACGTGTACATATCAAACAAACATTAGTCAACCTGTGATAAAATCAAAATCTCATCTTTAACATGTTTTCCACTCACACTTAGGTTGATTTATATAAGGTTAATTGATTTCATAAATAATTAAAAAAAACCATGTTTTTGACTTCACATGGTTTTTCTACCTCATATTTCATCATTTTTTGCAGAAAATGTTATCATCATATTCACCTGATGAGTCTGTGTGAAGAGGGATAACAGGTCCAGAATAGTGAGGCAAACCTCCGTAGCTATATTGGCCTCAGTGTCTACATGATGCACGATGTCTATTTCATTGGAGTTGCCTATAAAATACAAAATAAAACATGCGTAAAAGTCTAAGACAATGCTTTGTACCCTATAAAGGATTTCCTTTCATTACAATATATTCAAAGTTTGCTGGCATTTTGATTAATAATTTATTAAATCAAAGTGTTTTTGTTTGTTCAGTTTCTTCATTGACTGAATTAAAAGTACTAGAGTCTTTAGTGTGTGTGCCCTTTCCATATATCAGTTGCGGGGTTTCCATTGTTTCTGAGTTCTTTTCCGTTAATTTGGCCAAAGACAGGGTCATATTTCTTTCATAATCAGGCTGTCTCAAGTTCTAAACTTCTGGGCTAATAGACCAAATGTACAGTCTCAGTGGACAGTCTTTATGTCCCCTCGGAAAGTCACAAAGTGTCTTTATCGGTTAAGGCATATACTTTCAAACAAGTAACTGTGGGCCATGTGCCCATAATTGCTAACAATCTGTCAATGAAAAGAGTCAAATTCTGTAAAATATTTGAAGAGATTTATTGTGAGCCAAATATGAGTGACAATGGCCTGTGACACAGCCCTCAGGAAACCCTGAGAACATGTGCCCAAGGTGTTTGGGCTACAGCTAGGTTTTATATGCTTTAGGGGCACATAAGACATCAATCAATACGTGTAAGATGTACGTTGGTTTGGTCTGGAAAGGCAGGACAACTGAAAGTGGGGGAGAGGGGCACTTCCAGGTTATAGGTGTATTCAAAGATTTTCTGATTGGCGATTGGTAGAAAGAGTTTATCTAGAGACCTGGAATCAATAGAAAGGAAATGTCTGGGTTAAGAAAGGCAATTGTGGAGACCAACATTCTTATTATGTAGATGAAGCCTCCAGATGGCAGACTTCAGAGAGAAGAGATTGTAAATGTTTCTTATCAGACTGAAAAAGGTGCCAGACTCTCAGTTGATTCTCTCCTGGATCAAGAAAAGGTCCTGAAGAGGGAAAGGGGATTCTTTACAGAATGCAAAATTTTCCCCACAAGAGACAACTCTGCAGGGCTGTTTCAAGACATGGCAAAAAAAAAAAAAAAAAAAAACATATTTGGGGATAAAATATTTTGATTTCTTTCCTTATCTGTCATGTGATGTTATGCCAGAGTCAGGTTGGAAAGTAAGCCATGTTATATAGGGTTAACTAAAACCCCTCTGATGAGACTGGTGTGACTTTCCAGGCCCCTGAAGAATTTGGGCAAGAGAAGAGAAAAGGTCAGAGTTTAGTCCTCAAGTTACATGCTTACAAAACGCTGGCCTCCATTTTACCCTCATTCACAAGCTGGAGTGTGTGCATCTCTAAGTTCAAGAGGTCACCCTTGCTGCTTCTGGGACATGGGCAACTTTATCCCCTCCCCACAGAGGAAGCAGTAATCATCTGTTTGACAGCAGCCCCCATAACCTGCACAATGCTGAAAGTAACTTGTTTCCAAGGGAGCTATGCTAAACATATGATATTGAGGGTTTTGCCTCTCCCCTTTCTTCACCATAGGGCACTACATTTTTTTTTAACCACTCCCTGGTGAGTCTTTCCCTTAAGAAATATTCCCAGAGGTACAGCAAACCTTAAAAACTGTGGTTTTAGTGCATTTCATGTCCTACACATACCTAGAGAAAAACTGGTAACCATCTTGTTCCTATTATTTCAGTTTACTTACTGGTCATGGTATTGTCTAACATCTGTAAGAGTTTGGGGTTAGAAAGTGCATTTTTGCCTCGAATTATAGGTAAAGTTTGTGATCTGTGCTGCTTATGGCCTTCATGACTGGAAGTGGAGTGCATCCTGAAAACAAAAAAAGAAAAGTGGTTAGAGTTATTTGGGGATGTTATAGCCAAATAACACTTGTTCATTCTCAAATGTTCTAGATTGAGTCAAATATTAAAAACTAGTTTGGAAAGCAACTTTTTATTACAAATATTAATTATAGGTGACATGATGAGAGAGACTTTTTAAAGTACTTTTGGAGAAATTTTATTTAAGCCAAAATAGTGTTCACAAGGGTAATCTGTAGAATAACAGGTCATTGAGTGAAATCTATTCAAGCATATCATTATTATTTATGAAATAATGGGATTCTGTGAATGTTAAGTTGGCTACTGGCTGATCAGGAAGGCACAGTGGTGGACATTAAAAAGTACAATATTGTACAGCTCAGATGCATCAAATTATTTTTGAAGAGATAAGTGTAAAATCAGGTTCTAAAACAACTCTTGCTTTCCGAGGTATTTGTATCTGGAAATTCCTGTTGATTTGTCATTTCACTGATGTCATGTCCACAGGGGGCTGACATGTGATGGTTGTGGGAGGTAGGTAGTTAAAGGACCTCTGTGCCTCTGTGCTTCCAGGGCAATGACAATGGCCTGCAATGACTCATTCAACACCCCATAGCATTTCCAGCTGGGAAAAATGAGCCAGTGTTACTGTGGAAATAGGAATATTTCCTACTGCTGACTTTATCATTTGGCCAAGGAAATAGGTTGATAATTCTTGGGATATGTGCTGTCATAAAAACTATTTATAACAACACTTATGGAAAGAAAGCAGCATTTGGAAATACCCTGAAGTATCTCCTAATTCCTCCTTTAGGCCTTTACCTAAAAATGAGGCAGTGGTCTTCTCTTTCTCCCACTTTTCAAGGCTGTTTTGGTTCTGGCTAAATCAGAAAACCTGGATGGGTGGAGGCCAAGGAGATGAGACTTTGGCTTTCAATAGCCAGGGGAGCCTGGGTCATTCCTGAAGCTAGAAGGAGTGCGTGATTCCTTGGCTCTAGGCTTTAGGCATTTGGATTGGCTTATTTCTAGGTTTTGAGTGTAGTACAGTCTGAACTTGTGGAGGAAAAGCCCTGGTTTCTAGGAGGCGAGGGACAGAAATGGCCAGGACCCATCCAGATGTCTCAGGAGCAGCCTGAAATCTAACCCACCACACATCTACAAAACTTCAGTGACCTCAGGTGGCTCACTATTATTATTAAACATGGAAACTAATTCTTTACTGTCCTCTATTATTTTTTGCAAAAAATGTCCATTACATTTTTTTTCATTTACTTTCTCACAAGGGGGCAATTTCAAAGGGCATGGAGGGAGGCACAATTTATTCTATGATTTATTCGCTATGTACGACTCTTATATTTCTTTCTAAAACCCTTTCTAAAATATTCATAATATATATTATGATGATACCTCTGGGAAGAATAAATCAAAGTGGAGATAATTTTAGCAAAGAATTCTCATTTACAAGACCCAGAGGAGCTCCGAGGTAGAATTTCAGGGCAAATGTTTCCCATTGGTTAGGCCGGTGAAGGATGACTCCAGGTCCTATCTGCTAGTCAAACCAGTCTAATGACTAGGAAATCTAAAGTGAGGTTATGGGACTATCCATGCTTCCTCATTGCCTTTGACCCTTTAAAAAACAATTTCAGCTTCAAGAACATTGCAAAAAATTATAATTACTGAAAAGCCTAGGGAGACATGATTCCACATTTCCGTTTGTCACTGGAAGATTAGCTAGCATTAAAAGAGGCATTTATTGGGCCTATGTCTCAGGTTTCATTAAATGAAAATACTCATTAATGTTCAGTCTATGCAAGGGATTGTGCTCTAAGTGCACACATATATGGTGTACTCCTTATCTCTTTGGTCTCTACCAGCTAGTAGGGCAGACAGTAAAGTATCTAAGAAGTTTCTTTAGGTAGACATATAGTTACTTGAAATCTGCACTTGGTTTGAATATATAAATAGAAATATGTGTGTGTGTGTGTGTGTGTGTGTGTGTGTGTCTACCCCTGACATGTGCATATACAGACACACACACACAGCTATATATAATTTTAAATACCAAGCAAATGTGACATTACCATTGTGACAAGAGACCTGATGTCTGGCAGGAAGGATTGGATCCTTTGAGAGTTCCATTGTTCTGGGTGGACTGCACAAATTTAAATGCAGCAGCAATTTTTCTGCAATGAAAATGGAAGTTTTAATCATAGCTCAGTGTTTGTAATTTACATATAAAAATGAATGGCAACTGACAAAACGATTACTGCACAATGAAATATTTCACATGCTGTGAATTAATCAAAAATAAAACCCTGTTTTCTTTCGGAAATCAGAAATTGGGATTTAGTGAAGGTGCTTCAAACGTTGTTGTCTCATGAGAAAATGATGACAGTACGAAGTTATTCCAGATTACTTGTTTTTTTTTTTTTTTAGTTTACTGGAAATGTTTTCTGAAATAGGTATCTTCCAAGTTATATCTATATAATGATAAATTCATTCTGAAGATACATGAAATGTGGTTTTCTTTCAAAAATTTGTGTTTTTGTGCTTTTCTCCCTAGACAACATGAACTATTCCTAGATCTACAATGCGTATGAGGCAATCTTCAAACTTACTGTGTCTAATGTGACGTCAACCTAACAATCCTTATTTGCATTTTAAGATTTCTAATATATATTTGTAACTCTAACCTGACACATTAATACATGTCATATGCTTTTTAAAAGACCAGATTAACCTATTGGAATTTAAAATTAGTACCTTATTATGTTGCGTTTTCCTAGGTATCTGAAATTTTGAAGACAAACGCTAGAAAGGAGAAAAAAACCACATTTTAATTATTCATATTCTTTTATTATACAAACTGTTCATCTAAGTATATTGAAAGAAAAATATTAAATTTTCTTTAAATAGTTCATATATTATTGATAACTTACTATATGGGTTCTTGAAATGAAACATGGTATAGTGGACTATTTAGAAATTTCCAGAAAAAAGTGTTAAGTCATCAACTCTAAAACTTACTCCAAGATGCTGAAGAAGTCGGACACCTCTGGGCTGGGAGCTCTCTGCCAGTAGGCAATCAGAGTCTCTAAAAGGAAACACCAGGTAGTATGAGAATCTGAAGGTTTTCTTTTTCCTTTTTTCAAAAAAATTAAAGAATTCTCTTTACCGTACGAAATCGTTTTCATAATGTGAAGAAAACACATCAGGAGACTCCTGGTTTCTGCTTGATCTAACTTGTCAAATCGAAGAGTTGAGCCAATCAAAGACAAGGGTCTTGGGATCTGGGAATTCAAGAACCAATCAGGATTGAGTGAGAGTGAGTGACCTCTGCCTTGTAATGATCAGTAGGTTTGAGAGGGAAGTCATACCTTTTCACAGTTGTCCGTCTTCTCACTGCTCTTCTCATTGGTACTTGGATTGGAGTCAAGACTTGCTAAAGATGCTCTGGAGTCAGCATGGTTTACTGTAGAAATAGCTATTGATGAAAATGCTGTAAACACAAGCCACAGCACACGTATGGGAATGAGATGTATGGGCACACACACACAAAAGGTTCACATGATGAACCAAAAAGATGTTGATACTGAGGTAGCAGCAGTGTTGTCAAAGACCAACATAACAGCGTCTGGGATTGGCATTAAAGCCAGCTCTTGTTTTAAAAATGCTTTAGTAAAAGTTCATAAAGATACTTTTGGGAAGGGGCTTTCAACTTTTGACTGTTTATGAGAAACTGAAATGACATTTCCAAAACAGTTCTTAAAAATAATACTTGAAGTTGAAAAGCCATTATATCTTAAAAGGCTGTCTGCAATGAAAACTTAAAGACGGTTTCCAGAATAAAGTAATTTGATAACATCCAAGTAGGCTGCTCCTTAAGCCAAGTAATACTGAACACTAAGTAGAAGAGGAAGTCACTGGATGGAATTCAAAGAAATATGTAAAAAGACTCTTTGGTTGTATAAATGTAGTATACTTTGCCACGTAGATTATGCATAATAAATTACGGACTGAGTAAAAAGCACAATGATATACAATGTAAAGGTGGATGAGTGTTAAAAATAAGTGTTCTCAGAAGATCTCAAGTACCTGCTATGGAATTTAAAACATCTTTAGAAAATGATGTATCCACAGAGTTTGCATGTTTGATAGCTGTCTGGCTTTGAAATCCTCCATTGGTGCTTAGATCATCTCTAGACCCCTGTATTCAAAGTATAGTAAAGATTAATGGGAATCATGGCATTTCAACATTGTTAACCCACATATGCCTTCTTCGTTACACTTCCAATTAAGTGATATTTAATTTGTTCTTTTATATCCCCTTACAGGTTTTCTGCTAAAGTAGGCAGTGAAAACAAATACAGCCAAAACCATACTCGTAGTTATAATTTGATTTATGTGACTTTTTTACAATGTTGTAGAAACAATCTTTTAGATACAGATATACAGACTACATGGCTGGATTGGTTATTGATATATTCATGGATCACATTATAGATATAATTATTACCATGAGTTATCTTATGTACATTACTATTATTAGCAACTACATTTTATTTTATTTTAATTATTCTATTTCATTATCTAACAGGCAGCGTCTTACTGTTACCCAGACTACAGTGCAATGGCATGATTATAGTTCACTGCAGCCTCAACCTCCTGGCTCAAGCGATCCTCCTGCCCTTAACCTCCTGAGTAGCTGGGACTACAGGTATGTGCCACCATGCCCAGCTAATTTTTTAAATTTCTTATTTGTACAGGTGGGGTCTTGCTATGTTGCCCAGGTTGGTCTTGAACTCTTGGCCTCAAGGGATCCTCCCATCTTGGGCTCCCAAAGTTGATGGGATTAGAGATGTGAGTCACCATACCTGGCCTAAAACTATGTTTTAAATATTTATTGCTTGCCAGGCTCTAAAATAAATGTTTTCTAGTACACAATTTAATCCTCATAAAGACACTGTGATTTAGGTATTTTATCCCATTTTATAATGAAGGAAATGGAGTCTTAAGGAGGTTGGCTAACTTATTTCCAGTCACCCAGATAGTCACTGATACTGCTGGGATTTGAAAAAGGTAAAAAAAAAATCCATAGGCATAGCTCCTAACTCCTAGATGGTAATACCTTCCTTAGATACTGGATTCAGCAGTGGGTTATTTCATCTGAGATTTGAACATAGGCAACGGATCTTTAATGGATTGTGCGTAGTCACTGTGGTGCCTCAGTGGAGGAAGGATTATAGTCACTCCTGGGTTGTGACTACAAATAAGGCACTTGGCTATTTATTCTGACACCAGGGGGGGATGTAGGGAATGTAGAAAGTGGTAGGAGAAGGTGTCCACTGAGGAAGGGGTCATAATTGCAACAGAGGAACCTGTAAAAGCTGGAAAGAATTGGAAGCTGATACAGAGAACAGAGAGAAATGAAAGCAAAATGCTGAAGGGTGGATCAGGTGGAGGCTAAAGGGACCTATCTGGAACAAATGACACATTGATGTGAGTACATAGCAGAAAGTGTTGTTCAATGCCTAGTATGTTCACAGATGAGAAGAAATGGTTATCCAGGGCAAAAAATAATTAAAAAAAGACAAATTCTTTATTAACATAGAAATGTGACATATTGTGCAAACGTACCTGATTAGATGTATTGACAGTAAAAGGATACAGGTCCTTCAGATAAATCCTTGGCATATTGTCCAGGAGCATGCCGTACAGGGGCATGTATAAACTTGCTATCTGGGCCTGCTTTCTCTAGGAGAAAAGGTAGCCAAAAGAAATGATTCATGTAAAAATCAATAGGCTTGTCGGTTTCATATGCATTTAATGCAGTGAGCCATTAAATGGTGTTTAGGGAAGGGAGAAAGGAAGATCACTTACTGGCTCTCTGTATCGATCATCAAATGAATGCTTAGCCATTAGATTTTTTAGGACAGCTAAAGCTAAGTGTCTGACATCTTGGTCTTCCTGCAGGGCAAAGCCAACTTCTCGGAGCAGAATTCCGATTAAGAAGTGTTTGCGACAAAATTCATTTGTGACTGAATATTCAGGCATATCTTTGTGAGGAAGGAAAATAACTCATGTTATTGAAAATCAAATGATCACTTTATAATTGAGACAGATATACCAAACAACTACCATCAACTTCTTCCACCACTAGGAGGGATTCAGGAATACAGTCTTGCTACAGAAATGAGGTGTGTTGTATCCTCAAGGAGCATTCAGTAAGGGGACTATTCTGTGTAGACAAACACAAATACAGGTACAAACTAACACACAACATCAACTTTTGAATTCCATAATAACAGCATATTTACAGGATTACAGGATTTGAGAGGGGGAAAAACACATTTTCTGCTTGGAGGAATCAGGATATGTTATAAGTAGGAATCCATCAAGATGAGTCTTTGAGGATACTTGAAGTTTGGAGGTGCAGATCTTTGTGGGAACAGACAGAGGCAATGGAGAAAGGACAGGAGGCTGGGAGAAGCGATTGGATTTTCGATGGCACAGAATTCTGAAAGCGCAGGTGTGGAAGGGAGCAGGTATGGAGGGGAGCACGAGTATGTGGGAGTCAATAAGCACAGTGGCTAAAAGAGGAATGGTGAGAGAATTAGGCTTGAGAGGCTGGGGCTAGATGATGGAGAACAGTACAATTTCCTTAGCTGCCATCTAGGTCCCTCTCCATTTGTATTTAATTCTGTAAGGAATGTTAACACACCGATAGCTTTGAGATCAGTGCCCTGATAAGGCTCATGCTTTACTGACTTATTAATATGGTGTGGCAGGGTGTAAATGAATTAGACTGTGGGGAGATGTGGGGTGAGGGATACAATACAGGACATTGTAGCAATGGGGGAGGGAGGGGGCAAGTGACAACGTGATATCTGGGCTGGGGTAGCAGAAACTGAGTGACAAGAGTAACTCACTAGGAAAAGTTGACTGAAGTATTTGAGGGAGCAAGGAGAGAGAAATGGCACTGCCAAATTTTGAGCCTGAATTATAGGGAAAAGACACTGCCAAATTTTGAGCCTGAATTATAGAGAAAAGACACTGCCAAATTTTGAGCCTGAATTATAGAGAAAAGGCCCTGCCAAATTTTGAGCCTGAATTACAGAGAAAAGAATGTTAAAAATTTCCAGTAATAATGGATTTATTCAAATTGTCCAAAGGGTTTTTAAAATGTAACCATTAATAGTAGTACTTGCACGTACAAGAAAACATAGGGAGAAAGCTCTTTGACAGTGGCATTCACAATGATTTTATGAATATCACCCCAAAAACACAGTCAATAAAAGCAAAAATAAACAAGTAGGATTATATCAAATTTAAAAGTTTCTGGACAGCAAAGGAAGCAATCAACAAAATGAAAAAGCAAACTACAGATTGGGAGAAAATGCTTGCAAACCATATACCTGACAGGGGGCTGATATCCAAACTCTACAAGGAACTCATACAACATAATAGCAACAAACAAACAAACAAAAACAACCCGCCAAGTTTTAAAAATGGGCAAAGGATCTGAATAGACATTTTTTGAAAGAAGACATACAAATGGCCAAAAGATATAGAAAAAGTGTTCAATATCACGGATCATCAGGGAAATGCAAATCAAAACCACAATGCACTATTACCTCATAGTTTTTAGGATGGCTATTATCAGAAAGTCAAATGAGAACAAGTATTGGTGTAAAGAAAAGGGAATCCTTGTACACTGTTGGTGGAATACGGTCATTATAGGAAACAGTATAGAAGGTCCTCAAAAAAGTAAAAATAGAGCTACCATATGATCTAGCAATCCAACTTCTGGGTATACATCCAAAAGAATTCAGATCATTATGTTGAAGAGATACATTGCAGCATTATTCACAATAGCTAAGCTATGGAAACCTAGGTGACCATCTATAGATGAATGGATTAAAAATGGTATATACATACGATGGAGTATTATTCAGCCTCAAAAAAAAAAAAAAAAAAAGAAATCCTACCATTTGTGACAATACAGGTGAACCTAAGAGTCATTATGCTAAGTGAAATAAGCCAAACACAGAAGGACAAATACTGCATGATCTCAGTTAATATGTGGAATCTAAAGAAATCAAACTCTGGTGGACAATAAGAGAATACTTGATAGGTACGATGTACATTATTTGGATGATGGATATCCTAAAAGCCTTAACTTCACCACTATGCAATCTATGCATGTAACAAAATTACACTTGTACCCCTCTAAGTTTCTGCAAAAAAATTAAAGAAGTTAACCTCATAGAAGCACAGAGTAGAAAGATGGCTGCCATGGGCTGGGGAATGGGAGAAATGGGAGGTGGATTTTAGTCAAAGGGTACAAACTTTCAGTTATAAGATGAATAAATTGTGGAGGTCAAATACGTAGCATAGTAAGAATCGTTAATAATACAATATTGTATATTTGAAATCTATTTTTTTCTTTTTTTAAATTTTATTATTATTATACTTTAAGTTTTAGGGTACATGTGCACAATGTGCAGGTTTGTTACATATGTATACATGTGCCATGTTGGTGTGCTGCACCCATTAACTCGTCATTTAGCATTAGGTTTATCTCCTAATGCTATCCCTCCCCCCTCCCCCCACCCCACAACAGTCCCCAGAGTGTGATGTTCCCCTTCCTGTGTCCATGTGTTCTCATTGTTCAATTTCCACCTATGAGTGAGAACATGCAGTGTTTGGTTTTTTGTCCTTGCGATAGTTTGCTGAGAATGATGGTTTCCAGTTTCATCCATGTCCCTACAAAGGACGTGAACTCATCATTTTTTATGGCTGCATTGTATTCCATGGTGTATATGTGCCACATTTTCTTAATCCAGTCTATCATTGTTGGACATTTGGGTTGGCTCCAAGTCTTTGCTATTGTGAATAGTGCCGCAATAAACATACGTGTGCATGTGTCTTTACAGCAGCATGATTTATAATCCTTTGGGTATATACCCAGTAATGGGATGGCTGGGTCAAATGGTATTTCTAGTTCGAGATCCCTGAGGAATCGCCACACTGACTTCCACAATGGTTGAACTAGTTTACACTCCCACCAACAGTGTAAAAGTGTTCCTGTTTCTCCACATCCTCTCCAGCACCTGTTGTTTCCTGACTTTTTAATGATCGCCATTCTAGCTGGTGTGAGATGATATCTCATTGTGGTTTTGATCTGCATTTCTCTGATGGCCAGTGACGATGAGCATTTTTTCGTGTGTTTTTTGGCTGCATAAATGTCTTCTTTTGAGAAGTGTCTGTTCATATGCTTTGCCCACTTTTTGATGGGGTTGTTTGTTTTTTTCTTGTAAATTTGTTTGAGTTCATTGTAGATTCTGGATATTAGCCCTTTGTCAAATGAGTAGGTTGTGAAAATTTTCTCCCATTTTGTAGGTTGCCTGTTGACTCTGATGGTAGTTTCTTTTGCTGTGCAGAAGCTCTTTAGTTTAATTAGATCCCATTTGTCAATTTTGGCTTTTGTTGCCATTGCTTTTGGTGTTTTAGACATGAAGTCCTTGCCCATGCCTATGTCCTGAATGGTAATGCCTAGGTTTTCTTCTAGGGTTTTTATGGTTTCAGGTCTAACATGTAAGTCTTTAATCCATCTTGAATTGATTTTTGTATAAGGTGTAAGGAAGGGATCCAGTTTCAGCTTTCTATATATGGCTAGCCAGTTTTCCCAGCACCATTTATTAAATAGGGAATCCTTTCCCCATTGCTTGTTTTTCTCAGGTTTGTCAAAGATCAGATGGTTGTAGATATGCGGCATTATTTCTGAGGGCTCTGTTCTGTTCCATTGATCTATATCTCTGTTTTGGTACCAGTACCATGCTGTTTTGGTTACTGTAGCCTTGTAGTATAGTTTGAAGTCAGGTAGCGTGATGCCTCCGGCTTTGTTCTTTTGGCTTAGGATTGACTTGGCAATGTGGGCTCTTTTTTGGTTGCATATGAACTTTAAAGTAGTTTTTTCCAATTCTGTGAAGAAAGTCATTGGTAGCTTGATGGGGATGGCATTGAATCTATAAATTACCTTGGGCAGTATGGCCATTTTCACAATATTGATTCTTCCTACCCATGAGCATGGAATGTTCTTCCATTTGTTTGTATCCTCTTTTATTTCACTGAGCAGTGGTTTGTAGTTCTCCTTGAAGATATCCTTCACATCCCTTGTAAGTTTGATTCCTAGGTATTTTATTCTCTTTGAAGTAATTGTGAATGGTAGTTCACTCATGATTTGGCTCTCTGTTTGTCTGTTCTTGGTGTATAAGAATGCTTGTGATTTTTGTACATTGATTTTGTATCCTGAGACTTTGTTGAAGTTGCTTATCAGATTGAGGAGATTTTGGGCTGAGACAATGAGGTTTTCTAGATACACAATCATGTCAACTGCAAACAGGGACAATTTGACTTCCTCTTTTCCTAATTGAATACCCTTTATTTCCTTCTCCTGCCTAATTGCCCTGGCCAGAACTTCCAGCACTATGTTGAATAGGAGTGGTGAGGGAGGGCATCCCTGTCTTGTGCCAGTTTTCAAAGGGAATGCTTCCAGTTTTTGCCCATTCAGTATGATATTGGCTGTGGGTTTGTCATAGTTAGCTCTTATTATTTTGAGATACGTCCCATCAATACCTAATTTATTGAGAGTTTTTAGCATGAAGCATTGTTGAATTTTGTCAAAGGCCTTTTCTGCATCTCTTGAGATAATCATGTGGTTTTTGTCTTTGGTTCTGTTTATATGCTGGATTACACTTATTGATTTGCGTATGTTGAACCAGCCTTGCATCCCAGGGATGAAGCCCACTTGATCATGGTGGATAAGCTTTTTGATGTGCTGCTGGATTCGGTTTGCCAGTATTTTATTGAGGATTTTTGCATCAATGTTCATCAAGGATATTGGTCTAAAATTCTCTCTTTTGGTTGTGTCTCTGCTAGGCTTTGGTATCAGGATGATGCTGGCCTCATAAAATGAGTTAGGGAGGATTCCCTCTTTTTCTATTGATTGGAATGTACATTTGAAATCTATTAAGTGAGTAGGCCTTAATTGTTCTCATCGCACAGACTTAAAAAATAGAACTATATGAGGTGTTAGCTTGATTGTAGTAATCATTTCACAACGCATACATATATCAAAACATGTTTTCCACCTTAAATATACAAAATTTTTATTATTTTTTGAGACAGAGTCTCACTGTGTTGTCCAGGCTGGAGTGCAGTGGCACGATCTTGGCTCACTGTAACCTCTGCCTCCAGGGTTCAAGCGATTATTGTGCCTCAGCCTTCTGAGAAGCTGAGGTTACAGACATGTGCCACCATGCCCAGCTGATTTTTCTATTTTTAGTAGAGATGGGGTTTCACCATGTTGGCCAGGGTGATGTCGAACTCCTGGCCTCAAGTGATCTGCCTGCCTCGGCCTCCCAAAGTGTTGAGATTACAGGCATGATCCACCGCGCCCAATTTTTGTCAATTTTACCTCAATAAGGCTGGGGGAAAACAGTAGTACTAGCACCCGTGTATACAACCTGCTGTCTGCTAGCACTAGGCTAAGCACTTTATGTGCATTATCCCATTTGATCTGCAGGACAACCCGTAAGGGAGGTATGATTAATATAATTAACTATTAGAATATTCCAGCTCATAAATGACCAATAGCAAATTAAACATACTGACTTTTTTAGTCCATAAAGAAGCTACTGAATGTGGAAATTCAGGAATGCAGAAGTTCAGGAGACTAAAATCACAGGGCTTCAGGCTAAATACATTTCTCACTGACATAGTAATATTGAGGATCCAGGAATAGAACACAACTTTTAAATTTCCATCTATGACTACAGAAAAGGTTTGCCTAGACCATTTTAAGTTACTAACCCATTTCAGATAAAAATAAACTTATACTAATATCCTCTGTCTTAACAAGATTGATCAAACCAGGCTGTGGTTTAGCAAAAGACATACATCATATAAAGTCAGTTACATTGAACAAGCATGTTATTATATATATCTGGGAATTTCATTTATGATACAAATTAAGGAAATTTCAGATGCTTTGGGAAATTAAAAAATATTGCCAACCTCTGGAGAATAAAATACGAAAGAATTGAAATTAGGCAATCATTAAACTATCTGTGACAAGCAAACAATTCAGTCAACTTTTTGAATATTTTTATCATATGATATTAAATATGTGAATATTTATTAGCACCCAGAAACTGGAAATTTATAGTTGTCAATATTATTGGATTACAGGTGGTTACTGATGCTTAGGTAAGGTAATATCACTTACCTGATGCATGTAACTCTTGAGTCGATTCTGAAGGTGTCAAAGGATCTGAATTTAATATAAATAAAAAGTTCAGATATATACATATACATACTCAGATACATATGTATTCATTATGTGTAGTTTATACTGAACAATTAAACTATATTATTTAAAAATGTGAGTCTTCAGTATTGCCAGTTTTCAAGGAGAATGTCTTAGGTTATTTGTTTCCTTTTTTTTTGAAACAGAATCTGGCTCTGTCGCTCAGGCTGGAGTGCAGTAGCACAATCTTGGCTGACTGCAACCTCTGCCTCCTGGATTCAAGCGATTTTCCTGCCTCAGTCTCCCAAGTAGCTGGGATTACAGGTGCCCGCCACTGCACCTGGCTGATTTTTGTATTTTTAGTAGAGATGGGGTTTTGCCATGTTGGCTAGGCTGGTCTCAAACTCCTGACCTCAGGTGATCTGCCTGCCTTGACCTCCCAAAGTGCTGGGATTACAGGCATGAGCCACCACCCTCAGCCTATTTGTTTTCTTAAAAAAGAGGGTCATGAGCAGAATTATTCTAATTGTTAGCTTTCTACTTGAGCATCTATTTTTCTATCAGAATTTTGCCTGCTATGAAACATATTTTTATGTTCATTATTTATAGTATCAGATCTACAAAGAGACTGTCAGGCTTTTCTCTGAGCTACTGACTAATAGTAAGTAATATAGTTTGACTCTGTGTCCCCACCCAAATTTCATCTTGAATTGTAATCCACACACGTTAGGGGAGGTACCTGGTGGGAGGTGATTTGATCATGGGGACAGTTTCCCCCGTGCTGTTCTCATGACAGTAAGTGAGTTCTCTTGAGAGCCGATGGTTTTAAAGTGTGGCACTTCCTGCTCTCTCCCTTTCTCTCTCCTGCCGCCATGTGAAGAAGGTCCTTACTTCCCCTTCACCTTCTGCCTTGATTGTAAGTTTCCTGAGGGCTCCCCAGCCATATGGCACTGTGAGTCAATTCAACCTCTTTTTTTCATAAATTACCTAGTCTTAGGTAGTTCTTTATAGCAGTGTGACAATGGACTAAGACAGTAAGCAACTGAAATAAAAATGACCAAATAAAGATTTGGTCCTCTTGAATATCTCAATCAGCCTGGCTAACCAATAATAACTTGGCAGTAATTTATAAAACAAAAATACATTCAGAACAACGTAAACACCTTAAAGTGTTATTATCTAATATGCCATTTCTACCCTATTTTCTATGAAATATGCTTCATAAATTAGAAAAAATTGGAATAATATTATATAGATTATATTTAAGATTAAAATGGCAAAACTTTTATAGGCTTGATAATGTAATTTTCCCTCCAGAATACTAGTGTAAGCTAATAGGTTAAGGAAGTATAATGAGGCTCTTTACCAATCTTAGTGTTTGTGTTCATGAATATCAAAGCAAATATGCCTCTCAGCTGGGTGTGGCGGCTCACACCTGTAATCCCAGCACTTTCAGAGGCCGACGTAGGCGGATCACCTGAGGTCAGGAGTTGGAGACCAGCCTGGCCAACATGGTGAAACCTCTTCTCTACTAAAAATACCAAAATTAGCCAGGTGTGGTGGCACACACCTGTAGTCCCAGCTACTCAGGCTGAGGTGGGAGAATCCCTCAAACCTGGGAGGCAGAGGTTGCAGCGAGCCAAGATCATGCCACTGTACTCCCAGCCTGGGTGACAGAGTGAGACTCTACCTCAAAAACAAAACAACCCCCTCCCCCGCAAGAAAAAAACTGTACCTCATAAATAGTTTACTCATTGGTTGGTAATAAAGTATTTCATGCTCCTAAATAATTTTATTATTTTATTTGCATCTTGATATTTGATTAGTTTTTGATGTCTACATGGGTAATACTCTCTACCATAATACATATATATTTATATATATAATATTTATAAATTATATATATAGTACTTTTCCTCCCTATAATTTTATGTCTCAAAATGAAAGGAAAGCTGTCTTTTGGAGCCCGTAAAGTGCCTCTAGGTTCAAATTATTTGATTAACAATCATCGGGTTTATAATTTTGTTGGCCTTCTCTTTAATAAAAAGGGAAACAGACAAAAATTGAGGAATATGAAGCCATATTCATCACCACATGCCAACAACTTCTTTTGCATTTTAATTTAATTCTGATTACCTGGGTCTGATACCCATGTGACAGCTTCAAACAAAATTATGACTGAAGAAACAGGAAAATAATAATAAACAAAAGGTAAAACGAACAAACAAAAGCATTCACTTTGCAGGAACTGAGGAAAATTCTGGGAATTTTATTACCTGGAATGTTTGCTGATCTTATGGGCAGACACAAAGGGATAAAGTGTTCATGTTGACATACTTCTTGAAGAAAATCAAATTTATACTGGCACAAGGTCTGAAAGAGAGGCAAACTAAATGACTATGACTTACAGACCAAGAAACTGAATAAAAACAAACAAACAAAATCTGCACTTGAATCTTATCCCTAAAAAGAAAAAGTAGTTACCATACACTTGTCGGACCACTAGGTAATTAAGTTGAAAGGATTTTGTCCCCTCCGAACTGCAGTTAAGCTCCCTACTTTTGGAGACTGGTCAAGGCCTCTTCAGGAAATAATCCCATTTGTAACCTACATGTAGCTTCTATGAGATAAGATCCTACTGAGTCATATTTTTTAGCTTCTTTTAGCATGAATCATGACACATTTATTCTGAAAAAAATTCCTGCTGTAACACATGCACAGAATTCTCTCAAAAACTACACTCAGATAATGAAACAGACTTCTACAATGAGCTCCTACCATCCAGAGCTAAGGAAGACAATGGTGTGTATCACGTAAAATTAGAGTGAAACCCTGTATGCCACATGTTCTCATAGTACATTAATTAATTCGTCTTTCCTCCCTGCCCTTGCAAATAGGTCTGTCTTTGCAATAATGTTTGAGTTAGATGGAGAGAAATGGAGTCCAGGCACGGTCAAAGTAACACAGGAGTCAAGAACAGCCACATCAGTAGGAAAAATAAGCATGTTCCTGACTGCTCTATTTTTACTCTCATGCATGCTAAGTAACCATGTTTTAAGACTAAGTTCGATGATCATCATTATATTCACTAATCTCAGCTCACAAAATAAAATATATCCCATTTACTCAGATATTTTAGAATTATATCTTGTGGCAACTTTAGTTAATAATTTAAAATACTGCCATTTCAAAAAGGATAATATTTGACTTAAACCTTTGTACATCAAAGTGAACAGGAGCATTATTAAATTATATGTTAACTATTTTACATTGAGAACATTCTGTTTGGTCTTTGAAAATACATAATTTAGGTCTGCTGCAATTAAATGGATATTCTGCAAATTTCATGCATGACAGGAGCACAAATGAAGAATATACTTTCAAAAAAAATTGAGAGAGAGAATTGGATTTTCAAAACCAGATGACATAAAATCATGTAACTCCTCTGGTCAAAATCTCCACTGCACCCCATCTCCCAAAAATAATGTTTAAGCAACTAAGCATGACGTGAAAGGCTGTAAGAATCTCATGATTTATTTTTGGCTGGTCTAAATCCATTGTTCTTTTCAAATACCTAGATAATTTCCCCTTGAGGACTGGCCTCCTTCACAGTGGGTAAAGGTTAACAGAGAATTATTAATTCATATGCCCTGTCTTCTCTCCTTAAGAGGCAAGCATGTGACCCAAAGCAGGTTGCTCACACACTTCCTCTATGGAAGGTGAATCTGAAGCAGTGTTGGGGGGAGAAAATGGCTTCAGTTGATTCATTTAAGCAGATGCAGCAGCACCTCGGCCAAATGGTTCTTCATTTGCAATTACTGTCAGGCCCCACGTAACGTTTTGGTGAAAGACAGACCATATATACAATGGTGGTTCCATACAATGAGAACAGAGCTATGTAATGGAGTAGGATATATACTAGCTGGGTTTGTGTAAGTACACTCTATGATAGTCACACAGTGACGAAATTGCCTAACAATGCTTTTCTCAGTATGTGTCTCTGTCGTTAAGTGACGCATGACTGTATTCCTTGTGCTTGAAAAGGCCTGGCCCCTGCCTTTTTTTTTTTTTTTTTTGAGACGGAGTCTTGCTCCGTCGCCCAGGTTGGAATGCAGTGGCGCGATCTCGGCTCACTGCAAGCTCGACTCCCGGGTTCACCCCATTCTCCTGCCTCAGCATCCTGAGTAGCTGGAGCTACAGGTGCCCGCAACCACGCCCGGCTAATTTTTTTGTATTTTTAGTAGAGACAGGGTTTCACCGTGTTAGCCAGGATGGTCTCGATTTCCTGACCTCGTGATCCGCCCACCTCGGCCTCCCAAAGTGCTGGGATTACAGGCGTGAGCCACCGCGCCCTGCCAGCCCCTGCTCTTTTCAAAGCCTGCTTCTGCAGCTGCTTCATCAATGCTATTTACTCCCAATTATCTTTCCAATCAATTCCCTTTTGCTCAAATTGGAGTCAGTTTCTGTTGCTTTCAACCCAAAGAACAGTTAACTGATCCAGCTTTCATCATCTGGCCCATTTCCAGTCTTAGTTCCCTCCAGCATATGCCATAACCATAGCTCAGTGGTTCTCAAACCTGAGAGTGCAAAACAATCACCTAGAGGTCCTGTTAAAACAAATTTCTGGGCTCCATTAGCAGCAGTTCAGTTCCCAAGTGATGCTACCTCTCTGGTCTAGGAACCACTGCTCTAGAGTTCTCTTTACATCTCCCCAGCGTATACCCCTATTTGGGTAGGGTATTCAACTGTCCCATTTTGCCCAGGACTTAAAGGTTTCCAGGGAAGTAGGACTTTCAGTGCTGAAACCAAGCCAGTCTAGGGCAAACTGGACTGTAGGAATTGTAGCTGCAAAGAGCCATTCTCTTCACCACCCACAGGAAATAGAAATGAAATGTAAACACTTTCATTCCACTCTCCTTTGTCCCCATTAAGGAAGGACTTGGTAGGCACACTCAGCAGATGAAACATTAAAAGGCTGCCTCTCCTTGGCATAGAAATCACTTTCTGATACAGAGAATGGACTTAAGCAGGTATCCACAGAGACTACTTTATTTATTTACAATGCCATAGTTTAGAAAACAATCACTCCTGTACGTGGTTCTTACCTTAAGGTCACCGGAGGAGAACATGCTGATGTAATTGTTGACCATCTTAAACACATACCCTCGGTCCATAAATGTAAAGCAGCGCTAAAATAGATAAAATTCTAAATTTAAACACTTTTACTTGAAGAATCATTAAAGATTTTAGAAAATATGATTAAATATATTGAAGTAAAATAACACTAAACTAAATGTGTTGTATAATTAGGTATTTAAAAAATCTTCTAAAGATGTTTAAGCAGTCATCCACATATGGCAACTAAAATAACTACAATTTATATTAAAAATGAAAATGAAACAGGGCAATATACTAACAGAGAATAGGTACATTTAAAAATTCAGAAGAAAACAAGAAAAATTGAAAGGAAAAACAGAATGAAAGCATAAATGAATAAAACAAAAATATCAATCAGAAAGTTATAAATCTATATTGATTTTATAAAATGTCACTGGAGCTTTGCAATGAAATATTATAGCCCCTTCTTTTTTATACAGAAAGCTTTAGCTTTCGGTTGTCTACTTTTTTAACCACTTAGTTACATTTTATTATTTTCTTTTAATAATTCCATTTCACACTTATGGGGTTGTAAATCTTCTCCTGTACACACTGGGTCATAATGAGGAGTGGTAGAGACGAGTCAGGAAAGCCTTTTAAATCTCACTGGCCCCTTTTGACAGAGTAGCTCCTCTCCTTATCAGCTGAGGAAGCTTGCATTTGAAGGCTGAAGGAAGGAGATCGTAAGATTTCTATCAGCGAGCTGCTTACTACCTTTCTTATTCTGTGGTCAAATTCTCTTTACTGTATCAAGGAGAGTCTTAAACAGTAAGTAGGCTTGGAGGAGCACTTGCTCTCTCTCCAAAAGACGGATGGTCATGTAACCAGTAACCAAGCTACCACGGCCAAAGACTGCACAGGCAAAGTGTGGAGCAGGAGGAAGGGACCATAGTTCCCAACGCAGGATCTGGGGAGGCACTAGAGCAGGTGCCTCCCATAGTGGATCTGCAGCTCATTACTTGGTGTGTGAGTCTCATTCTATTCACCCACGTGGGTGTGAGTAAACATGCTGCTTGGGAAAATTCCACAGCTGGTGTGGAGTGCTTCTTTCTTGTCGAAAGTGTCCAGGATGATCCATTAAAATGGTTTTGCATTTCTTGGAGTCTCTCCTCAATTTTACTCACAGACAGGACTACACATAAAATCTTGCTATGGAGAGTGGACCAAGAGCTCTATGGAAAACATTCATTTATTCCAAAAGCACAAGCTATTTAAGCCAAGTAGAGTAGATATGAAGGGTTTTCACTTTTTAGAGACTTGCTTATCCATCCTTATCTGATATTTAGAGAGAAATACCACAGATGTTTAAACCAAGTCTCTCTCTAATATTAGGTGATTTCCAAATGGTTTTCAACAGCTCATTGAAACAAAGCAGTGGTTAGTCAGGCGAATGGGCTAAAAGATACGGCTATCCAATCAGCAAAATAAAAATCAGAATGAATCAGCCTTTGCTACCATCTTGGTATTGTGCTTCATAAAAAGAGTGTCTAAATAGGTATGTTCAGATAAGTAGAGCTGTGACCCAGGTGGGTGGCAAAAAGAAAAATGACAAAAGCTGCAATCATTTGAATCCTATTTACTTCACTGAGAGAATAGTTGAGAAATGTACAAGCTTTTTGGCATAATTGCTGAAAAAATATTACTTTCCCATAATGTGGGGTAAGGGAGGCTACCTTTTAATGTAGAACATTTTTATATGCCCACACACTGGTTCCCAGAGGTTCTTCTTGATTCTTGGAGACCAATTTTGAGCAACCCATGGAGTTACAATAATATTTTAATTGTTAAATTCCAATGTTGACTAATTCACAGTATTTGCTAATGTAGACTTCAATAACAAAAAGAGGTAGCAGTCATTTGAAGCCCCAATTGAGCAAATAACTATTGTTTGCTGGAAATATAAGAGATTTATGACATCAGCACTAGGAGTGGGCTGTGTTGAGCATCTGAAAACTCAAATTTATTGGAATTGCACCAAATGACTACGTTCAGTTTTACATTTTCAAAAATCACTTTCTTTTCCTTTCTTTTTTTTCTCTCCTAGCTCAAATGATTCATCTAATAAGTGTTCCAATTTTTTTTAATATTATGTGTCAAATAAATGCCATTAAAACTTCAAATTAGTAATAAGGAGGGTAACTATGAGGTCTTTTCCCTTTTTTAGAGACTTGCTTATTCGTCATTTTTTGCAGTTTAGGGAAGAATATTTCAGATGTTTCTTTCAATATATTTTATTTGCAAACTGAACTATACATAATTCTTTCTAAGTTTCCTAGTAAACTATTAGCATAGCAATAAACTTTATTCCCATAGGTCTTAAAATGTGGTAGAAAACTACAGTAACTTTTCCCCCCTTTAAACTTTTCCCCTTTAACACTTATCATTCTTGTCTCTTTCTGGAAGCAAGAAAAAAGTAAAAATCAGAGACAAAACCTTGAAGAAAAAAATAAATTCAGGATAAGAACACATACAGTGTATAATTTGAAATAGTTTTTAACACATTAAAAAAAAGAAATTAGGCTGGATTAAAGCTCACCAGTGACAAGTTGGGCCCATTTTCCACTTCTATAGGCTTTTAACTGTATATTATTAGCATTTATTTATACATTCTCACACTCACCCATATGTTCTGGTGACTACCATTAAGAAACAAGTCAAATGACTTCATAAAGGTTATAGTAGTCAAGAGTTAGACTAAAGAAGGAGGCACAGAAAACTATTATCTTTCTAATTGCTTGCATTATCTGTTAAATGGTATACTGTAATTATGTATCTTAGTTTTTTCTTCGACTTTGCATTTCTTTCCTCTCAGCTCAATATAAATGGTTGTAACCCAATGAAATATAACTAATTTCCATACATATCCAGTTTAGTAAGTAGCTACTCAATACTTTACTTGATAATTTTTCTTTCATGGGATCAGTGTGATCTTTCCATAATGTAAAAAACAGCGTGGGTCAACCTTGGTGGCTCACACCTGTCATCCCAGCACTTAGGGAGGCCAATCTCTTGAGCTCAGGAGTTTGAAACCAGCCTGGGCTACGTGGCAAAACCCCGTCTCTACAAAAAATACAAAAATTAGCCAGGTTTGTGTCTGTGTCCTACTCAGGAGGCTGAGGTGGGAGGATCGCCTGAGCCCAGGGAGGTTGAGGCTACAGTGAGTTGTGATCATGCCAGTGTGCTCCAGCTTGGGTTGACAGAGTGAGATCCTGTCTCAAAAAGAAATAAAGAAAAAAAAGAGCCTGGAGATAATAAACAAAAATGCTAAATTCCTGAAGCGTTTCCCAAAGTGGCTATTTGGTATCACTGTCAGAGCTAAAGCCATTATAACATCACTTTCAAAGGCAGAAATGTCCAAGAGAATAATATTACTGTAGTGCAGCTTCCTTTTTAAAAATTTCATTTTTTCTCTTAAAATATATTTAGAAATACTATGATTTGACTGCACTCAAATGGATACTTTTCTCTAACCTTAGTTTTTTTTTTCTTTCTTCCTGTCTTTTTTTTTTTTGAGACAGTCTCTCTCTGTCACCAGGCTAGAGTGCAGTGGTGTGATCTCGGCTCACTGCAACCTCCGCCTCCCAGGTTCAAGTGATTCTCCTGCCTCAGCCTCCCAAATAGCTAGGACTACAGGCACGCACCACCACGCCCAGCTAATTTTTGTATTTTTAGTAGACACGGGGTTTCACCATGTTGGCCAGGATGGTCTCTATCTCTTGACCTCATGATCTGCCCGCCTTGGCCTCCCAAAGTGCTGGGATTACAAGCATAAGCCATCGCGCCCGGCCTTCTAACCTTAGTCTTTATTCAATAAGACTTCAAATTGAAAAAAAAAATTAAAAAGTATTTCAAGCAATAAAGATGTATAAATGAAAGTTTTCATCTGACAGTGCTAGTTTTGATTTTTCATCATACATGAAGATGTGAACTGATGAAAGTTTAGACTATCTTGCATCCACCAACATGGGGCCTTGAATAGAACTGCGATCTCATATAACTGTACCTTGAGAAATCTGGCAACGCTGTGGTTTGCCCTTCTTGTTTCTTCAAGTGCATCCTTGTATTTCCAAATCACATGGTCGGATAGGACCATGACAAGATTGTCCAATTCATTTTGGTAAGATTCAGGAAATCTCTGAGGCCGGGGAAGCTAAGGAAAGAACGGATTATATCTTTCTAATGTGGCATGTGAAATATTAAGCCGAGGAAGTATCAACTGAAATATTTACTTTATTTTATAGGTCATTAAAGAAAAAGAATCCTTTTGAAAACTTGAAAGCAGTAATAAAATAGAAGCCTTTTACTTTCAAGGTCATGATTTCCATCATTAATATTTAGTGTTTCCTTCAATTTTGGTCAATAAAATTTTCACTTTATAATAAAAGTCAATCATAACAAATATTAATTGCAAACTATTGAAACAATGTAGCAATGTACAAAGTAAAATGTGAACCTTCTCTGTGGCCTCTCATATCTTACTTTCCCTCCTTCCCTCTCAGGGAATAGCTACTATTAATGGTTAATGAACATTATTCTAGATATTTTGGACATGTAGTTCTCTATTTCATTTAAAAATAAATTATTTTGATTTTTTTACAACTAGGAATGCCCCCAATAAACTAGTCTAAGAAATTAATAAATGAATAACTGAATGAATACAGATATTGGTTTGAAATGTCCTCTGACATTTGGTGAGTCCCAGCTAGTTTTAACTCCCTGGTCCCAGTATATGCCACAGTTAAGAGACACCAGTGGGACCTCACAAGTCAAGATAAAGAAGGGCTTGGCTGTGAGATGACATTACATCCACTGAATAAAGCTCTATGGATCTCAAAAGACCATTTCAGGTCCAGATATCCATCCCTCCTGTTTGGACTCCTGCATATGAGGGGAACATTTGAGGCAGCCGAGTTCTTCCATCTCAGACTCTGCTTTTTTTTTTTTTTTTTTTTTTTTGGAGACAGGGTCTTTCTGTGTCACCCAGATTGGAGTGCAATGGTGTGATCTCAGCTCACTGCAACCTCTACCTCCTCAGTTTAAGTAATTGTCCCACCTCAGCCTCCCAAGTGGCTAGGACTACAGGCGCCCTCCTGTAGTCCATACCCAGCTAATTTTTAGTAGTGACAGGGTTTCGTCATGTTGGCCAGGTTGGTCTTGAACTCCTGACCTCAAGTGATCTGCTTGCCTTGGCCTCCCAAACTGCTAGGATTACAAGTGTGAGCCCCCGTGCCCAGCCTTACTTCTGATAAGATTCATTCATCTTTACCAGCTGGCTTTAAAAATTAGACCCAGACACATTTTCACTATAGATAGAATCATGGAATTTAGAGTTACACTGAACTGTGTATTTCTAAATTGTGAGCACCCAGACTTCCATGCTGCAAGGATAAAAATCATGAAGGCTGAAGTTACAGGAGTTGTATGAAACAGATATTTAATGGAATTTAACGGGATGTTGGAGCTGGTTTAGGCTGGCTTCTATTTTTTTTTTTTTTTTTTTGAGATGGAGTTTCGCTCTGTTGTCCAGGCTGGAGTGCAGTGGTACGATCTCAGATCACTGCAACCTCCGCCTCCTGGGTTCAAGCAATTCTCTGCTTCAGCCTCCTGAGTAGCTGGGATTACAGGCACCTGCCACCACACCTGGCTAATTTTTGTATTTTTTAGTAGAGATGGGGTTTCACCATCTTGGCCAGGCTGGTCTTAAACTCCTGACCTCATGATCCACCAGCCTCAGCTTCCCAAAGTGCTGGGATTACAGGCTTGAGCCACCCCGCCTGGCCAGACTGGCTTCTATTTTTAAGCCACTTTACCAGGACATCACTGCATGGATATTTTTGAAAATTTCATGGTTACTCTCTATATATTTAAAATTTATTGTTGAAATCAAATAAATTAACAACTAATGAACTTAACTGATTTGATCACACACAGCATTTTTAAATTCTCTTCCATAAAACTTGGGTAATAAAGGTAAACAATTCACCTACAAAAAGCAACAGTCACCTTTTAAAGAATCAAAGCACACTTTTAATTTTCAATTTTCGTTTTGTTAGTCCTCTAAAATTCCTTAAGCATATCATACGTACATTTTCCCCACATGCATATGCATGAATGCCTTGGGCTTTAATATTCCATTTGTTCCTTCCTCTTTACACCTTCCTCTCAAAGTCTCCTGTGGCCTACTCTCACTCTGAACCCAAAGATGTCTGCCTAATAAATATATGAGTACTTTTAAAACTGTTTTCCCGAAGTATATCCTAAAGACTCGAGGTGGAAGAATTCCTGCACTGGAGATTGTGAATTTTTTGTCTCAGGAGATGAAGGGAGTGAGATGGTGGCACACTTCCCAAGCTGCAGAGCTGGACCATGATGAATCTGAGCTACAGCATGGCGAGGTCAAGGGGAACAGGCCTGGGATGCATGGGCAGAACTGTAGGCTTTTGGGAGTTTTGTTAGAAACAAGGAGGATGATGGGAAACAAAAGGTTTAGCTGGTTCAATGATCCTTTTGCTACTAGAGAATAATGTTGAGAAAACATTCAGTGGTTCCCAGGAAATTGTTTTAGTTTGTTTGTGTTTTGTTTTGTTTGAGACAGAGTCTCTGTGGCCCAGGCTGGAGTGCAGTGGTGCAATCTCAGCTCACTGCAAACTCCACCTCCCGGGTTTAAGCAATTCTCGTGCCTCAGCCTCCTGAGTAGCTGGGATTACAGGTGTGTGCCACCACATCCAGCTAACTTTTGTATTTTTAATAGAGATGGGGTTTTGCCATTTTGGCCAGGCTAGTCTTGAACTCCTGACCTCAGGTGATCTGCCCACCTCAGCCTCCCAAAGTGCTGGGATTACAGGCATGAGCAACTACACCCAGCCATTCCCAGGAAACTGGAACTCACGCTGGCCAAGTGCCCAACAACATTGCACCTTTTAGAGGACTAAACCAGATATCTCCCCTGACTTCCTCAGATCTTCCACACTTACTCCTTGGATGATGGAAATTCCTTTAATAGTGGAGAAAACCATTCACTTCACAATTTAAAAAGAAAAAAAAAAGAAAATACAAATAGCTTGGGAAAAGTTTACTGTGAATGCTTTGGTGTCAAATGATAATATCAGGGCTGGGTACAATGGCTCACGCCTGTAATCCCAGTACTTTGGGAGGCTGAGATGGGCAGATCACTTGAGCCCAAGAGTTCGAGACCAGCCTGGGCAACATGACGAAACCCCATCTTTACTAAATATATATAATTATCTATCTATCTATCTATCTATCTATCTATCTATCTATCTATCTATCTATCATCTATCAATCATCTATATGAAATTAGCTGGGCTTGGTGGCCATGCCTGTAGTCCCAGCTACTAGGGATGCTGAGGTGAGAGAATCACCTAAGTTGGGGAAGTTGAGGCTGCAGTGAGCTATGATTGTGCCACTGCACTCCAGCCTGGGCAACAGGAGTGAGACCGTGTATCAAGGGGAAAAAAAAATGGGCCATGCGTGGTGGCTCATGCCTGTAATTCCAGCACTTTGGGAGGCTGAGGTGGGTGGATCACCTAAGGTCAGGAGTTGGAGACCAGTCTGGCCAACATGGTGAAACCCCGTCTCTACTAAAAATGCAAAAATTAGCTGGGTGTGGTGGCATGCACCTGTAATCCAAGCTGCTTGGGAGGCTGAGGCAGGAGAACCACTTCAACCCAGGAGGTGGAGCTTGCAGTGAGCCGAGATCGTGCCACTGCACTCCAGTGTGGGCGACAGAGCGAAACTCCGTCTCAAAAAAAAAAAAAAAAAGTAAAGAAAAAAGATGATATCAGGTCTTTTCCCACTGTGATGATTAGAGATGGTTAGAGTGGAAGGTGCAGGGCTCCTGAAAGAAAACTAGGGTGTGAGGGTTACCACTGAAAGGGGTCACGGAAAGCAAACCTCAATCGGGGAAGATAAACTGCTGGACACAATCATGCTGGCTATTATCAGTTCATTTATTCTTAGGCTGCTCACAGGTGTGTTTTGTGACCTGTCTATACAAGCAGATGCATACTGGTAGGAACTAGAAGAGAATTTTAGTCCAATCCACTCTTCTTACAGATGAGAAAACAGGCACTGAGATGTTAAGCGTCGTTTTCGTCAGCTAACAAGTTAGTGACAGAGCAGGAATTGCAACAGTGAGGTTTCCTGACCCCAGTAGAGCTTAACAACAGAGAGATACGAACCATTTTTACCTTTGTGTTAGATTTTCTCTCCCTCCCAGGTAGGAGGCTCTCATCTCCAGAAGTGGAGAGCAGAAATAGCAGAAAAGCAAAAATAGGATTTGCGAGTTAAGAGTTATGGAACTCCACAGATGATTAAAGGTCCAGCAAGCCATTTCTGTCATACTAAGATCAAGGCCATGGTTACATAGACCTGGGGCCTAGAAGCATGGATGAGGACCTCTGGATGGATGACTCTGAGGAAGTGGCTCTGCACACTTCCCTGAAGCCTTAGTGCTAGCAGAAGTTTAATTCCTCCCTATTAAGTGTCAGCACTCCTCCCATGCAAGATGATATTGCAAAGGCCTCTCCCTGCTAGAAATCAGGCAAACCCTTGAGGAGTTGTCCCGCCTCTCCTTCTGGTGATCAGGGCAATACCTGGAGGTTAAATCCTAGCTTAACCCAGCTGGGGGCTTGCTGGGCCTAATAAAGCAGGAAAGAGAATATACCCAAAGAGGCTATAAAAATTAGCTATCATGTACCACCAGGAGGTAGGGCAGAACCTCTGCAATTGTACATTGAGGATGTGGGCCAGAAAGTAAGGGCAGGTAACTTAGAATGCATTGACATGGGTGTGCTTTTTCAGAACATGGGATTAAATAAGGACTCACGGGATGAGCAACTCACTGCTAGGGTTGCTCTGAGAATCTAGAGATGGCCTACTTTAAGCAAAGTCGAAATGTCTGGTTGTCCTGGCAGAGGATAGAGGAAAAAATAAAGAGGTGGAGGGAGGTGGATATACAGGAATGGACATTAATTGAGACTGGAAGATCCACCAGTGTATCAAGTTCCCCAGGCAGGCCCAGAAGACAGCATGCACCATGGCCACTAAGAAGGTGCTGGGGACCAATATCATTAAGAAGGTCAGGGGTGTTTCCCATCTGTTGGCAGGAGGAGCAGTCACAGTCTTGGCTCATGAGCAGCCATGGGGATCAGGGATCACCAAAACAACAGAGGCCATGTGCTGTGCTTAATCTCCAGGAGCCAGGGGGCTGTGAGTATCATGACAAATGACAAGACTGGTGGGGAAGCCAAGAGGGACCG
Organism: Homo sapiens; assembly: GCF_000001405.40. NCBI lineage: Eukaryota > Metazoa > Chordata > Mammalia > Primates > Hominidae > Homo > Homo sapiens. The sequence goes on from NC_000002.12 coordinate 224,828,779, forward strand.
ACTCTCAGGGAGTTGTAGAGCTGGTTAATGATGACTGGAACTCCTAGGGACAAAACAGAGAGCAACCAACAATGGTGGTACATCATATTAACAAAGAAGGCAAGAATGGGCAACTGGAAGATGGGGATGTTCATTCCAATGAATAGTCATGGTTCCTTTGTCTGTTCCTGGACCTGAGTCACAATTCAGATCTGGTACACATTGACTGAAGAGGTGATGGGGTCCCTAAAGGAAAGCCCCCACTGCAACAATGCAGTAGATACATACTGTAATGAGTCTATCAATTCTTCTCCAAAGGGCCCTATAGCCATTTACTCAGGCTACTGTACACTGAGAAGAAGGGCATATAGTTCAAGGACTGTTGCACACAGAATCTGAGTTGACATTGATATCCAGAAATGAAAAGCATCACCATGTCTGCCCTGATAGAGTGGGGACTTACAGGGATTAAAGGTGGAGTCCTGACTAAAGTTCTGTTAACAGTAGATCCACTGGGTTCAAAGATCCCCCCAATAGTCATGTAACTGGTCCCAAATGTATAATTTGTATTAATAAAACTGGCATTTGGAGTAAGCTTGCACGGGTGCTTGGTCTGTGGAGGTATCCTAGTGGGGGAGGCCAGGTGGGAGCTTCTGACACTGCTTCTTCCCCACCAAAAGAGTAAATCAAAATAATATAACTGTACACCACCAACCCCACCTCATGCAGCATTGTTATGATTTACCCTCCACGTGGGGCAGGGGCAATGCCAGAGGTCTTCCCTTGGCCTTACCCACAATGGGGGCTCAGAGAAATGTGTGTGGAACTCAGGTGATCTACCTGGCTGCTTCTTGGTCTTCCTCACTCCATTGTAACTGTGAATGGCCATAGGTACCAACTCTGGTGTGAGTAGAGTATGATGACCAGAGGCTGAGACCACTCTAGAATGAGGGTTTGGGTCATATCACCAGGTGAGTCACCAAGACCTTCGGAGCTGCTAGTTAGAGTGAGAGGGATCTAGAATGGAGAGTTGGGATGGGAGATGATGAGTAATACATAGGCTCCTGAAAAGCCATGGAAGGGGCTGTAATTAATTCCATCAGGGTCCCTCTTCTAAGCTTCCTTTCAGGAGGGGAGGCCCATGGGAACTGCAGGGAAGCAGATTCATGAACTTGTACAATATGTCATGCAAACTTGGACTGTGGCAGCCAGGAATGCACATCGCTCAAATGTTCCTTCAAGACAGAATCTAGTGGGAAGAATATAAAGAGTTGCTGTATCTTGCAATATGCTCCAGCATTCATGCCAAGGCTACCCTCCCCCCAGGCTGCTCCCAGTCAACGACTTAGCTTGCAAAGGTCCTGGAGGCCGATGGCCTTCCCAGTGCAGGGTTCCTCTAATGACAACTCTTTGCTCTCAGACTTCCCATCAGCCCAGCTAAAACCTTGTCACTGTGAGACTCTTCCTAGCCAATCCTCCTTCCTTCCCCCTTTTCATTTACAGGTATCAGACTTTCCCATTTCTTTTTCCTGTTCCTTTTATCCTTTATAGTTATTTCCCTCCAATACATCTTTTGCACTTCCAATATTGTCTTGGCATCTGCTTCTGAAGGGCCTGTGCCGGTTGGTGTACACAATCATTTCTTCTACTTATAAAGTAATTATTGTAAACTGCTAAGGTTTATAAAGCAAATAAAAATGGAACTCATGACAGCATAATCATTAGTGTAATTGTTGGATAATATTGTAAAAATATTATAATATTATATTACTTATGTTCTTACCTGGATTTTATTTGTGTCAATCAAGTGCTGTGCCATCGATTTTAGGATAATTGCAAAGAAGAACCAGGAATGCTGTTGGGAAAAAAAAGGCAACGAGACATTTATTATCCTATGGCAAAATAATGATAATTTTTTCTTTGCAATATGTAATACTATAACATTGTTATGTTAAAATGTATTCTTTGAAACTAAATGAATTAGAGCAGTAAAATATTCTCTATTATAGTGGGATGATTTTTATCTCAATCCTCTCAAAAAATGTTTAAACTAAAACAAGTTACAAGTTTATTTGGCATGACTGACTAAGCAGTTGTTTTACAAAATATTTATTCAAGGGATGTTCTAGTTGTTTCACCTAGTTAAACAAAACTAAACAAACTTTTATTTATTTATTTATTTATTTATTTATTTTTTGAGACAGTCTCACTCTGTTGCCAGGCTGGAGTGCAGTGGTGCAATCACAGCTCACTGCAGTCTTGAACTCTCCGGCTCAGGTGATTCTCCCACCTCAGTCTCCCGGACAGCTGCGACTACAGATGTGGTCACCATGCCCAGCTAACTTTTTGTGTTTTTTCGTAGAGACAGGGTTTTACCATGGTGCCCAGGCTGGTCTTGAACTCCTGGGCTTAGGTGATCCTCCCGCCTCAGCCTCCCAAAGTCCTGGGATTACAGTTGAGAGCCACCAAGCCTGACCTAAACAAACTTTTTATTGTACCAAGCTCACCCCTCAAATTTCAAAGGTTAGAGGTAAGGGTGAAAATGGAAGGTCATATGTCTAGATATCTAGAAGTTGGAAGTCAAGCTGAAAATGTGTTAAATAAAATATGTTTGATCCTCCTACCTCGAGAAACAAAACTTCATAACACCTTGGAATGCTGCCCCAGGGTGTGAGGTCCTGGGGGGCACAGGGCCTGGCCTGCCCCTTTTCTTCTCGCCCAAGGCTCCGTCCTGCCCCTTGAGGGGCCTGGTGCGCATGTGTTAAATACTTTAAAAAACAAAGCTTCAAAACTTATGTCACCTAAATAACTCAATCTCAAAATTATCTGCTCATGCCAGATTTTGTCATGAAATAAATGCAGGCCCAATGATAAGAGCAGTACACACCTGTTCCTACTTAGGGCTTTGCAGAGGTAGGGCCTTGTACGCCTGAGCTCTTTTGGAAACTGTCCAGCCTGCACATCTGAGTGCTGTCCACAACCTGGCCCTCCTCCCTGCCGCAAATAGCTCCTTAATGGGGTCTAGGGTTGCACTCAGGCATCAAGACCTGTCCTCTGGAGGTCCTGGAGGGCTTGGGACAGAGATTGAAGCAGGCCTGGAAATCCACCTATAGGACCTTGAGCAAGAGGGTCTTGGGGTTCCTTACAGGTCTAGAAGGGGAGGTAGGGGCTCCTGGTGGGCTTGTTCTCTTAGCTCCTCTTAAACCTTGGCCTGTGAGGACAGGTGCAGTATGAGAAGAACAAAGCTCATCCCAGGATGGGCACCCTTCTTTCTTGGGCCTAAGGGTGACACTTATCTCAGCTACAAAAAGTCATATTGTATATGTATAGTTTCAAGAACGCACCCCTTGCATCCTCTCTGCTTCCTACTCCTTCCACCACAGATAACAGTTTTAAATTTTGTGCTAATCATTCCTTTGCTTTACTTCACAATTTTGCTACGAATACTTATACAATGAAGGGATATTTAGTTCATCTGGCCACTGAACTTCATAAGAATGGAACTATCCTCTATGTATTCTTCTGAGATTGCCTTTTTCATTCAACAAATTCTGTTCTGTGGTTCGTTTATGTTGAAGCACGTAGCTGGGGGGATCACATATGGTCACCACATGACATATATAATCACCATGTACTTATCTGCTCTACTGTCAATGGGCATTTGGATTATATCCTGTTTTAAGTCATACAAACAATGCTGCGATAAACTTTTGACAAGACAGTCCTAATTCCAGAAGACTGACTCAGATAAAAAAGAGAAGGGATTGATATTCTACAAAGGCAGCTATGGCTTAATGAAGTGGTCACTTCTTAGTAAGAAGAAATGGAAATGGCTACCAATACTATTCTAGCACTCCAATAGCATTCTAATGGCTATTAGAAGTGAAACATGTTGTTAGGAATATGAATGAATCCCAGGCACACTGCTGCAATCCTCTTTCCCTAATCTTGTCCAAAATATTTTGAGCCATCGTGTCAAGTGTTCCAACATTTGTCTCTTAATTCAACAGACTCCTACCCCTCTCCATCCCTTAGCACTCTGGCCTGCCTCCACTATTTTCCTTGAAACCACCAGCACTAATGAAATTGAGCTTTTGCCTGTTCACGTCTGATGACAGATGAAGCCTCAACTCCTCTACTGCCCTCTCCACATATTCCCTTATATATCTGCACATTCCACTGCTTCCAATCTCCTGAAACCCACCCACCCCACCTTCCAGAGCACATGGTCCATCGTTAGCACAATCTCTTGAAGATGCAATTCTTCTCCGAGCATTCCCTTCACTCCATATTTTAACTGAGCAGTGACTCTCCCCAGAGGATCCTGCTTCTCTGATAGCCCCTCAAGTGGTTGTGGTCTCCATTTTTATCCCACTGTAGTCGATTCTCAACACAGCAATCAGAGGGATCCTTTTAAACCAAGGTCAGCTTGGTTTAAAACATTACTCCTCTGTGCAAAACCCTCCAACGACACAACTCCCAGTTCTGCTCTGAGTGGGAACGCCTGGCCTATGCTAACTCCCAAGCCTCCAGTGGCTTCCATGACTTCATCGTCCATCTTTTTTTTTTCTTTCTGCTCACTTGGCTCCAGCCACAGTGTCCTCCCTGTCTCCTGCCACAGTGTCCTCCCTGTCTCCTGCAGACACACCAGCCATGCTGCTGCCTGATGACTTCACACAGGTCTTTCCCTCTGAGCATCCCCATGGCCAGCACCCTCTTCGCCTTCAAATTTTTTTTTTTTTTGCTCAAGAATTACCTCCTCCATCAGATATCCTGACCATTCTATTTAAAACTTCAAATCTCCCCTGCACCTTCAGCACTCACAATGCCCAATTCTTACCTGTTCTACAATTTTTCTAATGCATCTTCTTTTCTAACATACAATATCTATCTATGTATCTCTCTCTCTCTCTCTCTCTGGTCTTGTTGCCCAGGCTGGAGTGCAATGGCATGATCTCGGCTCACTGCAACCTCTGCCTCCCGGGTTCAAGCGATTCCCCTGCCTCTGCCTCCTGAGTAGCTGGGATTACAGGCATCTGTCACCACTCCTGGCTAATTTTGTTTTTGTATTTTTAGTAGAGATGGGGTTTCACCATGTTGGCCAGGCTGGTCTTGAACTCCTGACTTCAGGTGATCTGCCCATCTCAGCCTCCTAAAATGCTGGGATTACAGAGGTGAGCCACTGCACCTGGCCCACTCTACTTTTTTCTATGTTGTCTCGATATAGATCTCTTTTGCTTAGTATCTTTATATGCTAAGTTTCAATATGAACCTTATGCTGGAAACTGCAAGAGAAAAAGTCTATGAAAATCCATGACTCCTATCATTTTCCAGGAGTAAGCGTGACCCATGCCTAGTACTCACAGTTAAAGGACCATCTTTAAATTCTTACCTTTAGGACATGCTTTACTGTTGTTGAGTCATTTGATTTCAAAAGACCAGTCACATTTTTAGCCAGTTCCTCATGTACAGTCCTCTCCTTGCATGCCCTGGTCTTGAACACGAACTGAAGAAAATCCAAAAAGTGAATAAAGTTAAATACTTTGAAAAATGAAGCTTCAAAAACTATGTCATGTGAATAACTTATGTCTCTAAATTATCTGCTCATGCCAGATTTTGCCATGAGATAAATGCAGGCCCAATGATAAGAGCAGTACACACCTGTTCCTATTTAGGGCTTTGCAGAAGTAGGGCCTTGCTCACCTAAGCTCTCCTTGAAACTCTTTGTAGAAATCAAGAGAAAGAGCCAGAGAGCCATTTAGCACGTTCAAGGAAACATGGAGGGCTTTGACCCACCTACTTAGGACACATTCCCCTTCTCCTTCCTCCACTGGTAACAGGTGGCATGGTAGCAATTCTTCATCCTGAAAGGGTAGAGCACCCACTCAAATAGCCAAGTGGGGAAGCCAGTGCCTTCCAGATGCCAGTACGTGAGCTCCCCACAAGCCCAGGGTCTATGATCCCATGCTTAGACACACTATCAAGGCGTTCATGAACATTGGCCATCAGTAAGATAACAAATGCTGCATACTTATTTTTTTTCCTCAAAAAATTGGTTTTGGCATGCACCACTGAGGGCACATAATGGCTAGTTTTCAGTATTTCTTCATCTCTTAAGAATATCAGTATCAATTTATGCACATACATAAAGTTCAAATATAAAATGCTTATTACTGAATTATAATATTTCACTTATGAATTGGGTTTGCCTCGTGGAAGGACATTTCTTCATAATTTTCACAATTCGGATTTCACCGTAATTGAGAGTGAAGGCAGGAAAGAGAAGGAATGGCTTAATGTAGAGGCACATTAGCTTTTGGATCTGTAACTGTTTCTTTAAACTTTGTAGCACATTGGCACCTAACTTGTCATGGTGGGATTTGACTTCTCCAAGCTCATCTCAAAGGAGAAAGATGAAGTTAATGGATGCATGAAACTAGATAAAATCAAGAGTAATACAATTTTTCCCTCTCATGGGTTATACCTCAGATGTGAGTAACGTCATCATCAATGAGCTCATGCCATGCACAGTTATTTAGCCTGAAGGGCATTTAAACTGGCACTGAAATATTCTTATTTTAAAATTTTGACTGTAACCCATCAGTGCTACAAATCACTGTTAACCATGGCATTTAATTAGACTGGCTTTAGACACGCATCTTTGAAAAAGACACGGTGTATGTGTGCATTTTGCATATTGTAGACGAAGTGAGTTAGCAGCATTTAGCACCACTGAACTTGAAATGGTGTTTAGATAACTTCTAAATAAATACAAATTGTATTGAATATCACATCTTTGGAGGACATTCAAGCACGCACTGTAACAAGAGTCCAATCACAGGATGATAGAACTGAATGTTCCTTTGGTCATTTCATCTCATGTCACAGGAGAAAACTGAGGTTCAGAGAGGCTGACTGCTTAAGTCTAGAATTGACTAGAATCTAGTCTCTTACTTGCCAGCTTAGTGTTCTTTCCCGAGTAAAATGCGAGTTGATTACATTTATTAGGAGGTATTTGTTTTAGATATGTTAAAATTTATTATAAAATTGTTATCAGCCTAAAATTCCACATAGGTGTATTTTTGGATTTGAATCACTTAAAGCAAGCTAAGTAGATAATCTCCTGTATTATAAAGTGAGATGGTCTTGTTGGGTATTTCAGATACCCTGGTTAAAAATAAAGGTCACGCCAGGATGCATTTCTAATGCATCTCTCCAGGAGCGTCACCGGTAGAAAGTCTGAGATTTGAGGTATTCACAAAGAGCTAGCCTTGGTAATCACAAAAATAGTCACAACACCGGAGGGTTCTTAATGTAATTTTCAATGATCCCACTGACATGAGGAAAATAATATGTGTTGAAATGGAGATGCCTGTGTGTAAGATGGATCAGTAACTTTTTTTCTCTTTCTCAGTCCCTTTAAGGATTGAAATGAAACATTCGGGTAATGAAGCATTGAGAGGGTGAAAGTTCTCCAGGTGATTCTGTTGAATGGTAAATTCATCGATACTCTATAAAACTAAGCTATGACCCTATCTTAGGGAGCAAACTAAAAAGGCTTGTGTAGGTGGAACTGGCTTTTTGCAGTTGAGATGTGGATCTTATTGGGTAAAATTATACAATAGAGAAATTATTGTGAAATAACTATTTTTGGCATATAGCCTATGTTTAAAAAGGGCACATACTCATGCTTTGGCATTTGGGAAGACAACTAACATTTCTGGCAGATAGAAAACATATGGATATAAAAACTGTAATGAAAAAAATTTCCTTACAGATGGTATCTCAGAGGGGTTCACTCCAGAATGCAATTTCTGGTTACTTCCTTTTATGGGAGTGTGGAATTTTTTTTTTTTTTTTGAGATGGAGTCTTGCTCTGTTGCCCAGGCTGGAGTGCAGTGGCACAATCTTGGCTCACTGCAAGCTCTGCCTCCCGGGTTCACGCCATTCTGCAGCCTCAGCCTCCCAAGTAGCTGGGACTACAGGCGCCCACCACCACGCCTGGCTAATTTTTTGTATTTTTAGTAGAGACAGGGTTTCACTGTGTTAGCCAGGATGGTCTCAATCTCCTGACCTCGTGATCCGCCCGCCTCGGCCTCCCAAAGTGCTTGGATTACAGGCGTGAGCCACCACGCTTGGCCGATTTTTTTTTTAACAAGTTTCTAGACATCTTGAATATATGAGTATCTGTCTGTGCATACATATTAAGAGAATACAGTTTTTTGATGAAAAAGCTATGTCTCAAAAAGATTTAATCTATGCATAGGAAAAAAAATAAGAGATTTAGGTCCTCTATGTATTATAAAGTAATTTAAGATACTCTTCTGTATTTCTGGATGGGTTCTTTCTTTTCATTCAAGAGGATGACATTTAGGTGGGAACTATGAAAGTGCAAACATCATCACAAGTTCACTGGCATTAATCCACAGGCCAACTGGAAATGAGAATAGAAGCGTCTCTGAGTGAACACTTGACGTAGGACACTGGAAGAAGCAGTGCACACTGATGGAATGGGCAAGTGGTTCATGCCAGAAGATAAAGGACTTAACATACCAGAAGCAGGTACAAATATACAGTAACTGGGAAAATGAAATAATGCCTGAGGAAACAATAGAAAGAGCTAAGAAAGCATTACAGAGGAAACACAGAGCATTCAACAAACCAACAGGAAAGTCTTCCTTAAATTAACACAGGAATCTCATGTACTTGTAATGTTGACTTCAAAAGGACAGCACTTTAGTTTTCTCCTCTATCTTTTTCTTTCCTCTCTCTCCCCATTTAATTATTTATGTGCACAGGTACACATTATTTATACATTTAAAAATTCACCTAGCCCATTAATGCAAAGAGATGGAATTCTAAGTAGCTAAGGCAAATTCCTGATATTACTGTGGTGGGCGCCACTCAGTTAAAGGGAGAAAACTTCCCACTTACTGCAGACAGGAAATGAGACAAGTCACACAGCACAAGGGGATATGAGCAATTTCCAAGAGGCATTTCATACCTTAATATATGACTGGACAGAATGATCCAGCTGCTCCTCATGGCACTTGGCCACAATGTCGGTCAGAACCCTGCAAAAGCAAAGCTGTTCAGTGGCCTTTCTGGAGAGGGCAGAAAAACCCCGCTTTAGTTTGTCATTACAGTGCTTTGTAAATTGGGTATTTAATAATTACTGGGTGAATGAATGAACCAATCTCTGACTCCTTCCTTGCCCTCCTCAGCCCCATATCCAATACTGGGCATTTAATATCTATAGCATCAATGAGCCATTTCCATCGATTAGCCATTTCCAACTTTGAAACTTTGAAACACAAAGATGTAAGTAGTGTTGTAATATCACAATGGAGACTTTTTGTCCAAGTTGAATGTGCTAATTATGGTCTGTGCGTTTTTGACATTATCTTTTTGCAAAAGGGATTATTTTTAGTGCCTAATTAAAATTTTAGACTTTTAATTTCAAATTAATAATCATATTTCATTTGAAGAGGGCTTGCCTTCCAACCTATAGGCACTATATATGCTTTTGGAAAAAGTAATTAGGTTAAGATGCAGTTGTTTTGTTTTGCTTTGTTTTTCCCTTAGCTGGGTTGGGGTTTCTAGCAGCAATGATGTACAGGTGGATCTTTTTTCACATTAACACTACCAGCTGCTCCATGGCTATAGTGCTTAGGAATATCTCAGAATTTCAACAGATCTATCAGCTGCAATATCTAGGAGTCTTGCCAACACAGAGACACATTCACATGCTGAAAAGAGCATGAGTTGAAGGCACAGCTGGGGACTTTTGATGCAGGTCCAGAACTGGATGGTTGTGAAGCCATTAGAGATATTTAAATTGTCCAGAATTTCAGGCTCTGCTTTAAAAACTAGGCTACAAACCCTCATTCAGAAAGAGGTCAGTAATATGCCTGTGAGTTAGAAAGATACTGGAAACATTTCAATGCCAAAAGTAACATTTTTTTCCAGAATGCTATGACTAAATTTTTTAAAAAAATGAACAGCACAAATATATAATTTAATAATTAATTCAAAGCACTATCTCTATAAAGAAGAAATTGTGATTTGTGAAGGCATTGGCCAGATTAGAGATGTTGGAAGAATTCAGTATAGCCAAATTTAAAGTGAGAACAGTTAAAGCATTTAATACTTAAAAAAAAGGTTCTTGTGGGAATGCAAAATTATACAGCCACTCTGGAGAATAGGCACTTTCTTAAATATCAAACATGCAACCACCCTGCCCCCCAGCAATTACACTTTGGGCATTTACTTAAGAGAAACGAAGACTTATGTTTACACAAAACCTCTACATGAATGTTCATAGCACTTCTTTTTTTTTGAGACGGAGTCTTGCTCTTTCACCCAGGCTGGAGTGCAGTGGTGCAATCTCAGCTCACTGCAAGCTCCGCCTCCTGGGTTCATGCCATTCTCCTGCCTCAGCCTCCCGAGTAGCTGGGACTACAGGCACCCACCACCACGCCCGGCTAATTTTTTGTAATTTTTTTTTTTTTTTTTTTAGTAGAGTTGGGGTTTCACCAACTCTACTGTTACATGTTAGGCAGGATGGTCTCGATCTCCTGTCCTTGTGATCCACCGGCCTCGGCCTCCCAAAGTGCTGGGATGACAGGCGTGAGCCACCGGGCCCAGCCGTTCATAGCACTTTTATTCATAACAGCCCTAAACTAGAGACACTCCAAATGTCCTTCAACAGGTGAATAATTAAACATATGTGGTGCATCCACATCGTGGAATACTACTCTGCAATGAAAAGGAGTGAACTACTGATAGATGCAATGATCTGGATGAATCTCCAGAGAATTATGTTACATGAAAAAGCCAATTACAAACATTTACCTACTGTATGATTCTACACCTGTATGGAAGATGTTGCCAGTGGGGAAAACCAGGTAAAGGGCACATGGGAAACTCTGAATTATGTTTTACAATTGCACATGAATCTACCGTGATCTCAAAAGAAAAAGTTTAATTTAAAAATCAAAGAAAAAGAGGTCTAACACTTTACTACTAATAATAAGAGATTAGAAGGTAAGGAGTCAAGAGTGGAAAATGCTTAAATTTGAGATGTGTTCAAATGAAATGTAAACACACAACAGTAGATGACTGTTTAGTTATAATTAAGAGTTTATGTAACTACACATTATAAAGTCTCTCCTCTTAAGGTTGTGTTATGGATACCTGGTGACAGTTGTAGTTATTTCATCTTCCTCATTCTGTACCAGAACTTTGAAGAGCTGATTCAAAATTATAGGCAGAAAACTCATGATTGCATGAATCTTTTCCACATTCAATAAGTTCTGTAGTAAATTGGCAGAAAAAAAGGATACCAATTAAATTTGAAGCATGTCCTACATTCAAGACCTGAAACTATAAATCTATGAGAAGAAAACATAAGGAGAAAAACTTCGTGACATTAGACTGGGCAATGATTTTTTGGATATGACCCTCAAAGCTCAGGCAGCAAAGTGAAAACAGACAAATGGCATATCAAACTAAAAGGTTTCAGCACAGCCAAGGAAACACTCAATGGAGTAAAGAGACAACTTTACTCCATTGAATGGAGGAAAATATTTGCAAACCATACATCTTAGAAAGGGTTAATATCCAAAATATATAAGGAACTCAAACAACTCAATAGTAAGAAAACAAATAACCCAATGAAAAAATGGGCAAGGGACCCAAATAGACATTTCTCAAAAGAGGGTGTACAAATGGCCAACAGATATATAAAAAATGTTCAACGTCATTAATCATTGGAGAAATGCAAATTAAAACCACAGTGGGACATCACCTCATATCTGTTAAAATGGCTGTTGTCAAAAAAGGTGAAAGATAATAATTATTGGAGAGGGTGTGGAGGAGAAGGAACACTTGCACATTGCTGGTAAGAATGTAAATCAGAAGAGCCACTATGGAAAACAATATGAAGGTTCCTCAAAAAATTAAAAATAGCACTACCATATAATCTAGCAATCCCACTACTGGATGTATATCCAAAGGAAATGAGATCAGTATGCTGAAGATGTCTATTCCCATCTTTACTGCAGCACTATTCACTGCAGCCAAGATACAGAATCAATCCAAGTGTCCATCAACCGATGAAATGGGTAAAGAAAATGTGGTACATAAACATAATGGAATACTATACAGCCTTAAAAAGGAAGGAAATTAGGTCATTTGCAACAACATGGAGGAACCCGGAGTATATTATGCTAAGTGAAATGAGCCAGGCACAGAAAGACAAATACCGCATGATCTCATTTATATGTGGGATCTAAAAAAGTTGAATTCATAGAAGTAGAGAGTGGAATGGTGGTTACCAGGGGCTAGGGAGGGGAGTGCTGGGAGATGTTGATCAAAGGATACAAAATTTCAGCTAGATAGATAGGAGGAATATTGCACAACATGGTCACTATAGTTAATAAAAATGTGTTATATTCTTAAAAATCTCTAAGAGAGTGGATATTAAGTGTTATAACCTTAAAAATTATAAGTATGTGATATAATAAATACAGTAATTAACTCAATGAAGCTGTTACATAATGTATACATATTTCCAAACATCATACTGTATACAATAAAGGTATATAATTTTTCTTTGTTAATTAAAAAATGAATACGTTAGAAAAAAATAAAGTATATTCTGCTGGTATTTTTTTCAGAACTTGAGTATGAACACTGTAGCCCACCTTTATCTGGCTTTATTCTTTATTGCAATTAGTATGGAATATAGGCATGATGGTAATGTTGCAAGGACTCGTGATTTAATAATTAATTTAGAATAAATTGATTCTGATTTTCAATTATTTTTATTTTGGAAAAAACTGATTTTTGCTTGTCTTTTAAGTCAAGAAACAGAAACTATTCAGAAATTATGAAATAAAATCATTTACTCTCTGAATTGATAAGGTATTAAAAAATCTTGAGTAATAATCATCTCCCAGTTTGCCCATCGGTGGAAAATGTAAAAGTCTCTTTTGCACATTTTTACCCTGGAGATCACTGAAACTGCTTGCATGTCATGTTACCTTACAAGAGCGGATGAAATTTGAGGTAGGTGACTGAGACATATCTTTCTCTCTTTTTTGGCACTCTTGGAAAAATGCATTCACATGTGGATCCTACAACAGCAAAAAAAAAGTATTTATTTCTGATGACACGTAAACCGTGTTACAAACACAAACCACTGTGATGTGAGGTAAGCATTTCTGTAGGATTGATGCCTCGAAGTGCAAATGCTTTATTAAGGAGTCAGAGGAACAAAGCTTTGATGTGGACATTTCTGGCCTAGTGAAGGCTCTGCATGAACTACAAAGCCCACTCTCTCTTCTATTTCATTCTAAGAGGTTTTGTTGTTCTATTCAACCACATGACAATGGCTGGAGAATTACTTCCCTTGGTTGTGCTTTTTGTGTTTAGAAAAATTTTCTTCATTTATCTTCCCACTCCTGCTTCTTCCATAGACTTCTACCAATTTCTTCTATACCATCCTTGACACACATGACAATGCGTACTCTTTAATATCTACAGGGCATATTTTTAGGCTTAGAATGCCTGAATTAGCCCCAGATTAGAAAGTCCACAACTCATTATCTTAGGATAGAACTGACTATAACACTTGAAATTTACTTCCAGAAGGTGGTACCTGGAAAATTCTCTAAGTTCTGCCCTGAGGGTGGGAGCTACACAGTCAGGCAGTGAGATAAAGAACTTGTGTGAGGACACACTCTGAATGTTTCCCTGGCTTTCTATGATTCCAGAAAGGCATTTGTAGCTTGGGTTTTCCTCATTTCCCTCAGGCCACTGTGTGTGTGCGCGTGTGTGTGTGTGCCCTATTTTCTCTTTTCTAAGTGTAGCTCTTTTTTGACTAGAGACAACTGTTTTCCCTTTAAGTATCAATTCATTGATTCGTCTATTTGCTCATTATTTATGGAAAGCTGACTGCATACCAGGGTCTTAGCAGGCACTGAGGGAGGACAGAGCAGAGGGCAAGGAAGGCCCAACCCCTTCCTCTGTGTACCTTCCATTAAGGCGGGGAGGCCAGCACGACACCACTACTTCCACACACACCTATGTAATCACATTTGATGAGCACTTCAAACACAAAGCAGGTGCCATCTGGATGAGTGACAAGATGGCCCAGCTTTGTCTGTTGGGTCAGGGAACAGGGAAGGCTTCTTAGAGGAAGTGACAACTGAGCTAAGATCTGAAGGATGGGTAGGAACCAACCAGACCAACAAGGGGAAGGGGGGTATCCACCCCCTGCAATATGGTTTGTAATAGCCACGGTGCGGGTGGGGGTGGCGGGGAAAGGGGAGTGCAATTACTCCCCATATTGCGGGGAGTGTCCACCCCTGTGATATGGTTCATAATAGCCAGGGAGGGAGAGTGGGAGAGCTTCCCTTCTCCACTGAGGAGGGGCTGAGTGTCAAAGGGATCACTGGGTCTTGCGGGAACTAGGTGGATATTGTTTGGCTGGAGGGCCTTGGGTGTTTGAAAACTGAGGTAAATGCTGCCAGTGCATGGGTAGTGAGAGTCGAGGTAGAGAGAGGGTGTGTTGTGGTGAGTCAGAGACCTCAGCTATTTGGAGAAAGCAGCTGGAAGCATGAGAAAGAGAAACTGAGGAGCTGCTGAGATATACAAAAATATAGGGTTTGGTGGAGATTGAGTGTTTTGTGGAACTTGACCAGGGCTGATGGCATCAGAGAAAAGATGGGTTTAAATCATTGTGGGTGCAGGGCTAGGGATAAGAAGTCAATTGGACTTGAAGCCTCAGAGGTTGCCGAGAGAAATTTTGGTCCAATGTATATACGATGCCTGGATTATTTCATTTTTCTTATGGATCAAGTATGGCTTACAGATAAAGCAGCATGAAGCAAAAAATGAAAAGCAGATACACATTAAACTTAAGAAAGGAGAAATACATATTTTATGTACTTATAATAATGTATAGTTTATATCTGTTGCCAGAAAACTCACATTGTGGTAAAATAAGCTGCCTTGCCACGGAAGGAATGAGTTTGTGGTAATTTAACAATGGTAATAATTATACGTGTATAGACTTTCGCACTTCATGAAATATTTCTCATTTTGATCACATTTTGAAATATTTCTCCTTTGGATCACATTTGCTACAACCTTAGGTAGCAGAGACTCTGTTGATATCATTTCTTGATGAGGAAATAAGGATATCAGAGGTAAAGTGACTTGCCCAGGGTAATGGAGCCAGAAATTAGGTGGGGTGGCTCTCAAATGCAGTTCTGCCAACCTCATGGCCTTCCAATTAGGTGAGCCCTGGGAAGGCATTGGGGATTGGACTTGGTTTTCAGGTAAAGATCTGAAGTCTGTCTTTATTTTTTTATTATTATTTTTGAGATGCAGTTTCGCTTTTGTTGCCCAGGCTGGAGTGCAATGGCACGATCTCAGCTCAACGCAACCTCTGCCTCCCGAGTTCAAGAGATTCTCCTGCCTCAGCCTCCCAAGTGGCTGGGATTACAGGCATGCGTCACCATGCCTGACTAATTTTGTATTTTTAGTAGAGATGGGGTTTCTCCATGTTGGTCAGGCTGGTCTTGAACCCCCGACCTCAGGTAATCTGCCCGCCTCGGCCTCCCAAAGTGCTGGGATTACAGGAGTGAGCCACCGGGCCTGGCCTTTATTTTTAACATTTAACATTTTTAACACATGAGTGTGGTCAGTGGAAGCAAACCATACTCCAAGGGGAGTGTGATCCTATTAAACACACTTCTGGTATTTTGGTCTGAAGTTTTATGGTGTCTGGGCTTAAGGGATTAGGACATTCTATCTGTCTTGAGGGAGGCATCAAATTATGCCCTTAACATTCTTCCTTTGTAGTATTCAAACACCTGCCTTTCTGACACTTCATGAAATGATTAGTCTCATCCTGTAAATAGGGGAATTACCTCATGATGCTGTGAGTTAGAGAAGATGCTAGTATTTCAGGTCAACATACTCACCTGAGTATTTACTGTTGATACAACAAATGTCGACACTTTGAAAAGTGGTTTGCCACCATCAACCCATTTAATGTCACTCCCACCATGCTGCAAAATAAAGTTTGTTTACTGTCACTGGGACAATTCGAGAGAAAGAAAATAAATAGATTGTTTAGTTTATGTTAATGTGCTGTTCTGATCCATTAATCTTATATCAGCTACAGGTGGAAAATAAAAGATGCAAATACATTTAGCACTATTGGTAGATGAGACCAATATGACATCGGGATCATTTTTAACATATCATTTCCAGTGGCCATAAGCTAAACAAGAGATGTGGCATAGGTACACTTGATTCATAGCTACAAGGGACATGTCCACTATGATCTTAAGTAGCAGAGAAAGAAGATAATCTTATGCCATTAAGCTGGTGTGCTTTTTTAAAATCTTAAATTACACATTATTCAATACCTTTCCACTTGCAGAATCTTGAAAGCTTAAATAATTAGGAGGCAGACTTGTTGCTATTGGGATGTTGTACTCTTGAGAAGCTATCTGATCGTGTTTCATCAGAGGAAGCCAAGCATATCCAACTGTGCAAAAGAATAACCAACAAAAATTCTGAGTACAAACCTCCATGGTAAGAAGTCACAATAATGCTATTTATTATTTACGAACACTAAATTTCATGAAAAATAATTCAATAAATCAGGGCTTTGAAAACACTCTCCAAACCAATTCAAACAGAAGACATGTGACTCTGCCTCAGATTTCTTCCTGGCAGTACCTGACGTTTCCAGAGCCTCCTTCTTTTTGGCATTAGCTTTTGCATTGATGTCACAGGTGACGTGATAAAAAGAAAACAAAATATGGTGTTTCTCATGGAGTTGTGTTGGTAGCTCAATTTTCACCTGCAACGAAAGAAACCATAGTTGGACTGAGATTAAAATCATTTGCTCAATATCAGAGCAAGACAAAGCATAGCTTTTTAAACAATCTTTTTTTTTTTTGAGACTGCGTCTTACTCTGTCACCTACGCTGGAGTGCAATGGCACGATCTAGGCTCACTGCAACCTCTGCCTCCTGGGTTCAAGCAATTCTCCTGCCTTAGTCTCCCCAGTAGCTGGGATTACAGGCACACACTATCATGCCAAGCTAATTTTTGTATTTTTAGTAGAGACGGGGTTTCACCATGTTGGCCAGGCTGGTCTCAAACTCCTGACCTCAAGTGATCCGCCCGCCTTGGCCTCCCAAAGTGCTGGGATTACAGGCATGAGCCACCAAACCAGGCCTAAAAATTCTTTAACTGAAATCTAGGTCCATGTTTAATAGTGCTGGATGCACTCATTTAATGCTCAATAAATATTGTTTCTGCTAGCAGTGATGTATTCACATGTTGATATTTTTACTTTTTTATTGTGATGGATGATGATAATTTAGAATACTTAGTGTTTCTCATTAGATAATTCATGCTACTAGGGTATGGACTAAATACATGCACATACATATGCATAAACACACACACAAATGTAACTGCAGAATATAGATAAGACACACATCAAGGAACTGTCATTAAGGGACACGAATTGAATAAACAGTAAGTCCGTGCCTCCCAAAGTGCGGCTGGGGACCAGTTGCATAAGCATCACTTGGCAGTTCATTAGAAATGCAGAAGTTTTTTTTTCATTTTGGAGACAGGGTCTTGCATTTGTTGCCCAGACTAGAGTGCAGTGGTACGAACACAGCTCACTGCAGCCTTGACCTCTGGCTTTTTTTTTTTTTTTTTTGAGATGGAGTCTTGCTCTGTCACCAGGCTACAGTGCAGTGGCACGATAGCTCACTGCAACCTCCGCTTCCTGGGTTCAAGTGATTCTCCTGCCTCAGCCTCCCGAGTAGCTGGGACTACAGGAGCACGCCACCACACCTAGATAATTTTTGTATTTTTTGTAGAGATAGGGTTTCACCATGTTGGCCAGGATGGTCTCAATCTCTTGACCTTGTGATCCACCCGTCTCGGCCTCCCGAAGTGCTGGGATTACAGGCATGAGCCACTGTGGCTGGCCATGACCTCTGGCTAACTTTTTGATTTTTGTTGTTGTTCTTGTTGTAGAGACAGATGTCTTACTTTGTTGCCTAGGCTGGAGTCTCAGACATTAACCTAGACACACTCAATTGCAATCTGCCCTTTCACAGGATCCCCAGACAATTCATATGCACATTGTTGAGTAATATGGTATAGTAAATGATGCAGCTTCGGCATGGAATTGATCTCTTTTTTTAAAACTAACAAACATATCTGTGTTACTGTGAGAACTAATGAGACATTTTGGGAACTGACCATGCCGTAGCTATACAAATAATGCTTCTGAATGCAAATAAAATAAAAATGGATCTAGGTAAACAATATACTGAATGAAGGGCATACTCCCTATTTCTGGAAAGAATTGTTTTCAACTAACTGTTTACATTTTATTGTGCTTTTGAGTTTTCAAAGCCCTGCCACGTACACCATCATTTCATTTTCCCCAGTAGCCTTGTGAAGTAGCATGGCACAGTGTTAGGAAGCAGGGCTGCACATGTTAGGGGGCTCTGAGTTACTGTGCAGGTGGTGTGGTCAGTAAAAGAGGATCTTTCAGGACAAGAACCCACATCTTGGGATGATCACTTTGCATTGGAACTCCGGTAAGCTGCAGGCAGCTCAATCTCAGCAACTGAGTAGTTCCCAGAACTGTCCATATTCTCATGTGAAAAAGCTCATGGCTTTCATGAGGCTTCCAGGAAACACATGAGAATGAGAAAGATTAAAACAGTTAACAACAGTAAGAATATTAATTTTTTTAAAAATCATATATCTACAGAAAATGCATCTTCCAGATGGGCTTTGTCAACCAGTTGACCCTTTGGCCAACCAATAGCAGTAAATATTGTGTAATGTGGTCATGGTTTTTGCTTAACTGTTTTTCACTTTCTGTCCTGAATTTGTGGGGGAAAAATTAAAGAGCACTAAACGCATATGGAAGAGTGAAAGAATGTCAGGCAGGTAGTTTCACTGATGTTCCTTTAATTGGTTTTTAAATGATTAATGTGCACAGTGTGGGAGACAGAAAGACAGCACCCACTAGATGTCCTGAATGTTCTAATCCTGCCAATATGCCACCTTACCTGGTAAGTAGGACTTAGCAGATGTGATTAAGTTAAGGACCATGAAATGGGGAGATTATCCTGGATTTTCCAAATGAGCACAGTGTCATCACAAAAGTCCTTATAAGAGGAAGGCAGAGTCATAAGAGAAATGATACAGAAGCCGAGGTCAGAGTGATGGGATTGTTGGGAAGGCTCAAAAGCCAAGAAATGTGGGCAGCCTCTGGAAGCTGGAAAAGGAGATGAACTGGAACCTTCCCTAGAACCTCCTGAAGGTTCGTCACCCTGCTGCAAGCTCGATTTTAGCCCTGTGAGTCATTTCAGACTTCGTACCACCAAAACAGCAAGATAACAATTGCATACTGTTTTAAGCTGCTAAATGGTGATAATGTGTGAAAGCAGCCATAGAAAACGTCTACAAAAGCTGTGATATTGTGAATCTCAGGCATCCCATCAGCAGGCTGCACTAGTCAGACCTTCACTTTATGGTTAGAAATTAAATTTTTTCACTGAAACTTCTTTGTCTAAAGTTGTTTGTAACGTAAGCTAACATGTATATAGTAATTGACCATGAGCCCAATGACTTTCTATGTGTTAGAGCAGAATGGTGAAGCTTCAGGCTGTGGAGTCACATGGTCTGGTTTGATTTCTCTCACTTATTATGTGCCCTTGGTAAAGTTACTTGACTTCTCTGAGCCACAGTTTTCTCATCCATCAAATAGGGAGGTAATAATAGTGCCAACTTCTTGGAATTACTGTGGGGATTAAGGGAGATGATGTGTGCATGGAATTTAGCTTGAGGCTTGGCACACAGCAGGAGTCTTGGAAGTCTGCCAGGGCAAGGCTTGTTCCCTGTCATGTTTAGAGATGACGGGATCCAAGCTCCCTTAAGTTCAGGCATGTTATAAGCCATGGAATTGGCTCAGGCTCTAGTTCTCTGTTCTCTTCCTTATGACATGAAATGCTGCCATTCATTGGTAAAGCTATTTAACACAATCTCTTCACTAGTCAGTGAAATAAAAGAAAAAAAATTATTCACTGAAAAAGAAAAGAAGACAAGATATATCCCAGCACTAAAAGCATCTTTTTTTTAAATTTAAATTTTAATTTTTTTAGTTGAGATGGAGTCTTGCTCTGTTGCCAGGATGGAGTGCAGTGAGTGGCATGATCTCAGCTTACCACAATCTCCGACTCCCTGGTTCAAGCGAGTCTCCTGCCTCAGCCTCCCGAGTAGCTGGGATTACAGGCACGTGCCACCACGCCCAGCTAATTTTTGTATTTTTAGTAGAGACGGGGTTTCACCATGTTGGCCAGGATGGTCTTGATCTCCTGACCTTGTGATCCGCCTGCCTTGGCCTCCCAAAGTGCTGGGATTACAGGCGTGAGCCACTATACCCGGCCAGCATTCCATTTTTTTTAAAAGGTCACTCCTGTCCTGAAATACATGAATTTGCAACGTACTCCTGGAACAACTGCCAATTAATATAGTTTAGAAATATTGGTAAGTACATACCTGCCAAGGCATGTCCTTAGTCTGATGAGGTCTAGAGAGAGTGTTTTTCACTGCACGGTTATCTGAACATTTACCCACCTTTCTTAGGAACCGCTGGGGGCAGTGGAGGGCTAGCTCTTACCTCATCTGAGAAATCCGGATTCTGAGAGTGGTGCAGAACTGCTGTGTAGGCGGCTGAGGTGAAGAGGGGCCCTCCAGGTTTTCCATAAATACACTGTTTGAAAAGTTATGAGTTGAACAATTATGAGTGTCTGAAATTATCCCTGGGTGAAAAAAAAGTCCATAACTCTTCAGTACCAACCCTGGGACAATGGCAAACTTTGTGATAACTTGCCAGGCTAAGCTGGCATCTAATTAACCTTGAACTTCTTTGGCCTACTACCCTGCATTTATTATACAATGAAAGCTGCTGAAGATAATTTGATGGCTTTCATTCATCATATAGTTAATACGCCAGGGCCAAATACCTGTGGGACAGGAATAATACAGGGTGGCCACAGGAGAACAGAAAATTCCAGGCAGAGGTTTCACATGCCTAGCAAAAAGGATACTGTTGAAATAGCTGCAAAAGTCAGTGGCCAATAAGACCCTAAAAAATGAGATGCGGGCCAAGCTGGTTAAGACCAACTGTACCCAGCATGGTGCTGGATTTGACCTAGGTTTCTCCTAGGACCTCATTATATGCTCATTGACATACTAAATCACACTCCCCCCAGTACCTGGGCAGTTCTAAAGTTTCTTTAGAAATCTTCATGAATATAAAGAAACCCATAAAGGTAGAAGCCCTAAACCTTTTTGCAGATGACTATCTCTCTTGAGTACACCCACACTCTTCTTTCCTGAGTGTGTTCTTTTTGCTTTGCAGTAAATCTCTGTACTTTCACTATTTTCTGAGTCATCCTTGAAATCCTTCTCATGACAGTGTCAAGAGCCTATTCACCGGCTGGGGCTGGGATCCCAAATACACTGTTGAAGAAGTTATGAATTGAACAATTATGAGGGTCTGAAATTATCCCTGAGTGAAAATAAAAGGCCATAACTCTTCAGTTACCAACCCCAGGAAAATAACAATGACTCAGACAATGACCTGGGACAACGGTCAGTGTTTGCGGACCTCCCCTAGCCTATGGGTATCACCTGGACCAATCTGACTCTTGATTTACATGGAATAAGGGCTAACTTGTTTAAGACTGATTCCTTTAGAATGGCTTCCTGAACAGGCCTTGATATGGTCAGGCTTTTCTCCCCACCCGAATCTCATCTTGAATTATAATCCCGACATGCCAAGGAGAGGAAGTGACTGGATCCTGGGGCCGCTTCCCCCATGCTGTTCTCATGACAGTGAATGAATTCTCAAGCAATCTGATAGTTTTATAAATGGCAGTTTTTCCTGCACTCACACATGCTCTCTCTCTCTCACCTGCCACCATGTAAGACATGCCTCTTTCCCTTCCACCATGACTGTAAGTTTGCTGAGGCCTCCTCAGCCATGCAGAAACTGTGAGTCTATTAAATCTCTTTTCTTTATAAATTACCCAGTCTCGGGTAGTATCTTTATAGCAGTGTGAGAATGGAGTGATACAGGCCCCATGGAACCAGCTCTGGTCTAGAGTTAAGGTCTTGTGCAACCACAAGGCTTGGATGGACCCCAGCTCCTGATACGCCAGCTTCCAGGATAGGGCTGGTTACCATCTCCACCACAGCATGCTACTATTCTGTCCAGCCCCAAATCAGGCCAGGGCTGTGATATGGCACTTCCTTATAACTTATAAGCCCCCTTTGTCCAAAGCTCAGGACCCCTCTTCTGGAGTCTGACAGTTAGCTTTGCTGTATCTCTGTGTGGTATTTTAGAATGCAGTGAAGCAAGGGACGCACATGTGATTGTTATTCTTTTCTAGAATTTTCCTCACAAAAACACTGCTCTACAGGCCAAACGTGCTTGCCATCTGATCATTGCCTCTGTTTGCCTGACAATTATATTTCACTTGAATTTTTCTCTCCTGATGCTAACACTATTTTGGAGTTGGGTGCCAGTGGATGCTGACAGTGGCTCAAGACCTTCTTTTTTTTTTTAAAAAAAAAAAAAAAGACTCTTTTTTATATTTACCTGAATTAATTGCTTGATTAATTCAATCACTCAAATTGATTATTGTTCTTCTGAATAATGCTACAAATTAGAGGACTCAATTTGTACCAGGCAGAGTGCTTTAAGAGACTACCACAGAGAATGGTGGGGGTTAGTTAGAAATTAGTTTTGTCCTCTACTACCTCATTCCTTTGATTTGCCGAAGCTGGTAAGATTGGCAGCAGGCCCACTACAAATAATTTCCCCCTCATTTTTTATGGGTTACTTTATGTTGTTTGAAATCCCTAAAATAAAAACCACATACTATATATCAAATATGAACTCTAAAAAATGCCATCCCGTTGCAGCTTTGTAGAGTGAAACACCACAGTTCCTACAAACCTCATAGTTTTATGGATCTTACTAAATCATGTGATCAGCAACCGGGACTGACTTCCCAGAGCCATTTTTCCAGTTCCTCAGGCACTTGGCCACGTGCACCTTCCATAATGTGAGCATCCCACGGGTCCCCCACATTAGCTATTGGGCCAGTATGCGGCAGTTCTGCGTAGACCATACGAGGGCCGGCTGGGGTGTTCTGTTTTAAATCAAGCACGCCGAATCGAGAGGCAGGCTAATCTTTGAAAAAGGCAACATTTTCCACAGGGGAGTCTTGGCATTTATTTCACATGAGAATGGTTTCCTTTTTTCCCAAGTCGTGAAAAGCTAAAAGAGCTATGAGAGAGGAATTTCTAATAGATCTAGTTAATGAGGACTGTTAAATCAGGTATGTTTCAGATCTAAAACAAATGTATTAAATTACTGCTCTTTCAACCACACTCACATAAAAAGCCCTGCAATGGTGGAAAGAATCCCTGCACCTGCCTTCCCACTTTATGCTGGGTCCCTTTGCTGACTTGGCTCACCTTCAGGGGCTTGGCACTTTCTTCATCTGAATTTTTGAATTCAATGCACACAGTTATATTCCGTGCCTGAAATTACGGAGAGAAAAAATGGAAATTGTAATTTCCTATCAAATAACATAAAAAACCCAAGTGCCTAAAATAAGTAGCTTCTAATTAATCCAAAAAATGTAAAATACCCAACATTTTCTTGTGACATTATCCATAATCTTTTGAAATAACAGAAGGATCTGGAGAGTGTACTTAAAAGGGAAGTAAAAAGCTCATATTGAAAGGGGGCAGGCATGCTATTTTTAGAATATCTTAAGAAACTAAAAAAAATAGTCGAACAAAATTATTTAAGACTGATTTAGAAAAGATTATTAATATGCTACGAAACTGCATCCTTAAACACTTCTAAGATAAAACTCATCAGTGCCTCTTACTAAACATCTTCTCCAAACGGTTTTCTATGACAGAGTGTTGCCCCATAGTAATTTGTATTTGCACATTCAGGAACTATCTTATATGGTCTAAATACGGTGAAAAGAAAAGATGATATCTCTGGAACTTATATCATACCTTGTTGAAGCATTTCTGGCTATCATACTTGAGGTGTTTGGGGTAAATATAAATTTGATTTTTATATACTCTGTAAGGCCGACAATACTTTGTTGAATCGTAAACAAATTCTTCCACCTCCACTGTGGGTTCTGTTTGAGCCATCATGTTGAAAGGCTTGACAGGGATAAAGGACGATGTTACACAATCTTAAAAAATCAGAAAATAAGAGTTTGTCATTTAATATGGTTCTTTTAAAGTGAACAATAGTTAACATGTTTTAAAATGAACCCACTCAAGATAGAAACTCCTGGCTTGTACACCAATTGATATTAGCTTACGCTAGCATGAAAAATTTGTAGGAGGTGGGCATGGCAGATTAACAAGCTACGTATTTAATATTAAAACTGATGTCTCAGAAAAAAACAGTAAATCTTTTAGACGGATTTATAACTATTTTCTTTTTGTATTAAGCTTTCCATAAAAATAAATTTTAACTAATGAACCTCTGAACATAGTAGCCAGATATTATAAGAAATAATCCACCAATCTTTGCTATAACACTATAAAAATAATGCATATTCTGATACATGACTGAAAAAAGCTTTGTCCAATAGATCTATTACTGATAGTACCAGATAGATTAATAGCAATATCTCTCTAAATATCTCTCTACAGAATGGATTTCACAGCATGGGCCTGAAGCCCCTCTCTTCATCAGTAGATACGGTTTATTTATTTTTCTCTTCAGTTTCTACCACCTTTTAAAACCTACCCTTGGAGGAACAGCTTAAGAAATAGTGATTAGGAATTTATAAATCAAAACTTCTGTCACCAAACAGTTTGAAGCCTGAAGTTGTGGTACTGAAAGACCAAGGCCTTCTACCTCCCTTTACCCCACCTGGAATCTGACTGTGTTCTAAAAAGCAAAATGATTAGCTACGAATGCTTGAGAATCAGATTACTGTTTTCTTTTTTCAAAAACCAATTATGATATTTTTATTATATGTTCAAATTTCTCTAAGATTCTACCATTCTTCCAAAGAGAATATTGAGTGCCTCATTTGTCGTGTTTCATTTCCATATCAGGTAGAGGAAATGACTTGGTTTATCCTCTGCTTTTTCACACCAATCAATATAAAAATGATTTTGAACCATGGCTTAAGTTAGAATGCTCATTACATTTCATATTAAAATGACTTGTAGAAAGTTACAAGGATGGAAAACTTAATACTGCAGTGGCAATCCAAATATCCCATGGCAATAGTCCTTTCCCTGTTTAGAGTTCATTATAGGAGGCCTTTATTCTTTTTTTTTTTTCACATTGCTGAAAAAGTCACTAAAGGGTAGAATCAGAAATAACCAAACAAACCAATTTTACCACTTAAAAATTAAATTCTGAAACTCTTTTATAAATAAAGTTTAAAAAACTCCTTCTAAAATTGAGATTTTAATGACAATACTTTTGACCATATTCTGAAAAAAATATATGTTCTCTGTATAATAACAGAGTCTGACAACATTTCAGTTATAATCATTGCATGGCCACTTGAGTGGCTACGCAGTGTTCAGAGTAACCCTCTGGCAGCACAATATGGCAGAACTAGCCTCTATTTTGAGTGAGAGGAACTCCCTCAATGGGAGAATATATTGTCCCATTATGGATTATTGGTTTGTTAATCTATCCAAATCTGACTTTCCTCCTCTGAAACCCTCCGGGGTTTTGAGGATTAAATGACATAATTTAATACCTTGTTAGGTGCATGGTGCATACCAGGTAAGTAAGTGTTAGGTTACCCTGAATATAGTTCTTGCCCTACAAAACTCATCATCTGTCTTAGTGAAGCAAAAAGAAGCTCCACATTTCTGTAGCATCATGAATTCCATATATTTCAACTTTTGGGAAAAAAAAAACCCAAAACCTTGTAACCAACCAACTAGCCAACCAACCAACCAACCAACCAACCAACCAACCAACCAACCAAAACAAACCCACTAAATATTCAATATTCAAAACTCTGCAACCAAACCATGACATCATCATCATACTTGGATGCTCCAAGGGAACGTTGTCAACAGCAATATCCAGGCTTCCAGGAATGGTCTGCATTTTGCTTATTCTGTCGGCCCTGTAAGAGTGCATGAGCAAGGACACACACACACACACACACACACACACACACACACAGAGTATTATTCCAATTTTCAAGGAAAAAGCAGTCATCTATAATTCTGAGCTTTGTTAAGGGTAAACAGCAGACTCCCAAATAATCTTGTGAATGATTTTATTTAGCTAGTTTAATTTTGCAAACTAAAATACATGTGATATTGCAAATAAAAATACAAATCAGGGAGGGGTCAAGTGACAGATTTTCTGAAAAATTTTAAATTTATTTCCTTCTACTTCAGATAACACAAAAATCAAAAAAGTACAAGAGTAAATTATAGAGTTTTTATTAACAAAAGCTAATAGTATTTAAACTGGCTTAAGTAACACACTCTCATAATGAATTTTAAGAAGTTTTGAGAGCAAGCTTGGTCTTTGCTACAATCGCTAAGTGGATGGTCCATATTCTTCCTCTTCACCAACAAACAAGGAGGACAGGGACCCTTCCCTGAGCCCTGTTTCTTCTGCTCTCTCCCACTCCTATAGTGTATGCGGACACCCCTTCCCCACCTGTCTCCCACTCACATGCACTCCCCGGCTCAAGTCCTTGCATTTCCCTCCCACTCTCTCTCTATTAAAACCTCTCGCCAATCTTCCTTTAGAGTAAAGTGGAAGCTGCTGGTAACAGTCGCAAGTGTTATCCTTCTCAGGAAATCTACTTTGAAAGGTGGGATAATTACAGTGATGGGTCAGAGTCAGCTCTTCTCAGCTTGTGAGAGCTGAATGTTCAATTTTTAGGAATTTTGCTTGACAGCTAAACACAGCCGTTAATAAAAATTAAGTTACATAAACTTACCATTAAAGAAATTATATTAAACACAAAGGTAATAAGTATTCAAAATTCACCACTTTCTGATTATTTTACTACATGGTAAGATTATCTGTACATCTCTAAGTGTATGGTGGAAATGCTCTATTAGGGTGCACATCTCTTCCTAACCCTATGTTCAGTGAAGCCTCATTGATAGGTTGGAATCAGCAATGGTAGGAGAGTTTACACCATAGACACTGGCCATCAGTAGAAGTCCGTTGTTTCCTTAAAGAGTTGCTTGTGAAACATTTGTCAGCACATCACTGAGAATAAAGGCCATAAAGTGTGAGGCTGACATGAATAATTTAATGTCAGCGTTGCATTGTGTATTCTAGGGTGCCCCCTTAAATTAGACAGTAATAATTTTCCTTGCTATTCACTGATAACATGGGTTTTGTAAGAGTTTTTTTTTTATGTTTATAACAGATCACCCCAGAACCTTCTGCCTATTCTCCTCTGCTCAGCATTACAGCCTTTCATGCTTCAGCATACTGGCAAAAAGTAAAGAGGAAAGGCCGGGCCTTAGGAAGCCTATGGTATGGATTTTGGCCAGGATGTTTGATTACTTTAAAGGGGAGTCTCTGAAGTGGATCCTCTGACCCCAGCTGATCTCTCTCAGCCCATGCCATGTGTGGAAGAGATAAGCTCTTCTCACTCAGATGTGCTCAAATTGTGGACTCAGGAGTACAATTACTATAGCAGTGTTGTTATTTTAAACCATTAAGTTTTGAGGTGGTTTGTTACACAGCAGTAAATAACTGACATAGTTTAACATTTCACAGTCCTTCCATATAATTCTAGCAATTTTTACTTTTGTGGTGCTATTTGGGCATATGTGAAGTCACCTGAAAAATATCTGCTTTCTGGAGGTTTGGGTGTTCGAGAATGAGATCCTCAGGTATTTATGAAGTGATAAAAAATCAACATGGCTGATTTATGTTAATTTCGAGAGTATAAAAAAAACATACCTTCTATAATCTGATACTAGTTTAACTAGGTCCTCAGTTGAAATCTTGCTACTTTCTTGTCTAAACAATGGTGAAAATCTTGAGTCTCTGTCCACATTTCCCTGGTTGTCCTTAAATACTGATCTAAAAGAAAATATTTATTCAGGTTGGTAGTTGGATATTGTTTATAAAGTTGTGTTTTTAACGTGACTATATTAATTAAACTTCTCATTTATAATCAGAGAAACTCTAAGAACTTATAAAATAAAAAGACCAAAAACTTTTACAAATGCTTCATTTATACAGTTTATTTTTGTTATCTTTAATTTATTATTTTTAACTCTGTATCCGAAGTGATAACATTCCATATTACAACTATATTTTTTATGATGTCTCACATTTAATAACTTGTATCAAAACCTTGGAGTATCAGGGAAGTGGAGAAGAATAGGAACACAAGTTACTCTTTTAAATTATGTTTCCAAGACACCTTAAACCTGGGCAGGACAGAGTCACTTCAATTTGGGTGGCACTACTAGGATTTACGAGTGGTGGAACAGGGAGAAGGTTGTATATGTGAGTGTGGAAGGCCATACTCTTGACACATTTTCATGGAGCTAAATGTGCCCATGTCCTAACTTTTAGGACAGAGACAAAGATAATACGGAAGGCACCTGAGTCAGACTGTTGTTTTAAAGAAAGAGAACACTATGAATCTGAGCCACTTATTTCCTTCCTTGGTCTGTTTCATTGGAACCAAGAAAAGTTAGGCTTAGTTGAAACACATAAATAGCTTTTGTCCAAATAATATAGTAATGTCAGGCAATACTTGCTTCACATAGGTACCATGCTTAGATGTCAGTTTTACATGAAATTCCTCATATCTCATTACACAATGTGTGGTCAAAAAAAAATAGAATTTT
Source organism: Homo sapiens (assembly GCF_000001405.40). NCBI lineage: Eukaryota > Metazoa > Chordata > Mammalia > Primates > Hominidae > Homo > Homo sapiens. The sequence goes on from NC_000002.12 coordinate 224,857,762, forward strand.
TTTTTTTTACTTCAGTGTTAGAGAAATATTGAATTCTTACTTCTTTTAATGTAATGTTTTATCACTCTTTAAGTTAACTGAAGAATTCATTGCACAGGCTGAAATGGCCATTTAAATGGATATCAGATTAAATAGCTTTAGTGTTAAATAGAACACCAAAAGAAAATAGGCCAAGATTTTATCAGAATGATATTTTTAGACTCCTTCAACTTGCCTCCTCATTTTTTCTCTGTTAAGTAGTGAATGAGGGAAGGTAAAAAGGCAAATAACGTTGGGGAGACAGAATAAAAATATTAAACATGAATATTATTTTTATTTAAATATTATAAAGGGCGTTTGTTTCAGTGCATCACATGTTGAAACTAACATGATACAATTCCCAATATGAAAGGAAGTTAAACTGAGCTTGAACAATAGCTTTTTAATTAGTGACTTCCATTTATTGATAGATGTGAATTGTGGAACTCGATTTGCCCTTATCCACAACTCTGTCATGGAAATTGCTCACTTACATTGGACACTTTTCATAAAGAGAATGAAGAGTACAGCACCATGGGAGAAGTTTTGCTCACAGTGCCATACAACATGTGGTTGCTCAATAAATATATAACTGGTGGCTGGGCGCGGTGGCTCACGCCTGTAATCCCGGCACTTTGGAAGGCTGAGGTGGGGGGATCACGAGGTCAGGAGACTCAGACCAGCCTGGTTAACATGGTGAAACCCCGTCTCTACTAAAAATACAAAAATTAGCCGGGCATGGTGGCATGCACCTGTAATCCCAACTAGTTAGGCTGAGGCAGGAGAATCGCTTGAACCTGGGGGGCGAAGGTTGCAGTGAGCCGAGATTGTGCCACTGCACTTCAGCCTGGTGACAGAGCGAGACTCCGTCTCAAAAAAATGTGTATATATATATATCTGGCAGGAGAAAAAAGAACTGATTCATTTACATAGATGGTTTTGTGATGGCTGGAACGCTGTGCCTAGTTCCAACTGCTACAGTTGAGCAATGATCAGTATATTGTGAGGATCTCAGCACCATGATCTTTGGGGTATGATTGTAGGAATCATGAAATATGGCCCAGCCATTCGAAAACCCTTTGTGTAAGCTTTTCGTTTTCTTGCCCAAAGGAAAAGAACCTTAGGTGTCCCCGATAGATTCATTCACAAACAGCATGAATAACCATGATGTGCAGAATGAAGCAGACATATTTTTTGTGTGTGTGTGGCTATGGAAGAAAACACATAAAAGTGGTTTTCAGATAGCTGAAGATTATTTTGAAAAATAGATTATTTAATAATTAGACCTCTAAAGAGACAGACAGAAGGAAGCACTGTGGGATGTACTTGGGTTTTTGTCCCTGGAAAGAGTCAAACAGAAGTTGGATGACCATTTGTTAAAGACGTTGTCAGTATGGGAATCTTAAATGACAGCTGCACTGTGCACCTTCCATAATTGTAGAGATACGAGAATGAAATGTTTATTTTAATTTTGCTTAATTAAAAAAATTCAGTGTTGAGTGCTGGTCCACTTAGAATATCAAATGAGGTAGTCAAGGAAATCACAAAAGAGTCCTGGCAAGGATGCTGGCACCTAGGATTCTGGGGCTGATATGCATGGAAAGAGATCCATTCACAACCTGACACATTTGGAAGGGTCAATTTTCTCCCGAGTCAATGAGTATAAAATACCCTGTGTAGTCATCTGTATGTGTTCTCTATTCCTCCCCCAAGGATAACCTTTTCACTGTAAAATGGTACTGCAGCTGGTGCCAAATATAAGAATACCAAATTAATTTCAGAAAAAAATGTTGTTCACAGTGATGAGCATCTGTGCATACTGCAGTGGGTGGGATGATTAAATGTGGGTAAAAATATGGTCATAATCTAAATTGTCAGTTCTACTCTTCTAATGACAGTTGATTGTAAGGGCCAACATGTCTTAGGGCACACTGAAATCTACACTGCGAAACAAACTGCAATCTAGAAAGCGTAACAGGAAGGAGCAGTAGCCTCAGAATCAGGGTATCAATTAGGTATTGAAGTATGTCAGGAAGCTGGTAAAGACATGGGCAACAACCGGCCTTCCTCTGATGCTGTGCACATTTATTTGAAGCAGTTTCCACATTGTGAAAGAGAAATTAAAATCTTTGGCTGGATCTTTTATACTTTTTTGTGGTTAGGTAATCCAAGTGGTCTGACATGGTATCTTTAGAATTGTGCTGCTAACTATTTTTCTCAGTTGTGAGAAATTTATGTGGAAGTAAATCACATATGTATATACACAGGTTGGTGGTGTTTCCTAACCTACAACCAGACCACTAATTGGGCATTAATATGGTCTAAGCTTGTGGTTTCATTAGCTTTCCTATCCAAGGAATAATTTCAATAGTCAGTAATACTGTCAGCCTCCCTAGAGACTTCATCTGTCTTTCTTCCAGCATATTTAACTAGACAACTTCAAAGCAGGATTGTCACTTCTCCTAACTTCTCAGGTTCTTTCAATAATGGGTAATTCTTTGACTTCTCTCCTTTATATTGTTCTTCACTGCCCCAAATTTATCAGAAAAGGGGACTTGGTGAGATAGATATGATCTCTGCAAGTGACTTTTAGTAATAATAATATTAGAAAAAATAATTTCTAAAAATAACAATCTTTTATTGGGTACATATCTGTGCTCCTTAATCCTTATAACAGTAAATTAGATATTCTTATTTTCCTCTTTTGTAGATTAAAAAAATAGATAAAGTCAGGTTATAAGTAACTTGCCCAAGCTCACTTGGCTAATAAAGGATAGAGCGTTTTTTTTTTCTTTTTTTTAGAGACAGGGTCTCACTCTGTTGCCCAGGCTGGAGTGCAGTGGTGCTATCATAGTTCATTGCAACTTCCAGCTTCTGGGCTCATCTCTGATGATTCTGATACTCCCATCTCAGCCTCCTGAGTAGCTAGGACTACAGGTGTATGCTACCACCCTTGGTTAATTTTTTAAAAGTTGTTTTTAGAGATTGGGTCTCACTATGTTGCCCAGGCTGGTCTAGAATTCCTGACCTTAAGTGAACCTCCAGGAGACCTTGGCCTCCTAAAGTATTGGGATTATAGGCATGCCCCACCATGCCTGGCCAGAGTTAGGATATTTTGAGCTCAGCTCTGTCTGGTTCTAAAATGCCTGTTTCTAAAACCTCAGAGCAATGTTGGATCCTTAAAGTGAAAAATGTGTGCACTATTGTAATTTTGTTATACTGGAATATTTCACAACAGACATCTTGCCTCTACTTGCCCCAGTAGGTTTTCTGGAGGGAACTGAGAATGCTTAACAATACCAAAAATGTTTAATCAGTGAATTATAATTAGTTAACCTTTGTCTTAAAGCTTATGAGAAATAAAAACAAATTCATTATAAAGGGTTCTGCAAATCTAAATACCATCTTTTTCATGCAGAATGTCCTGGCATTAGTTGTTCCTATAGAAAGAGATAGAAAAGGGAGGATAAAGTACTATTCATGATCTATTTTACGCCAAATGCTTGTGCACTTGAGATTGCACATACTGCTCATAACACAGGTATTGTCAGCTTCAATTTATAGCTGGGGACCCAGAGACATGGAGAAGAAACTTGTTCCAAGTCACAGTAAGTAGTGGCCTGATCTGCAACGTTTATTAGACTCCCAGGCCTGGACTCTCCCTCCCTTGCTATGACGCTGCCTTAGGGCAAACGAATTCCTGGAGACTGCATGAATCTATCTTGATTTACTGCTGCCCAAACTTCCACATTTCTCCTTCCTACACCTACTCATCTCCAACTTTAAATAACAACCTCAAAATTATGACAAATATTGGTGAGTTTACTCTGAATATACATCACTGGGAACTGTGAGACTTAAAAATGGCATAATTAACAGGTTCTCTCTTCCTTCTGGATGCTAAAGTTGGATACATTGAGATAATGTCAGCAAAGTTCAAATGAATACTTGATGGGCTGTCTTATTTGCCACCACACCTGGCTAATTTTTGTATTTTTAGTAGAGACAGAGCTTCACCATGTTGGCCAAGCTGGTCTCGAACTCCTGACCTCGGGATCCGCCTGTCTTGGCCTCCCAAAGTGCTGGGATTACAGGCGTGAGCTACCATGCCCGGCTGGTAGCTCTAACCTTTCTTAGTTCATTCAGTGTGTACATTGATGACCTTTTAGCCTTATGAGTCTATGCCAGGCTCTTCCTCACTTAAGAAATTCTTACACTAATAAAGATGTAAAGAGATTGATGAGGACAATCATAATTGATGATTAAACAGTTCTGAAAAGCAATTATGGTTCTTCATGAAGAGGTCATGCATCCAAGTGAATGATGTGTCCATCTATGTCCACAGAACTCAGACTTTCTTTCAGAGGCAACTGGTACTGATAAATTTGGCTGGGCTAAACAGTATCAAAATCAAAATGAGTTTAAATGATTGGTTTGATGGTTTCATTTGGACGTCCATATATAGACCTGAGCTCTACGCATAAATGAAAACAAACAGCTGCATAAGAAATTACAGTGCATCTATCTGAATTTTAGGCACACCAGACTCTCAGGACTGACATAATGTCAAAGGTTTGTTAAGTCAAATATACATAATAAACAATTTATGACATTGATTTGATATCTACCAAGAACCCATAGCATATCTGGTCATGCATGCAGGGTACATGTGTCACGGCCCTCTATTATAAACTGTATTGCTAAACTGTCTTGTGAAATGTATGTCTCAGAGAAGCTCAAGATGTTTATGAAGATGACCATATTAGGATTTTCTAGGTGTAGACACATTAAAAATAATAGGCAACACAAAAACGTTCAAAACTGAAGCTTCCAATGCCACCATTAAATGTATTTCTAGTCTGTTGGCTGCAACTGTCAACATACCTTACTGCCCAAGCAAAAGGCATACGGTATTTTCCCAATTTGCTGCAGAATTGTCTGTTGGATTTTAGTATCTTTTGTGCATACTAAAGAAAAAATAAATACAAATATTGTTTAGAATAGCACTTTATAAACTGTACATATAAAATAATACTAAATACTTTTTCATATTATTTTATACTGAAACTCAGCGTAACTGTGTCTTACTAGCCCCTATTACCTTATAAAGAGCCAAATGGTGTCCTATGTGTTCAAACTATTGTATAATGTTTTTCTTTCTTTCTTCTTAGTTTGGAAATTTCAAATGTAGAAAATAATCCATGTCTTGGAATATCAACTTTTTTCCTTTTTTTGACTTAAAAGATTTTAAAATCTTGAATGGAAAGTATTAGTACATTTACATTTACAGTCCATTCTATATCCCCTTTTATTTGTTATGGCAGAGGGCAGGAGACTGGTTCTGTAAAGAGTCATATAGTAAACACAATGGGTTTCATGGGCCATATAGTCTCTGTCACAAGTTTTCAACTCTGTTTCTGTAGCAGGGAAATGGCCATAGACAATCCATAAATGAATGTGACTGTGTTTCAATAAAACTTTATTTATCAAAACAGAAGGTAGGCTGGATTTGGCCTGCACACCATAGTTTGCCAAACACTGAATTATGGGACTCTCATAAATATGTTAAACTCCTTCCTAAATTGTCATACATGCTAAGATTCAATTCTTGTAAGTTATTTCCTCAGTATATTTCTTTGGCATGGAAAATATAGACTTTTAATATTTCTTTTCTTTTCTTTTTTTTTTAGACGGAGTCTCGCTCTGTCGCCCGCCCAGGCTGGAGTGCAGTGGCAGGATCTTGGCTCACTGCAAGCTCCGCCTCCCGGGTTCACGCCATTCTCCTGCCTCAGCCTCCCGAGTAGCTGGGACTACAGGCGCCCGCCACCACGCCTGGCTAATTTTTTGTATTTTTAGTAGAGACGGGGTTTCACCATGTTAGCCAGGATGGTCTCCATCTCTTGACCTCGTGATCGCCTGCCTCAACCTCCCAAAGTGCTGGGATTACAGGCGTGAGCCACTGCGCCCGGCCTTAATATTCATTTTCTATTAAACAGTAATATTTGATTATTAAAGAAAATCTAATAGAAAAGAAGAAAGTAGAAACATATTACCTGTAGTTCCACCATTCAAAGCACAGCATTCTCTTTCCTCTTTTTCACTTAAGTGGTATTATAATTTGATTTACAATTATTTATCTCACTTTGTTCATCATCAGCATTGCTGATGTCTCATTCACTTGCTTTTACTCAGAATATTCCTAAGGTTTCATTATTATTAATACTCTGATCCTTGGGGTGAAAGCTTTATCCACATTTGAATTTATTTCTACCATTAGATTCTCAGAGGTCAGAAATTACTGGGTCAAAAGAAAGTAAAGCAAAAAGATAAGCTTAAAAAAATTTCTGGTGGATATTCATTTCACCAATAAGTGAGTATTTCAAGACATACAAATTTGATAATTCAGCAAGAAAGTGTGGCTTTCTGTCTTAAAAGCAAATGAAGTTGGCTGGGCATGGTGGCTCATGCCTGTAATCCCAGCACTTTGGGAGTCCAAGGCAGGCCGATCACTTGAAGTCAGGAGTTCGAGACCAGCCTGGTCAACATGGTGAAACCCCATCTCTACTATAAAATACAAAAAATTAGCTGGGCGTGGTGGCATGCACCTCTAATCCCAGCTACTGGGGAGGCTGAGGCAAGAGAATCACTTGAACCCAGGAGACAGAGGTTGCAGTGAGCTGCGATTGTGCCACTGCACTCCAGCCTGGGTGACAGGGAGAGACTCTATTAAAAAAAAAAAAGGAAGTGAAGTTATTTATAAGATTATACATTACCTTGTTGGAGTCTGGGTTCTTAATATAAGGTTCGGCACCACTTGCAATGTTTCCCATCAAGACTTTTTCGATTTTGGCCACCAAAACAATTTCAGAATGTGGATTGCTTACAGAAAATACAGCCTGTGTACAAAGAAAGCAGCTAATAAGCATGGAAGAAACCACATTGTAGACATTTACAAAATTCCATTTTTTTAAAAAAGGACAGCTTTAAGGGAATTTTTATTCAGGAAATTGCTCATCTTATATGATCTATTGGTAAGAATAATGGTACAAGCATTTTCCATCTCATCACAAGTAAACAAAGTGCCACCTGCTTTGGAAATTTTAGCCATTCCTCTGGAAGTCCCTTGATGTGAGGTTCTTCTGATTGTCTTGGAGTGATGGTGTCGATGTTGCCATTTTCCAAAGCCACAGAAGCCCCCAAGAGCATCTGTCTGACAGCAGCATGGTTTAGATCCACATGAAAATCAGCAGAAATCTTCCTGCTGTCTCTGAGGTCATAAAGTGCCACACTCACAAAAAAAGGCTCAATCTGCATGAAAAAGAAAGAACAGATGTTTTTGATATAAAATCATTATCCATGAGACAGCCTCGTTAGTACATCATTTAACAAAGCAGTAGATAAAATACATGCAGCAGGCAAGCTCCCCTTGACTCAGTGACCCGGAATCCTGTCCTCCAGCAAGTGCCTTAGATCCCAGTACTGTATCTCATTGGTTCTTTAGTTTCCCTGCCAAGAACTCTCTTCTTATGTTGCATTTACATGCATGGTTGGGCCTTACAAATCCTTCCAGTTATTTCCCTTACAGTCTTAGAAAATACATGCCACCTAAGTCTCCAAGGCCCTTGAAAATCTGTAATGAAATCCTAGAAGTTTCGAGACTGCACTGTGGTTGAACTTCACTAGGCCAACCACATCTCTGTTTTTTATCACAGCTTGATAGAATCATAATAATAGCTAACAGTTATTGAGCATTTATTACGTGTTTGCCACTGTTCTAAGGCACTCCTAATACATTAGTGTCGCAGATACATATTAAAACACAAAACACTGTGGCAAGTAGGTAGGTGAGCATCAGGTTGTGAGGGAGTCTGTTGGCAGAGAGGGCAGGAAGTTTCCTAAGAGGAGTTGATATCTTAGTTGAATTTTTAAAACAGATATTAACTATTTTTTCTCTTATATTGAAATAATTTTGAATAGAGAGAAAGGTTGTGTAAAAGGTGCATAAAACCACCTTAATTATCCCCCTTGCCCAGATTCAACTGTTAACCTCCTGTTTCTCTCTCTCTCTCTCTCTCTCACACACACACACACACTCTCTCTCTCTCTCTTACACACATACACACACACTCTCTCTCTCTCTAACAGTCACCTATTATAACCAGTCTGAATGCTTTGAGAGCAAGTTTCCCATATTATTCCTCTCCTAAATACTCCAGCGAGTGTTTTCCCGAAATGAGGACACTTACCTGCCTAATCACCGTGCAGCCATCCAAGTCAGGAAAGTGATATTGGCCCAAACTGTGCAACTCACATGCCCCTTTCGATGCTGCCAGTTGACTCAATAATGCCTCTGTTTTTCTTTCTGGTCCAGAATCCCATCTAGGACTACTCATTGTATTTTTCTGCTATTTCCCTTCAATTTAATTCAGTCAAAACTGTTCCTCAGTCTTTTTCTCTCTTTCAGGTTTTTGGCCTTTTAAAGAGTACAGGACATATATTCTGACATAAATTCAATCTGGGTCTGTTGTATGTGTCCTCGTGACAGGATTCAGGTCATGCTTTTATGGCAGTAAAATCTCAGACTGATGCTTGATTTTCATACTTCATTGTGTCTAGAGCACACAGTGTCAACTCCTTCAGCAACTGTGATGTTAGCCTTATCTGCTGGTTTTCTCCATTATAAAGGTCACCATTTTCCCTTTGGCAATTGATTTGTATTTGTGGAAATATGTTCTGAGATTACCCCCAGGTCTTGCTACTCACCAAACACAACCCACCCTAGTCTTCATCTCCATTGATAACTTCCATTGCAGTCAACTACCACCATGATGGCGACCAATGGTGATTTTTCAGTTCCATCATTCTTTCTACACGTATTAGCTAGTATTCCATCATACGGATGAGCTTTCCCTTCTCTCTTATTTTGATATTAATTAATTAATTTATTAATACAAGTATAGACTCATGGATTACTGTTTTACTCAATGGGTTTTGCTCTTACGATAATTAGTGTTAGTGTGATGCTGAAATTGTCCCAGATTTGGCTAGAGGCACTCATTCAAGGTAACTTCTGGGTATATTTTTGGCAAGTCTCCATCATTTTTTGAGTACTTCTTTATCAAATAGGATGTTCCAGGCTTATCCTATACTACTCATGCTCCAGATATTTCTCCAAGGAGCCCTGGTTCCTTACAGTGAGGGTGACATTTACAAACCACGATCTGGGTGCTTGTTGTGCTCACTGTCACAGGGATATCATTGCTTCTCTGCCCTCCGATCATACAGAGCTAAGAAATACACACACACACACACACACACACACACACACAAAATTTATTTATCTCTATCTGTGTATGAATACTTATTAAAAACCAGTTAGTTCATGTTTATACCTCTGCTTCCGATACAAACACTCAAGGGTTCATTCTAGCCTTTCCATTTTTAATATTGGTAAGTAGGTCCTCCAACAGTGAGAATGCGGGATCTCATTACCATGAATCTGTTTACTTACTTGTTCAACCAGTTACTTATTGGTTCAAAGTAACCAGTCTCCCAACCATATCAGCCATCTTTTCTAGTTGCCTCCTCTGGGCTGCCCTGCACCTGTATCACAACACACCCACGACAGGCTGCTTCTGTCCCTCTTCATGGCTTTCTCTCCCCATCAATTCTTGGGTGCTCACCCAAATCCATGCCTCTATGTGGCTTTCCTCTTAACCTCTTGCCCCCAGGCTAGGAAGTGGAAGATGTGAAAATGGGAAAGATATGGAAGATGAGAAGAAGGGGACATTTCTTGGTCAAGTTTTAAAGAAGTAGGAATTAGGTACAGAGTTGGTTAGAAGGGATTTCTAGGTAGGGTGTGTGACATGTGCAAAGACATAAGACATCAAAGAGCACAGGAAAAGAACATTAGAGTGGGATCAGAGTGGAGGAAAATGAAAAATTGGTAGGAAGCGTTTGTGGGAGAGGCATTTGAGAAACATTAAGGAAGTATGACCAAAGAGCTTGGATATTCTTTGCATGTGTTTGTCTTGGTTGATTGGAGAAAATGTTTCACAGGGGCATGAATACAGAAAATTCCCAGGTTTGAGGATAAAGGAAATGAAGTGGATGGTCATACCATTGGCTGATATAGGGGATAAAGATACAAAGATGAATTCCAAATGGGATATAGAAAGTCATCTGCGGGACATCCCAGTGGCAGTTGGATGTGTGTTTTGAGCCAAGTCAAGGAAACTGGGCTGAAGAGCTGGGCCTGAGAGGTTTTTTTTGTGTGTGGGGTCCTGTTGAATCCATGAAATAGAAGAAAATCAGAACAGGATTCTGGAAAGTATCAACATGCAAAGGATGGAGATGGGAGTAGGGAAAACAACTTATAAAATGGATTGGGAAGTAGGGAAAAATTTTACAAAACAAATGAAAAAATTTTAAATGTTGCCAGAGTATCACAGAAGCAAAGAAAGATTCAAGAAGGAAAGAATGGTCAACTAGAAAAATGTCACATACAACAGAGACAAAGACCAAATTAATATATGCATATGTAATTACATACATATATGTACATATATACATATATTGCATACATGCACATATATGTAGTTACACATTTATGTGATTAAAGTTGGAATACGCCTATAAAAACTAGCATTTTTACTGTTTTAAAATGCTACTTAAGTTTGAGTTGATGCCAATCTCTACCAGTATTCTAGGGGCAAACAGATTATAGTGAAACACCCTATTGTGATCCAGTTTATTACTACACAGACTCACTCACACTGTGGGTTTTGTTAAATGCTTAACAGTATCTCCTATCTTTTGAAATGTAGTAATGTGACTAGTTTATACGGGGGGGACAAGTCCAATTTCTTAATATTAGCAATACTTGCCAGCTCCCTTACTGTTAGAAAAAAGTTTTTGCATATAAGATAAATTCAATAAATTATTTTTTAAAATATAAAGCAATTACAAAGTAAAAGTTTATAGTATACCAATTTAAATTAATACAGAAAAACTCTTGTTTTGTGGTAGTAGTAGTCTGCCAAGAGTTGAAAAATGCAAAAATTACAGAAAAACAACTAAAGTGGGAACTCAAAACACATTGAAGGTCAAAGCAAAACCCATCTTTTTTCCTGAATTGTTGCATTTTGATTTTCATTTCTACTTTGTGAATGGAAATAAATACCTACTTTGATAACCCATCAAAAATTAAAGCTCATGTGGTGATTCATTTCTTTCTTCCAATCCACCTTTTCAAAATAAATGTCAAATCACTGGCTTTCCAGTGAGGATTTAACAAAGCATCTGCAAAGCCTAACAAATTAATTCATAGGTTTCTTGTGTTTAGAATTCTGTACTCTTCTGAAAAAAACTCGCAAAGATAAAATTTTAAATGTAGTTCTACTGTGATGTAGCTTTATTAGTTCAGATTTTTGGAGTCAATTTCTATTTTCAAAGAAATATTTTATACTACAAAACCATCAACTTGAATTTGGTTTTCAATTTACTGACTAAAAAATTACATGCTGTCAAACATTGTTTTCTCATCATGAGGATGTTATTTCAGGGAGTCTTCAGAATCTCATTCATTAAATGCAGTAGTTGGCTCCTAAGCAGCTTGGAGAAATATTTCAATTAATTTAAAACATGCTCATTGAATTAAGAACAATGAGTTTAAAAATAGATTCATTAATGAAAGAGTGTCAGTGAATAAATAAACACTGATTTTTAAAAAACAATGGTATTAAATAACAAACTGCTGTGAAGGTGAGGCTGACATTATTTTTTGTGTTATTGCTTATAGGCACAATGAAATTATTTTTCTAAAGTAATTTCCTAGTTTTTCAACATATGTATCAACTGTAAAATGAAAAACAACACTGACGTACAAAACACTCCAAATCAACTTAACCCTTTGGCCTGACAGATACCAAAGGACACACTAACTTGGTTCTCTGTACTTGGCTGTGTTCTCTTGCCTGGGGAGATTGGCCCAAATACAAACATTTGGCTTCTGAATATGGGTCTTAGTACAAAGAAAGGAATTCACGTGGAAGGAGTCATATGCCCCTGGCAGTAGAAAGAAAAGCCCACTATCTTTGATTTTCAGTTTCTAAATTGCATTTTAAATTACATTTAAATATGTTCTGGGTCAAAAAAAGCATCTATTTTTATTTAACAAGGTGACTAAGTGACATTACCATTTGAGGTAATGATATGATTTGGCTGTGTCACCACCCAAATCTCATCTTAAATTGTAGTTCTCATAATCCTCACATGTCATAGGAGGGACCCAGTGGGAAGTAATTGAATTATGGGGGCAGTTACCCTCATGCTGTTCTCATGATAGTGAGTGAGTTCTCATAATATCTGATGGTTTTATAAGGGGCTTTTCCCCCTTTTGCTTGGCATTTCCCTTTGCTGCCGCCATGTGAAGAAGGACATGTTTGATTCCCCTTCCATGATGATTGTAAGTTTCTTGAGGCCTCACCAGTCATGCTGAACTGTGAGTCAATTAAACCTCCTTCCTTTATAAATTACAGTCTTGGGTATGTCTTTCTTAGCAGCATGAGAACAGACTAATACAGGTATTTCCAAATGGTTTCAAGGACTAAGTTTCTAGATTTTTGTTTTGTTTTTATTTTAAAATCCTGCCTGAAAGCATGATCAGATTACTCCTAACACTTTGCATTCCATGGGAGCTGCTCTTGCCATAGTCATCAACATCCTCCACTTTGCCATGTCTACCAGATGGACTCCTCTTTCACTTCATGTTCCTCAGCTTCTTGGCACCAATCCCATAGCTACCCATTTGCTCTTGGTTTCATGATACAGTATTCCTTGGTTTATCTTTATCCCAACAGCCATCCCTGTTTAGTCTTCTTTGGTCACTTCTCTATTCATTCTTCAGATATTTTATTTGGTTCCTGGCCCCTTCTCTATGGTCATAGATATTTTTAGATCCCGCCCCTCTCCCCCCAACCAACATCATTGTCTGAACTAGACTTCCAAATTTGTATTTCCATTCATGGCCACTCCATTTTTTTTTTTTTTTTTTTTTTTTTTTTTGAGACGGAGTCTCACTGTGTCACCCAGGCTGGAGTGCAGTGGCATGATCTCGGCTTACTGCAACCTCCACCTCCTGGGTTCAGGCGATTCTTCTGCCTCAGCCTCCTAAGTAGCTGGGACTACAGGCGTGTGCCACTGTGTACAGCTAATTTTTGTATTTTTTGTAGAGACAAGGTTTTGCCATGTTGGACAGGCTGGTCTTGAACTCCTGACCTCAGGTGATCTGCCTGCCTTGGCCTCCCAAAGTGCTGGGATTACAGGTGTGAGCCACCGTGCCTGGCCGCCAAACTTGCATTTGAATCTGTCCCTAAGACATCTCTCTTTGGATATCTAATAGTACCAACAAGTGAAACATGTTCATAATGGTATTTTTGACCTGTATTGTGCAAATCTCCCTCCCGTGTTACCATTTTAGTAAATGGCATCACAATGTGTAAAACCGTCCAAAACAAAAACCAGTACTCACCCTTGAGATTTCTTTTTCCATTATCCAGTATATCCAATACATTAGGAAAGCTTATCAGCCCAATTTACAAAACACCAGTCCAATCCACCCATTTCTCTCCTTCTCCCTTGCCAGCCCTTGTTCAAGCCATGCAATAAACGGTGGTAGTAGCCTCCTAATTCTTCTTCTTGGACAACTCTTGTTTTTAAAGTGCTTTAAACCATTGAATAGCTTCCAATCACACTTAGGATAAATTCAAACTCTTTACTATGGCTTAAGGCCCTACATCATCTTATCTCTGTTTCTTCTACATCATCTTGGTATACCCTTCACCTCCCTAACTCTTTTCAGTTCCTAGAACTTGCTAAAGCTTACCTGTCTTGGTGCATTTGTACTTCTCTTTCTTCTGCCTAGAATGTTCTCCCCTGACCTGCCTTTTTATCCTTCCCAACCTTTAGGTCTCTGTTCAAAATCACCTCTGCCGAGAGGGCCTTCCATGACCATCCTGTCTAAAGTAACCCTTTCCTGAATTCCTCTGGAACACATCTCTCCATATTTATTTCTTTTAAAGAACTTTGCATAATGTGCACTTAAATTGTGAGTTTTCTTGTTTACTTTCTGCCGTTTTCAAAAAGAATCTAATCTTCAAGACACTAGGGACCTTGCTTATCTAGTTACTTCCTGTTTTCCCAGTTCTTAGGACAAGTTTGGCTCACAGTAGACACTTGGAATAAGTATATTTGGAGAATGAATAAACCTGACTTCAACTACTTTCATTTCTACTCACACCTAGTACACAGTCAAAGTTATAGAATATAAAACAGCTTCATTTTTTGACAAGATTCTTATTGGTGACACATTTCCATTTTAGCTTACCTGTCAACAAGAATCTCACATATATCAATACAAATATCAATAACTTGCATGCAGTTTTGATAAATTTCAATGCAATTTCTCACATATTTAGATGACAGTTAAGTATTTAACGAATGCTTACTTTGTACCAAGCAATGTCTGAGTACCTTTGATATGGTACCATGTGTAACCACAACAATCACTTGAAATAGGCATTGTTATTATCTCCATTTAAAGGAGTGAAGACTGACAGTAGGCCAGTTGCCCAGAGTGGCACAACTTGTGAGTTGGAGAGCCAGGCAATCTGATCCCAGAACGGCACATCTCATTTGAGTCTCCTCATTAAATCAGAGGTCCACAGCATGGACCTTATCCTGCTCTACACCTGGGGTAGGAGGCTCAAAGCAAATCACTGAGGTGCTAAAGACACAGGTCAGTAGGTATCAAGTAAAGTCTTCTGAAAGGGTTAATTCTTTCTGCCATCCACTCACTGTCACAACTAGCAAGGCTAGTTTCCCTGGATCATAAATGGATGAAGGCATGAGACTGTGTGGACCCAGTTTACAGTGAAAACTTAATGGGGTTTCTGCCTTCGAAAGCCAATGTGACTCCTATCAAGGATCTGGAAATCAGTTTTCCTCTTTGAGGTGAAAGATGACAATTGAGGGATGATGGATTAGAAATTTGAACAGAACGCATTAAAAAAGAATGAAAGAAGATATGCCAAAATATTAACTGTGCCTTATATTGATTAGGATATTAACATAATCAAGATTGATATAGAATTATGAGTGATTTTAAAAAATAATTCAACATTTAATAACGTTTATGCTCATAAAAAGTTCCCTTCCCACACATACATTAACAATCTAGTGGGACTGCCTGCTAAAGTACTAAGACGAAGTTTTCAAGAGAACTCACACAAATATCAGTGAAGCTCCTTTGTCATTTCTGATATTTACATGTCCCATCCTACTAGTATTTATTTAACATCCATCTAATATTACTTTACTTGATACACTGTTTAGTCTTGTCCTCAGCAATAATGGCTGGGAAGTCACAGGGTTTGTTAGCTTTGATTTTTCTCTAATACACATGAAAATAAACATAGAAATAGTAAAATAAAAATGTCCCTGTAAAAGCCATCTCTGGCCAGGTGTGGTAGCTCATGCCTGTAATCCCAGCACTTTGAGAGGTTGAGGCAGGCAGGTAGCTTGAGCCTAGGAGTTCTAAACCAGTCTGGCCATCATGGCAAAACCTCATCTGTATAAGAAATACAAAAAAATTAGCTAGGCGGCCATGGTGGTGCGTGCCTGTAGTCCATTACTTGGAAGGCTTAGGTGGAAGGATCGCTTGAGCCCTGGAAGCTGCGGCTGCACTGAGCTGAGGCTGCAGTGAGCCGAGACTGCGCAACTGCACTCCAGCCTGGGCAACAGAGCAAGACCATCTCAAAAAAAAAAAAAAAAAAAAAAAAAGCCATCTTGAGTACTACTAAGAGGATACACACAATGCCATAGGAAACTCTAAACCACTGTGCTGATTTCATAGAATCCCCAAACACAGTCCTTTAATGCTTTTTCTTTAAGTTAAAAGGAAAATTTTATGGCAGTATATTGATAAAGTATAGTATATTAATATTTTATTAGGCTTTATTCATACAGTATATTATAAAGTGTTCCACTTTAGAACTTGTACACTTGTGTAATGTGGGAAAAGGCTGTTAATAATATTCCCTGGTACACTAGAGAGTGAGAAATCAGTGCCTGGAATTAGCAGGAATAGAAAAGATTTTTGACTAGGGTGGTGTAATGTTGGCTTAATGGTATAGGATGTAACAGAGGAGAAACTTACATTCGTTATCGGATCATTTTCATTCTCCGTAACACATCCCTGAAGATTTGAGTTGAGGGCTTTACAGATGATCATGATTCTCTTGGCAGCTTTTTCTTCAAATGGTTTGATCACAGACTCAGGTTCCAAGAGATCTTTTTTTTGAAGTTTCAAGGTCTAAAAAAGTTTTGAATGAGTCACCAAACATCCAACATAAAAAAGAAATTCTAAATTATAATCCCCAACTGTATGGATCAAGTTCATATCTGCTTAGAAAAAATTTTGACTTACATCTATGTCTGGATCTAGAGAGAACAGATTTAGCCTCTCCATGTTTCGAGTTGTTTTTACAGTATCTTCTGTTTCTGTGAGGTACTACAGAGAAAATTGTGTTAGTCCTTGGTATCTAAATATCCAGATACAGCCCCTGACACATCCACATGGCCAAGAAGCAGCCCCTTAGTATTATCACCATTTTAGTATTACCCATTAACACTTGGCAAATCTTGTAAAAGTATGTTTCCTTTTTGAGCCCTATGTGTATGTTAATGAAAACACATAGGTTAACGGGAAGTTCCAAATTAGCTTCTTGGTCTAAATCTTAAAAGAAAGCATTTACGTCTTTTCCATGAAAGCAATAACTAACAAATAATTCAAATTGGTTTTGCAAGTACAATGCCAACTTTATTACCTTTGCAAAGTCTGCGTGTAGGTTGTTCTCTGAAGAATCTGTTTCCTCTGGCGTGCATTCACAAGTTACAGAATTATCCAGCGAATCTTAAAAAGATATACCAAGTCAGGTTATTAAATATTACTCACGAGTCACACATTCTTCTAGCCTGTGACATGCAAAACTAAGTTAGGCTTAAGAGCTAAGAGGGACGTTGGTGAGCCTAAGCTTTCATTGTGTTCTGACTCCTGAACTCCACATTGTTGAGTGATCTGGGCCTGGAAATCAGACCCTCTGATGATCATTTTGGGATTCTTGCTATGATACCATCTTGTGTCCACAAGAACTTTGGATTTTTACACTACATTTATACTTGGGGTTGTCTTGACTTACTTCATTAATGCATACTAAAGTTTTCTTAAATATGTATGTATTTTTGGTAATTCTGGCTCTCAGGCTATCAATTTAGAATCCACCTTCTTGCTTCAGCTACTTAAACTCTGTAAGACACTGTAAACATTAATACTATCGTTGTTATTATTAAGGAAATCCTAAGTGTAAAACACCTACTATGGCATACAGTAGTTGTGTTAAAATCAACAAAATCAGCAATAGTTTTTTTCCATATTACTCCATGGCTCTTTCACTCTACAGCCTGAGACTTAGACTAGGGGAACTTAAAGATGCTTTGGTTTCTAATGTACCATGTGCTATGCAAAATGTCTGAAAATAGTTTTGTTTTGGGAGGAGTGACTGACTTTGCTGGTGTTGAACTTGCCTTCTATGTAGCTACAGACTTGCTTTTCTAACCTTTTCACCTTTTCTTTCCTCTCTCTTGTTCCCTTCTCTTTGCATAAAATGAAGTAGACCCTTATGAAGGAATTAGGATGGGGAGAAAAAAAATTTAATTTTATAAAAATTCTATCACCATGTATAATTTTTGAAACTTTCACATATAAGATGATCACAGTATGATCAAAAAGCAGAAATGAAAGATGCTTTTTCACTAAAAGGAAGGAATTCATATTTGCCTTTACAGAGCATAAGATTCATTAATTAAATTTAATGAAAGGCTAAAATACCACAAAATGCCCCCTATAAGGTAATGTCCCATTGGACATGAGCACATTTTGGATGCTGTGACAAATGATTCCCAACATCATTTGCTGGGGGAAAGCCTCAGATCGTTGCCAGTTGACTCTGAATTGTACTTATGTGTGGTGGCCATTACTGTGCAGTAAAGATTTAGGAGTGATTTAGTGATTCTTGGAACAAACAGCCCCAGGATGGATGAGCTAGACCAGACAGCAACTACAATGCCTAGCAGCTTTAGTGAACCAAAAACACAGGTCACACTGGACAAAGGAAGGAAGACGGCTTCATATGCTCTCACCCAGACCCAGATCAGTGAGCTCTGTGCTCCTCCTCCCTTGGAGGGGCCCCTCAGGACTGATTTGCAGAATGCGGTTGAGGGTGTGGATCCATTCATCCATATCTGACTCTGTTTCAGCTGCCAGCACAAAATAGGTCAGATCATTCATTTTCAATTCAAAGGCATATTTTCTTAGTCTGTTATTCTGTGGTATAAAAAGAAAGAAAGAAAAAGAGAATACCAAAAAATAAGCCTTCGAGAGAGAGATCATTTATGTGGGCTTGAGGTTCCAAAAGTCTTTCCATACAGATAGATAACATAAAGAAAATTTTCCAGAACAAGACAAAATTTTAGATGGGTCTGATCATTTTGTTTGATTTCTTTCAAAGCTTTTTGTACTAAGAAATATCTTATTTAGGGTTTTGTTGATTGGATGGACACGTTAGCTTGAACATTTCATCACGGGCATGTGCTTGAGTATATTCTTAACTCCTTGTAAGAGTTTCTTTGAGTTTCTGCCTTGACTTTCTCACCTTATATTCTGTGATTCATTCCAGGTGGGCGTCTGACCCTATCGCATCCCAGAGGCAGCTCTTACCAAGGTCACTAACAGGCCCTATGTTGCCATACTATCTTAAGGACTATTTCTTTCTTCGTATCTTCCTTGTCCTTGCAGCAGAATTAACACAATGGCCACTTCCTCCTTTCTGAAACTCACCTTCCTTCAGTTGCCACGAGCACACTCTATTCTGAGTGTGGCTGCCTTTTTTCGATCTCCTCTGCCAGCTGTTCCTTCTTCTCATGACCTCTAGTGAGAATCCTGGCTATGCCTCAGACTCCTTTCTCTCCTTTATTTCTCATCTATTCCAATGGCTTCAAACGACATCCATGTGCAGTGACATCCCAATTCCTTTCCTGGCTCTGGCTTCACCAACCTCCAGATTCTTCTCTAGCTTGACATCTCTACTTTGCATTTTGTGACCAACCCACAAAGCCTTTTTCTAGTTCCCGAATGTGTTCCTGTCATGTTCTTATTGCTGCCACAAGGAAGGCCTGAGACAGGCTGGCCCCCTCCACCACACATGCGCTCAAAAGCATAGTGAGCATGGTGTGTGCCCCCATGTACTTATATGATTTGTATCCACTCTTCAGATCTCAATTGAAACTTTCCTCAATTTTCCAGTCTAGGACAAAGGGACAAAGTTCTTGTCCTCCAGAGCACTTACCATGATTTGAAATTATCTGCTTATCCATTTTTGTTTGTTTTGACAAATACATGTCTCCCTTAAGGCTACCTCCATGAGGACTGGGTCAGTTTTCCTAACCACCATATCATGTAATAGTACGGACACTTGAAGGATTCAATAGTGGTGGGTTCAAAACCAGTCATATTTTATGAATGGAACATAATAGGTTCCTATTCTATTGGAATAGGTTCCTATTCTATTGGAATAGGTTCCTATTCTATTGGAATAGGTTCCTATTCCAAGTTGACATTCTAGTAGAGAAGAGGTGAATGGATGAATAATTGAAGGAATGAACAAACAATTGAAAAACAAAGGTTCTCCATTGTGCAGAGAACTAAAATAAGCCAGTGTGATGAGTAGGTACTTTAGATTGGGTGGTCAGAAGCAGGCCTTTCCCCAAAGAAGATCTCTGATTTGAAATCTGTAGAAAGGAGAAATGGGCTATTGAAAGTTCAGGGAAGGACATTTAAAGCGGGGGAACCCAAGAACAAATTGTTACAATTTTATATATTCCTGGTATGAGATTGGAACATACATTCAAAGTGGAAACTTTCCCCTAGTGACACAAACTAGTGTTATTTAAGGGGGTGGTTGTTGGAAAGATTACTGAAGATACTTCATCTTTGATTTACTCCAGGCAATTCCTATACCGGTGTCCAGCTTTTATCAATATGTTCTAAAACCTGTAGCTTACTCATAATTGTAATAGAGCAAACCCTAACACTTAGGACAACTCTATTAAGTAGAATACAAATAAGAGAAGAGCCATAAAATGAGATCAATAGTGTGGGATTGTGGCTAAATAACAAGGTATAAAATTCTTTTGGGGAACAGGATTGCTATTTCTTGGTGACAAGCAAAAATTTCTAATACCCCTCCGGCAATGTTCTCTTTCTTTGGGATACTCTCACAGACTGTCCCCAGATAGCTGTTTCTTTCAACAATCACAACAACAAGATTACTAGTGCAAACACAACAATTACTAAATACTGGCTCTGTACTTTATGGTCATTATTTAATTTAAATGTCATAACAACCCTGTGGGACCAATCACATTATTCCATTTCACATGTAGTGAAACTGAGTTTTGGGGAGATTAATTAAAATGTGTTTGGGATTATATTGATAGCAAATGGTAGAGAAGGGAAAATAAGCCCTATATACTCTAACAACTGTGCTCCTAATCCCACCCACTGAGCTGCCTTATGCATTGCACAGAGCCAGGGACACAGAAGATGCTCAGCTGATGCTGGTCTCCTTACTTGACATTGCCCCGGCACAACAAAGGGGCATCTGTGGCCTGGGAGTTGTGGTTTCTCTCAGTGCTCAAGAACACATAGTGGGGCAACACATAGTCTTGAGAAAAAGTAAAGTTCAGGAACCAAAGGAGAAAGAATTGGCTAAAATGCTAACTATGGTTCTCATGTGGAAATTCACAGCTCAAACATCACTTTCTAGACTTCCAAGGATGAGCCCTTTGCTCCTGTCCATACTTTTGTATTACCATCAAGTATTATTTATTTCTTTGCCTTATAATGGCAGTCCCAGGCCTGGCTCTTTATAGTCCACAAGTCTTAGAAGGGCAGAACCTAAATTTGTATCCTCAGTGCTAAGTGCAGCGATATAATTGACTATCAAAGAGATATCTGTTGTGTTCATACTTTGTGTTGGACAAAAACATAGCCAGTCCCTGCTCTTGCAGAATAGGAATGACAGGCATTAAGCAATTAATCAGACAAATGTGAAATCAGAAAACAAATATATTTAAATTTTGTACAAATGTTTTGAAAAAGAGGTACTGGGTTCTATGAGAACATAGAATAGAAGTATGTGGACAAGTAAAAGGTCAGAGTTGCATTTTGAAAAAATCATTTTGACTGCAGTGTAAACAAAGTGGAGGGTACTCAGAAAGCCCATGGCCTCAAACTTCAGTGTGCAAAGCAAACATCTAGGCAGCTTCCTTCCGAAGGCAAATTCCTAGACGCCCCACTCTCCCCAGGAGGACTGGGGTAGATGTCCTCCACGTGTCCTCACACACAGCTCTGGGATGTTCTGACGAAGAAGGGCTACAAAATCACCTGCGACCTTCACTGATGGACAGTCTAAGGGCAAAGACAAGATGGCTGCAGAGCAGGTATAAAAGGAAAGACAGGTGTTCTATCACAGCACAATTTCCTTCAAAAAAACAACAGGAATAGAAATAGACACTCAGGGCTGGGCGTAGTGTCTCACTCCTGTAATCCCAGCGCTTTAGGAGGCCAAGGCGGGCAGCTCACTTGAGGCCAGGAGTTTAAGACCAGCCTGGACAACATGGTGAAACCCTGTCTCTACTAAAAATACAAAAATTAGCTGGGCATGGTGGTGCATGCCTGTATTCCCAGCTATTTGGGAGGCTGAGGCAGGAAAGTTACTTGAACCCAGGAGGTAGAGGTTGCAGTGAGCCGAAATTGCACCACTGCACTCCCAGCCTGGGTGACAGAGCGAGTCTCTGTCTCAAAATAAAAAAAAAAATTAAAAAAGAAAGAAATAGACACTCATAAAAGAACTGTAAATGTCCAGAGTTTGGTGCACAACTTTTGCAAGGACATTTTTAAGTATTTGATTATAGAAAAATGCAAGCAAATCTCAGTGTTATCTTGAAAACAAACAAATGAAAGAATTTGAGTGATGAATTTGATGCTGCAAATAATGTTAAAAGGGAGATAAAAAGCAACCTAAAATGCTTATATTGGGTCCAAATTAAAGGTGGATTGAGTTGCAACCTGCTTTCGAATGAAGATGCCGAACACTAACAAAATTTTGAAATGAAACATTACAAAATATAAACGAGTTGATTTGATTGTCTAAACTGCATTCAGTACTTCAAATGAATTAAATATGATTGCCGGCTTCAACAATATAATCACAAATATTCTTAAAAATTTGAGCAAAGTATTACAATCTTGTTTCTCAAAAAGGGACATTTATAATTAAAATAAATATTCGATTTGAAATGTCTCAAGAACTAAATTACCTTCTTCTATTTCAAGAGAAATAGAACCATTTGCAGCCCAGAGAAGCTTATGTTGGGAAAGATTAAGATGTCTGAGTGGTTTTCGATCTTGCTGTCTGTAATCTCAAAGATAATGTCATATAGAATAGCAAAAAGGGCAAAAATTGAAAATCAATGGGATATTTCAATAGGAAGTTTTAATAATTTTGAAGTATGATTGTTAAGTCATTAAAATGGTAATCAAGAAGTAATCATATTCTTGTTTTTGCTCCCCCAAATTTTCCTCTATTTCTCATATATCAGTGTCCTTTGCAGCCAGTGCAACTACTTTGTTCAGTCAACCTTACCATAGTATATTTACATGACTTCATAAATAGTAGGAACCTGTGAATATGTCTTATTGTCATGATATGTTTAGTGAGTTGTGGCAAACTGTTCTGCTTCCACAATGTTCATCTGAAAAAGTTCCAAACTGTAGATACTCCAAGAAAATCACTCAAGCCAATGGTGGACTGAATATCAAAGAGGGAAGCTACCCAAATCAAATATTTAATTATACCTATTATGTGGCTAGTATCTTGTATAGAATTTTGCAGGAACAAAAGAAGAGTCTTAAGGGAATCATACAACATCAAATCCAGGTTTCTGGTATCGATGGCTCCCTTCCATGAAATCCTCTCCACTCTCTGTAGGTTTATTTGTTCATTCATTCAGTGAAAATTAAATGGGTACCTCCTATGTTTCAGTCACACAGAACTGAAAAAATTCAAGTAAAGTGCTTTCCCTCATTGAACTTACCTTCTAGTGTAATGAAATGTCAGTAAGCAAATAAGCAGAAAGACAACATATGTAACATATATATACACATATATGTATATAATAGGTGTGTAATATGATATGGCATCATGCAGTGATAAATGTAATTTCATTCTTGCATATGTTATCAGGACTTATTGCTTGAAGTGTGTTACTTGTTTTCTTTGCATGTACCATATTTGTTTTGTTTTTTTTTCTGTGCATCCTTCCCACATCCTGGAAGCTTTTTGAAGACATGAGCCACACCTATTTTCAGAGTTTGCTCTTTTCACAATGGTTTGCACATTGCAAGTTTTCCAATATATACTAGTATTTGCTGAAATGAATCCCATATCTAAAATTCACTGCTTAAAGCTCCACATGAACATATCTTTGTAGTGTTTTTTCTGCCCACATAGCTTATGTAGGTAGAATAAATGTATGTATGTGGGTATGCCTACTTTACATATGATAATACATCATTTCTTTGGGCATCTGTCTGTAATTTTGGACATTCCTCTGCCTCAAGTTAAACTTTGCAATTCATTAGCTCTGTGACCTGTGAAAGACACTCTACCTCTCTGAATTTTATTTTAATAAATGGAACAATCATAGTTCATGTTCCATCAAGTGCTGTCAAATAATATATTAGATGAAGAAAACCACAAGTATAATTTTGGTTCTTATTGTTCTCGGAAGTGAGATTTTCAGAACTTGAGTTGCTAATGCGAGGCTTACGGGTCATATTTGGCTTCTAGATTTGTTTTCCTTGTAATGTTCTTTCCCCTGCTCCCAATATGACTTGCTTTCTGTAGGCAGGCATTCTCCACGTCTACATAGTCCAAGCTGCATCTGTTTCTCACACCTGGCCTCTCTTCATGCATGCAGGGGGCTGCTTGACCTACAGGAGGTATCTGCATTTCTAGCCTTTGGTTAGTCACATGAAGCCACTGTCTTGGAACCCATATCCACATGGTGGCAGACTCAAGGAAATGAGCCTTGTCCACCACACTGTCCACACCCATGTAAGCCTGTCTAAAGTGACATCAGCTTATTATCATTGCTGAGATAGGGACCTAAAACAGATGAGATTCTTGGGCTGTTCATTCTCTTCTACAGTGGCAGAACCTGGAATGAATGGATGGATAGATGAATGAATGTGAGAATGAATGAATGAATACATGAACTGAAGGAACAAGATAGGATAACACAGGCCTAAATATCTCTTAGTCCCAGAAGAAAAAACTTGAAGCAGCAAAAACCAAGTTCTTTTCCAGATTGGGAGCATAGGCCCATAAAAAATATCTAATACTCTTTGATGATATTATGAAAAAATAGAAAACCATGATTAGGCTTTGTTTTGTTTTGTGTTTTTTTTGGCCAAGATTCAGGAAATTGTCAGTCATAAACATTACCTAAAGTCTCTGAGAAAGCTGGGAAGGAGTTTCTCTCTACTTGAGCCACCCTTGTAATATACGTCTAAGAATTCCAAAGTATTCTAAGGAAAACGATGATATGGATTAAGTCTGAATGAATCAAACTGAAATGGCATATTCACTAAAGATTATAATGAACTTGAACTCCCTAAGAATGCTGGATGCTAAGTAGTACTTTCTGAGGCAGAGACGTTGTTCCTCTTTTTTGTTTGATTCAACGGAACCTGGCAATGATTCTTCATAAAACTGGTCTGATTCATCCTAGTTATTCATTTGCTCTGTGCTTTTGTGTGTACATGATTCATCTTCAGGCACATTTCATGCCTGAGAGCTTACTAGAACTATGGTTAAACTGGCACTATTTCACTCAAATTCTCTCCAGATGTAAAAACTTACACATCTGGAAGAACTATAAGCAAATATGTAAGAACTGGGACCCACACACAAAGTGACAAGTGACCCAGGTTTTGTCTCCCCAGAGTGATCCCAAGAAACTGGTCCCTGCCTCTACAAAGGATGTAGAGAATACTGGATAAAGCTTCTTGATGAAGAGGAATATAAATGCAGGGATAGAGGTGAACTCTTTAAAAGATACATATGCCAAATCTACCTTGGGGAATATTATAGACAGGCCCAGCTTTTTCTGTACAGACTTACAGCCTGAGCTGAAAGAGTTCATCATTGTTTCATGTTCCCAGAGCATTCCATGGTCTCTGCCATTCATACCTCCATCATCGCTCTCGAGATATCGTGTGATAGTGAGCAAGTAGCGATGCCCCTCTCTGATTCTGACTTCAATAAAGAATTGACTTCCCCACACCTGGGTGTAGTTTCTAGCATGTCATAGGCACTAAGTGGGTTTGTTGAATGAATCAGTAGGTTAATGAATAAATAAAGACATAGATAAATTAACACACTTAGGAAAAAATATCCGGAACGTAAATCAAGGTTTTCTAGGAAGACTTTCCCATAATGGAATGTCTATATCCTAGGTTGTGACCTTTGAAATTAATGGAAGAATTAGGGGAGAAAGGCTAAATACACTATCTCCCAGTTCTTTTCACATATTAGCACATTGTTCTAGTTTTACAGATGAGGAACCTGAGATCAAATTGGTCAAGTAACTTACTCAAAGTCTTTGGGTAGTAAATGGTAAAACTAGGATTTGAATGCGGACTTGCATGAATCCCAAGCTTGTGTTTTCCCTTCAATACTCCTTTTTTTCCATGACAATGTTTAAGCAGAGACTGAAACACAATCTAAGTAAGAGATGATGGAGAAGCAGTTCCTCCATAGGAAGGTCAGATTAGAGCAATAAGTTCTATGATTCTTTGAAGAAGAAAAATATTGCATATTAACCTGGGTTTCTGCAAACTTAATATATAACAAAAGACTACAATGGTACTTCTTAAAAAATGATGACTCATTTGCTAGAGAAAGCTTTCAAGTACAAATGGAAAGGATAATATTTAACATTTTCTGCTCAATGTCTATAAAATGCAGTTATTGATCTTTACTGCTAACGTTTTACTTCATGTTTCTAAGGCCAAAAGGTGTCCTTTGTGACCAACAGTAGAAAATAGCCTCCACCCTCCATTAAGGTCATTATTGCCCTTTCCATATGGAAAGCTGGCATCTGTGTTAAAATGCAATTATCTTTCACTTGCAGCAGAGTGCTCAGAAACAGTTAATTTTTTCCTTTTAAAGTTCAGCTTTATTACTTCCTGGAAGAATTCCAGATTTTAACAGATAAACCATCCAGAAATAGGCCGGGACTAAATGACTGGAGAGAACTCTACTTGCATCCACATATCCAAGGGCCTCCAGGAGTGGTCTGTGATGTAATTTCAGCTCGTAACAAGCTAGGTGAATGCTGAGGTTTGAGGGTAACAGAAAGTACTTCTCTACTGGCCTGTGACCAGAAATAGAGTCCTGGACCTCAGTGAGCCAGTGCCATTGTGAAATTTGAGGGAAGGTTGCTAAAACACTTTTGATTGCTCCCATGATTACATAAAAGGGAATAAGGTCAGTTATTTCATCAGAGTAGGAAGCAGCGATTCGAAAGCCAAATGTCCAAATGGGGTCTATGGAATTATTCTGCTTCCCTTTGCCACAGTGGCCCGTGCTGAATTTCATACTAAGGACAATAATTTGAAGACCAAGAGCTTATAGAGAACATTATTTGTTAAAAGCACTATGTCTGCTTCTGAAATTAGACTCTCTGGAATCAGTGGAATCCTTGTCTTTGAAGACAGCCACCTCTTAGAAGAAAGATGCTGCATATGTACACTGTCAACTTACTCTATCATTATTACTTAATTATAAAATAACATATTTGAAGTGCGTATGTTAATACCATGTCATTTGCATATTATTTTACTGAATTTCATTATCTCAGGGGTTCTCTACATGGCAGCAAACATGGGTGCTAATTATCTGCTTGTCTTTGAATATCTGAGACTTGCCCCTGCCGCAGGGCCTTTGAACTTGCTGCCTTTGCTTATTCTTTTTTTGTTGTTTGTTTGTTTTTTGAGACAGAGTCTCTCTCTGTCACCCAGTCTGGAGTGCAGTGGCACGATCTCGGCTCACTGCAACCTCCGCCTCCTGGGTTCAAGTGATTCTCCTGCCTTAGCCTCCCCAGTAGCTGGGATTACAGGCCTGTGCCACCGCATCTGGCTAATTTTTGTATTTTTAGTAGAGATGGGGTTTCACCATGTTGGCCTAGCTAGTCTCCAACTCCTGACCTCAAGTGATCCACCCGCCTTGGCCTCCCAAAGTGTTGGGATTACAGGTGTGAGCCCCTGCGCCTGGCCCTCTGCTCATTCTTTGGTCTGTAGATCAAATGATCTCTCTTCAAAAATGCTCTTCTCCCTTATTGAGTATTAATATTCCTTTTCAACCTCACCACTCTTCTGTCTCCCTTTTGTTTCTCTGTTTATTTTCTTTATTGAAAAATTTACCAGCTGATTCCATTCTGCTTATTCATGTCTTTGCTTAATTCCTGTTTTTCTTTCTCTCTGGAAAGTAAGATTTGTGAAAGTAGAGATCCAGGCTGCCTTGTTTTTCACAGAATTCTTAGAATCTAGAGCAGCTCTTGGCTCATATCAGATACTCCATGAATATTTGTTAAATATACTTTTCAAATAAAAAAAAATCCCAAGGAGGAAAAGGGATGTCTACTCACCTGCACCACTCCTGTACAGGAATCCAAAAAGATGCATCCTTTGGGTTCTTTGGATATTTTCTCATCTTTGTAAAAGTTCATAATGTAGGAGTTATCTGGTAACTGAGTCAGCTGGAAGTAGCGCTTTTTGAATGACTAAATAAAGGAAAAGATATAAGGAGATATTCAAATTGTAATGTGCTATTACTCATAGAAATTAGAATTATTCTAATTCCTTCAGGAGTGCTATATTTCTAGGACATTTTTCTAGAGAAGAGCATCCTACTTCCTCATAAATAAAATATTATATGAAACATAAACTCAATGCAAATGGCTCTCTTCTGTGCTGTGACCAGAGGAGGGAGTGTTAAGAAGGGTGACAGAGATAAAGATGAGTCTTGATATCTCCTTACCCGAACAGTAACGGTGTTGTTCACGGTGCTGTTAAAATTCCCCTTGTAGAGCCAGCCGGACTTGAAAACACCAGTTCCTCCCGCTCCTCCACCCCCCTTGGAAGACGAGTGGGAAGTGGTATCCTGTAGGAAAGGCATAGTAGCATGACAGCCATCTTTTGTGGATCCTAGATCCTAGACACTGCATTTAAAAAAGAGACTCCTCTTCCTCTCTTTGACTCATCTTAAATAAGCATGTTCAATTTCAAAACAAACGTGACTCATTTTGACTAAAAGCCCTACCACCAACAGCTACTACAGCTTACAACAAACCGGTCAGAACTCGAAACTTTCAGT
Source organism: Homo sapiens (assembly GCF_000001405.40). Lineage (NCBI taxonomy): Eukaryota > Metazoa > Chordata > Mammalia > Primates > Hominidae > Homo > Homo sapiens. The sequence continues at coordinate 224,886,399 of NC_000002.12, forward strand.
GCAAGACAGAAACTAATTATCCTCATGTTTTAAACATCTCACTTTCAACTATTTACTTACTTCATCCTTATCAGCATCTTCATGGTCAATCTCAAAGGAATGTGAAGGAAGCTTCTCTGGTTTGTATTCTGCTCTGATATTAAAAAAAAAAAAAGATTCTGATTTGTCATTGGAGACAGCTTTCATTTTAAGTTGCTCCCCAGGTAACAATAACAACTATGGTGCTGGTGTTCTTACAAATTTCTGTAAAATAATGTAATCTTTTGAGTGTCTCATTTCCTTTGAAAGTATTAACTTTCCTCTGCCATGATATCTTATCTCCAGTATATAAATCTCTATTTTAAACCATGGAGTTACTAATTATATATATATATTTGAGACAGTCTCACTCTGTCGCTCAGGCTAAAGTGCAGTGGCATGATCTCGGCTCACTGCAACCTCCACCTCCCGGGTTGAAGCGATTCTCATGCTGCATGCAGCACCCCCAACACCCCCCCAAGTAGTACCTGGGATTACAGGCATGTACCACCATTTTTGTATTTTTTGTGGGGATGGGGTTTTGTGATGTTGGTCAGGCTGGTCTTGAACTCCTGGCCTCAAACTATCCTCCCACCTCAGTCTCCCAAAGTGCTGGAATTATAGGCATGAGCCACTGGCGTTTGGCCTTCTAATTACATAAACTTACACATATCTTTTTGAGTTAGATGTAGGCAAGCAGGACAATTTGAAAGGTTGGGGAGTTTCTATTTTCCTTCCCCCACATTTGTAGGTGGAATCACTACTTAATAAGTAGTGATATTTTCATTGTCATTTCTGTGTCATCTGTATGTGACATACTCAAGGGTACACAGTAGTCACTGGAAGAGCCCCAGCCCTGAAGAACCATGACCCTGAGAACCAGTCTGTACTGTGGCCACTAGGCTGTGTTGCTCCCTAACCATGGCCTCCTCAAAAATGTGCACCAAAGGGACTGGTAGCAATTACACTTACTTTGTGCATTTCCATGGTATCCTAGAAATGCCTATTCAAGTTGCAACATCTCCGACCAGCTCAGAGAAACAAGAGTGTGCATCTGGTTTTATAAATGGAAAATAAACCACAAATAAGTTTTCTTTGGCTTGATTCTATCTCATAACTAATGGTTGAATGGAAACCAGACAATACCATCCAAAGTATGGGCATTTCTTGATGTCTAGCTGTTTGGCCCCCTTTACTATATAAACTCCCATGTATAAAAATTTCATGGGATGTTTTTCTTTTTTAAAGTAAATTTTATTGGATATGCTTGAGGTTTACAACATGGTGGTATGGGAGGGATACATGTAGATAGTAAAATGGTATTATAGTGAAGCAAATTAACATAACTATCATCTCAATAGTTACTTTTTTGTAATAAGAGCAGTAAAATCTACTGATTTAAGCAAAATCACTAATGCAATCTGATTTCACTAACTTTAGTCCTCTTGTTGTACATTAGCTCTCTAGACTTCATCCTGCACATGTGCTACTTTGCATCAGTTCATTGACTTCTCCCTGTTTCCTCTCACCCCTGGTAACTGTTGGTGAGAATGTAGATTGCTACAAGCATTATGGGAAACAGTATGGAGGTTTCTAAGTAAATTAAAAATAGAACTAGCATATGACCCAGCAATTCCTCCTCTGGGTATATATTTGAAGGAGATAAAGTCGCCAGCTTATAAAGATATCTGCACTCCCATCATCATTGTGGCATTATTCATACTAGCCAATATATGGAAACATTCTAAGTGTCCATTGAAAGAGGAATGGATAAAGAGAATGTTTAATATATTAATATAGGCCTGTGTGTGTGTGTGTGTGTGTGTGTGTGTGTGTGTCTAGCATTCTCTTATCTATTCCTCTGTCAATGGACACTTAGGACGTTTCCATATATGTGTGTGCGTGTGCGTGTGTATACATGTGTGAATACATATGTGTGTGTCTGTATGTATTGTATGTATATGTGTGTGAATATATATGTGTGTGCATGTATATATGAATATATATGAGTGTATGTATATATGTGTGTGAATATACATGCATGTATGTATATATGTGTGTGAATACATGTGTGTGTATAGCATTCTCTTTATTCATTCCTCTGTCAATGGACACTTAGGAGGTTTCAATGTATATGTGTGTTTGTCTGTGTGTGTATGTATATACGTGTGTGAATATATATGTGTTTGTATGTATATGTGTGTGAATATATGTGTGTATATATTTATGTGAATATATGTGTGTGCATGTATATATGTGTGAATATATATGTGTGTATGTATATGTGGTGTGAATATGTGTATGTATGTGTGTGAATATATGTGTGTATGTGTGTGTGAATATATATGTGTATGTATGTGTGTGAATATATGTTTTTGTATGTGTGAATATATATGTGTGTATGTATGTGTGTGAATATGTATGTGTGAATATATTTGTGTGTGACTACATATGTGTGTATGTATATATTAATGTGTGTGTGTGTAAAATGGAATATTATTCAGCCTTAAAAAGTAGGGATTCTGCCATTTGCCATGATATGGATGGACCTGGAGGACACTATGCTAAATGAAATAAGCCAGACGTGGAGAAAAAAATTGTAGGATCTCATTTATATGTGGAATCTTAAAAAAATTAAATATGCAGAGATAATAAAACGGTATTTGTTTTAAGATTATTTATATTGTGTAAAAGCAACCTCTGAATCTGACTATTGAGAAAGGAAAGATCAGAAGTGCATTTGGTATTCACATCAGAAATTATTTCCTATGTTGATGGTACTCCAGATAGGAAGGTGAATGATCAGAGCTCTTTAGACTTAAGTATGCATAAAATTGCTATTCTGTGCACTCACATAGGTGTTAAGTGAGGGCTTCAAAATATGCTTACCCTCCCTTCATTTTCAGCAGGGAAAGTTAGAGCACAAAAGGAACATTGGCCTCACTGTTAAACTATGAAAAGCCTGAGATCAGAACCATGTTCTCCATTCCTGATAAGAAGTGTTTTTTATTGTGATAAAATAGACATAACATGGAAATTTATCATTGTAATCACTTTCAAGAGATGGTATTAGAAGCCTGCATTTAGGAAAGGTGAATCTTTAATAAGCACATTAAGTAAGATTGCTGCCATTTCTCTCTTCCAAAGGAGGTTATCCTTTCTTCTTGTAGAGTCTTAGAGATAGTCAAGCCTATCACTGCTGCCTGCACTGATGTTAACTTGTTCTGCCTCTTTTGGTCAGGGTCAACTTTATGGGATGGCAGAGGAAGTAGCAGAAGACAGAGTTCTTTTAGGATCACTGGGAAATTCTTGCTACCCCACCAAAAATATTCCTTTTCTCCTTAATACCATCTAACATGCTCTGAACAAGAAGCAGTCTCTCTCACCTTTTAATTTGATTGGCAAAAATAAAGCCTGTAAATACAACCCTTCCCTCTCCCCCACTCCTGTGAGAGGTGACATGTTGCCTGAGATTCAGAGGAAGGTTCCAATGGTTGATTTCAGAGCAATTGCTCCAGGTACCCTGTCTGCAGAGAACAGAAGATGAGTGTTCCAGGATTCTTAAAATGGTGGCACAGCAGTAAAGAAAGAACGGAGGAAACATCCCAAGTGAATGAAAAAAGAGTGAATCGGGAAAACCAAGGAAGAGGCAACAAAGACAAACTTGAAAGTGGAATGTCAACATTTGGCCCCGTGCTAGTCATTTCCCATCAGTTTCATTTGACCTTGATGCAATGGTATTTGTTTCTGAACCTCCTATTCTGTCCTCTTTGGCCAGCATGGCTTATCCTTCCTTCCAAAAGAATAATTTTGTAGGTATTTGTTCTCAATAACTGTGGATCACAATACAGGCCAGGCGTCGCATTAATGTAAATTTCCGCAAGATACTTATAAACAAGGAGGAGAGAAAGCCTTTCAAACTAGTAACGATGTAAAAACAAAAATGTGATGAAACAAAGTAAGGTTCTCTTGAATTTCAATGTAAAAGGCTAAATGCTTGTGAAAGTTTTTTTCACAAATCTCCCAGTTGAGAAGTGGAACTAATGACTGAGATAGACTATAAATTTCACAAAAAAGCCCATAGATTTAGTGACTTATGACCAACTCAGCTCAGAATGCCGCAGAAGTGTCTGTCACTGGAGGATGTCTAAACAAACTACAGTAGATCCACACACAGGAATGTTACTCAGAAAGGAAAAGAAGCTACTGATACGTGCAACAACGTGGATATCACTCAGAAGCATTGTGCTGAGTAAGAAAAGCTAGAAACAGGAACACACATGGTATGATTCCATGGTTATGAAAATCAGAGCACTGATTGTCTCTTGGGGGAGAGAAAAGGAGAGGTGAGGGTTAACCAGGGAGGGGTGGTAGTTAACTCTTTGGGGGTGATAACATTGTTCTGTTATCTCAACAGAGGTTTGAGTTGCACACGTGTACTGTGGTCAAAAGTTATCAAATGGTTCACTTACAATTTGCATGTTTTCTTGTATGTACATTTTATATCAAAAGAGAAAAAATGAACTGCAGACATCTATAGCTGTATTTAAAGGCGTGCATTCCGAAGAGTCTAGAGAGGCAGTGTGTCAATGTTTTAAATTCCACTTTAAAATGACCAAAAAATAAACCAAATTGATAGATGTCTAGAAGGATGGATGATGGATGGATGGATGGATGGATGGATGGGTGGATGGATGGACAGGTTGTGTAATAAAACAAATACAGCAAAACATGAAAGACACATTCTAGGTGATGGGAATAGTGGGATTCATTGTACACCAATCTTTTAACTTTTTCCTAGGTTTAAAATTTGCAGAAAACTTTTAAAGTGATGTGTGAAAAATTTGAAAGTGTTGAAATTATACATAGAGTGACCAAAAGTGATGTCTTCTGAACTGATTCTTTTTTATAGTAAAGATAATAAAAAATTGTACAACAGATACATATAAACTATTCTCAAAGTAAAGGTTGAGTAAAAATTTCTCAGTGATTTTTCCCTGATATTTTTGAAGAATAGATGATTTAGAAAAGAGAGAAGAGAGCTTCAGACAAATGATTGGAAACGTTTTTAGGAATTTCCCAAATGTCATATTTAACGCTATATTACAACTTATGACATTTCCATACTCTTTCTTTAATAAAATAAAACTTTATTTAAACATCCACTTTAAGTATTAATGATTCAAAAATAACTCAGAAGATATGAGACAGAGAATACCAATGAAGTCAATAGCAAAACTCAGAAGATATGAGACAAAGAATACCAACGAAGTCAATAGCAAAACTCAGTCAACCCCAGTAGTCCCTAGCCACATCCATGCTGATCTTAATCTTCACTTTTAAAAATTATGCAGACCAGAGACTGTCAATTTAAGTCAGATCTGGGGCTAGGGTTGTAGTGAATGTAAGCGTGCCACTTCACTGGTGGTTTTTCTTAATTCTGAGTTTGCTTGATCAAATTCAAAGTGCATTATTGAGAACTGTCTTAATTCTTGGGGGCCATTCTCCTTTGCCATTCAACATTCCAGTTTCCAGATATTACCTGGCTCCCAGAAGAGCTGCAATAATGTCAACCACATATCAGAAAATAAGTTCCTGAACTGAGGAAGCTTGCATTCTAGGGGAGGAGAGAGTCAATCATGAATTAAGCAGAAATAAGATAATTTCTCTGAGTGAAAATGGTTGTTAAGAAAATCAAGGCTGGGTGTAGCAGCTCACGGCTGTAATCCCAGCACTTTGGGAGGCCGAGGCTGGTGGATCGCTTGAGGTCAGGAGTTAAAGACCAGCCTGGCCAACATAGTGAAACCCTGTCTCCACTAAAAACACAAAAAAATTAGCCAGGCATGGTGGCCTACACCTGTAATCCCACCTAATTGGGAGGCTAAGGCAGGAGGATCCTTTGAACCCGAGAGGTGGAGGTTGCGGTGAGCTGAGATTGTGTCACTGCACTCCAGCCTGGGGACGAAGTGAGACCCTGTCTCAAAAAAAAAAAAAAAAAAAAAAAAAGAAAGAAAGAAAAGAAAAGAAAAGAAAAAAATCGAAGAGGAGAAAGAGGAGAAGAGCGATGAGTGATCCTTGTGGAAATGGCAAAGGCCACGTGTAGAAAGACTCTTCAAGGATGGCCTCTCTCGAGAGGTAACATTTAAATTGAGGAGGAGAAGCAGCTGGTTGTGTGATGACCTAGGAGAAAATCCCCTGGCAGAGGGAGCTGCAAGAGTACAGGTTCTGAGGAGGGGCCAAGTGTGGAGCATCCAGGAAGGAAGGCTGTAGGGGCTGGAAACAGTGCAGGAGGGAGGGCTGCGGGAGGGAGGCCTGTCCAATGCCCTTGGGCAGGGAAGGCAGACAGTGCTTGGATCATTGCTGAGGCTTGAGGGCTACTGAAGATTCTTATTTCCCAATCCGGTTTTTAATAAGCCACAAGGCACAGCCTCCTGCCTTTAAAGAGCAATCTTCAAGCTCAGTCACATGTCTGTGGGGCTACTATGCAATGACTTCTCTCTTTTAAAGGTCATGAAAAGATCAGCACCTGTGGCTATTGACTTTAAAATTCTTCCCCCAGGACCATTGCGTGGTCTCTAAGAGCCTCGGGGATACCAAGATAAAGGGCTCATCCCAGACCTTACCCTTTGGTGTTTGCATCCGACATTGGTGATAACTATAGGCAGCCTCATTTCTCTTTTCTCTGACCAAATGACCTGGATTACCCAGTGTGGGATGCCTGAGTGCCCCATCAGTTATCAGCTGTAAGTTTTGGGGTAAATTCCCTCTCAGTTTCCGAGTTTCTGCTATAAAATGAGGATAACAGTTCCTATTCCATAGGGTTATGAGTATTAAATGAGATAATGCATGTATGACACCCAGCACATTCTGGCTCACTGTAGACACTCAAAAAAATGCTCTTTTATTAAAAAAAAAACAAAAACTGTTCTATTTCAGCCCAGCTAAGCTGGTCACACTTTATTTGATCTTTAGTCACAATTTATACTCTTATGAATTTTTCTTCCTTACATCTTCTTTCTATCAAATCGACCATGGTAAAAAATTTTAATATGTCACACATCTCTGTATTTTACCCAGTGGATTAATGAAATCAGTGGCATCATATATTTTTATGCTGCTTTTTTCTTCTGGGATCTCCAAGTTAGTGCTGATTTCTATTCCTAGTGTGTAAAGGCTTACATTTTCCATTCTAGCCTGAAGTCATCTATTTCTTCAGTATCTTCCTATGGACCCTCGCTTAAAAATAAAAAAAGTGAAAATCTTAAGAGTCAATAATACACATTTAAATTTAAAGAATAAATTTCACCTTTTTTTTTGCTTTTCTATAATTGCAAATTTTCATTTTGCAGTCTCAGCAACTCATAAAAAGAAATAAGCAATTTAAATTGGTAGCAGACATAGGAGAATTCTTCTAATCCAGGAGGTATGAAAATGATTTACTTCTATTAGCCTCGGAAGACCCAAGTAAATTGTCTGTTTCCATTACTGACCTAAATACATGTAGTCTTTAGAGGGGAATGCTTAGCTTTGTAAAATCATTTTAAAGAATAATTCTGCTGTTCAGTGCTCATCTTCATTGTTCTGGGGTATATCTGAAAGGGTTATATTTTTGAACTTCTGATTTTCAGTTTGAATACATAAAGTTTCTTACTTTGTGGCAGTCTGATTCTTCCCTTTCTTGGTATTAACTTCCACTTTCTTTAGTTAAAGTAAGGGAAATTCTCAACAATACTTCAGTTAATTTTTTTTATTTCTTCTCATGAGATTAATCTTGCAAACTATGAGAATTGCAATTAAGCAATAATGTCCGGGATTGGTTTTTTCTAGAGATGCTTTCTCCATTGTTTTAACAGAGGAAGAATACTGTGAATGTGAAATCTCTAATTTGCTTTCTTTCTTTACAGCATCATGAATATAAGGAAAGATGAACAGTGTTTGGGGATACAGCCACTGAAGAGTGTAATGGACCTAAAGATGGTGGGAACACATTTAGTTAAAAGGATGGCTAAATACGGCTGTCTCCATCCTCTCAACTTGAGATGCAGTCTCCCAACTTCCGAGTTGTAACCACTTCTCAGAACTATTTTCAGAAAGAGGAAGTCCTGATGTTAAAAGATGCTTTGCTTTTCAGTTGTGCCTACAAAAACTGTGTCATGAACACCCAGACATTCTGAATGTAACAATTACTCATGAAAGCTTAGGGTGTGGTAAACCTTCCCAACATGAAGTTGCAAGAGCTTGTCTATCAGCAGGGATTCAAGTCAAAAAGAATGCTCAAAGATCTGGTAAACGTTACTGTTCAGTGTTTTGAAAAAAGATTTGCAGTTTAGAAGGGACATACTTTTTTTCTCTTCACGGTAATGAAACCCCAAAATAAATGGCCTCCTCCTGTCTTTTTCTTCGATTGCCACCCCTGCAGTCCCATTCTCCATAGAGTAGCCCAAGAGTTCTTTCAAAGAGGTAAACCAGATCATGCCACACCCCTGGTTGAAATTTCCAAAGGCTTTTGTTGCAATGAAAGTAAAATCCAAGCTCCTTTCCAGGGCACACAGGGTCCCTTGCCTAAGGTCCTTGGTTTCATCTTATTACGCCCCTTTCATCCTTAAGCTCTAGCCTTCCTGACTCAAGTGACCATACTGGTTCCCACCACTTCAGGGTCTTTGCCTTGCTGCTTCTCCAGAATCCTTTCCCAAGATGCCTGTGTTGGCAGCTACTGCCGATTCATATCCAAGATCAAATGTCACCTTCTTAAATCTAGTTCATAATCCCTCTTTCAAATTCCGCATTCGGAAATTGAGAGCAATGCTTCCAAGTATACAAGTCTTGAAAAGGTGCTTCTGGGGCCACAGGAAATATAGCAAAGTGGTTCCCAATTCTGTACCATGTGTCTATTAAAAATTAGATCCAATGTGTATCATATCAGTGCTTCACTTGAGGAGAGTGTTAATACAAACTTAACTTTTGATTGTTTCAAGTGTTTTTCTGAATTATTTACATAATCTTAGCTTGATGAACCAGTGAGTTGGGTAGAACCAGTTCAAGGAAGTTCTTTAAATATGAGCAACTCCAAACCCATCCAGGAATATTATATTTTAAAATTTGCCATTTACTCTGTTTGTTCGTCCAATAAGTAATTATAGTACTGCACACCTACTATGTGCCAGGCATTCTTCTTACAGGCCTGCAGGGGATTCTGCAGGGAAAAGTCCCTGCCCTTTGGGGATTTTTACTTTAGAAGGGGAAACAGACACTGAATTAATTTCTATTTTTGTTCAGGTAGTCAGGTGAGCTTTTCTGTGGAGGTGACTTTTGAGCAGAAGCAGAACAAAATTACTTTCTCCAAAGGCTTATGTTCCTGAGAGTCAGGAAAAAATCAGGTGTTTATTTTCCTTTTGGTTGTGTGTGTGTGTGTGTGCGTGTGTGTGTATATATATATATATATATATGTCTTTTGTGGAAGTTGTTTATTTTCATGACTTCTGATATCCCAGCATGAAAATACATGAAACAAGTAACAAATATGAATGCTATACAGAATATTGTCAGAAAAACTATTTGGCCATATGGTACTTTTCTAATCTTCTTGTGCCTGCTATTGAAAAAACAGCTCACAGAATAATAATACAATGATAAATGAACGTCAAAACTACATTAAAAAATTAAATCAGAGTATATTTATATCTGAATCCAAACTCTGTGATGATGCAAACTACACATGTTGAACAAAATGTCCTATCTTGACTCTTACTTATACATTTTGGAAAATGTGCCTTGACAGAAGATTAATGTACGTGTATTCATGAACAATGGCAGGACTAGAACAGAGGATGTCATCTATATTTGGAAAAGACCAATAAGTGCTCATAACAGGTTCTTACCGGGGTAGCTGTCGAATGTCTCCAGAATATTGTTCATATTTGTAGTTTACCACATGCCACTGGGAACTATAAAATTTACAAGCCTGAAAGAAAGAAAAATGACAATTATTAATATAAAAATTATCATTAAAAGGCTGGGCGCGGTGGCGCTTGCCTGTAATCCCAGCACTTTGAGAGTCTGAGGCGGGTAGATCACCTGAGATCAGGAGTTCGAGGCCAACCTGACCAATATGGCAAAACCCCAAAACTCCATCTCTACTAAAAATACAAAAATTAGCCGGGCCTGGTGGCGGGTGCCTGTAATCCCACCTACTCGGGAGGCTGAGACATGAGAATAGGTTGAACCCAGGAGGTGGAGGTTGCAGTGAGCCGAGATCACGCCACTGCACTCCAGCTTGAGTGACAGAGTGAGACTTCGTCTCACAAAAAAAAGAAAAAAGAAATCATTAAAAATAATCAACTGCCTAAGCAAAAAGTACCATGAAGACAGGTCTTGTGCCTCTGGGGTGCTGTGAAAGCTAGCAACTTAAAGGTAGATAAGGAGCTTGCTCTTTCCAATCATTTTCAATTTCCCATGGAAATCTAACCATTTCCATTCCATTCTTCCATTAAATAGGGGGAACTATTTAACATATTTATTCTATTTTACTTTATCAAAAAACTAGTTTAATTGCCCCTGAATCCTACCAGATATGCTGCTAACCTCAAGAACCATCATTTTTCAGCTTCCTTTGGCAAGCCCTGACATGATCTAAGAGTTCTTAGTAGGAAAAGATGTTATTATTTATATAAGAGCCTTTTGTCATGATTTTAGCCCATTCCTTCTTGTCCTTACTTCAGTAACCAATCTTTTCCATTTTGTATCATTGCTCCTGTTAGCCTGAAACTAGCTTTTCAGTTTTATCTCATGCCTTCTAAGGCACAGTCTTTCTCTGTGATTATTCATAGTTCTATTTTGTTTTATTTTATTTTTAATTTTTGTGGGTACATTGCAGGTGTATATATTTACAGGGTACATGAGATGGTTTGATACAGGCATGTAATGTGTAATAACCACATCATGGAAAATGGGGTGTCCATCCCCTCAAGCATTTATCGTTTGTGTTATGAACCATCCAATTATACTCTTTTAGTTATTTTTAAATGTACAATTAAATTATTATTGACTATAGCCACCCAGTTGTGCTATCAAATAGTAGGCCTTATTCATTCATTCTAGCTATTTTTTGGTACCCATTAGCCATCCCCACCTCCCCTCCACCCCAGCCTCCGGTAACCACCCTTCTACTCCCTTTCTCTGTGGGTTGAATTGTTTTCATTTTTGGATCCCATAAGTAAGTAAGAACATGTGATGTTTCTCTTTCTGTGCCTGGCTTATTTCACTTAACATAATGATCTCCAGTTTATTCATAGATTTTATAAACAGATGTGAATAACTGATAAGCAAAAATGATTTAGAAACATTAATGGCACAAAATAGTTATCATATAGTGGTACGTAATGACGGATTATATAATATTTATGGATGGAAATATTTTCCAAACACCTACCATGCACCTAGCACTGTACTGATCATAGATCTGTAATGGGATTTCACCTGATGGCTTTTGAGACTCCTTTCTATTCTAAAATTACATGATTCTGGGGAGTAAGCAGCTATCATTGGGATTATATGAACACCTGTTCTTTAGCATTAGGGGGAAAATGAAGAGTAATAAACCTATTGCACTGTGAGGAGTAAAGACCTGTGATTGTCTTTGTAAGCAAGAAGGGAATAGGTAAGGTGCAGGACTGCTGCAGCAAAGAAAGCGTTAGCACTGCCTTTGCAGAAAGGATGGAGGGGGGTGGCCTAGTGCACATCATAGAAAGGTGGACGGAGAACACATGTTCCAGGCAAGAGGCTCGAGATGCATGAAAAACGCAGGGCGAGGGGACGGGGCTGTTCTGGATTTTTCTGGCCTGGAGTTCTCTCAGTACCACGGCTTTATTTGTTCAGGGAGGTGCCCATACACAAACTGGGGACTGAGGACAAAACAAGGAGTGACCCTGGGACAGAGGTGGGCATAGGAGGATGACAGCTATGAAGGCAGGACAAAAGGAGAACTTAAAAACGAAACAGTGGCAAGACAGACGAATGTAGAGAAGAATAGTAAAAGGGAAGTCAGGGGATCTGGAAGTACTGGAATGGATGGGGAATTTGAGCAAAACAGTATGGTGAGCTGTAGCAACTTGCCAATGCCTGAGCCAATTCTGCAAAGCACGTGTTTCTGGAAATAAGAGGAAAATTGAGCCTTTTTTTTGAGACGGAGTCTCGCTCTGTCGCCGAGGCTGGAGTGCAGTGGCGCGATCTCAGCTCACTGCAAGCTCCTCCTGCCGGGTTCACACCATTCTCCTGCCTCCGCCTCCGGAGTAGCCAGGACTACAGGTGCCCGCCACCACGCCGGGCTAATTTTTTGTATTTTTAGTAGAGACGGGGTTCACCGTGTTAGCCAGGATGGTCTCGATCTCCTGACCTCGTGATCCGCCTGCCTTGGCCTCCAAAAGTGCTGGAATTACAGGCGTGAGCCACCGCACCGGGCTGATAATTGAGCCTTAATATGCTCCTTTGCTGAAATGTTTTATCTTCATTTTGGATAAAGATGCCAGGGATTTAGACAAGGAACATACAGGTCAACAGTATCCAAGCCAAGGAGACAGAACTTTCATGGTTATAATTCTTTCTCATCCCCTCTCTCTTCCTTTCCTTTTCTTTCTTTCTACCTTGCTGTGGTTCTCAAATGAAACAAAATCCATTTTAAAATGGAAAAAGAAGAGCATAAAACCCACTCCCTTTTTGCATTCCCTTTCAATCCTTTTTCTGTTGCATAGTTTAATGTAGTTCCCCCTAAGTATTTATTTGAATATGAATATTGTTTTTTATTTACTTCATAACATATTCTATAGATTTTTACACTTGCTTTCTAATTTTATAACCACTTTAACTAAGTAGAATAAAATATTATCCCCTAATTCCCTAGCCCAGTCTCCTCATTTTGGAGATCATTCATCCATGAATTCATTGAACAAACATTGAGCCCTACTAGGTTACCCGGAGTTGCTCTGGGTAGTGTGAATATAGCAGTTAACAAAAAACAAAATTCCATGCCCTCTTGGATTGACCTCCTTGTGAAGAGCTGATCAATAAACTAAAAACTAAGTAAATTGTGTTATATGTTAGAAAATGGTGGTGTCATGGGAAAAATAAAACAAAGGAAAGGGGCTGGGAGATTTGGAACAAGGGAATTAATTTATATAGGCTGGTTAGCATGGAGCTCACAAGAAAGGTGAGACTTGAGCAAAGATGTAAAGGAGAGAACAAAGTGAGTCGTTTTTATGGCTACTTCCAATTTTGGGATATTATAGAAAAAAAATGCCCCAGAGTATATCGTCATGCATATGGCCCTCCTACTCTCCCCCTATACCACCCTATTTTGATTATTTTCTTAGGATAGAATGCTCAAAGTATTTTAAGGATTCTTTGATAAAAATAGAAAATTGCCAAACCAGTGTATATTCTAAGTTAGCAAAATGAAAATAGAGGGTACAGCCTTGGGAACTAGGGGATAGAAGGCTTTATTCTTGTCCTGGGACTAGGACTGACTCCTGATGTGATCTTGGTCGAGACATTTTATTTGTTTGGATCTCAGATTTAGTTCTTGGGCATTCACAATATTGGACTGGATTAGAAATTTCTGCAGCATCATTTCTATCTCCACACTTTCTGATCTGGAGGTTTCAATGGGACACAGATGCAATGACTTACTCACTGCCCTTTCTTGCTATTGATGGTACCTATGTTTGACCATGATAAACATGTACACTCATGCATGTTATGCATGATGTTCACAATATGCCACAGGTGTAGCCGAATCTAAGATATGCTAGTCTTGAATTTCACTGACAAAAATGAATGTGGCACTTTCTTATATTAGTATGATACTAGTAAAAAAAAAAACACAAAACTTTCTTTTTTTAAAGCTATAAATGTTTGTCAGATACTGTACTACTAAGCACTTTGCATACAGTCTTAACAAGCATTCTTTGAGACTATTATTCCCATTTTATAGATTAGAGAGGCAAGCAGAGGTTCAGATCTTTGACCTAGGCCCCATAGGTGGTAGAAATACAATTTCAAACTGGATTTGTCTGATTCTAAAAGTCTATTCAGCTAATTTATAAATTGTTTGATGGTTGCAAACCTTAAAAATGAACCGCACATTTGGACCATCATTCTGGATGTTTTGTGTAATATTTCTGTTTCTGTTTTAGAATCAGACAGACCTAGTTTTGAATTTTGGTTCTGCCATTTAATAGCTGTGGGATCTCAAATAGCTTAATATCTCTAAATGCTTTTATCTGCCTAAGTAATACCACCTTCGCTAGGATCAAATAATTTGTGTGAAGCGCCTAGCATAGTGTAAGCCCTCAATAAGTACTTGCTTAACAACATCAGTTTTCTCAGCAAGTTTGTTTCAATCTATAATTCACATTCACAACAGTTAATAATAACAATTTATATTCCTTGATTATTAAAAATGAAGTATTTGAGAAATATATTAGGTCTGATTATCAAAGGGTTCTGTTTAATGAAATTACTTCTGATTTTATTTGCTAGGCTTTATATATCTGGTGGTGGGTAGATGAGAATCACAGTTAGACTAGATGACTCCTAAGAATGCTTCTAAATCTGTGATTTCTGTGATTTTGAGAAAGCCAGTGCATTTTACAAACACATAACCATTTCTCCTACATAGTTATGGCATTTTGGAAATGTTACGCATAGAAAATTATTCTCTATTCTTTGTTCCAGCCCACACAGTCACTCTAAGGAGATCATTAAAAACTATTATAATTATGACTACAGCTCCTCTTTGTCCAAAATCTAAGCTGAAATGATCTGTTGCAAATTCAAAGTCACAGGCTACAACTCTGCTTGGTACAGTAAGACAATGACTCCAATTTTCCCCTACTGACTTCCCAGCCCACGGCACCTGTTTCAAAATGCCAGCTCCTCATCCCCTTTCAACTGGAGGCTGCCACAGTCAGCTTCAAAGGCAAAGGCTGTGAATATTGAGCAAGAGCTTTCTGAGATGGTTAATTACTCCAAACAGCGATGTCCTGGCTCATCTTTTTTCATTTATTATGTTTGCTTAGTTAGCTTTTATGCTTGCCATCTCTGCCTGTATGTGTTTAGACACCAAAAAGCAGGCCAAAGTCAACATGGTCAAAGGCTTTTGTGCCATGAGGATAGAGTTTCCTAAAACGTATATGTCCATGGTCCTTGGAGTGGATAATTAAAATTCAGGCTCCTGGGTCTCACTTGAGATCCACGGAATCAGAATCTCTAGAGGGAGTGCCAAGAAATCTACATTGTAAAAAGTACTACAGGTGATTCTGAAGGACATAGAGAAATGTTGCTACTTCACCAGGTAGATTCCATGATTCCACATGAGTGATAATGTGGTCCAGTCCTTGTCTGACCATGAACGGAGAGCCTTGGGGTCCTAGTTTCACACAGTGGATTCTAGTAGCTGGAATTATCTTCTTGTTTTCACTCATCTAGACACAGCCTTTTAAAAGGACATATCAACTCCAGTATGAGGTTTTATTTATAGTGGACGTTCAATATTTATTTGTTAAATCAATGATCATCTGTATCATTTTCTTCTGGAAATGACAACAAATGATACTTTGAAAGTTCTAAAAATCTAAATGTTTAAAAATGAGTGGGCTATTATAAAGAACACCCTAAGGTGCTGTAAAGAAAATATTTCATTTTTCTCCTTGTTCCTCTGCTCCAGATAATCATTAGAATCAATTCAAATCATGTTACATACCTCAAATAGCAATTTGGGTTTGGCAATGCAATTTGTTCATCTCGTAAAAGGGTTGATTATTGAATTCTGGCTACATAGTAATAAGCAAGTAACATTTTTTTTTCAGATGCAAAATTATTTTTCTTTCTGGCTATAGAGGTTTATTTAATTACCTGACTAGGTTCTTGCCAGAAAGATTAATGCAAGCATAAATGGTGTTCATTTTGGCCCTTAGTCACCACTGGAAATAATTCTGTATTTGTAAAACGATGGTGGCAATTTTAGTATTCATGCCGTTCTTTATAAAGTTGAGAAGTAATTGTGGCTATTGTATAAATGTTGAAAATGAAGCATCATGAAATTGAGTTTAGGCAAATTATGCATTGAAAGAGTGGCCAGATAATTTATTGTTCACACTGAGACATTTCAGAGTGAAAAGAGGCACTATTAGCAAGGTTGACCCTTAGAACATGAGACTGTTCCTGCAAACCAGGATGTGTGGGTCACCCAACACATTGACATTTTAGTGAAAAAGAGAAAAGGCACTGAAAACATTTTTTTTTTTTTGGTCTTCAACTAGATCACACCATGTGTTCTTTTAAAGTGTAATAATTAGTTTCTGCAGTATACAAACCAGTTGAACAGTTAATATTTAAAAACTTGGCTGGGCGCGGTGGCTCACGCTTGTAATCCCAGCACTTAGGGAGGCCAACGCGGGCAGATCATGAGGTCAGGAGACCGAGACCATCCTGGCTAACACAGTGAAACCCCGTCTCTACTAAAAATACAAAAAAAAAAATTAGCCGGTTGTGGTGGCAGGCGCCTGTAGTCCCAGCTACTCGGGAGGCTGAGGCGGGAGAACGGCGTGAACCCGGGAGGCGGAGCTTGCAGTGAGCCGAGATTGCGCCACTGCTCTCCAGCCTGGGCGACAGAGCGAGACTCCGTCTCAAAAAACCAAAACAAAACAAACAAACAAACAAAAAAACTTATACCACACACTCTTGAGGCAGAAGTACAAATAATGAATTTGGGCAAAATAAATAATGTAAATATAAGAATGTCTCAGTTTCAGAAATCACAGCACGATCTAATTTAATAGATCTAATTTAACTGATTCTGGTTTTTAAAAAATACTACTTGATATAAGATGGTGTTACAATATATATAAGCATGCATGCCCATTTGTAAAATATAATGTCATATCAAGGGCCAATCCAGGGGAAAATCATTTTAAGACGATTTTGTTGCTTTGAACTACAGTAGCCTAAATTTTCATTCAGTATTTTATTCATGGTAAATTGAAAGTGAACCAAAATATTTGGTTTCTCTTTTCAAAATGTGCTGTGTTAAGGCAGTTGAATAAATTATAAAAGTAGACTTTTTGACCTGGGAACATGCACTGTAATTTCCCAGCTAGATCTCACAAGTCATTTGTCAGGACATGAATGATGGATGGTACTAAAACACCTTGGTACTATTATGATCCAATCATTGCTCTCATGTAAGGCATAAAAACTGGGTCATTTTTCAGTGCAATTGAAATTTTAGGTTCAAACTTAAAAATGGGTTCTTTTTTATTCTTATGCTCCAAAGCCTCTAACTTGTACATTTGTGTTTTACTGATTTACTGCCAAACATTTTAGGGGGATTTTTATTGTGGAGAAGGGAAAGCCAATTTAGAGTTGGAGGAGGTTTTCATATTTGGAAACAAGACTATTATTCTAGAAATTTTAGTGAATAGAAAATAAGTTTCTTCAGAGTTCTTAATGTGAAACACGTAACCATTTTGTTTTCATTTTTCAACTGTTTTTCCAGATATATTTTATCCTAAGTTCAGTAAATAATACATGCACTTGAATTTATCTTAATCATTTTTTGTGTATTTATTACCTTTAGTGTTATACATTTAGTGTAAAAAAATTGGGGCGATCCATTTTGTTTTGGCCATGATAGGAATATAGTCACCACATATGAACACATCTAGGCCAAATGTAAGACAACAGATTTTAATATCTTAATTTTTCCATTACATTTTTAAAGTCATTAAATAAACATGGCTTTAAATTTATTTTGTAAAAAGTACACACCCAATAAAAAGTTCCTTAACTTCCAACAAGATTTTCATCAGCAAGACCTTCATTAGTGAATGAAGAGCCTTATTTTTCAAAAAATAAAAATCCAAAACCCCCAAAACAAAACCAAAATAAAAATAAAACATACATACAAATATTTTTATCTACATGAATTTTATTAAGAAAGAATGTAACCTTTTAAAAATTTTGAAGCAACGTTTGTGGTTTCATTTTTTTCTCAATATGCTGTAGAAATTTCAATTGTTCATATAGCCCTGAGGTCACACTATAGGAGTTAGTTCTAGGATGAGAAACTCCACACTAACTGTGCTCTGGTCTAAAGTTAAATACATATGAGTCATTCATTTGCTGCCCAGTGTTTCAGGATCAGAAAACAGCATTCATTTTTACTTAATTTATTTATACATGCAACCCACTCTCCCAAATCAACTAGTAAGAGACATTCTTATATATGGGCAAGTGTGAGTGCACAGTATTCTACACATGAGATTCAAAAATTAGTATGAAGCATACTAAACAAAGGCATTTTGGTCAAAAGAATGGTTTCTTTGTCAGCTTACATAATATGTGGTCCAAAATTAAACACAAAGCATATAGAATTATTTTAACTATAAAAGTAAAAAAAGAAATTCCCCATGTTTTCTTGAGACAAGATAAATTTCATTCTAGTTAGATATATTTCTTTCAGTTAAAAATGAGCAGCATGAAGTACTTTTAAATTATAGCCAACTCCCCCTCCTCTGTAATTTTCTTCACTATGTTTAGGACGCAAGTCTTATCTTGAATATTCATAATTTTCTCCTGAATTAATTAAATGCCACTTGTCTGAGTCCAAATGTGCAAGGGAAGAAGAGGAAGACAAAGAGATTTCATTTTCAATATTATACTCATTGGATCTTATTGTTTTTCATGTTTACAGAATTTTGCTCTGCAATACATTAAGCAGTATTTTGGTACACAATTTAAAGATCAATAAACGGCCTATGGAACTATTTTTTTTTTTTTTTTTTTTTTTTGAGACGGAGTCTCGCTCTATCGCCCAGGCCGGACTGCGGACTGCAGCGGCGCGATCTCGGCTCACTGCAAGCTCCGCTTCCCGGGTTCACGCCATTCTCCTGCCTCAGCCTCCTGAGTAGCTGGGACTACAGGCGCCCGCCACCGCGCCCGGCTAATTTTTTTTGTATTTTTAGTAGAGACGGGGTTTCACCTTGTTAGCCAGGATGGTCTCGATCTCCTGACCTCATGATCCACCCGCCTCGGCCTCCCAAAGTGCTGGGATTACAGGCGTGAGCCACCGCGCCCGGCCTATGGAACTATTTTTAACTTTGGTATGCTTTGGGCACTCTGCCTGAAGAATTCTAATATTTTTATTGGGTTTATTCCTGAAGTGGGTTTATGCTTTGCAAGTAAAGGGACACCAATACCCAAATCCAGTGAGCCCCCATCTTGATTCTTCTTTGGCATTTTATGCCATTGATGCACTTTCTCTCGCTATTGACCCTTCTTCCTTAATTCTGAGATATCGGTATCTCCTTGTTCCCCGCTTTCCTCTCTGCCCACTCCTTCTCCATTCTTTACACAGGGTCCTCTTTGCCTGCCCCTTAGTGAGAGTGTGGCTCAGGGACCTGCCTTCTCAGTTCCAGCCCAATTCTCTGGTGTTCATGGGCATACTCTTCCAGGTTTAAAGCTTGAATTTTCAAATCTAGAGTAACTGCCCACACTTTCCTGTGCTCCAGACCTATGTATTTATCTTCTTCTTGGATCTCTCTCTGCATGTTGGCAAATAAGGTTATCTTCTTTGCTTCATCCTTCCAGCAATCTTCACTCTCTTCTGGGCACCTTATTTAAATGAATGGCACAACCATCTAGGTAATAGCCCAAGCCATAATTATGGGAGTCATCATAAACACATTCCTCTTCTTTACTTTATTTTCAGTCCCCAACTCCTGTCAATGCTATCTCCTTAATAGGTCTTTACCAGTACCACAATCGCATAGCCACACAGCTCTTTGTAATCATGCACCTGGACTATTAAAACAAATAGTCTCCTATCTGTTAGTACAGCTCTTTGTAATCATGCATCTGGACTATTAAAACAAATAGTCTTCTATCTGTCCAATTTTTCTTCAATCTTATTCCTTCCCAAGCCGACCAATCCATACTCTGGTATGCTTTTAGTTGTTTCTTCTGACAGGCAAACCTGACCTTGTTTATCTTCATTTATTTATTTATTTATTTTTAGATGGAATCTCACTCTGTCTCCCAGGCTGGAGTGCAGTGTGCTGGAGTGCAGTAGTGTGATCTCAGCTCACTGCAAGCTCCACCTCCTGGATTCACGCCATTCTCCTGCCTCAGCCTCCCGAGTAGCTGGGACTACAGGCACCTGCCACCATGCCCAGCTAATTATTTTGTATTTTTAGTAGAGACAGGGTTTCACCATATTAGCCAGGATGGTCTTGATCTCCTGACCTGGTGATCCGCCCGCCTTGGCCTCCCAAAGTGCTGGGATTACAGGCGTCAGTCACCGCACCCGGCCTTGTTTATCTTAAAGTAGTATACTCCAGGGGGTACTTGTCAGAGTGTGTCGTAGAAATCTAATCAGAGGTCTGTAACTTCTTGCCTGATGGTATGCACCTTGAGGGCAGGGACTGTGTTTAGCCAGTGGTTAAGCCCATGTTGGATAATGAACCTCCTCTAATCTTTCATCCAATGGTTGATTCTCTTTATCACATAATTTCAACACAATGTGATCTGTAGTAACAGTAAATCAGTGGGACAAGAAATTTCTATGTAAATTTCACTCTTTGTAAAGATAATTAGCTCCACCTAACTGAATTGCAATTAGCAGAGTCTTATATACCTCGTTTATGCCACCGGATTCACAGTTGCCCCTAGGACAAGAGAAAGGCTAATCTGATAATTAGGTAGGGGAATGAAGGGAGAAATTTAAGGGCTAAAAGAGTATTACACTGACATTTATGATCATTGTTAATTACTTCAAACTCTGAGAGTAACATTATTTATACTTATAATTTGCTGTATGAGGGTAAGTACATAGAACTACCATCACTGGGGCTTGTGCCGAATTGTGTCTTAGAATTGCATGACCTCCCTGAACACAGGTAGACATTTTCGATGCTAACAGTAAGAATTAAGAATAGAGGGCCAGGCGCGGTGGCTCACGCCTGTAATCTCAGCACTTTGGGAGGCTGAGGCGGGCAGATCACGAGGTCAGGAGATCAAGACCATCCTGGCTAACATGGTGAAACCCTGTCTCTACTAAAAATACAAAAAAATTAGCCGGGTGTGGTGGCGGGCCCCTGTAGTCCCAGCTACTCAGGAGGCTGAGGCAGGAGAATGGTGTGAACCAGGGAGGCGGAGCTTGCAGAGAGCTGAGATTGCGCCACTGCACTCCAACCTGGGCGACAGAGCGAGACTCCACCTCAAAAAAAAAAAAAAAAAGAATAGAGGTTTGGCCATGAAAAGAAAACAACTAATTTATCTGATCTCCTGGAGGGTTTAATATTTTCTTTTTCTGCATTAGAATCAGCCTGAATGAAATGCACATGCCGGTTCACCCAATTGTTGATTTCTGTTTTACTTGAACTACATTGTGCCTCTAGTTTCTGGTGATCTCCTTGGATCACATTTACATTAGCATTTCTCAAAGGTGTTTCTTAAAGATACTTGGAGAAAAATGGACAGAATTTCTACATGGTCAAATACATTTTAGAAATGTTTCATTTCATATCCCCTTCTAAGACAGTCTTGATGGATATTAGCTAATTAAAGACTCTGAATGTGTGTGTGTGTGTGTGTATGTTTCTATGTGTGTGAGACACTTAGGAACATCGTGCAGACCTAGCCTCTTGCCGAACGTTCTGTGCCTACATAAAGTTGGCTTCTGCCCTGATTTAAATGAGTTGTGTGTGTGTGTGTGTATGTGTGTGTGTGTGTGTGTATTTTTTATGGACAGCTAGAGATTTCAACAACATTTACTTCGCCTTAAATCATATTTGTATTTACCATTTAGTCTTGGGTCCTGTTTTCATTTTTGTTTTTTCCTTTCCAGAATTCATTTCTGGTTTGAACCCCTTGCTTAAAATCTGAACTTTTCCTTGCCCCGGTAGCCTAGTACTATTTGGATGAAGACAGTACATAATCATCATCGTTTGTGTGTGTGTGTGTGTGTGTGTGTGTGTGTGTGTGTACATGTGTAGATGTGGCTGTAGAGATAAGTATTTGCTTTTATTCTTTTTTATTTTTCTACGGACAGAGTCTCACTCTGTTGCCCAGGCTGAAGCTCAGTGGCATACGCATGGCTCAGTCATGCAGTCTCAAATTCCTGAGCTCAAGCCATCCTCCTGCATCGGCCTCCTGAGTATTTGGGACTGCAGGTGCACACCATCATGCCCAGCTAATTAAAAAGTTTTTTTTAGAGATAGAGTCTCACTATATGGCCCAAGCTGGTCTTGAACTCCTGAGATCAAGTGATCCTCTTGCCTTGGCTTCCCAAAGTGCTGGGATTACTGGTATAAGCCATTGCACCCAGCCTGCTTCTGTTCTTTCAATGTTATCATACCTCCTAAGTCCCCAAGAGTTTTATGCCATGATCAAAATGAGACTTGGATGAAGTCTCCTCACTTATCATTATTCTACTCCCGCAGCAGCATTGGTTTTCAGAAATCAGAGAGGGCTTTGTTGTCAGAGTAACTTGCTACCTTAGTACTTTGTCAGTATTTCTCTCAGCCATTCAGCTGAAGTGGTCCCTAGACCTTTGTTCCCTCTTGAGCCACTGTATTGTTCTCAATTCTTTGCTCCCTCATCTCCTTTTGTTAAGAGAGACTGAACCAAGAGCTTGGTTTTAATTAGTATGCTGAGCTTTCTTCCAACTTTATATGATCCCTTTGTGTATATTAAAATAAAAGCTTCGTTATAGAAGTTTTGCTTAGGAAGTTTGCATCCTATTTCTAGATCACTTTAATTGCCCCCCTCTCCTCCTCAAACCCCTTGTGGGAGTGGTGCTTGTTTTATCACGGAAGTGTTTAGATATTTTTTATGGTTATGGATGTTCATTTTAAGCCACTTAAGCAGATTCAGATAAAGACAATGCTCTCCAGTAGTTGTTTTCCAAGTGTTTTCATACTATTGCTATATTTATTTTCAGAATCACAGCATTAGGATTTTTCATATCCCTATTTAAAGATGGAAAAACTAAGGCAGAAAAGTTAATAGTTTGCCAAAATGAAGGATACGTTCCCTTGTGAGGAGTGGAAGTACCCTCATCCAGTCAGGCTAGTGAGCATGTGGTATAAAGGAACTTATCAAAGGATCAGAGACAATAAAATGTGTAAGAACATGGAATATTATGTCAAAGATAGCAAAGCCTTAATTCTGGCTCTGTGTGAACTTGGGCGAGTTCATTATTCACTCAGAGCCTGTTTTCTAGGCTGCAAAATGAGGTAGTAATACCTATTTCACAGAGTTCTCAAAAGTTTTCACATACACACAATGTATAAGCAACTGTGTACTCAACTAGAGCTTGATGTTAACATGCAGTGTTTTAATGGATGTGAAATAAGCCTATGCTTTTGTGTGGGGAATGTTTAATTTTACATTTAAGAGATAGGGAGGAGAATTAATAACAGATAAAACAGAAAAGGAAGAAGCTGTTCATTTTAGTGAACTTCCATTAAAATATGATGTCATTGAAGATTAAAAAAAAGAAAAGAATGCCTAATGCCTTTCATGAGAAGCTGAGAATTGTCAAAGTAGAGAGCAGTGAGAGAAAACTCAAATTTTTTACTGAGCTGGATGTGTTGAAACTAGATTCTTGCCAATCTGTTGCCTAGCAACCATGGTATTTGCCCTTGCCACCCCACAGTGAGCCGCAGGGCAATGTAGCACAGGGTGGACCAATAACGTTGCTTAATACACTTGTGGTAGGTCAAGCAAGTGTTTCTACAAAGCTCTACAAACGTCAATGAATTCATTTCAGTGCTAGCATAATCTAGTTTCAAAAATCCAGCCAATGTTCCTGAAAGTGTGGCCCACTGACTGTATGCATCAGAGTCACCTGAGCAGAAACCACAGTGGGGCTGTGAGGGTGAAGACTCAGAGAAGTTTTCTTTCCAGAGGAACATAGCAATTTTATAGCAAAACACCCTATTGGCAGTTAGCATCGCAGTTAGGAGCCCAGGGACGGAGCTGGTGGCATGTGTCCAGATGTTGGATCTGTCTATTCCTGGTTGTCTAATGCTGGCTGGGCAAGTTTCTTAATATTTCTATGACATAGTTTCCTTGTTATTAAAAGGTGATAATGATGATAATAACAAACATATGTTTGTAATTGCTACAAGTAAAGGGCTTAGAAGTGTATCTGGCACAAAGTAAGCAGTCAATAAAGGTTAGCTGCTATTAGCAATTGGGGTCAAGACTTTTTGCAGTGTAATTCTCTGGGACCATTTCCCAGTCTTAGCTCAGCTCTTTGGTGACCTCTTTCTTCTTATCTGCTGTCTCCAGGCCTGACTATTCATGTTCCATTATCATCACGGGATATTTGTAAGCAGGGCTTATCTTCTTCCCATCCTATGAAGCACAGGTTTCACTTTATCTTTATCCTTAAAATCAAGGACTACTATGGGAGTTTTTGCAGGGTTTTCAGTACTAGTGACACAGAAAAATTAGCAGGGAATAAGGTAGTTTTGTCCCAGTCTTCCTCCTTTCTCTCTCCCTTTTTTTTTTCTATTTTAGATCCATACAGTTGAGAAAAAATATGATAAGAAGATTCATTCATGTTGCCCAAGAGAGTTGAATGTTCTGTCCTGAGCTTTGCAACATAAAAGTTTAGCATATATTTGGGATCTAGGGCGAAAGGCACTCTACTTGGTTTCTCCTTGGAGCAGTTCTTAGAGAAGTAAGACGCTGAGGTACAAGAGAGAAAAGAAGTCTACAAGCAGTTGAAAGGGAATTAAGGTGGGAACAAAAGTGAAGGTGAGAAATTTCCCCCAAGGAGCAATAATAAAATAAAGGCAAATTTTGTTGTCAACTTGTCCTCAGCTGAAGGTGACATTCTCAGAGAACTACGGATAGATGAAAAGATCTATCTGGACATTTGAAGTTGTGAGGTAGAAGCTCTTGAAGCACAAGCAAAACTGAAGGCCTCTGGGAACCCTAGAATAGTCCTTTGAAGTCTCTTGTGTTGTATGGATCCACTTATCTGCTTTTCATGCTATCTTTCCCCTGGAAAAGTAGCTACACTTGAAACTTGGTTGGATCTAGAGATTGGGGGTGAAGGTTCTGAATGGTCCCAGAATTTAGAGTTCAGGCTAACTGGCCCCTATCTTGAAAGCATGCCTGGCAATAAAATGAGGCAGTGTTAATAGGCAGGAGCTGAAGGAGGCTGGCAGCCAAATCCAAGGCTCTGAAAGCCTTGGGTTCTAGAGACTCAGAGCCACAAGCTAGGAACATTTGTTCATGTGAGAGCAATTGGAAACTGCTGAAAGCTGGAAATATACAAATGCCGTATACACCCCCAAAGAGAGCAAAAGGACCATGAAATGAAAAGTTCCTAAAACGATAGAAACATTTATAAATCCGTTGTAGTTGGATTAAAAACAACTGATAATGGACTATGTTTGCTGAATGTAATTGACTTCTATGACAGAAAGACAAGCCCAACAGATGGAATCCTAAAGCAAGACACGCATGAGATTTTGAGTGCTCCACATGCCATTTTCATCAGCAAACTAAAACAATAATAATAATAATAAAGAATCTGAAGTAGTCTTTTAGGTATTTATCTAATGACTTGAAGAATTATGTTGGATTTTTAACTTTTGCAGACAAGTTTAGGCAACAGGCTTCAGTTGCTTCCAATTCTGGCAGCATTTAAAAATACATTTTTTTTTTTTTTTGAGTGGAGTTTTGCTCTTGTTGCCCAGGCTGGAATGACGCGATCTCAGATCACTGCAACCTCCGCCTTCTAGGTTCAAGTGATTCTCCTGCCTCAGCATCCCAAATAGCTGGGATTACACGCATGTGCCACTACTCCCGGGTAATTTTGTATTTTTAGTAGAGACAGGGTTTCACCATGTTGGTCAGGCTGGTCTCAAACTCCTGAGCTCAGGTGATCCACCCGCCTCGGCTTCCCAAGGTGCTGGGATTACAGGAGTGAGCCACCATGCCCAGCTGCCCCCATCTCTACTAAAAATATATTCTAACTAATTTTTTCCAAAATAGCTTTTAAATTACAAAATTTATGTGTAATAGCACAACAGAAGAGAATTATATAAGTTGAAAATCAATCTCTCCCCTCCCACTAGAGTCCCAAACTTGTGAGGTAGCCAATGTTATGAGTTTGATGTGTGCATTCTTTTATACTTTTCCTAGCCTTATATAAACATATTTGTGTATATATGTATAGGTTTTATATCTTTCGTGATATCATACTACAATTCTGTGACTTGCTTTTTTCTCCTAACAATATATTATGGGCATCAGGCCGGGCATGGTGGCTCACGCCTGTAATCCCAGCACTTTGGGAGGCTGAGGTGGGTGGATCACTTGAGGTCAGGAGTTTGAGACCAGTGTGGCCAACATGGTGAAACCCCATCTCTACTAAAAATACAAAAGTTAGCCAGGCATGGTGGTGGGCGCCTGCAATCCCAACTACTTGGGAGGCTAAAGCAGGAAAATCGCTTGAGCCCAGGAGGTGGGGGTTGCAGTGAGCAGAGATCGTGCCAGTGCTCTCCAGCCTGGGTGACAGAGGAAAGACTCCATCTCCAAAAAAGAAAGAAAAAAAAATCATGGGCATCAAAACTAAGCTATTTAAATAGATATAATTTTTTATTTGTTTTATATTATTACAAAATATAAATGTGAAAAAATTTTAGCCTCACCCTTATTAATTGATAATTCAAAATTTCCAATGCAGCATATATGTCTTATGAATTACATTTCAAAAGTTACAGATGTGAGTATTTCAAACATCATGTGATCGTGTTTCTTTCACTATATTGTTATTATTGCTAAATGGTATTTATCTTAAATTTTTTCTTCCCTAAAATTATTCTTTTAATTTCTATTTCCATGACTACTAGTGAGGCTGAGCAACCTTGTATGTCTCTTAGCCTACTGCATTTCTTCTTTTAAGCAGCCTGGCCATATCTTTTGCTCATATTTTCTCCGGTTATTTGTCTTTTTAAAAATTAATTTGTAGGATTTTGAATACTAGGAATGTATGTATTTATATGTGAGTGTGTGTGAGTGTGTGTGTTCAGCAAAAGACATAATGAGTTACAAATGATTTCTCTGATTAAATATTTTATTTTGACTCTGTGTATGGTACTGTACATTTGTCATATACAAATTTTAATTTTTTATTTGGTTAAATCTGTCAGTTTTCCCTAACTTCCCACTTAAAAATGTTTTCCTACATTTTTATAACCTTTGTTTTTATTTTGTTTGTTTGTCTGTTTATTTATTTATTTATTTATTTATTTGAGACAGAGTCTCCCTCTGTTGCCCAGGCTGGAGTGCAGTGGCACAATCTCAGATCACTGCAAGCTCCGCCTCCCAGGTTCACACCATTCTCTGGCCTCCCCCTGCTGAGTAGTTGGGACTACAGGCACCCGCCACCACGTCTGGCTAATTTTTTGGTTTTTTTTTGTATTTTTAGTAGAGACGGGGTTTCACCATGTTAGCCAGATGGTCTCGATCTCCTGACCTCGTGATCCGCCTGCCTTGGCCTCCCAAAGTGCTGGGATTACAGGCATGAGCCACCTCACCCGGCCTATAACCTTTGTTTTTAAAACTTAGATTCTTTTTTTCATCTGGAATTTATTTTTGTATGTAATATGAGATATGGACACAACTTTATTTTCTTCCAAAATGGATAGTTGAGTAGTATTTGTTGAATTGGCCACTCTTCCCCAGAGACTTTGAAGTGCCATCTTTACTATTTCTTAAATAATACTATGCACTTAAATTTGTTTTAGGTATTTTTTGTTTCACTGGTTTATTTGTTCATTCCAGAACACAGAAAAAGATGTAGAGTGCCCCAATTTATTTTTTAAAGCTAGCATCTCTCTAAGGAAAGGAAAAAAGAAAACAAGAGCCAAATTTCACTCATAATATAAACTCCAAAATTTGAAATAAAGTAAAAACAATTAGAAGGCAACTCGGTATTAAGGTAATAATACAACTTGAAGTAGAAAGTTTATACCAGAAATACAAGTAGGGATCCACAGGACAAAAGCCCATTGATTTTATTACAGTGCTAACTAAAACAGAAAAGCTGTTGTATTAATAGGACGCATATGCATGTGATAACAGGGCAGCCAGTCTTTATAAACACTCTAAAATTTCATAGAGAGACACCTTTTAAAACACAATAAAGAAACGCCAGAAACGAACATAAAACACCATCTTTCATAAAGGATGAAAGAATACTAAGGTCTCCCCCTAAATTCAAGAAAAAGACATATTGCCTGGTATTAGCATTATTATTCAATATTGTTTTAGGGATATAAAATAATAGAATAAGATAAAAATCAAAGAAACAATATACTTATTAGAAAAGAAGAAAATTTTACTTGTTTACGCCTACACACCTAAGAAATTAAATACGAACTATTAGGATAAGAGTTTAGCAAGCTAGTTATTCATATTAGGAAATCAACAGCTTTTGAAAAATATCAGTAATTAACAGTAAGAATTAATTCATTAAGTAATTAACAGTAAGAAAAAGAAATGGAGTTTTAAAATTCCACTCAGATTTGTGACAAAGTTATAAGGACCTTAGAATAAATTTTACAACAAAGTTAAAGATCTTTATGAAGAAAATGCAATGTATTTCTGAAGAATGCACAAGACCTGGTTAAACTTCCCCATTAGGAAGTCAATGTTATAAAAATGTCAAATCCTGCCTAAGTTAACACATATTTATTGCAGACCTGGTTTGAATAAGTCTGATTGTCTGGTATAAAAAATTATTTGCCAACTTTTTTAAAGAATAGTGACACCCTACTGTATGCTAAGACTTTCTCTAAGGCAACTCTAAACAAAATATTATCATACTGATATCACACACTATTTTTATCAGTAAATGTGAAAACAGTATTCTCAGATATCCTGATGTTATCTGAGTCTGCATTTTTTCTTTTTTCTATCTCCTTAAAAGGTATTGTAATGCAATGTGAACTTTGGGAAATACATTCAAAATAATGGAATTGGGAAAAAAAAGACCGATAAAACAATGATCTGAACTGAACAGTACAACAGAAAATATGTACAGTCATATTTGTATTAATATGTACATTAATAAGGCTAGCTTATGTAACATAAATATGTTAAGAGCCGAGAAAAGATATTGCTATCGTATGCAGCTTTAATGAATTCCTAGTTGGGACACACCACTTTCTCAGGATTCAAGACTGAACTTAGATTCCACTACTTTCAGTTTGACCTGTGCTGGGCTAAATTTTGTCACCATATTTTCTATAAGGAAAGGATAAGCATCATTTATTTATTCAGTAAACATCTGCTAAGTAGCTGCTATGCACTGGCTCAATTCCTGCTCTAAAGCTGCCTGGAGTCTGGTTAGAAGAGAAAGAAGCTGTTTTGTAGGCCTCTTATACACCAATAAAATGCAAGTCAATGCTATACCCAGAGATGTTCTATCAGTCCCTGATGTAGTTTGGCTATGCGTTCCCACCCAAATCTCATGATGAAATGTAATCTCCAATGTTGAAGGTGTGGCCTGGTGGGAAGCGTTTGGATCATGGGGGTGGATCCCTCATGAAAGGCTTGTGCCATCCCCTTGGTGATACATGAGCCCTAGCTCTGAGTTCACATGAGATCTGGCCATTTGGCTGGGCACAGTGGCTCATGCCTGTAATCCCAGCACTTTGGGAGGCCAAGGTGGGCAGATCACTTAAGGTCAGGAGTTTGAAACCAGCCTAGCCAATATGGTGAAACCCCATCTCTACTAAAAATACAAAAATTAGCCTGGCATGGCCGGACGCGGTGGCTCATGCCTGTAATCCCAGCACTTCAGGAAGCTGAGGTGGGTGGATCACTTGAGGTCAAGAGTTCGAGAGCAGCCTGGCCAACATGGCGAAACCCTGTCTCTACTAAAAATACAAAAATTAGCCAGGTGTGATGGCGTGTGCCTGTAATCCCAGCTACTTGGGAAGCTGAGGCACAAGAATTGCTTGAACCTGGGAGGCGGAGGCTGCTGTGAGCAGAGGTGGTGCCACCACACTCCAGCCTGGGTGACAGAGTGACACCCTCCCTCAAAAAAAAAAAAAAAAAAAAAAGACATCCACTAGTTAGAATATTTGGAATTATCTATTGAAAATGACAGGAAGATAATAATAGTAAATTGCATTGAGAATCCCCTGGGAAAAAGCAAAAG
The DNA here is from genome assembly GCF_000001405.40 of Homo sapiens. Taxonomy (NCBI): domain Eukaryota; kingdom Metazoa; phylum Chordata; class Mammalia; order Primates; family Hominidae; genus Homo; species Homo sapiens. The sequence goes on from NC_000002.12 coordinate 224,916,661, forward strand.
CCTTAAAATAAAGCATTGGAAGCATCACATTTACCTCCTTAACCAGTAAATTTTCTGCCTTGTGCTCTGCATCTTCAGGTACTGTTGAGTACAACGTGCGGATATCCCAGGAAACTGTGGCTGCCTGAAACGAACAATGAAAAGAAATTGAGTCCTCCGGCTTAGAAGTGTCGAGCAGACCAGCACACTGAACACACAAAAGGGAAGTCTTTTAGATCTTAGTATTTAAAGTTAACAGAAGACAGAGACACTTCTGTAGTTCTTCCCAATTTAATCTCTAGGAGAGAAGATGTGGACATTTATTTGATTACCAGTACTAGTATTTTTACAACAGTTACTGTTTTATTAGTGTAGCTCATAGTTTTAAGCTGTTCCCCCTTTGCAGAAAACAAAAATTTAGGCATCTATATGTTTTCAATTTAGCTGATTTCTATTGGAATCTTTTTTTTTTTTTTTTTTTTTTGAGACGGAGTCTTGCTCTGTCGCCCAGGCTGGAGTGCAATGGCGTGATCTTGGCTCACTGCAACCTCCGCCTCCCAGGTTCAAGCGATTCTCCTGTTGCAGCCTCCCTAGTAGCTGGGATTACAGGTGCCCACCACCACCCCCAGCTAATTTTTGTATTTTTTAGTAGAGACAGGGTTTCACCATGTTGGCCAGGCTGGTCCTGAACTCCTGACCTCAGGTAATCCACCCGCCTCGGCCTCCCAAAGTGGAATCTTTTTTATTATTGCTGCTAAGGCTAAAATAAATTTGAAATGAAGAAGAAAACTTACAAAGTCAGCATTATTTTAATAATATCGTAAATAATCTCAAATATCAAAGGATAAACACAGTCCCTTTTAGAAGCTAACTGTGCGTGTGTGCGTGTGCCTGTGTGTGCACATGTAGTTGTAGTTAGGGGTGGGAAGGAAGAAGGAGTGTTTAGTAAATCTGAACCTTGAAAAAAATAGGTTGTGTTTTTGGTGTCTTTATTTTTGCTGAAATAAGAAAACTTTTTCAACTTCCATGCTAAATAAACAATATTCTTTTAAATGAATATATGTTAATTAATATATAAAGTACTTCTTAAAACAAAACATCACAAACAGAATTTCATAGATTATTGCCTCTTATATGTCTTCAGTCCATGAAGCACAGGAGAATGAAATGCCCTAAAACAGCAAGTTTCCACTTCCAGCCATCTGCTTCCTTTAGTCTGTGCACCTCAGTAGTTACAGGGATTCTCAGGTGATGAGTCTGTGACATCCATGGTACCAACAGCTGAGATCTCGTATATTGCACATCCCCCAAATCACAGCTATTCATTTAAACTGCTCTAGATTAGCTGTTGGAACAGATAAGAATCTCCAAACCCATCCTCAGTATTGGAGAAGATGGGTAGGGAGGGGTCAAGGGAGTTTTGTCTTCCGAGTTCACAGACCTTGCTGGCAGCTCTGCCACCAAGGGCGGCGTCCTTCCCATCATTCCTTCTCTTCCAATCCTGGACTCTTATTTTCTCCAAATCTCTCCTTTCTTCACTCCTGATGTAAGTGCAGGACATTTTATTTTGTTCACTTATAACCTCAGTGCTAGTTGGATACCTAAATGATTCTTTGTTGAATTTATTGACTGTGTGTACATGTGTATTCCATAAGAGGATGAGAGTGTGTGGGAGCATATATGAGTGTGTGTGGGGTGTGTGTGTGTGAGCATGTGCAATTGGGTGGGTGTGTCTGTGCAATGAGTGTGTGGAGTGTGTGTGCATGAGAGTGTGTTGCATTTGAGTGCGTGTGTTCGTATGGTGTGTGTATGTGTTATGTGAGCATGTGTGGTGAGTTTGTGGTGCGGTGTGTGTGTGTGTGGTGTGCGTGTATGTGTAGTGTTAGAGTGTGTGACGAATGTGTATATGTGTGAGTGTGTGTGGTGAGTGTGTATGTGTATGTGGTATGAGTGTGTGTGGTGCGTGTGTATGTGGGGTGTGTGTATGTATGTACTTGTGGTGTGTGTGTGGTGTGTATATGGTGTGAGTATGAGTGTGGTTTGGGTCTGTGAGCATGTGCAATTGAGTGTAGTGTGTATGTGCAATGAGTATGTGTGTTAGTGTGTATACATGAGTGTGTCGCATTTGAGTGCATGTGTATGTGTAATGTGAGTGTGGTAGTGTATGTGTGGTGTGAGTGTATGTGTGGTGTGAATGTGGGCATGTGTGGTGTGTGTGTGGCGTGTGTGAGTGTGTGTATATGTATGTGTGGTGTGAATGTGTGTATGGTGTGTGTGGTATGTGTGGTGTGTATGTGTGGTGTGAATGTGTGTGGTGTGTGTGTGTATGTGTGGTGTGTGTGTTTGTGGTAAGTGTATGTGTATGTGTGATGTATATACGCACAGGGTGTGTGTGGTGAGTGTATGTGTGGTCTGTGTGGTGTATGTGTGGTGTGTGTGTGTGGGGAGTGTGTGTATGTATGTGTGGTGAGTTTATGTGTATGTGTGGCACGTATATGTGTGGTGTGTGTATGTGTGGTGTGTGGTGGGTTTGTATGTGTGTGATGTGTATGTGTGGTATGAGGGTGTGTGGTGTGTATGTGTGGTGTGAATGTATGTGGGTGTGTGGTATGTGAATGTGTGTAGGTTTGTCTGCATGTGTATGTCTGTACACATGTGAATGGGTGTGATGTGTCAGTGTGAGTGTGTGGTGTATGTGTGGTATGAGTATGTGTGATGTGTGTCTGTATAGGTGGTGTGAATGTATGTGGTGTGTGTGGTATATGAATGTGTGTAGAGTGTGTCTGCATGTGTAGGTCTGTACACATGTGAATGGGTGTGATGTGTCAGTGTGAGTGTGGATGGTGTGTATGTGTGGTGTGAGTGTGTACGTGTGGTGTGAATGTGTGTGGTGTGTCTGGTATGTGAATGTGTGTGGAGTGTGTCTGCATGTGTATGTGTGTACATGTGTGAATGAATGTGATGTGTCAGTGTGTATGTGTGGTGTGAATGTGTGTGGTGAGTGTTGTGTGTGTGTAGAGTGTGCGTGTGTCTGTCCACGTGTGAATGGGTGTGATGTGTTGGTGTGAGTGTGTGTGCATGTGCACATGCATGTCGGGAAGCACGGGGTTTGTATCCTGTGAAAGAGGAAGAATGCCATGTAGATTTAATAAGATCAGAGGATGAAAAATAATGAGAAAACTAGGATCTAGAGACATCAATGATGAAAATGAATGCTCGCCCTAAAGCACAGCTGTGGACTGAGCTCCCTGGGCCACTGCACTTGCTCCAGGATTTAACTGCAGCTGTATACTCAGAAGAGGCTGTGGCTACCAATTCAAACCAGGCATAGGTGCAGGGAGCAAGCATAGTGCCACGGATGGAACAGGGAGCCGTTGCTTTGCATGCAAAGTAAGATAGAGCCAATTTGGATCTTATTATTTACATTTTACTTTTTGTTGCTGTTGTTGTTGAGACAGGGTCTCATTCTGTTGGCCAGGTTGCAGTGCAGTGGTACAATCACAGCTCACAGCAGCCTCGACCTCCGGGGCTCCAGTGATCAGCCTCCCCAGTAGTTGAGACTACAGGTGCGCACCACTATGCCTGGCTAATTTTCACTTTTTTTTTTTTTTTTTTGTAGAGACAGGGTCTCACCATGTTGTCCAGGATGGTCTCCAGCTCCTGGACTCAAGTGATCTGCCTGTCTCGGCTTCTCAAAGTGCTGGGATTACAGGCATGAGCCACTGTGCCTGGCCTACATTTTACATTTTTAATTCCTTTAGAGTTCCCTTCTTCAAGTTGCTTATTTTATGCTATTCACTCTGTTAGAAGATAAATAGTAAATAAACTATATTGAAGTTTTGGAGTAGAATATTAAGAACCATGCCTAAATTGAGCTTTGGGGATTACTGCTGAATTTAAATGATCTGGGATGCCTTTGTTTCCTATTCGGATGGATAATTTACAGATATATGGTGTTGCTTGGTTTCCAGGGAATATTACATATTATAATCTACTGGGAACATTAGACATTTTTCTTTCTAATTAAAAAAAAATTCTATATTATGGCCATTATTAATAAAATTTTTATACAAAAATGCAAGCTATTCCTCTTTTCCATTTTCCACTAGAGTCTCCATTGCTTTCTTGACTTTTTAAAAAAATACTTTAAGTCTGATGGAGAGTAGAGTAACATGGCCCAGAATTAAGCTTATAATTAAGTAAAACATAAATAATAAGATCCAAATTGGCTCCATCATATTTTGCATGTGACACAACCACTCCCTGTTCCATCTATGTAGTAAACTTACTGTCCCACTACGATCACTGCTCTGTGACATAATAAAATAAAGTGGGCTGGGCACGGTGGCTCATGCCTGTAATCCCAGCCCTTTGGGAGGCTGAGGTGGGCAGACCAATTGAGGTCAAGAGTTTGAGACCAGCCTGGCCAACATGGGAAAACACCGTCTCTATTAAAAAAAAAAAAAAAAAAAAATATATATATATATATATATATAATGTATATACACAAAAAATAGCCGGGCATGGTGGCGGGCACCTGTAATCCCAGCTACTCAGGAGGCTGAGGCAGGAGAATCACTCGAACCTGGGAGGGGGAGGTTGCAATGAACCAAGATCATGCCATTGCACTCCAGCAATGTTGCTGGGCAACAACAGCAAAACTCCATTTCAATAAATAATAATACTAACGTGAACACTTAGCTAATTTAAGAAGTTTTTTGTTTGTTTGCTTGTTTTATTGGTAAGTTTCTGGAATGTAGGCTTGGGTTCCCCATAACAGTAATCACATGGCTACTAGATTAGTAATGTCCTATAGTTAGATAGGCCCCCAAATACATAAGGTAATGTTCACATCCAATTTATGAGACTGCGAATTAATTCAGGCCGAGTTACAAAAATTGCTTAATCACGTGTACAATGCCTGGTGGTCTCTTGTTATAAAATGATGTTGACTTTTTACTAAATAAGACAACAGGCTGAATTATGCTCTTGGAACCATGTGATAAATCTAAAACATTATTTTACAATATGTGCAGTTATTGCATATCTAATATCCTGTGCAGGTTACACAAGGTATAGGAAAGAGAATACATGTATGATGTATGCCCATAACGTGCTATTGATCTTAGTTGTATTTTATTATAATGCTGGAGCATTTGTCTGAAAAAGTGCAAGGACAGCCAGGCGCTGTGGCTCATGCCTATAATCCCAGCGCTTTGGGAGGCTGAGGCGGGTGGATCACCTGAGGTTGGGAGTGTGAGACCAGCCTGACCAACACGAAGAAACCCCGTCTCTACTAAAAATAAAAATAAAATAAAATAAAATAAAAATTAGCTGGGCATGGTGGCACATGCCTGCAATCCCAGCTACTCGAGAGGCTGAGGCAGGAGAATCGCTTGAACCCGGGTGGCGGAGGTTGCGGTGAGTCGAGATGGCGCCACTGTACTCCAGCCCGGGCAGCAAGAGCAAAACTCCATCTCAAAAAAAAAAAAAAAAAAAAAAAAGTGCAAGGACTCCACAAGTTTCCACTTTAAAAACTGTGGCACTTCTTCTCATTTTAGATCTCTTTAATGTGTCTCCACTGAAGCAAAAATGAATTGATCGAATACAAAGAAAACTGTAAACAATCATATTTGGTAAGGGTTTTAATATGGTTACAAAGAATTTTTTCTTTTCTGAGAATCAGATGCTTTCAGACCACTACAAATTGTCTTGACCACAAGAGATTTCCTGTTCTCTTTTATAAAACTCTGGTCAACAATTAGTATAGCTCAATAGCATAAAAGGGATCTGAAACTGCAGTGGAACTCAGCTGAGCTTCTCCTTTGGTGGTAGGATTTCATAAGGAGCCTATCTATTGTCCAGAGATCAGGCATTTGGAAATAAAAACTGTCCTGAAATGATGCATGCAGGCCTGTGTTTATAGTTTCAGGTCCATGAGATTCAGACATCCTCCCTTGCAGCCCTGTCACTTTCTGGTTTCTTGTAGCCTGCAGTGGATGGTCTTGGAGGTTTCGTTACAGCCACCAATCTGCTGGCTATACTGGCTACAGAAGACTTCCTTCCAAGCACATCAGGACTATCTCTCAATTGGCCAAAGGTCACTGTAAAAGTCTAAAAAAGGGCTGCTTATCCTATCTTGGGGCTGAGAAAAGCTTCCTCTGACAGTATTGTAGCTTCCCCCTGTTCAAAAAGGAGGACAAAATGATGGTGTTTAAAGTAATCAATCAGTCTAAGCTTGGGGAGTTATAAGCCTCACAATAAGAACTATTAACTAAAACTTTGTGATTAATGACCCTCAGCATGTGTTTAAAAGTGATTTTAACCTAAATTTCTCAGACATCGATATTGTCTTTTATTCTATTAGAGAATGTCCTTAGATTACATTAGTTTCTTGAAAAACATCTTTTACCACATTCAGAAGAGTATTGTTGTGATTTTATTTTACTTATTGTTTAAATATATGAGAATATTACTTTAGTACCTGACTTGTGCTTTAAAGGGAAGGCCCTTCTTGTTTTGCTGGGGTTGAACTGTATGGCAAATATACAAATAATGAACAGTTGTCTATTACTTGATAGCAGTCATTCCAGCCAAGTTAAGCATGAAGACACAGTGTTGTAGTATTTAGGTATATAGTAGTGATAGAATCCTATAAGAAGAACTTCAAGGTGTTTTACTCTTGGATTGACAAACTACTGAGCCAGTCATTTCACTTCTTTTTTGTGACTTATTTTCCAGGCTCCAAAACATGTCTCATCTCCTCTAAAGAGGTGAGGACCAAACATTCTACATATGGGAAGATGTGAGCATTAATAGAAACGAGGTGCTCCAACAATATAAAGACACCTACTGCACCAGGACCTCCCCCTGGCAAAGACTCTGAGGTCTGTGGTCTGAGTTTACCATCCAAGAAAGCCCAGTGAAGAGGGTTGCCTGCTGCGAGGCCTGCAGACATGGTCTAGGGAAGAGAAATGGACTGAAGAGCGGCCCAGCACTGCCAGCTCTCACCGGCTCCATCCCACCTGGCTGCCCGCATTTCTCCTTCAGGGCCAGCCTCATTCCTGCACAGGGCCTTTGCCCATGCTCCTCTGCCTCTCCAAAAGTCTTTTTCTTTCCTCATTCTTTAGAAATCTCAGGTTTTGTATAGGTGCCAGCTCCTTTTCAAAAGCTTTCTAATTCATCCAACACACATTTTTCTTCCCTGAATGCTGTTATTTACTCTCTGTAGCACACATGAAGTCTGCAGCTTACCCATAGAATATTTTAGGCCGAAAGGTTATGCTGCTGATGAATTCAGCCGGTCATTTTACCTGTGTGTTTTATTGTTTATAAGCAAGCCACATTACATCTGCTTTGGGGGTAAAATATAACAACTGTAAAATAAGTTTTGCCATGTTCCTTATTACTCCTTTGCTATGTTCCATTCATTCCTTTTAAAGAATAAAGTGCTCGTATCTACATATATGCTTTCATGATTCCTTTGTATCCTTCCTGTGATCACGTGCACCACCTCTATCCTAACACATAGAATGGCTTTTTAAAAAAACCATCTAATTGAGATATAACTGATCTGTCATAAAATTTATCCTTTAAAAGTATAGAATTGAGTGGTTTTTGGTATATTCACAGAGTTGTGCAACCATTACCACGATTTAATTACAGAACATTTTCATCATGCCCAAAAGAAACCCCATATCCACTAGCATTCTCTTCTCATTTTCCCATCTCCCCAGCCCATGGCAACCACTAATCTCCTTTCTCTCTCTATGGATTTGCCTATTTTGAACATTTCCTATACGTGGACTATATGGTCTTTTGGGACTGGCTTCTTTCACTTAATACAATATATTCAAGGTTGATCTAAATTGCAGCATGTATCAACATTTCATTCCTTTTTATGGCTGAATAATAATGACATTCCATTTTATGGATATACCACATTCTGTTTACCCATTCATCAGTTGATAGATTATTTGGGTTATTCTCATTTTGGGGCTATTATGAATAATGCTTCTATGAACATTTGTGTCCAAGTCTGGTGTGGACATACATTCTTAGCACAATCAAACACAGACCAGGGTCTCCACACACATTCTTACTGAAATGAAATAAACAACCAGAACTGTTTCACTACAGTACTTATTTTCTAATGGCATCACTCACTGTGGGATTCAGGAAGTTAATATTTCCCCCAACTTGTGTGCCTTTTTTTTCTAAGAAGCGTCGGCCAAAAGCATGCTGTTTAGACAGAAACTAATAGTAAAAGTCAAGGTGCTTATGTTAGGTGTTTGTCCTTCCAGTTGCTCTATTTCCTTGAACAACAGCCTTTCCAAATCTTAACTTCATTAGCTTGTAAATGAGAGGAATATTATAACATAGAAAGAATCTAATTCGACAAAGACTATTACTCAGTTTTCAAATTGAAATTACAATGTTCTTACATGAACACCAGGAGCCGTTTAAAAGCCTGCTTTTCAGGCTCAAAAGCCACAGATTTAAAAGAGGTTGAGATTCTTATAAAATGTTAACCTTTGTCTCAGAAAAAAAAAAAGAAAGAAAACTCATGACCTTACTGATTTGCAGTTTAAAACATATTCAAATCTTTCTGCTTCCTTTCCTAGAATGACCCTTGTGGTTGAGTCTAGAAGTCCCCATATACCATTTGCTTTTCATTGCTAAAGACATACTATGAAAAGAACAAGCCATTGGTATATTATGATATCCACTATTCTGAGTTTTAATAGCCAGTGAAAAGTGCAGAATGCCTTTGAGTACCCTGGGACACAATTCTGACCTACTAATATGAAGATGGAATTTGAGAAGATAATGAGACTCTTAGGTGACTGTAGTCATGTGACATAGACTTTTGACTTTGAAAATTGCACTGCCCGGTGTTGAAAGTCTAACTGTTCAAGTGTAAGGTCTGCTTCTTATTCGTATTGGTGTCCTGGATATAAACAGCTTAGATCACCAAAGGTGGTCCATGAAGGTAAATTGAAATAGAGTTTTACTGGTGTGGACAAAATTGAAGTATAGTTGATAGGTGGTCTTCCTACACAGTGTACAGTCTTACCAGCTTTCAGACATCAGAACTTTCTTATTTATGGTTTTGTACTTCCCAGAAATGATCCCATCTCAGGCTTTCTACATCTTTTGCTCAGGAAGAAACTCATTTCTGACTTTCTCAACTTTTTTTCTGCTATTTTGCATCAGTCTTTTCTTAAACTGAATCATTTGACAATATGATTCAATGTGTCCTTGAAACCATTTTTCTTAGCCCTTGCTTTCTTTTCTTACTTTCTTTGCCACTTTACTGAGTCACACACTTTGGTGACTAAGTTCTTTATTTTTTGTTTTGTTTTAAAGTTTCTATTACTACCAGCTTGAAAAAGAAAGATGAAAAAAAGTAGCAAATACAATTATTGAAGCAGTACAAGTTTTTGCAATGAATGGCTTAATAAATACATCAATACTGCTTATTTTAGTGAATCATTAGGACACATGTAGTGCAGGAGTTCATACTGCTTAGTCCCAGAACCCACATACAAGGAGGACTAGCTTCTACCTGGTGTGCCAAAATAAAGGAAAGTGCTTCTGTGTCAGGCCCTCAACCTGGAAGAAAACTATTTTAATTCAATGTTTGATAATCTATTGAATGCCTATGAATCAGACATTGTGTTGGGTACTTGAAGTACAGATATGAACTGATTTGTCCCTTGTCTAGTAACAGAAAGGAAGTGAATGAGTAAGTGAAGAAGTACACTAAAGTGTTAGAGGGCTGGGTGCAGTGGCTCACGCCTGTAATCCCAGCACTTTGAGAGGCCAAGTTTGAGGCTGCAGTGACTTCCCACTACACTCCAGCCTGGATAACAGAGCGAGACTCCATCTCTTTAAAAAAAAGTGTTAAAAGGAGGAAACTAAGCTTTGCTGATATCAGCTATGAGCCAGGCACTATGTTAGAAGGAATGGGCCTCTTTAAAAAGGGAAACGTGTTCTTAGTGCTGTTTTTTAAGGTGATATGTTGAGTTGAGTTGTGCCAAAGCAGGAAGTATTTTCCTTACCATCAAGCAAAGCCAATTACTTCATCCTCTTTGTTCTCAAGAATTTTGTTTCAGAAAAGCCTTTTGGTTCCTCAAGGTACTCAAGGGATCAACATTATGTTATAAAATAGCAATCTAGATGTTTCTGAAAGATAATTCATGAAATAAATATTTATTTTCCATCTGCTTTGTGCCAAGTTCTGCTTTAGCTGCTGAAAATCTTTCAACAATCAAGACAGAAGAAGTCTCTGTCCTGCTAGAGGCTACTGTCTAACAGTGAGAAACAAGTGACAGAGGAGTGAAAAAGCAAACCAAGATATTTCCCAGTGGTGATAAGTGTTATCAAGAGAAGCAGGTGGGGTCATGTTATAAAGTAACTGGGTGTGAGGGCAATGTAGCTTGGAAGTCAGGGATGCTTCTTTGTAGAGGTGACATTTAAACTGAGTTGTGACTGAAAAATAGGAACCAGCTATACAGAGAGTGTAAAGGCCCTACCGAGAGGATGAGCTTGGCAAGTTGGGGGAACAGAAAGAATGCTTGATGTCTGTGCAGTGACTGAGGAAAGTAGGCTAGATGAGAGCTCAGAGAACATGGGGAACCAGATGACAGGGGTTATGGGAGGAGCTGGATTTGACTCTTAAGGCAATGGGAAGCCACTGAGAAGTTTTAACCAGAGGCATGGCGTTATCTAATTTGTGTTCCTAACAGCTTCCATTGAGTACTGTGTGTGAACGAATCAAAGCGGAGCAAAGAAGAAAGCAGGAGGACCAGTTACAAAACCACTTCTTGGAGGGGAGGTATGGTCCAGGCAAATGAGGGTATTTGTGGCTTGGGACAGCAGAGTGAATAGAGAAAAACTTTTAATATATACAGTCACAATATAAGAATACTGCCTTGGTGAAAAGTAATCTTTCTCGTGTACCAGATACCAGACGAAGTCTCTGATTCTCGGTATTTCTTAACCATAAGCATTCTAAATCAACTTGCTTTTTCATCCATAAAAGGGCATGAGCTCCTTAAACACAGGGCTTTTGCTTTTCTTGTCAGTCTCACTAGTCTAGGAAGTGCTGTTCTATATTCAGCAGCTCGTGGGTGCTGAATAAATATTGATTAAACAAACCGAGTAATGAATCATGTGTGCTGCAAGTGTGGGTGCTTGGTAACGTGGAAACATACAAGTGAGCTGGATTCTCCAATCTGCAGGGCAGAAACTGGATGAAAGACATTTAGAGGTGGGGGTGGGAAGCTTGGAGCGGCCCCTCTCCTTCCATCCCTCAATGCCTTGGGATTGGGGTGGTCATTCTATGACCACTTCACATTGACTCCGTGGAGATTGACTCCACACACCCCAGAGGAGCCTCACCCACTGCTGAAGGGAGAGCTGATGAAATGACATGCTTGCTGACTGCATGGACACTTCCTGTTGGTGCGCCACGTCCCTAAAATGTGACATAGGCTGTGGGTGAAGCAGGTAACATCAGAGATTTACAGACACGCCTATATTCCACAAAGAGTGTGAGGATAAAAACCAAAAATGCATGCAGTTGTACTCTATGTCAGCCAACTTTTTCTGTAAAGCGTCAAAGAATAAATCTTTTCCGGCTGAATGTCTCTGTTGCTTCTACTGCAACTCTGTTGCAACCCTGCCTTTACATCATGAAAGCAGCCACTGACAAGAGGTCAAGGAATGGTGTCCGTGTTCAATAAAACTTTCTTTATGGGTATCAGAATTTGAATTTCAGATAATTTTAATGTGTTTTGAAATATCATCTTTTTTTCCCTAAGCTATTTTAACAACCATAAAAACCATTCTTAGCTCATGGGACATAAAAAATAGGCAGCAGGTCACCCATGGGCGACAGTTTGCCAAGCTGTACTCTGTAGAGCAGTTAAAATGAGGAACAATCTCCACTATTATTCAAAAATAGGCAATTTTATGTAGAGATAATATCTAACACTATCCTTTTGTTTGTCAGTTGCTTAATGCAAATTAAAATTTAGCCATTTGGAGGATGTGACATTTGCTGATAGTAAGGATTAGGTAGCATTGAAAATCTCTTGGGCAGAGATTAATTGGAAATGATTCTTTGGATCACACTCCCCACTTTGTCTAGGCCTTGTTTTGTGTTTTCCACACAGAGCCCAGATGAACTTTTAATATTTAGGAATCCACACTCAGTCATTTGTTTTCCTTCTTGAAACACTCCTGTGACTTGCCCTTGCCTATAGTTAGAATAAGATGCAAACGCCTTATCCTGTCCAGCCATACCAATCTCCAATCTTGGAGCTCTTCAGGGCCTTTGCACCAGCTACCCCTTTAGCCTGAAACATGCTTTCCCCAGCATGGCTGATCCTTCTTGAGAACTCAGAACTCAGCTTAAATGTCGCCTTCTTAGAGAGGCTTGTCCCTGGTCACCTAGACCAACACAGCTCTTACCCTACTCAGATTCTATCATCAGATTCTGCCTAGTTTTATTTTCCTCATAGAATTGGTCTTTATCTGAATTATCTGGTAAATTAATTGGTTTACCTTTTTGTTTGGAATAAGTAAATCTTTAATAAGTAAACCCACCAAAAGGTAAGCTCCCTTAGAACCCCAGGTGATTTCTGTCTAATCACTCCTGTCTCCATTCATCAAATAATGCCCAGTATTCAGTATTATACATCATGTATTTGCTGAATGAATAAAGGAAGGAAATGGTTTGGGGTGTGTTATAGAATAGTATGTTTGGAACTGTGCTGATCTTTTACCCCAGTTGGGAATGAGGGTGACGGTGTATGATGGGCCGGGATGGGGTGGGAGAGGGTAGGCTATGGCTTTGAGAAATGGGCAAGGACCACATCTCGAAGCAGGCATTGGGTCATGCCGAGGTGATTGCACTTCATTTTGAAGGCAGTGGGGGAGCCACAGAAGGGTTTTAAGCAGCCATGGAATAAAATAGTTCAGTGTATTTATTGGAATGTTCACACTGGAAAAACAAAGAGTTATTCTTGTATTGTCTGTTACGCTGCCAAGAATGATAAAGATCAAGGAGTAATCAGAGACACTCCTCAATTTAAATGAGCATGGGAAGATGCCAAAACTTTACAGCCCATCTACCTGCATCCTCCACTCTCTTTTTGAGCTGGGAGGCCTTGAAGTAGCATTTGACATATTTTTGAAGGACATAACTAGGAGAAAAGATGCTCCTGGATTCATGATTTTTGGTGGTGTTTGACATAAAGAGGCTGTTCAAGGCTGGACGTGGTGGCTCACCCCTGTAATCCCAGCACTCTGTGAGGCCGAGATGGGTGGATCACTTGAGGTCATGAGTTCAAGACCAGCATGGCCAACATGGCAAAACCCCATCTCTACTAAAATTACAAAAATTAGCCGGGTGTGGTGGCATGCACCTGTAATCCCAGCTACTTGGGAGGCTGAGGCAGGAGAATCACCTGAACCCAGGAGGTGGAGGAGGTTGCAGTGAGCCAAGAATATGGCACTGCACTTCAGCCTGGGTGACAGAGTGACACTCGGTAAAAAAAAAAAAAAAAAAAGAAAGAAAGAAGAAAGAAAGAAAGAAAAAGACTGTTCATCAGGTTAATCTTCAGTCTGAAAAATGAAAATGAGGATGTGGAATTTAAAAAAATGCGGTTTAACTTTATGCTTGCAGTTCAACTTCCAGTGGCCTAGTCCAACCACGGAAATGAGATCTCTGCACGAGATAAGTCTCTCTCAAAATGTGCCAGCACTCAAGTGGAAGCCGTTTAAAATTTTGAAAAACATTGGAAGAGTTTCTTTCTTTCTGTTTACAAATCTGTCTCCTTTTTTCCATGATTCTTCACACTTGAAACAGAAAATCATTAACTTCCATATACCTTCTTTTTCATGAATCCATGGAGGAAGGTGAAAAAAAAAAAAACTCTTTAAAAGCCAGAAGCCAGACCTGCCCTCAAAGTAAGAGAGAAAATGGAAGTTTGAGGCTGCTTGAGGAATGTGTGGGCACTGAGACCCATGCTCCCTGATAGAGGTTTGCATGGACAATGGCTGTTTCACAGGGATACCCTTCAGCTGCCTTTTTATTTGCCTTAAGATGTTGAAGTTTGTGATGTCTGAGACCACCTTTCTTTTAGGAAGAGACAGGAAAGTTTAATAGCTGCCCATTGAGATCTCTGTTTGACAGTTAGATATTAGATCACAATTTAAAAACATTTAAGACCACAAGGTAACAGTATTTTATGTTTGGAACATGTGGGTGCTCACCATCCACAACTTTGTGTTTGTCTCCAAAGCGAATTTCCTTTTCATTCATTATCTCTACTATCCTCAGAGGCTGTCTGTGTGGTAGTGTGCATTGTCCTAAAGGGGACTATCTGAGACCGCCAATCTCTCCATGAAGATGTTCTAGCCTACCTTTCTTTGCCCCCAGGTGTCAGTATCTCCTTATGAAAGACAAACCAAGATTAAGGGTGATTTTTAAGAACTGCATCTTTTGTGCTAATGGAGTCCTGTCTTTGCCATTGGTTGGTTTCAGTTGCTTGGAAGCTTTCAGTTAGAAATGGCTGAGGGAGGAAGTGCTCTGTGAGTCCAGGTAAGGCAGTGGTTAGAAACCCAGACATTGGCAGGCACACGAGTGCCAGCTGGAACCGGGCAGTGTCCTGGGCCTCCTCCCAGTCCCCAGTGGCCACTGACTCACTCAGCCTCCAATCTTTCAACTTGAGGGGGCCCTGGGGTACTTTCTATTATAGGATGTGAACTCCTGCTGCAGAGACTGAGATGTAGGGTGGCCACAGGGAGGCCTGGACTCTCTGAATCTACAGGGAAAGACAATGACCCAATGTGTAGGGCCCTCCTGAATCTAAATGGCTTGAGAAGAGAAGACTTACTGAAAAGTCATCACTGGGGAAGAACAAGAGATCTTGAAGAGGATCATTCCGGTAGGTCTTTTCAAGTTCTTCAATGACAGTCTCATAATCCAAAGGCTCGAGAAGCCTAGGCTTTTCTTGCTGTAGAAAAAGAAAATATGGTATTAATCACTGACATACACCATCTCCCTTTTCTATGCCTGGTTGGATTTCATCTCTTAGTTATCATTGAGGCTTTAACACTGCACAATCCTTCCAATGCAGTCACAGAGACTCCAGGAATTTAGGGCAAAGCCACACACCTATTATTTCCAGATTTGAAATAATATGAGAAAATCCTAAAATACCTGATATCTCCCTCAGAAATTCAAGCTGTTCTTATTGAGTCCCCAAGGCTCATGATACCCAGCCCTATCACATCCACAGAATAGATGTTTATGTAAATTTTATCTTTGTCAACATGAAGAAAGACCTTCTGCTTACTTGCTACGGTATTATGATGATTATCATCATTTCTTCTGAATTAGATACTTCCTCATGAGTTCTGTTGGGTCTATTTAAAAATGTTGGCACCTTGTTAGCAATGAAAGTATCACAGGCACTCTTGGTTGTCACGAACACATGGATCCTGTGTCAGGATTAATTGCTTGGCTCTGAGCCTCTTTGTCTCTACAGAGACAAGCTAGGTCATTTTCTAATAGAACTGAACGACAGGACTATTATGGATGCAGTGTGATGAAAATGGATAAGTGAAAAAATAGCCCGATAATCACATTGCATTAGATTCCTGAAGCCAAGAGGGAATGTGCTCCCCTCAAAGAAGCCCCTCATAGTGCCAAAAATAAAAATAAAATAGAGGGAGAAATGTGACAGTTTCATTATAGGGTTGATGTGTTTGTTCCAATTGTACAGAACTCATAAGGTGAGAAAAGTGGACCCTCCCTCGCCGCAAAACACAACAAAATCCAAAACAGAAAACCAAAAACACAATCTGCATCCTCTAACCCTTTTGATGAAGCATTTATGCAACCTAAGTGAAAAGCGGTGGTCCTCTGGGTTATTTTGGGGCTCCTAGAAGCTTGAGTGGTTCCTACAAAATTTGAACGCTAAAGTGATCCCATAAGTGAAAAAAATTATTATTTTTCTTTTTCACGTAAGTGACATCAACAGATACTTCCCCACCAAACTCTTCCTTCCCCACACTCACACATGCCACCCTTCCTCATTCTGCAAAGTACACAGAGTTAGCTTTGACTCCTAAGGCTTTCTTTGGAAGATCTCTTCTGATAAGGCCCTAGGAACTTTCATTGACATTTTAATAAATGCTAATGGGCTTTTCAAAGTAGCAGTCAATATATATTTTGATAATTTTCCAAATATAAAAAATAAAACAAATGTGAACATAGTGGGCCAAAGGCAAGGGTCATCATATACTTTCTACATTAGAAAAAAAAACCCAGCTCACTTCACAAATGCTTAAGGAAACTAAGGGTAATGCCAGGTGAATATTCTGTCTAGAAGGTCCTTCCAGAAAGATGGCTAGTTTAGTAAAAAAGAAATACCCCACACAATGTTTGGAGAAAAGAAATTCAGTTGACGAACATATTTAATGAAAGAGCTGTGAGACATTGAGTATTTTGAGGAAGAAAATTCAGAGATGCTATGGCATGACTTGGGGAGTGGAAAAAAAGACTTTCTGGAATCATTGCCTTTTGATATTATTCTATTTAGACTTATTTTAAGTTCTAATTCCTTATTTCCCAGGCAAAGGTTAATTCCAAAGATTTAGATTGACAGCTCAAAAGGCAAATGCACGTTCCAGATGTTTGGTTTGCCACCCACATTTATTTTCTTTTTAATTGGCTTTGAATGTCTTTAAGTCATGGTATTTCTCTCCAATTCAGCTGTAGGCCTCAGTAGTCTTTATCTTACCCTGCAGCATATTACTTTTATATTACCAACTGCCCCCACAGGCCTTCAAGTCTGAAACAGTTGGCTTATTCTGAAACCTGTTTTTCCTCCCTATTGAGTGTGTAGGTATCAAATGTAGCAAACGAAACAAAATGTACAGTAAAACCCTTTCAGGAAGCTCTTACGTCTGCCTTAGATTTGGTTCATTGTTTATGTCTCTAAGAGTTCTTCAGCTTAAGTATATGATGCCCTTTGGTATTTACAGCAATAGTCCATGATGTGGCTAATAACACTTTTATCTTCTCCCTCCTCACACCAAAATGAGTAGAGATATGAGAGTGTGGTTTTAGTGTATATTGTAATTTATAGGTTTAAAGGCAAATGACATATGGATGTTTTGAGAGGACTTCTATAATCGGGTTCTCACTATCTTTTAAATTTTATCACCCATTAGTCCCCAAATCCAGCATTATTTAAGGAGTTGGAGACAAGAAGATCTTTCAAAGAAGATCTTTTTCTGGTACCCCAATGTTACCTAAAATCAATCCCACCTAAATTAGTACAATAGGCAAATCAGAGCTCCCAAGTCACAAGTTATTAATAAAACCACAGAGAAACTAAATCCTAACTTGCCTTGATATACCCAAATAATGGTCCCTGGTAGTTCGCCGTGATCGTATAGTGGTTAGTACTCTGTGCTGTGGCTGCAGCAACCTTGGTTCGATATACCCAAATAAAACATATGGCCTGCAAGCATCTAAAGGCATAATTTTAGGTATTCATTTCAGGCTATGACATCAATTAATGAATGATATTTATTAGGCCTTTCCTGTTTAGAATATTGCACTGGGGTTATTTTGACATGGAACTGCAAAATCCAGCAGATCTACTTCATGTAATTTACTAAGTTTTGGCCTCTGGAGGAATAGATTGGTGAAATTCAATCTTTCCAGTGAATTTGTTGATCATTGTGTAACATTCAAGATATCCAATGCATCATAATTTTGTGGACATAAAGTTTAAAAAGAAATAGCAATGATATATTCCATAGTGTCTAGAGCCTGGGATTAGGCCAAAGTTGTCACAGATGCTTTACACATCTGTGATGGCGAGAATCCGGACTACATAACCAGTAGTTCTGTCCGCAGCAAGGGAGCTGCCTGCTCCCTTCAAATGTAAAGAGACAGATGTATACAAGGATGGTGGGATCAGTTAATTTCTCACTACTGCTCCTTGCAGAGACATTGAGTGAAACTGGGGACTGAGCAGCATTGATTTACAGCTTTAACAAGGGTTGGGTTGTCCCTCTTGAATTTAATGTGCTTGTTTCTTTTGGAAATGCACCAACGGGGATAAGGTATGTGCCAAGATTACTCTGAATTGGCTTGGATTTTTATAGTGCTTTTTATTCTTTCTCTCTTTCTCTCAAATGAGTAATGAATTTCATTAGCTGTTCTAAAGTCACTCTGCATGGGAAAAGGCACCCACCAGTACCTGTTATTATGCATTAGGGTTGGTGTTGCACCACAGTGGTGAGAGGCCCTATTCTTCTTACAGAGAATTAAGAGATTTCTTTGATCTAGTTCCCCAAATCCACAGCTCTCCTCCAAATCAACTTCACAGCAGAAGAATGGGCTCCTGTCACAAAAACAAATGCTTGCTTCCCATCTACCTGATTTCACTACTGAATGCCAAGACGATTATCTAAGCCCCAGGGTGGTAAAACTGTCATCTTTGTAATAGTCTGGGCTACCCAGGGCATCTCAATTGGTTTGAAACAAGCAAGAACAAAGTATTCCATTACAAATATCTGAATTATTTTCATCACTATAATTCAAGATCAAATGGATGAAGAAATGACATTGAAGAAAATAAGCATTTGAAGTATGTAACACTAAAAATTACATGGCTGAATTACCAA
Organism: Homo sapiens; assembly: GCF_000001405.40. Lineage (NCBI taxonomy): Eukaryota > Metazoa > Chordata > Mammalia > Primates > Hominidae > Homo > Homo sapiens. Next base: position 224,935,360 of record NC_000002.12, read on the forward strand.
CCTTCATATTCCTCCAGAATGGAAGTACAATCTAACTGAAACATAAGCTAGACTACCCAGCCTTATTTTGGAAAAATCCAAAGTATAAAGTAGAGTGTGAGTATAGGTTTTCTATGTTACGATGCAACAGAGAGTTTAACATATACTCTAGTGCCAGAATTCCTGGGATTCCAGTTTTGGCATTGCCACATATGAGCTGTGGAACTTCAGCCGTGGTAATTAAAATCCCCATGCATTAATTTCTCCATCTGTAAAATGGTTTAGTTAGTGCTGCCTCACAGGATTAAATGAGATAATACTTTTTAAACCCCTGGAAGAGCCCACACGTAAAATCCTCATTATCCAAGTGTTAATAGATAAAGCCTATGGGTTTTTAATGTTCACTAGTCAGGGATTTAAAGCATCAGTATTATAAATTTAATGTCTACAAAGAGCAAATAGTAGGCACTCAATAACTATTTGTTAAATAAATAAATTTATATTATTTCATCCAGATCCAAGAATTCCTTTTCCGGGATTCTATCTTAAAGAAACAAGCACACATATAATCCAAGATTTATACGAGGATGTCTTTGCAATATTATCTTTGTAACAAGATGGAGAAAATATAGTCACCCTAATCCAAAGGTATAAGGGAGAAAGGTAGGCTAGTGGAGATTATACCCAATGAGTGAAGACTCCAGAGCTGCTGTTCCAAACAGTGTATCTCTTTCAGAGAACTGTGTATGGTGGAGATAGGCTTAATGCTGTGATGTGCTTTGGGAAGGACATTGAAACTAGGATAAGGGTTGGCATAAATCCGTGAATGACTATTAGTACATGCCATAAATAATGGTGCAGTGCATGCCATAAATTTACTAAACACTTCAATTCTTCAGCAAAGTTAGTGAACTCACAATATTTTGCATATAATTGGCTTTTCTTTTTGGAAAACACGAAGTGGCTGGAGTTCATGATCAAGATGGCAAGCACTGGTACAAAAGGAAAGATAAAGAAAGGGCACTCGCTACCTCAGAAGGAAAGAGGTTAAGGTCACCTTGACAGTGGTTCTAGATTCATAGCTATTATGACATTAGAGTTTGAGCCCAGAATACCCATATGTCTAAGGGATAGTAAGGGCACCAACTAGCTAAAAATGAGAAACAGTAAATCATCATGGGTAAGAAATAATTAGGAAATTATGGTACATTCATCCTAAGAAACAACACATATCCATTAAAACTAAATTTTTTAAAGTTTGTAATAAAAAGCAAAATTGTTTATGTATTTATTGTTCAATAAAGTAGTAATAAATATAATACAACAGAATAATCACACAAGATTTAATAAATTTAAAGAGAAAACATTAGAGATATGGGTCCTAATATTATCAGTTATGATATTTAGGATTTTGCCATTTTGATTTTTCTGCATTCTCCAAATTTCTACAATGAACATGTATTGCTTTCCTCGTGGTGAGAAAATGAACTTGGTTTCTCAAAACTATCATATGTTCATGGAAACACTGGGGAGTTATTTGATTTTAAAATTGTTTACCCTCTGAAAATCCACCAGAGAGGCAGCCTAGAAAAATCACAGTGAGACTTCACATAGAAGTTCAACCATTAACAGTTTCAAGTAATTAAGAAAAGATACACAAAACCCTGGGGAAAGGAGACCAGGGAAAATAATTACAGATTATATATGTGGTTCTAGAAGCTAATGTCAGCAAAAAGGAGATGGGCAATTAGCAATTTAATAACTAAAATATTTTTCACCTCTGTAGGGAACCATCAACATCTGGTAACTTACTTAAATACTCATGTGTATTGGTCATTGTCACAAAGGATTAGAAATCAGAATCTCTAGTTGGAAGTTCAGGATTTCTTACCTACCAGCTACGTAACTTTGACAAGTCATTTGCAACAGCTGATATTGGGATAAATGGGAAAAGGGCAGTGTTGCTGCAAAGATCAAGTAGATAAAGTATGAAAAGTGGTAAGTGAACCACTGAATATCAGACAAATGTAGATTTGTTTTTATTTGAAGATGATTGAAAATTACCCTACATGTTTTACCCAAGAAACATGTGCCAATCAGCTAATCAAACCAACTACAATGAATTCTTCATGTACCAGGAACTGTCCTATATGCTTTCATATTTATGATTTAAATTTTATTAAAATAACACTCTGAAAATTAATGATTCTACTGGAGGCAAAAATGGTAGTCATAATGAAGAGTACTCAAATAAAAAAAGGACAGCTTCTCCTTCCAGAATCTCCTGAGTGAAGTCAGTCTACTCTATCCCCCATAGGAAAAAGGAAAGCGATCTACCTAATTAGCATATCAGCAAATGAAAGTGACTTTGAAATTCTACCTTTGTTTTCCTTGAGAAATGGCCTAGAAAATATTTTCATGTATTTATACTTGCAGATCAAAAGAGAAGGATTAAATTTAGGATTGGTTTAATATTAAACTCATTAGCTTTGCAAATAGAAAAATCTAAAGAACAATCAATGTTGCAGATACTTTGAATATCTTTCTGCAGCTCTGACCTACACAGATACAAAGTGAGCTTGTCGGCACTGGGGAGCTAATCAGGAAAAGGACTGATGGAAAGAGGAAGAGAGAACATCTCTGTGGCAAATCCCTCGTGACTGAGGACCGCATATCTGGTATCTACATTTTGAATGTAATTAGGGAGCCATGTCTTGGTTATTCACCATTGGGGTTGCTCTAGTTTTGTCTACCTGAAGTAGTTATTCTTGGTTCTCTTTTTCAGAAAACCTAGTCTTTTCAAGAAACATTATGAAAAGAGCGTTCCCCACTTCCTTTGAGAAGTTGTATGTTCTTTCTGTGACATGCGGTAGATCCTGTGATGCCATTTGGAACTCCCTCTTCCTCAGCCAGCACTGTTGTTCCCATATATCTGAACCTTTATTCTATTTTCAATATTCATAACAGAATTAATCCTGTATCTGAGTGGCTTCTTTAGTTTTCAAAACTATTCATCCTAGTTAATGACACAGAAAAACTAACAAAAAATAGGTATTTAGTTTGGTACCAATAGAGTAGGCTCTATTAGAACACCACATGCTAATTCTTTTTCAATTCTCTTCACATCTTGACACACGGACAAGCAAATCACTCACAGTGACGATTCATGGGGTCTTTTGAGAGACCCTCCAAAAATTCCAATCTTGAAATCCCCAAAACAAATGAGAAGCAACACAGCTGTTAACCAATTTCAGTGTTATATCAAGATAACTGATTAGATTTCTTAGAAGAAATAGAAGATCTAAATGACACATGGATTCTTTAGACCTTGACTTAATCCAGGACCCTTTGACCTTAATGTAATTGGAATGAAGCCAACTTCCACGCCACTTGTGTTTAAAACAAATGAGAAGATCGGAGAAAGTCCATACAGCTGGATGCACGGCCGCAGCTGTCAGCCTGGGTCATGTAACAGATTTAATTTAGCCTTTCATCAGAGGGAGTTCCCCTGGAGAACCTCTCAAATGTTTGAGCTTCTGAAAACAAGGCTACTTTTTCCTACCAAAAAGGAAGTGATTAAGTAAAGAATAAGCCATCTTACACTAACCCTTTAACCTTCTGTCTGTCTTGAACCACACAGTTTCATGAGAATGGAAAAACACCAGCCAAATCAAAGTTAACAACTGTGCAGCTGGGCAAACTCAGATTAAGCTGAATTTGGAAATGGCTCCCTTGGTAACAAAGACGGACACAGATCTCACAAGAAATCAATCAGCAGTAACTCTTTGAATGTCTTAGTCCATTTCAGTGACATAAAGCAGGTGAAAGTCGGTAAAGCATAAAATGTTTTGCAGATATAAGGGATGACTGTATTGTTACATTCAACACACACATTATCGTTAGAAAAATCAGAATTTTCTATTTTGTTAACCCTTAATTTCTTTAGGGAAAGCAAGGACACAAAGGAGCTTTATAGGATTTGTGATGTAAGGTGCACTTTCAAACTAAATTTGGATCTTTGAAGTCTTATTTTCTTTTTAAAGAAATCTGACCATGTATATCTCTTATGAGCATGTTAAAATTCACACATTTTTGTATAGCAAATAAAAATAAAATTTAAAAGTGGCTGCTTCTCTGTATTTGTAAAGAAGTAGAAAATATCCAAGAAGATCTAAATCAAACTAAATTACATGTCTCATTTAGTTTTCTAGAAACACTTGAATGATAATAAATATCATTAAAAATACATCACAACCCAATTACAAGGCTGCCTGACACAAGGGAAATTAATGCCTTAGAGTAAACTGGAGAATTTTAGATTAATTTATATGAAGCCTGTGATGAGAGCTGTCACCAGCTTAACCTCAGATACTATCTTATTATTTTTAATAATCACAAAAACATTCACTCACAGGTCAAGTGTTGTACACGCACATACATGTCACACATACAAATGTAAATAGTTTTGTCAACAATAGGCATTTTATAATTTCAATATGTCTTCCCATAATGACAGACCATTCTTTTATTTCCTTTCCTACCTGTGGCTACTTGAAGTTGAATATGCATAGTGGATATTTGTTGTCTTTTGGCCTATGTGGCACTCATCCTACTTTCTTTTAGTACTAGCATTTTAATTTCCTTTTGGGGACTTACTTCTTTCCACATTCCCATAAGAAGCAGCCTTGGTGGATTTGACTAATGAAAGCGTCCTGATTTTCTGGCATCATGGGTGTGTGACCCCAGCAAGACCCATTCAACGCTTTCCTGCCGAACTCTGAATCTTGAGTGGAAGGATGCAAATGTTGATGAAAGGATTGGAATTGTTTCATTTCTGGGGCTACACTCCCACAAGACTTTCCATTAGTTTGAATCATCAAAACCACCCATTTCCCACTGTTCTGAGCTTCTCTAAGTCCATTCCTCGTTCTTTTCTGAGCCCATCTCTCCACTCTTCCTTCTGTCCCCTTCTCTGGACTGTGTTTGTTCATTGGAGTAGGTTTCCAATGCTTGCAACTATAGGAATCTAATGAGATATAATACAAGGAATAGTGCCTAGAATAAGGGACTACTATTTCCTCAATTTTTATGTTTATTTGGATTTGAATGGTCTTAAAGGAGGACCTCTTTTAGCTAATGACTTCTGTCTTTGAGGTGTGGGAATTTAGGTTTGGTAAACTCCTGAATTACCAGTGCAACCCAAGATTGTCTCATTCTGTGAAAAGTACACCAGGTATCAAGCATCCTGAAAATGGGGGCTTAAGAACCTTCCTGGTTCTCCAGGGAAATACATTCAGTGCAGCCCTGATCTCTAATTTTCCATTAAGCCTTACCCATTCAACCCATCACTCTCCTATGACAGCAGAATATCTGGAAGCCAAAAAATGAGTTTAAGACCCCGTTTACCTTCAGTGACGATAGTCACATACTATAATTTTGCTCTCTGTAGGAGGTGCCTGGTTGTGTGGGAAGTTCCGGCAAACCCCTGCAATATACAACAGATCAGACACACCTAAGCTAGCAATGATTTAGGTATGTCTCATCTGTTGTATATTATAGGGGTTTCACCTTTCTTCCTCCCCCCATTTTCATCTTACAAGTCACATTTACTGTATTTATTTATTATAGTAAAACTAATTCATATGTGTTTTCTTGTAGAAATAACAGTCACACCAAATAATTGATAATAATGGTAACAATATGCACTACCATTTTAAAATAAATTACCCTGTAAATGCCAATAATGGTTATTATTTTTCTACTACCACTATCATACATAATGGCAAAGACCATAATCAGTATTTAATATCTTCTCTCACTGAATACCAACATCAACCCTGGAAAAGAACATTACTGCTCTTTTTTTTTTTTTTTAGATGAGTAAGCTTGGATTTTGAAGACTTCAACAACTTGGCTGCAAGTTGATGGGAGAATTGACATTCTAACCCAGCTCAGTTTGAAGCCTATAGTCCACTCCACTCCACTCTACCAGCAAAGAACATAGCCTTGCAAAACAGAGAACAGAAAACAGAAATGCTTTTTCTTCACTCCCTGTTGGGAGGATTCTGGAATAGAGCTGTGATTTGGCATACTATTTCTGCTCCACTTTTGAGTTTCTGCAGCAAACGGCAAGAGAAGGCTGGGGCTGGTATAATAAGGTCACCAGGCACCTCAGGGGAACAAAGTGGTAGCGAAAGAGGACCAGGCCGGGCCTGGTGGCTCAGGCCGGGTGTGGTAGCTCACGTCTGTAATCCCAGAACGTTGGAAGGCCAAGGTGGGTGGATCACCTGAGGTCAGGAGTGCGAGACCAGCCTGGCCAACATGGTGAAACCCCGTCTCTACTAAAAATACAAAAATTAGCCAGGCGTGGTGGCATGCGCCTGCAATCCCAGCTACTCGAGAGACCGAGGCAGGAGAATCTCTTGAACCCGGGAGGCAGAGGTTGCAGTGAGCTGAGATCTCATCACTGTAATCCAGCCTGGGCAACAGACTGAGCCTCCATCTCAAAAAAAAAAAAAAAAAGTTTATAGGAGGGAAAGAAAATGAAAAGGTAGATTTAAGGAACCATATAATGAATGTTATTAGTGTGTATGTCAACATCCACAATGACAATTGCCACCAATTGAGGGAATCTTTACAATCAAAAAGTTTTGTACCACGGCCACCTTCCAGGAAATAAAGGGTTGCTGGGATCATGACCCTCCTTCCTGTCCCTGTTGCTACTCTTCTTCTCTAGCAAATGGTCCAGCCCATGCTCAGAAGCTTGGCTCACTTCTGGTTTAACTCTTCTCCCTCCCTTCGCAGTCAGCTGCTAGGGAAAGGAAGACCATTCTTAGTTAAATTACAGGTACCCCTCCCATTTCCATTTTGGAAGCAGCTTCTCTGCAGCTCCCTGACACATGAGCTAACTGTTCAGTGTTGCAGCTCACACCCAGGTCCTCTGATCTGTGTTCACCTGGATTCTTAGGCAGACCAAGTTTCAAATCTCACATCTCCATTTCTTGGATTGAATTCACATCCCCCGGTTACTCCTGCTTCTTTGCATTCTTCAACCTGTCCATTTCCAACATTCATTCCTGCTTTCCTTTGTGTTTCAACCCTGATTCAGCCTTGTTTCATTGTTCCTAGAACCAAAATCCTGGCTCCTGGAACCCCATCCATTGCTTCTTTCAGCTAACTGGCTCGTTTCACAACAGCCTAAATAAGCAACGCCCTATGAATGGTTGTACAAAACAAAGAGATAGCACCTAACGAAGCACAGATCACCAGTAAGGGAGGCTTCTCACATTAGCATGGAAGATTCAAGAAGAAAAAACTGACTTGAACAATAATAGTACAACACAATATAAAATAATGTATATTAGAGATATGTTAAAGCTATTCAGATTATATCCTCTACTTATAGTTTTCATTTTTATTTTCCTATTAAAGTGCTAATAGGTACTTTAAAGATAAGAGGATGAATTTTCATGGGTATCCAGTTTTCCAAATATTTTGAAATCCTGCAGATTAATGACCCATAAACCAGTAACAACTTAAAAACAACAAATCACATTTATTTAAATATGTTCATATATTTTTATGACTGTGCAGATGATTGATATAGTAATTCAACTTAAGTCTGTTTTTAATCTTTCTAAATTAGGACACATAATTTAGGAAGGAAATGATCTCTTTATTGACTTCCTTTGCACTAGAGATCATACTGAAGAATTTTAGTTAAAAAAAGAATAAAATAAAAATAGAAAGGCAGTTAAAAAGAAAACCATCAACTGCAGACCACCACACACATTTCAAAAATTAAGGGAAGAAGTTCTACTTGATGATCTAACATGACAATTTCACTTTTCCTTAAGCTTTTTTCATAACACAACTTCAGTCTCTCAATTGTATGTTGTTTGTGATAAGTGGCATTTCTCAGACAATACACTTGAAAATTAGATTAATAAGGGAAACTTTCAAAACAACTAAAAATTCTACATAAAATATACAGCTTCAAATAGCATTTGAAAAAAACCCAGAATATACAGACTAGTCCATCTGGGTCAAGAGGGTATAAAATCTGGGTTGCATAATTCTTAGGAAGTCACAGAGCTCTGGATAGGTATTTGAGATTACTGTAAAATTAAACCATTTCTAAATTTTCTTTCGATTCAGAAATGACTTGAGTTCAAGATCTACATAATCATCACAAAAACAGATATGATAAGTATCTGCAACGATCACTTTTTTCTTCTTTCACTACAATTTATGAGTATATCCAAAAATTTAAAAGAAGTTATTGCTTTCTTCTTTAACTTTAGGTCTCATCTTTATTTGTTGGGCATTTTGTCAACTGAATTGCTCCTTCCCTCATCACTATTCAAATGAATAGGCTCTGAAGCCAGTCTAGGGATGTTGGTTTAAGATTTTTTTTTCTTTTCTTTTTTTTTTTTTTTTTTTTGAGTCAGAGTCTTGCTCTGTTTCCCAGGCTGGGGTGCAGTGGCACGATCTCGGCTCACTGCAACCTCTGCTTCCTGGGTTCAAGTGATTCTTCTGCCTTAGCCTCCCGAGTAGCTGGGACTACAGGCACGTGCCACCACGGCCGGCTAATTTTTTGTATTTTTAGTCGAGATGGGGTTTCACCGTGTTAGTCAGGATGGTCTCCATCTCCTGACCTTGTGATCCACTTGCCTTGGCCTCCCAAAGTGCTGGGATTACAGGCATAAGCCATCATGCCCGGCCGGTTTAGATTTTAGAAAGCTTAGATGAATGTGCTGGGCACGGTACAATGAGGCTGTGAGTGGGTTTCAGCTAAACTCTGCTTAGACTGGGTAGAAAAAAAACCATGGTATTTCTGAAATAAACTGTATTGACACATAGAAAGATCTGGGACCCCAAGCACTCAGCTTAATGCAGTTCAGAAGTCTGTCTCCTAGGTGGTTCTGTTACCAAAAAAAGATTCCCAGGAGAAAAGCGTGACCTGTAGTCCAGTGACTTCGACTGCTGAAGGCACTAGAAAGACAATTTCAGTGTCCCTTTTCCCTTGTCCTTGGAAATGGAAATATTTTACTTAGTTTTAATAACACTACACAACACTTGTAACTTTGGCAACACTTGTAACTTGTAACTGTTCAAGTTACACAACACAACACTTGTAACTGTTCAGAATGCACAGTACCAAACTGAATTCTAATAAGCAATCTTAACGCAGGATAGGTATTATTATAAGCATTTTACAGAAGAGGAAACTGAGGTTCAGAGTGATTTAAGTAACTTGCCCAAGGTCATATAGATGGCAGGTGAGAGCGGCAGGGAGAACGACTTCCTCAGGATATCTGTTTCAAATCCTAGTGCTCTAATTACTCGTTGCACTTTCTTGGATTCCAAAATGAAAAGCACATCTCAGGATAATACTTAAGGATGGATCAAACAATCCTGTACTCAATACAAGAGACAACCTGTGAAAGTAGATATGCCTATCTTAGGCAGACCAAAAGCAGGCAACTGTAGCACGGACATCCCCAGTGCCTTCTGTCGTCGAAGAAAGCTAATCACTGTATGAATGATCTTAATTAAATTTGAATGCATTGCTAACTGAATGCTGTGGGAAAATACCGCGTCCTTACTGGCCGCTCTTCCCATAGTACTCAGTAGCAATACATTCAAATTCAATTAAGATAATTCATAGAGTGATTAGCTTCATTATATGGTGAGACTCTGGGGACTGTCCTCTTGCCAACACTGTATGAGTGGTCTCGGTAAGATAGACACGTTCTTCTGTGCATTTTCTCTTTTAGTGGACACAAGAAATAACTCTCAGGGTGACATAATCCATGCTACTTCTAAATTCCATTGAGATAAATACAGCAGGGAAATTATGTTTTGGGGACAAGACTCAAGTTAAAAATAATCTCAAACCAGGCAATATTTTGAAACAGTTATTCTCCTTAACAGGCTGACAAGGCTCTTTTGGAGTCAGTAGGGAAGATATATCTGACCAGTGGGGAGGAAGTGGTTAGGTCCAGGCTCTTATTTCTGACCAATGGGGAGAAAGAGGTCAGGTCCAGGACTCTGCATATTCCAGTTATGAAATACCCAGTGGAAAGATTAGAGCTACATTTAATGTGAACAAGGGTAGGGGCTCAACTGCATGTATTCACCAATGGCAGACACACACTCCTGAGATAGAAACTGAACAAACAACAACACAGTACCAACCCTCTGAGCAGACCTCTAATAAACTCTATTCATATCAAGTTACCGTCAACTAATTGTTAGTATAAAGAGGGCCTCTATTCATTGAGAGGCAACGTACTTATTCATATTTATAAAGAGCCTATATATATGCATGTGTGTGCATATATATATATATAATATTTTTGAAAAGCCATCTCTGTTTCTATATTAAAGATGTTTCTATGAACAAAAAGATCTTTCACCCCTAGAACTGTGGTTTTCATATGGGTGATCAGTGATCACCCTCCCGGAGACGTTTAGCAATGTTTGGAGATGTTCTTGGTCATCACAACTGGGGAGGGATTGCCACTGGCATTAAATGGATAGAAGCCAGGAATTTGCTAACCATCCTACACGGTACAGGATAGCCCCCCACAGAAAAGAATTCTCAGACCCCAAATGACAATAGCGCTGAGGTTGAGAAACCCTGCTCCGAAAAAGGCAAGCAAAGCCAGATCCACCATGTGAAATGAACATTCTTCTAAAATAAGCTACCCAGGAATATTGCCGCAACCATTTAACATACAAAGTGGGCCCTTCACTTTACATGAAAGTCACTGAAGTGCTCTAACAATCAGCTCTGATATTCAACTGTCAGTAGTTTATAGAACTGTAAAGTTCTATACATTCTACAGTTTATAGATCTGTAAAGTTCTGTAATAAGTACAGGTTTTCAAGCTCTCATTTTGTTTGCAAACAATAAGGCAGAAATATTTTTAACAGCAAAACAAAACCAAATCTTTTTAACCTTTAAAACCTTTAAAAGTATCACTTTTTAAAGTCCTCCTTGGCTCTATTAATCAAATGCTTATTTACTTTTTCTTTCATATTTTGGATTGCTCTTTCTAAGAATTTTAAAATAAATAATTAGTGGCATATGATAAAATAGAGCAATGACAATTTTTTAAAAATACAACCATATACATGTCATCAACTGAGTCCTTAGGCAATTAGAGGCTTTTCTTTAATAAAGAGAATAACTTCTTCAGAAATTTTAATTTGTACCATAATACTAAGATCACCTTAAATTCCAAATATTATAGTAATGTTTTAATGATTAAATTCTCTATTAATATATTTTACAAGAGTTACATGCGGTTTGAGAACAGCGTGACTTCAAAAATAATGATGGAAGTAAAAGAGAATATTTAGGACCCAAATGGAATCTTCTGTTCCATATAAGACTTCACCCAGCAGCCTCTGCTAGAATACCACTGTAGAGCTAATCATTTTTGAAAGAAAGGATTGAAGGAAAGATGGAAAGCAAAACATTGACATTTGGATACCTACAGAACTAAATCTGTGGATTTCTTCTTGGTTTACTCTCCTCACAGTTCGTCTCTTCTTCCAAAATTCACTGGGCTCCCGTTTAAAAACCTTCCCTCGAAAACTCATCGTATTGCTATAATTTGAGTCACAAAATATTTCAAAATATCAATGTCGTTAAACTCTTCTCTTCTGAAGCGTCACCAGGCTGAACAAATCTTTCTTCTTGGTAAAAAGGGAAATGCTCATGCTACATGAATGTAACTCAACAGAAAGGAAAGGAAAGCTGTCAAGTTACCACTTCCTGTGAGTAACTAACTACCAGCTGTTCAGATACTGCTTTTGTGCATATATCCTCCCTCTTCACCTGCAATAAAGCAACACAAAATGACTTTGGACGTTTAAGAGAATTGTTCACAGCTAAATAAACCATATGATGTAAAACCACCCGTGCAACCAAATCAAGATTGAATTGAACAGTTAATTGACAACAGGGCTCCACGGCTGTCAAAACAGCCACCCAAACTTTATAATTCTGGTTAGACTCCAAAAGTCAACTGTAATAATATGGCTGAGGTCTGAGAATTGTGTTTAAAGCAATTGCTCTTGTTAAGTGTAGACTAAATAAGTGATCTTCCGAGGGGAGTTCCCAAAGTGATTGTTTAGAGAACAAGAAGAAGATATTAGAATTTTTTGTATATTGGCTATCTAAATAAAGAAATTATGCTTGACTATTATTTAATAGAATGCACACAGACATGGACTCCTTGAATCTGTATGTCAAATAGTTACAAAGAGCTACAGAGTTAGTTCCCTCATCTTTAGATCTTCAAGCCCTTTCTCTGGGGCTATTTAATTTAAAAGTGCAGTTCTCCCCTCAAACCCACCCAGATGCTCTTTCCTGTTTTGATTTTCTCCATCACAGTCACTGACACGTAACACAACTGTACGGTTTATTTATTTGTTTTACTCAGGGTCTCTTCCTCTACCAGGCTGTATGTTCCATGAGCATGCAATTTCATTTCATTCACTGGGTCCTCAGTGATTAGAACACGCGGCACTCAAAAGGCTTTCAGTATATATTAGTTAAATATATGTTTAATAAAGAATAAATTAGGGATTTACATTTATTATGCTTAACAATGAACCTTGTCTCATATATATATTGTGCTTTGAAATATTAGCTATTGATAAAAGCCATATAATTGATAAACAGATATACAATATAGGAGTATGTTCAGTTTTTTTCTACTAGGTGAAGCAGAAATATTTGGAGGCCACAGGACTAGGCTGTTCTCTTTTCCCCAGTAATAATTAGATTTAGTTGATAGGCACACATGTACCCCAGGCCTGAGCCATTCACCTGTCTCTACTTTGTCATGCAGTGATTTGTGCCAGACAGGGAAAAAGGGATTCTGATTATTCCTGTCTTAGCATGCAGACTGAGAAGACCTTCTTTTGAAACCAATCAGAAAAATAGCATGATGCTATAAAATGACAGCTGGGGAGATAAATTATATCATTACTTTGTAATTGGCTTAGTTAGGCAAACTAAGGATTCCACTGAGCAGAAGTCCATTGATCCCTGGTCATTTGATATTTAGAAATTCCACCATATGTCTTTAGTGCTAAACAGATTTCACCCTCAAAGTAACGCTTTGACATCTGACAGATGAACAGGTATGTTATAGTACATGCAGAATCTTCAGATTTATTATTTTTTCCTTATATGGTGTGATGAGAGTCTGACTCTGGATCACCTGATTTCCTGGGGTTAGATTATGTGTATATGTTGATGGCTAAAAATAGTATTTTATAATCCTTTTTAGATCATGAGCTCATTTTAAAATCTGATAAAAGCTATGAACCCACTCATCAGAAAAATATAAGCACTCAGAAAATGTGCATGCATGGTCAAGAGTCACAAACTTCTGAAAACCATCTGTGGATCCATCCAACAATGGTGCCTTAAATTTCTGAATCACAGTTTTAGAAGATCAGCATACTGTCTTATAACAAAGCATTGAATAATCTTGAGAAACTGTTAAGCGACTTTCTGTCTGTCTAATATTTGCATCTATTTTGTCCTCTATTCCTCTTTAGGCACCACAGTTCTTTATCCTAGAGTTCCTCCCACTTTTCAACTTCTGCAATATGAGAATGACTCATTTCTCCATTTCCTCAGCTGCTAATCATAGCTTCCTGAAATATTGGCAAAAAGAGGCATCACCCGGCAGCATATGGGGATGTCAGATAGACAGAGTCTGTGTTGATGCAAAGGAGGGGAAAATCCAGAAGCATGGCATGGAGTGTTCCATGGGATGGCACCGCTGGGCCCTCTACAGGCTTTCTTCTCCTCGTTTCTAGACCAAGCCTGTTTCTCAACCATTCTATGAGACACTCCACACCATTCCAACACATTTCTTTTCTGCTTTAGTTTTAGAAACATATTGTTAATCAAAAGTCCTAGCTAGGACAATGGGCAAGAACCAGTAATAAGGAGCAATCAGAGATTTGTTGGCTTAGTTACAAGGAGATGCCTCCAAGTTCATTAGAAAAGAAATCCAAGACCAATAAATCATCAGAATTTATTAAGTACTGTATTCAAGACATCACTGAACTTTGTGAGAAAAATAAAACACCTTTCCTAGTTTTAAGAAGCTTGTATCCTACAGAGGAGTTCATTAGAGTTTGAAGGAGTCTGGGGAAGCTTTATAGAAAAGATATCTCTAAGGTAGGCTTTGAATAATAGGTGGGAATCAAAGAGATGAATGCAGAGGAAAGCATCCTGCTGGAAAGGAAATGTAGCAGAGGGGAGGCATCAAGGTAGAATGGTTAAAATTACAGAATCATCTGGGATTCAAATCCTGGATCCATCACTTCTTAACTGTGTGTCCTTTGGCCAATCACTCACCCTTTCCAGGCCTCAGTTTTCTCATCTGTAAAATAGGGATAGCATAGTCACTACCTTATAGGTTTGTGGTGAGGATAAATAAAATGACATCTTAAAAATATCAACACATTGCCTTGCCTGGTACATAGTATGCATAACTATTAGTTACAACAAAGGCAAAAAGGCAGGCCAAAGCAGAATATTTAAGAAAAAATTAGAAATCTGCCTGTCTACTGCCCAGGGTTAAATAGGAGAGGAGAGATAGAATCAATTGAAGGTAGAAGTCAGGAGCTAGTTCATGGAAGGCTTTGAATGCCAAGATAAGGAAAAGTTTCCACTGTATCCTGAAATCATGAGGAACCACTAAAGGATTTTTGAATTATAATTACAATAGTGCTTTAGAAAGATTCATTCGGTAGCTACATGCAGGCTGGATTGCAGATAATTTGACCCAGAGATGGTTTGCATTAATCTAGATATTAACATAGGGTGGTGGAATACAGAAAATTAGGCAACAGAAACATAACCATACATTTCAGGGAAATTATAAAGATCTAGCAATTAAATAAAAAATGAGAGCTGAAATTTACTGAGCAAGTACTATGTGCTGGATGCTGGTCTAAATTTTTTATGGAACCTATTTAAATCATCCAACAACCCTGTGAGGTAAGTATTGTTATCATTGTTATCACCACTCCAGTTTTACAGAGGAATATTTGGGTTCTGGAGAAATTAAGCAATTGGCCCAAAGTCAGTAGCAGAGCTGGGATGTAAGTCCAGGGGGTCCAGCTACTGAGCCCACCGTCTTAGCCAGAAGGGAAGTTCAAAGATGCCAGGTTTCTGACTGGCCATGAAGGAGATGGGTAATATGAGTGAGGGAAAAAGGGTGGTAAGAAGGGAGGGTTTCCCCCCTTTATTTAATGTGCAATGCTGATTTAGACATGTTGAATGTTGCATCCAGAAGATTGTCAAAAGGGAAAGTCCAGCTGTTATATGTGTGCCTAGAACTTAAGAAAAAGTTAGGACTGGAGACGTGGAGCAGAAAGTCATGAAAATAACTAAATTTAAAAGTCTAAAAGTAAACTGAATTTTTGGAGAACAGATTAACAGAATTAAGAACACAGTCTTGAAGTTCCTTTACATATGGTAGATGGAGGGCAATTCAGGAAATACTGAGAAGGCATAGAGATAAAAGGGGAAATTACGGAGCCATTACAGAGCCTCAATGTCCTGGACAGGTGAGGTTAAGGAAGGTGCTGCATGGCATCTGAACAGAGATGGATGTAGGGCCTGGCAATGTCTAAAAAGATTCAGTGTGAGAGATAGACAGGCTGAAAACTAAGGACCTTGCAGTTTTGGATCTAGACATACTTGTGCTTAAATCTTCAGCTGTCTATTAGATAACGTCCAGCAAGGTATTTGACTTATCTCTGCCTAACTTTTATATGTAAGAATAGAGCAATTAGTTTATAGCTTATAGGGTTGCTGTGAAACAATATATGTGAGTCCCTGGAGTTGTGAACAAAATATATATATGTGTATGTATAATGGCTAAGATTCCTATCTGTGTATATACATAAACTATTATTATTGAACATAATGGGTATTTGTCATTTCTTATGTAAGTATGTATTTATGTATATACATATATATGCATGCATATATGTACATACAAAACGCACAGTCTCACATATTCTTATATAAGAATTCAAAGTCTGGTCCCATGGTGTCCAGTCAGAAAGTAAGTTTGCCATTTTCAGTAGAGAAGAGGCTAGATGTTTGGAAATTAAGTAAGATGGGACACTTAACCATGATTTAGAGACATGGGAATTTGAATGCTAAAATGTCAGAAACCTAAGAAAAAGTTCTGGCAATCTGTATTAGTTTTCTATTGCCACTGTAACAAACTGCCACACATTTAGTGGCTTACATCAACCTCCATTTATGATCTGTTTTCATGGGTCAGAAATCTGCATTCAGTGCGGCTCAGCTGACTCTCTGCTTGGAGAACCACAAGACTTAAACCTAAGTGTCAACAGGGTGGTATCTCTTTCTGGAGGCTCCAGGGGAGAAGCTGTCTTCAGGCACATGCAAGGTTGTTGGCAAAATTTATTCCTTACAGTTGTAGGACTGAGGTGGCCATTTCTTTGCTGTCTGTCAGCCAGGGGTTATTCTTAGCTTTCAGAGGCCACCCACATCCCCTGACTCAAGGACCCTTTCTAAACCAGAAATAGCCAGCTGAATCACTCACACTTTGAATCTAACTTCTCCTTTTGCCTCATCTTCCTAACATATCTCTTCTTCTGTATCTCTCTGCTGTAGCCAGGGAAAAAAGCCTTGGCTTTCAGGGCCTCATGTGATCAGGCCAGGACAATCTGGAATCATTTCTCTACTTTAAGGCCACCTGATGATCAACCTTAATTTATGACTGCAAAGTCCCTTCACAGCTGTACGAAAATTCATGTTTGAATAATCAGGCAGTCTGGAGGGGACGTCTTTAAAATACAGTCTACTACGTCTTATTCTCGAATTTTGTATGCGTGTGTTTTAATTTTAACATCAAGGATGTACTGAGAAGAAGGTGTAGATGAGAAAGACACTTGGCCTTTGGTTGTGGTTTCCACTGACCACTGAGATCCAGGTTGCAATGGGACTAAGAAATGAGTGGGAGGAAATGGAAAATTGGCTTCTAGATCATTTACTGGAAAATACTGGCAGTGAAATACAGGTGAGAAGTCGAAATAAAGGTGAGAAGTCGAATGGCACAGGAGAGCTCAACAAAGTTGGAAGAAAGGAAGAAAAATAATGGTGGAGGAAAGGCAGCAAACAAAGTCAATATACTATGTGAAAGTCCTTTTTAAATGCTCAATTATGTTATTTTTTTTTTTTTTTTTTGAGACGGAGTCTTGCTCTGTCGCCCAGGCTGGAGTGCAGTGGCGGGATCTCGGCTCACTGCAAGCTCCGCCTCCCGGGTTCACGCCATTCTCCTGCCTCAGCCTCCCAAGTAGCTGGGACTACAGGCGCCCGCCACTACGCCCGGCTAATTTTTTGTATTTTTAGTAGAGACGGGGTTTCACCGTTTTAGCCGGGATGGTCTCGATCTCCTGACCTCGTGATCTGCCCGCCTCGGCCTCCCAAAGTGCTGGGATTACAGGCGTGAGCCACCGCGCCCGGCCTATGTTATGTTTTAACATGCTCAATTCTAACTATTTTCAGTTAGATAGGCTATCCAATCCGGAAATGGCATCATCACTGAATCTAAGCAACCGGGGGGCAGAAACCTGGCTTTCATTGACAATGCATTTGAATCCATTCCATTAAAATGGCCCCAAAAGTACCATTAGGAATTTAGAGTAACAGAAACATAGTGCTTAAGATTTAGACACATGTACATGATGACAGGATTCACAAGTCCTAAATTGAGCAATTGGTAAGGCACCTCCTATTCATTTCTTCCCACTTCAGTTATTACTTCCTTATTACATTTTATCTTTATTCCAAGTTTTTTAACCTGTTGAGCTTTTTGGCATTTGCCATTGATTACTTCTTCATTATCGCAGAATGCTTGGATAATTCATTTTATTTTTTTCTCTTCCATTTCCAGTAGATTTCCCCATTTGCCTGCAGGTTAGTTTGCTGCACAGCCTTTCTGTCATAGGAAAAACAAGACTGGTCCATGGTGCATCTGCAGGCTCAGCTCAACCAGTGTACACCCTGCTTAAAGGAAGTAAAGCAGCAAGTATCTACTTCCTCCTTCACTGTGGTCTCTCCTGAGCCTCAGCCCTGCAGAAGAGCTCTTAAAGTTAGTGGTACTCAGGCTCACTGCTTCCTGCTAGAAAGGTCAACCCAACTGAGCAGCTCCAAGTTACCAATGAGAGTAGACTTGTCTGGGGGAGTTTAAATGAACACGACAAAACCTCGTATTTCTAAACGTACAGTTTTCAAAGTGGACAATGTCTGTGAAATATAGGTTGGGGCAAAGGTAACTGCGGTTTTTGCGATTATTTTTAAAATAGTGGTTTTTTAAAATGGCGCTACTAAAAATGATGGCAAAACCCACAACTACCTTTGTGCCAATCTAATCGTATACAGTATTTAGAAATTTCTTGGAAAATAAAGGGTGCTGTGCACATGAGTGAGAATGTAGATGAGCCAACAATAACAGAGACTGCAGTTTGTGGGTGTGTGGTGCATGTGGGAGTCTGTGTGTGCAGAGTGTGTGTGTGTGTGTGATGCATGCTTATTGTGTGTGTGGGGTAGATGTTGTGCATTTGCTGTGTATGTCTGTACAGGTATATAGGCATAAAATTATCTTGATTGCATTAAAATAACATAGTACTCCAATTATAGCCTTTCAGACAGGTATAAAGTTGTAATATTTGTTCACAGTACTGAATTTCAATAGGTTAGAAGGTGAAAATTCTCATTTAGAGAATTCTCATCAAATCAGAATTTGATGGGAGAGGGGTTTGGGTAGGTAAGAAATTCATTTCTTACAGAGTTTACAGAGCCCATCTTAGAATCTAACAGCAAACAGTGAAGGAGTTATACTTTTTCAATAGTGGACTTCATCACTGGTCAGAGATATCCATTTCCAGAAAAAAATTATAGTCCAGAGATATGTATATATCTTACCAATAAGTATCTTAGTGTGATATTTAGAAAATAAAATACATTGATTTTAGGGTTTATTATTTTCTGAATTTCCTGTTGGGCATTTAGTTAATCACCCTTTTTGAAGTTTTTGATTTTTTTTTGCTAAAGGCATCCAACTGTCTTCGAGAAGTCATGTGTATTTTAATATTTCCAGCTTCAGCCTGCTCTGCTGTTGAAAATGGGAAATCTCTAAGGGACAAACATTTATTCTTATGGAGACAAAACTCTAACTCACATGCCCTTGCCTCCATCCTCAGAAGCCAGGGCATAACAATAATGACAATGACAACAACAAAAATACCACAGCTAGCTCATAGCATTTCTAAACATGTTTCATACAAATATATATGCCTGGATTGATACTGCTCTTTACAAAGGCATGCAGCTAATTCTCACCTAGAATACAGTGTTCTTTTCCTATTAAAAAGTAATCAACTCCAAAGCAATATATTTTTCATTATACTATTTTTCCTCTACCTTTTAAAGAAAATGAAAAGCATTCCGAGCTGAAGCAGATTTCTTCCACAAATGATCAGGTGAAGACACACAAATACAGCCTCCAAGAAGATGAGGCTGAGGAGATCTGAATCAATGCAGTTATCTTTTTATCTTATAGGGACTGTTTTCCAATTGCATTTTCCCTAGAGACAGAGGTATCCTGTCTGCTTGCTGGCTTGGAGCCTACTCCAGCTTCCCACTACTGGCAAAATTAACTACAGACCAATGTTATTTCCTTTAAAATAAAACAAGCACCTAAAATTGCCCTCCTGTAGCCATTCAAACTACTCATTACCTTGCTTTCAATATGAATGTCACTCACTGTTTAATAATTACCCTGAAAAGCACATTGTATGTAAGTTTTGTGGGGAGACTAAGGTCTTTCAAATCTGTAAAGCTCTAATGGAAAAATTGGTCAATTTATGGAATACCACCATTACATATGCTTTATTCTTGTGGCTGTCTTTTTACTGCAGAAGGATTTGTCTTTATAAATGGAAGGCAATAAAGCATTATTACCTAAGCAATTTTGAGAAGGAAACTAATTGTCATGTAAATGCCAATTGCTGAGTGTGAAGGCAACCAGATATCTAGACCAACAATTTATTGCTAGTGGATCAGATTGTTAGCCTAGGTACAATCCCTGTAACCCAGTCGACTCCACAAACCACTTATTTAATGGCACCGTAATGCATTTGTGTCTTTTAAGGCCTCCACCAGGAGATAAAGCTAATACAATACTTTGATTTAAGTGTTTAATGCCTTGCATTGTGGAAATTGGAGAATAATGGTAGGGTCTTGGGTTTGCAATCAAGAACTTTGTGTTTTGCAGATAACTAATTGTTGAATTTCCTTTATTTAGTTGTGCACACTGCAGTAAATTCTTGACATTTTGAAGTCCAGTAGTTAAGGTCCCCAATTAAAGGGCAAATTAACCTCTGGGTATGTGTTCTGCACCTCACTAGGTAAACAAGAAGAACTGAAATAGCAGAGAAACAAGAATTGGATACCTCTCATAAGGGCACCCATATGTATTTAATCTAGTTTATGAGAATGACTCTCTGTCAAACATTGTTCGTGTCTGTCCAGTGCCAGGAATCAATGATAAGAGAGAATTAGAACAGACTATACACAGTCCATGTGGGGAGATGATGGTACACATAAAACACAAAAGGCAGAAACGAAGTGACAAATGAAGAATATGGGTTGCAGCATCTGAAAACAAAGGAGAACATTGTGTTGGCCAAGGTGAAGCAGGATTTCTTCATACAAGCACTGAGACTTGATTTGGGACCTGGACAATAGTAGGACTTTGAAAGTTACTACTATAACCCCAAGAGAAGAGACTCTCCAGTGTTTGTAAGAATCACATGGATAAGTTGTTTAAAATGTGGATTCCTTGACCCTAACCAGGAGCTCAGTAGCTCTCATTTGGGGGGTTTAGTAATCTGGCTTTATAAAGACCATCCATTGGCGGGCACGGTGGCTCATGCCTGTAATCCCAGAACTTTGGGAGGCCAAAGGTGGGTGGATCATTTGAAGTCAGGAGTTCGAGACCAGATTGGCCAACATGGTGAAACTCTGTCTCTACTAAAAATACAAAAATGAGCTGGGCATGGTGGCATGCACCTGTAATCCCAGGTACTCAGGAGCCTGAGGCAGGAGAATCACTTGAACCTCGGAGGTGGAGGTTGCAGTGAGCCGAGATTGCACCACTGCGCTCCAGCCTGGGCAACAGGGCGAGACGCTACCTCAGAAAAAAAAAAAAAAAAAAAAAAAAAGAGCATCGAAGTGATGCCTGTTAAAGACACTACACAGACCACACTTTGAGAAACAATGCCTCAGAAGCTGGTTCACCTAATAGTTTTCTTAGGCAGAAAATCATATAATAGTGCCCTCTGTGGCACTACCTCCCAACACAAACTATTTTTATACTGCACGGAGATCTCATTTATAAAATCAAATATTCTCTTTTCCTAATGTATACTCAGTCAGGTGGAATTAACTAACCAGCTGGATCACACCGCATGTTTAGGAAATGGAGGAGAAAACCCTGGAATAAAGCCAGCCTCTTCACTGGCCACGGCTGTGCTTGGAATTTGTAAACCTGGTCATGCTTGTCATGTCCCTCAGGTATTGTCTAAATCAGGGTTTCTTAAACTCAGCACTATTGACATCTTGGATCTGATCATTTGTTGTTTGTGTGTGGGGGTGTCCCTTGTATTGCAGGATGTTTTGTAGCATCCCTGGCTGGCCTCTACCCATGGATACCAGTAGCAAACTCCCCGCCCTCTGCTGTGCCCATCTGTGACAGCCACTGAGGTCCTCAGAAGTTGCCAAAACTTCTTGGGGGAGGGCAGGGAAAAATCTCTCCCCAACCCTAGGTCTAAATCTAGTATTTAGTTTTTACTTTCCGCCCCCCCCCGGCTTTGTTTTTCGGAGATGGGGTCTCACTCTGCCACCCAGGCTAAAGTGCAGCGGTGTGATCATAGCTCACTGCAACCTTGAACTCTTGGGCTCAAATGACTCTCTTGCCTCAGCCTGCTGAGTAGCTGGGATTACAAATGTGTATCATCACACCTTTTTTCATTTTAATTTTTTTTGAGGTGGGGTCTTGCTATGTTGCCCAATCTAGTCTAGAACTCCTGGTTTCAAGAGATCCTCTCACCTCAGCTTCCTGGTAGCTGAGATTACAGGTGTGAGCCACCAAATCCAGTATTTCCTTGATGATGGCTTCCAGAGCCAGGGATCTCCTGGCAGATGGTGGAGATTTCTCTTTGGACCAGAGTTAGTACCTCTTGAAAGCCGAGCTGACTTGCTTGGAAGAACCTCAGACCTACTGTCCTTCAAATCAGTGCCCTCTTTCACTTCTCTACATGTCTCAAAACACCACTATTCAAATTAGTGCATAAGCCTAGGTTTCTGTTTCTGTTCTGGGACGTCTCTATTAAAATGCAGCTTCACTTGCCTGGAAAAGCTACAAACCCATTATAATCTTCAATAACTTAGAATATTATCTCAGAAGAGGCAAACTGGTCACCTAGGCAAAGGCCCAAGGAATTGGGGATGAGGATACACGTTTCAAGCATGAAAGCATGTCATTGGGACTGTGGTGTTGGCCACTGTGGGTAAGACCACTGTGCTGGCCTTCACACTTACTTGCCAGGTACCTCTGGGTGACTTCCCTAACCTCTCTGGAAATGAGTCTCCTTATCTGCAAAATAAAGATAACCACAGTATCTACTTTATTAGATGTTGTGAGGCTTATTAATAGAATATTGGTGAAGTGCTTAGCGCCATGTGTGGAATATAATAAAATGCTCAGTGGATGTCAGTTGTAAGTTGGATTATAAAGTAATTGTGTTGAGGTCATCTTGAGCTGCGCTGCTACAGTGTATGGTTTATGAGTGCAGGATGATCCTAGCTGCTCATGCATTGAGCATTAGGAGGAGGAGCTCCGGGCACAAAAAGGGCACCAGCTCCGGGCACAAAAAGGGCACCTCGAAAGTGGCAGTGAAAGGAATAGGATGCTTCAGAAAGGAAGGGAGTAGCCAGAAGACCCCTTGGTTTGGATAAGGATAATTAGGTTAAACAGCCTCTCTTCCCCTGCACACTCACTCCTTCCACAACTGACCTCTTTGTGCTCATTGTGTCTTGCAACACTGGCTATTTCATTTTTAAATCCCCTCTGTGCACAACTACAAAAGGTTCCAATTATCCTATTTCTGTCATCTCCCTTTATCCCACAAAGAAGACTCAAATTCCAAGGAAGTTAAGAAAGCCAAGTTTTAACCAATATCATATGTTTAAAAAAAAAAAAGAACTTTTCATGGTTACTTTTCTGCCTAAGCGGGACTGTAAATTCCCAGAGCAATAAACAGTATCCTCTTTATGTTTCAACGGTGCGGGATCTCCTACTGGCATGTGGCAAATACCAACATTATAATTACCAATTTGATGTTGTGAACAGCAGAAAAGAGTATTGCACTTTGTTTTCTCCCCGTCTTCCTCTTTTTCCTTTGAATAAATTTCCAAGGCCACGGAAAGGTATTAAAGTACACTGACAAAGAGACATTTAATCTGACTTTGTTCTCTTTTGCAAGGGTATCATAGATTGGGAAGGAGATCCGCTACCTAGACTGCATCAAAAGATCTTTGGCAGCATTTAAAATTGGCATCCTTCTTGCTTTGGTTGGCATTAGGGAACATATTTTCAGGAACCAGTTCTGAATTTGTGTTGACTTCTTCTTTCTCACTGCCCATAACTACAGAGTGGAGACTGCCATGATAAGCCATTTCTTTTTTTCTTTTAGGCAGAGTGCATCTCACTGCATTCACAGTGAGGAGAGCATTGGATGGCATCAGGAAGCCTGTATTCAACATCTATCGCTGATAGGTTGAGTGACCTCAGGCAAAAACAGTAATCTTTCTGGACTTCTTGTTCTGAAGCTTTTTTTAAAAAAACTCTAAACTTCTATGTTTGTGTGTTTTTAAATAAAACAACTTGTATCAGCCATTTCCAGGTAAACCTACAACCGGACCCCAAAAAATAAGCCTTTATTATTTTCTTTTTTTTTTTTTTTTTACCTCAAGTACCACTTAGGCAAGAAAAATGATTTTTCAATCAGAGCTCCTCTTTCTCCACATTTAGTCCAGATGATGCACCCAAAAAGATGCTACTGTCTCTCATTCCCTGCTCTCAGCTGGATTCTACTTCAGAAGGAAACAGCTGTGCCTTCTCACTAGATGACATTGCCCTTGACATGATTTGTAAATAAAGCACTGGAAATAATTTTGGGGCTGTTTTCACACCCACTTAATTTATTGATAATATCTTGCTAAAATCTGAATATTCAGTTATGTATTTTTAACATCTCATTACTTTCGCCTTGAATACAGCTGCAAAACGGAAGCCGACACTGGGAAACCCTTCCTTTCCAACAGGCCTGATGTTCAGTTTTGTCCCCCTCTGCTCTTTGGGTTGACTTCAGTAGTCATTGCCAAGACTGAGTCTTTGTATAAAAGCCTGAGCTTTTCATCTGCTGGAGAAAAAGGCAGAGTCAATATGGGTGTGACATATACAGTCCTCCTTGTTGTGGAAATTGTACCTTGATTTTCCTATGGGGAACACCTCCTCTATCCCCTCACCTTCCAGAGCACATCAAACAAGGTGACCTGACCCACCTCCACCAATCAGATTGTTCCTTCTCTGAACTTGAACCTTGAGAGGAATGATATATAAAGGCAGAAAACAGCCATGATTTATACCAAAGACAGTGTCTTGAATGCTGCACATTTATTATCATTATTATAATTATTATTGTTATTCCTATTGTTCCTGGGCTCCTGCTCCCGCCGTGCTTACTGAGGCCTCTTGCTTAGCTCTTCCTCCAGTCTGAGGGGATTCCCCTACCTGCACTCTTTATTTTCCTTGACCTAGCTAAGGTCATTTTCTTTTTGTAACCATATAACTATTTGCAACCATATGTTTATTTACACTGTAAATGGGTACAGACATTGTGCTAAGTATTCAGGATAACCAGAAGAATAAAATAACTTATTTGTCTTTACAGAGCTTAGAGGAGTTGGTTTGGCAGGTGCTGTGATGAGAGATTTGCATCAGAAAGTACTAAAAGTCTAACAAATGAAAATTTCATTATCATTTCTTCCATATGTCCTTTCAAGGGCCAAAAAGCAAACCAACTATATGCTCATTCCCTTTCCTTCTAAATACCCTTCCATGCAACTTTATCATGATTTTACTAACATAATCATCCACCTAAGTGATAAAACTGGAAACTTGGTACTCATTTTCAACTTCCCTTATCCCTTATGTGCACAATGAACGCATCACCAAATTCTTTTTTTTTTTTTTTTTTTTTTTTTTTGAGATGGAGTTTCGCTCTGTCGCCCAGGCTGGAGTGCAGTGGCGCTATCTCGACTCACTGCAAGCTCCGCCTCCCGGGTTCACGCCATTCTCCTGTCTCAGCCTCCCGTGTAGCTGGGACTACAGGCGCGCGCCACCGCGCCCGGCTAATTTTTGTATTTTTAGTAGAGACGGGGTTTCACCGTGTTAGCCAGGATGGTCTCGATCTCCTGACCTCGTGATCCGCCTGTCTCGGCCTCCCAAAGTGCTGGGATTACAGGCGTGAGCCACCGCGCCCGGCCCCCATCACCAAATTCTAATGATTGTATATTTTCTTGTAATCCTCCTCGTTGCAGCAACCTTCCTTGTGAAAGCCAGGTCTGATCAAGTTATTCCCAACTCGGAAGCCTTGAGTAGCATCCTCTCTTGTCAATATCAGTGTTTCCCCAACTGTATTCTAGAGCTTCACAACATGTTAGCCAGGATGACAGAGAAGAGATTTACAATGGCAACTAAACTTGAGAAATGCTGCGTTGAACAAAGCTAAACTGACCTTCTCACTGCAGAATTCCTCAGAGCTCCAATTCCCATTGTGCAACACAACTCTCTCTCCAGTCTGTAGTATGTGATATTTCCCATGCTTATTTTTGCATAGCAGCATTTTCTTTCTTTCTTTCTCTTTCTTTCTTTCTTTCTTTCTTTCTTTCTTTCTTTCTTTCTTTCTTTCTTTCTTTTTCTTTCTTTCTTTCTCTTTCTTTCCTTCCTTCCTTCTTTCTTCATTTTTTTTTTTGAGACGGAGCCTCGCTCTGTTGCCAGGCTGGAGTGCAGTGGTGCGATCTCGGCTCACTGCAACCTCCGCCTCCTGGGTTCAAGCGATTCTCCTGCCTCAGCCTCCTGAGTAGCTGGGACTACAGACACCCACCACCATGCCCAGCTAATTTTTGTATTTTTAGTAGAGACAAGGTTTCACCATGTTGGCCAGGATTGTCTTGATGTCTCCACCTTGTGATCTGCCTGCCTCGGCCTCCCAAAGTGCTGGGATTACAAGTGTGAGCCACCACGCCTGGCCACATAGCAGCATTTTCTTACAGGGTACATCTTATTCTGTGTCACACAATTTAGGAAATGATCTGTGCAACTGAGTCTCAGTGAGAAAACTAGTGAGATAGAATTTCAAATTTTTTAGCATAAGAAGATGTCAGTGACATCTTCTCCAGGGGGTACAGGAATTGCAGGAGTTTATTGAGGAGCCATGAAAATCTGAACTAGGGCAGATGCCAGGTTGCACTGGTGCTAAAACAAAGAATTGACAGCATGGTGGCTGGCTGACAGGCTTCAGGGCAAGACCTCTGCATCTGTCCCAATTTTGGTCTGTTCCTTCCCTGAAATGAACCCCAGCCAAATCACACATCTCTACCAGGAATCATTTTTTCATAGCAGTTTGACCAAGATACTTGTGCCTATCAGTTAGGGGAATGCATAACTTAAATAAATACTTCCAGTTATTTTCTGAGATTGGACAAAAATTGACACATAATTAGGTATGTAGCATTGGGTTCACGGGGTTTCTGTGAAATCTCAGCACAATAGAGTGAGGCATGAACAAATTTTCATGGTTGTATAGTAAGCACTAAATAAGCACTGTAGTCAGCATGGAAGATAATTTATGACTCAGTTAAAGGGAAAATATGGAACATGAGAGTCCACTCTCTACCCACTTTTTTCAATAACCGATGATATCTCTGATCTGCTTTGTAAACAGATTTCTAAAAGGATTTGTTGCTTTTGATGCATTAGTACTCACATCTCCTACTTGCATTATGTTGCTGAAAATTAAGTGTCAGATATTTATTACCACATTCCGCTTGTACTGTTTTACAGTCAAGAAAAGATAGTCTGACTTGTGACTATTCAATTATACCTGTGGAAATCTTTCTGAATTAGGAGCCAGAATGCATGTTTCTCAAAGTCAAAAATATAATCCTTAATCCTACATTTACATTAACAGCAAAATCATTTTCCACTCATATCAGCCAAGTATATTATAATGGATTGCAGACATTATAGTTCTCACTGGTACCTTGAAGTTGGAATACTGAATTAAAGTGAAACCCTAATGAAAATTTAAAAGAGAATAACAATTAGGCAGCCTAGGATTCAAGTTAGTCCCACAGTTGTATTTTTTTTCTGCCAAAAAATGTTTTAAGGTATATGAATTTGTTGCCAGCATTTAACAATTGGGAGATTTTTGTATATAAACCCTGGTTACTAGTTTTTTTTGAAAAATTCGAGATCTGACCATACTGATCCCACCTTTTGACCTGGAAACTGTTGTCCAAGCTGAGTGGTGGCTGAACCCTCTGGATGGGCCATGCCTGCCCTAGTTTGCTATGCTACCCACCAATCCGATTTGAGCCATTGTCTAGCCTGTTTCATTTATTCCCTTCGTGGCCTGCTGGCATGGAGTCTGGAACCCTTAAGGGTTTCACGTTTAAGACCATGTCTTTTGGGAAGAATATTGTGACTGAGACTCTGATCTAAGCCTTGCCTGATGCCTCTACATTAGACAATAATCCTAAGGATTTCTACTGCTGATATATTCGCAGTTAATACAGGTCTGCAATAGATCAATAGTTTACTCGTGAAGATTTCTCAAATGTGAATCATGTGCCAAAATTTTGAAGGTAGTAATAAAATTGTGTTTCTGTTCTGTCTAACTAGAATGCCCTCTCCTTAAATGTACAGGACAAGAGAATATTTCTTGTATTGATTAAGCCATAGTAATCATTACATTGCACCAAATTTCTTCTTTAATTTAAAAGAATAAAAACCATTTTGAGGCAGAGTCAGCTCATGTGAGAAATCAGTGTGGCAATTAATGGTATGGCTCAAACCTCTTCATGTAAATGACGAGAACGTGATGCTAAGCAAAACTTCTAAGAAGTGACAGAGATTTATTTTAAAGGGGAAGTAAACAGTTTTCAAGTAGTAATTTTATATTAAGAATGAAAGAAATATAAGGACTGTAACATGAAAGTTAGTTACTCGAAGTTAAAATTTTCAATTACTTGTCTTTCACAATTTAAGAAAAGGTGGATGCAATGTCACATTCTCATTGATGTTCTTCATCTATTTCTTCATTATCTACATTTTACATGACTTCTTCTTGCAAAGGGAAGAATTTGATGTACAGTCCAACTGACTATTGGAACAAGAAAGCTAAACTACAATCACATGTTTTCACAATTTGGTCTAAAATTCTTTTTTTTTTTTTTTTTTTACAATAGAGTCATTTCTTACATGTTATATTTTCGAAATACCTATTTAAAACTTTATGTTTGAAAGGAGAAATAAAATACAGGATGCGGAGGGTGTTAGCACAGGTGAGATGTCTTATGTGTTTTCCTTGGTGAAATTTAGATGACTGTATTTAAGTGGATGTAATAAAAATATGTCATAGAATTCAAAGTGAATTAGAACAACTACAAATAATAAGCTGCTGTAATAATAAGGGATACTTGATGATTGGTTAAACTTTAATGTGTTGTTCATTTTCTAAATGCAAACGATTCTTTAATATAGCTTGATCTTAAAATAACAAACCTCTTTGAAAGAGATATGACCTGACTCATCAGTAATTCCTTATTGAGGGCTTAAAGAGGCACAGGAACCATGGACCCAGGAATAAAATAATGATTTTTCTACAGCTTTAAGTCCTGGCCTTTAAGTATGTGTTCTTTCTTTCTTCTTTTTTTTTTCGTTTCTTTCTTTTTTCTTTTTTTAAATAGAGACACGGTCTCGCCCCATCACCCAGTCTGGAGTTCAGTGGCATCATTATAGCTCACTGCAGCCTCGAACTCCTGGGCTCAACCCATCGGCCCACCTTGGCCTTCCAAAATGCTGAGACTACAGGTGTAAGGCACCATGCCTGGCGTGGCCTTTGAATATTTCTAAGAAAAGGTGATGACTGGTGTTGAATATTACCAAATTAATGTTAAATTTCACCTTTTGGTAACATGCCCTCAAAAATGCAGATCTCCTTTCCTTCTTTTTCTTTCTCTTCTCCCTTCGGCCACTGAACCTCAAAAGGGGAGAACAGCCCGGCTATAAGAACACATACTTCAAGGATACAAGACATTCTTCTGAGAGAATGATTCACAATGGCTACGGGTAGAGACATAGGACAATGTGTTGTCCACTAAACTACCAAGTTATTTCTAGTATGGATGTCCGCAGCAAACATACTTCTCTTTGATGGTTTATGTCAATACCACTATATCAAATAAAAAAGAAATTCTTTTGGTAGAAGTCAAGAACTCTCATTAATCAACTTTTCCATTGTTTGCAAAAATATCAGCAATGAATAGGGTTGATTTTAGAAAATAATTACATTGTGTATCTCATGAGGCACATTTTTCCAAAAACATAATCATTCAGCCTTTTTGATGTATTGAACAAATAGCTTATTCGATGGGAAATGCTTTAACTTCATAGTGTGTGCAAAGTTCAAGGAGGTTTGGTGATAATCCTAAAAGTGCCCAGATTTCATGTTGTGTCAGAGAGGGAGCAGAGCCTGGCAGGTAGGAAAAGTACCCGTTTTCTGACTGAATGCCCAACAAGTAGGCATTCTTGGGCACCCTTTCAAGGTCAATGTTCCTACACAAGACGGTCTGCAGTTAACTTTTCTGCCTTTATCTCTGAGTATGATTCTGTATATAGGCTATGATACAATCCTTCTTGGGTGGATTCTTGTCTTCTTTATCCCTCTATTGAAACCTCATGGCACTTTTCTTTCTGCTTTTCTTGTGGAAATTATCTTATTTCCCTTTAGATTGTATTCACTTAATACAGGCCAAATGCCTTATTGTTGTGATATCTTCTTAAATACACAGATAGTAGCTTAATTACCTTTCTATCGTTTAGAGAGCTTAGTGTCAGAACTTGAAAATAGCAGGTGCTCCATAATTATTAAGAAATTAACTGGCTTCCCTAAAACTTCCATATAGCATAAAATACTGGTTAAGCCTAAAATACTCTTTCTTGAGAATTTATTTGAAAATTGTTTAAAAAAAGTAACTTAAATTTTACCCATTTATGTAGGAAGAGTCGGAAGGCATTATATAAAACTCTGTATTTTTCTTCTCACAGTATTATTTTTGGGGGAATAAATTTCAATTCAACCACGTCTCTTATATACAAAAATGTACTTTTCAAAGAGCCATGTTTAAGTTCTGGGAGAAATGCTACTTTGGGAAATTGGAATGTATTATTAATCACATTGCTGTGGCTTCCAGTGAATGTAATTACTTACTATCTATAGCAGAATGGAACTAATTGATTAACGTTCTCCTATAAACATGCAAGCGGGCACAACAGACTCTCTGACGCCTTCAGATATTTGGCAAACATTACAGAGTGTGCAGCCTATACACCATCCACTCTTAGCCCTCTCATTCCCTCCAATTTGATTTGAAAGACTTTTCTGAAGGGCCTGCATATTCTTGATACTTAAAAATTATATCGGCAACTAGGAAAGCACAATTGGATGGTGCCCCACCCCCCACCCCCCGTGGCCCTTGATTGTCGTCTTATCCTCCCTATAGAGAGATAACCTTATTTGAAAATAATGGCCTCTTTGCATTAGCATGATACAACACAGGCTGTTTTGAATATACAAAATAACCATCACCAAATGCTTCATGGCCTGTTAAGATTTATATAAGACTGACTTTCTTCTTTTATGCATGCGTAAATCCCAGAATATAATTTTCAGGTCAACAAAAGGGAGATGTTTGCTTTATCGCTATTTTCTAGAAATCTCAAGTCTTTATTTCCTCCTTCTGGAAGTCAGTAAGACTACTACTGTCAATATGCGAATCATAAAACTGATCACACAGCCTTTAAACCTCAGTTGTTATCACACAGCATCCCTGAGAAAGAGGGGAATAACTCTCATTTTAAGATGCTGAAAAATACTAAGTGTGACAAAGAGAGTAATGGGCTACATATTAAGTTTCTTTGGACCTAGACCTCAACACTTGCTGGCTTTATGGCCAATTATATTTTATTGAGGCTGTGAACAAATATGAATAAACCTTTCATACCAGCGAGCTCATGGTAATAAAGTTAAATAGCTCATCTAGAAGCAGGTACTCAGATGAAAAAAAAAAAAGTAGAGGCTCACATTTCATGGTATCAGGGATAAAGGAGGCGGGAATTACACATGTTTGCAAACCCCTTCAGTTTAAAACATTGTAGCTGCTAAAACAAGAGTACATGAAACGACACTGTCCATTGTTCATGGAATATCAGGACCAAATGGATAAAGTTCACCCTATCCTCTAGTCTTTTTTTTTTTTTTTGAGACGGAGTCTCGCTCTGTCGCCCAGGCTGGAGTGCAGTGGCGAGATCTCGGCTCACTGCAAGCTCCACCTCCCGGGTTCACGCCATTCTTCTGCCTCAGCCTCCCGAGTAGTTGGGACTACAGGGGCCCACCACCATGTCCGGCTAATTTTTCTGTATTTTCAGTAGAGACGGGGTTTCACCGTGTTAGTCAGGATGGTCTTTATCTCCTGACCTTGTGATCTGCCCACCTCGGCCTCCCAAAGTGCTGGGATTACAGGCGTGAGCCACCGCGCCCAGCCGGCCTATCCTCTAGTCTTATCTGGTGTTAAAATGTTTACCCTCAGATGTCTTAATGATCTCCATAATAAGTAAAATTTCAGGTTTTTGCCCAATGTCTTGGCATTGGGTAGGTCAACCCCAAAGTATGATTTTATAATCAGGTTTCTGAAGTTGCCACTTTACTTGGTGACTATGACTGAAGTACGTTATAATAGCCAGTACAATAGGCCTCCTTACCAAATCGCACCAGGAAATTAAGCCTCAAACTGGCTCTGTGTTGTGTGTACTACACCATGATCATGTTTAATTTTCTAATTAGAAAGACCTTCTCTTAATGAGTCAGATGTTAAGAGTCATGGAAATCCATATTGTAAAAAAAAAAAACCACATATATGTAGTTGTTAATAATGGTTTTCTGTAGGGATCTGAGAGGAGTGTGGGACTATAGGGAAGAAGTTTTAAAAAAATGACCTCAAATGTTTTCAATTTTTATTTTATACTGGTATGCAGTATTTATATTTTTCTCATAGTATATACTTCTTTTACAATTTAAAAATATATAAAAAGAAAAAATGGAGAGGCTTTACTCTGTCTTGATTTTTTATACTTCTGCAACTGCAGTTTTCTGATACTTATTCATTATGTATTTTGGGAAAACATCTAAATGGAAATCACGAGCTGAATTTTGAACTGAGTCCTCTAAATCTAAACTTTTGAACATAGAGTAAGATAACCATTTGGAGAAAAAAACAATGTTAAATTTAAGCCATGATTATGATCGTAAAAGGGAGCACTTGCTGAGAAATCAAGTATGTGTGAAACAAACATGGCAAGGAGAGAGCTAACAGAAAATGGTATGTTCAGTATTTTTGCTGACCGAAATAATTCCCATGTGGTATTTTAAAAAGAGCGCCAGAAAATGACCTCCCGGAACTAAGAATAGTTTAAACTTTTGATTCATAAAACCACAGGAAATATGAATCAAGGAAAAAGACAATCCCAGGCAGGGCAGGTGTGGGGCCTGAGGAAGCTCAACCCCACACAACAGTTCTCATCTCCTGCAACCTCCCCAGCCCCTCTCCCTAATTTCCCACTTCAATGACTGCCCTTTGGCACATAGCTGCTTTTAATCCACTTGGTATTGAGTATTTGGGATTTGGAATTCTGTGTAAAATGGTGATAATTTGATATTTACTGCTAGAAGGTGAGCGATCAAATGAGACAGCTGCTAAAATTTATGAATTCTATAACAATAATTTCAAATCCTTACTGCTTTTACCTTCCCAAGATTCTAAAATGACAGATTCAGTCCTAACTGACTAAGATACTAGATTATTTTTCCATACATACAAGGTCAATTTAAAAATCTGGTTACCAGGTTAATGGATGTAACATCATAAACGAGTCTTTATCCAGCTACATAGCTACATGGTATGTGCACATGCAAACATTTATAGTGCATCTATGGATATGAATAGGGCTGAATGTTTAAAGGCAACACAAGGTGTGAACGTCTCTTTAACTGACTGTAACTCAAACAGAGCCACAGACAGACACACACTTAGAACTACCCCCTACACTTCAACCAAACAGAGGCAGAAGATTGGGAAGGTGAACTCAATGTAGGGCTTGCCAAATCCAGGAAATAAGGAGGGCTGCAGAGAGGCACAGTGTCTTCTGCGGAACCCCAGGGCAAAGCTGTTCAGCTGTGATTTTTTTTCTACTTTTTGGCGGTCTCAGTTTGAAATTAGGCTCCTGGCTTTTGCCAAGGAAGTGTTAAAAATGTGCACTTGTGTGAAGCAGCAGCAGTCCTCTCAAATGGGGGTACCAGATTTCTCTGGTTACTTTTTAACTCACTCAGTGATGATATCACTCCACAATCCTAACGTTTCTCCTTTCAATCTCCACCCTTAAGAAAGTCATCTAACGTCTTGGTGTTCTTTAATGACCTTAACCACATCTGTAGCGAACATCTTCTAAGAACAGATCTGAAAAGCTTCTGTAGGTGAACTTGGGTGATTCCAAAGGTCCTTACGGTTTTGTGATGAACACATATATGGTTCATCATTTCTTTTTGTTATAGTTGTGCAAAAAGAAGACGAATTTGTGATGAGACTTTTTATTCCCCACTTCTTTGCAAATGAGTCCTCCAGGGCTGTTCACTGGTTCATTTGCCTGGAGGTCAAAACAAAAGCCTCCGATGCCCATCATGCCAGCCCCTGAAGATGTGATACTACCCCAGTTCTATTAATCACAGATTTGCTATGCTTCACTCAATTTTCAGAGCTAAAAGGAAGAAATAGATGCATGTAATCTTTAACTTGAAACCCATCAGCATTCTTTTCAACAGCATGGGCAAAAATGAGACAAAATAGGATGGCCACTATGAAAGAACCAACATCTTTAAGGAAATAAAAACCAGAGTGGAGGATGACACAGACTGAAGTGTCACCTTTAGAGTGACAGAAAAGCAGGCCGGTTTTAAAGCAAACCTTTAAACAGTCCCCTTTAACAACCACAGGCCACTTTAGTTTCATGCTTAATTTCTTTCCCTGCTCGAGGAGCCTCTTCCTTGTCTACATCTCTCCTTGTCCTTGATCCCTTTCTCTGCCTTTTGGCTCACTCATTTCCCCCAGTGGCTTTCATTTGGGGAATATCATTGGGTTCACTGGCTTTTTCACTGAGTCGTCTTTTTGAGCAACTCTGTTCACCTGATGAGTGTTCTATTTAATATTCTAGTTTCCTTATTAGTGGAGAACTGAAGGGTAGTCATGTGTGTCAAAACGTCTCCCCAGAATTAATCCAATCTAATAAACAGTATGTTTCTACTTGTAGAAGTAATTACTTAAATTTCTATGATGCAGGTGGGCAGCAGGTATTTTCCTCATTTTACAGATTAAAAAGAGGTGCAGTCCCTCAGTGATCCAGGCACTGTGATCAGTGTTTTTACTCAGTTTTCATTTAGATCATCACCAACAGCTTTGTGAGGAATCCCCACCATGCTGCAAATAAGGACACTGAGGCTCAGGGAACTCAGGGAATTATCCGAAGTCCTACAGTTCTCAAAAGGCACAACAAGCCTGATATCAATACCCAGATTTTGTCATTATATGATTCTGTTTCTGTTCTAGCACGACATTTCCGGATTCAGACTTCTGCAACATGACAGAGATAGATGTCTGTTCCCAAAATAGAATTCTATAAACCCTTCAATCCGAAGAGATTACAACAAAGTGATTTTCCCTTTTTTTCTCTTTGTTGTCTCTGCCGTGGGACCCATGAGCCCCCACAGTTGCATTCTGTATCTCCACAGCATCTGTTCTGCTCATAGCTTTACTCTACAGATTAACTTGAACTCATTATCTCTGTATTTAATCCTTAAAGAAAAGTCAAAAAACTAGTTTGGAGCAAGAATCCCTATGACAGAATTGGCTTTCATCTCCAAATGGATTTATTCCTCTAAGATAACCAGAAACTGGATAGGATTTGCTATGCTATTGACATTACTTTGTATTTTGTAGCTAGCATCTATGTAGTTTCACTTAAAATTCTGCACATACCTTGGAACTATAGCTCATTATTTCTGGATTAAGAGGAGGAAATACCATGTAGTTAAAAAGAATGTGGGTCTCATCATTTTGAGACCTGAACAAATACCCTTGCTCTGCCAGCAACTTTGTAGAAGCTACAGATAAGTCAATTTACCTGTTTGGGCCTGGATTTCATCTTCCAGTGAGGCAGCTGGATTCTATAATATCAAATTTCTAACATTTTATTCTATATAATCTATATTAAAAACCCTGACTTTTAAAGAGAAGTACCATTTGAGCAGAATAATGCCACTGTATTATTGGATATTGAACAGAAAAATGCCACTGCAAGAGATCCCAGACCTGAGTCAACAGAGACACGGAGGGCAGGAAGGTGCAGTGGGAAGAGGGTGTGGTTGGGTTGCAAGAGGGGAGGGGAGGTGGGTGGAGTGAAAGAAGTGGGCATGGCCAGATTGCAGGTGAAGAGAGGAGAGGAGGTGGGTGGAATGGGAGGAATGGGCGCGGTTGCACTGTAGCAGGGTGTGAAGTGAAAGAGGTGGGTGTGGCTGGGCTTGCAGGGAAGGTGGCAGGTACACATTTGCCTAGGGCCACACCGGATGGGTGACTTTGGACAAATGCAGTAATAGCTACACCTCATAGTTCAATGCAGCCACCACTAGCCATAAGTGGCTATGAAGTCCTTGAAAGGTGGTTAGTGTGACAAAGAAACTAAATCTTTAATTTTACTTAATTTTATTTAACTTTGATTTAACTTTAAGAATTGATTATTTTATCTAGTAACTGGAAAACATTTAACTAGTTTTGGAGAAACTTTGGAATATGAATTTACTCTTTCAACTATAAATTTTATGAAATCTGAATACTGAACAAATATTTGTGATTAAAGATTTAGCATCCAAATTGAAATGTGTTATATGTATAAATGTACACCACATTTTGAAGATTTGGCGTGAAAAAAACTATGAAGTATTGTAATAATTTTTATATTGATTACATGCCAACATAATAATAGTTTGGATATATAGGTTTAAAGAAAATATATTATTAAAACTAACTTAATATGCTTTTTTTCTTTTTCAAATATGGCCCCTAGAAAATTCAAAATTACATATGTGGCTTATGTTATATTTCAATTGGTCAGAGCTACTCCGTGTGCTTTAATTTCTTCCTTAACTATATTGGAACAAAAATCACAATATCCTTCAGAGGGACTGTGGCAACAAATAAAGAATACTGTGCAAAGTTTGTAGCAAAGTGACTATCAGAATTGGAAGTGCTCAGCAAAGAACTATTATTTTTGGACATTATTTCCATGTTCACTTCCTCCAATTATTCATAAAGCAGAATTTTAAGGTAATCTGTGGGTTACTCAGTTCTCATAAAGTGTATGAAAGCAAAGAAGGCCCTTGATTACCCAGTGACCAATATTAAGGATGCAGATAATCTACCAAATGAATCCATATTCTTTCCACCTAACAGATTCCTACTTTCTACCTTTATGACCCATAAGATATGGCTTGCATTCATTCATTCATCAAACCTTTGATTGAGTACCTATTGGTAGAAGAATCAAGATGCTGTAATTTTGCATTCTTAAGTTTCTTAATGATTACAAATCTGTAATAAAAAATCTACTCACAATTAAAAACACTGAGATAACTTTAAAATTACAAATGAGATACAATCTATTCTCCATCTCTAAATTAGTAAGTTCAGTTGTACCTACTGAACTTAAAATGCATTCTCTCTCACCTGATTTTCGACTTTTCTTTATGATTGTGGTGGTTTTAAATCCTAAACATTCAAGCTTTTGTTCCTTATAATTTTTAAATTTGGCACAATTTGAGAATGACAAAGTTGAAATTAAATGGTTAATTTCAGTTGTATTAAAGGCTGCAACATTCCTTTAATAAATGATGAAAGGAAAACAGAAGAAACTGAAAGTTAAATTTCGGAAAACTGGCAATTAGTGGATAACACAGAAGAGAACTCAAATAAACTTATGTTCTTTGAATAATCTATTTGTGTGAATAATCTATTCAATAAGTATTTCAGTGCTCTCATAAATAAGCTAACTTTGAATTTCCATTTTTACACATTTTATGAAGCACAAAGTAAGTTTCTGCTTAACAGATTCTTTTTTCTATAACAATTCTTTAAAGTAAATTAAGTTTGTAAATTTTTCTTTGTTTCAATAAGACAATATACACAATAATAATAGCTAAAACTTAGTGAATTCTTAGCAAGTGCCAGGCACTCTTACAGGCCCTTTACTTGAATTCACTCAGTGAATCCTTAAACAACCCTGATAGATAGTATGGTAGGCAGAACAACAGCCCCTTAACAACGTACATGTCCTAATCCCCAGAACCTGTGCCTATGTCATTTACACAGCAGAGGGTAATCCAGGCTGTAGATGGGAATCAGCTAACCTAGAGATGGGAGAGGAGCGTGGATCAGCCAGGTGGGGCCAATGTAATCACAGGGGTCCTTACGAGTGAAAGAGGAAGGTGGGAGAGTCAGAGATCAGAGTCGGAGAGTCGCTGGAAGACACTATGCTTCTGGCTTTGAAGATGAACCAGGACCACAAACCAAGGAATGTGGGCAGCCTCTAGAACTTGGAAAAGGCAAGGAAACAGATTCTCCCCTAGCACCCCGAGAAAGGAATGCAGCTCTGCCAATTTTAGCCCAGTGAGATCCGTTTCAGATTTCTGATCTCCAGAAATGTAATACACGTGTTTTAACTGTAAGACAATATGTGTGTTGTTTAAAACTAAGTTCGTGGTCATTTATTACAGCAGAAATAGGAAACTAAGGCAGATAGGCACCCTCACGACTCTCATTTTACAGACAGGGAAGCCAAGGTATACAGAATTTAAATAGCTGACCCAGAGATCACACTGCCAGCAAGTGCTTTGGCAAGTGACTCAGACCCACACACCCTGGTTCCTCACCCATGGCAATGCAATGTAAATCAGGGCTGGCATGTGGCATTTTCTCATGTGGTTTCTGGGTACAGAGGTTTTTCTGTTTCTTCTTAGCATCTATTTATTCTCCAGGTCTCAGCTGCATTGCCACTGCCTTAGGGGAGGCCTTCCCTGACTGATTTGAGGAGGTGCGATGTCCAAAGGATGCAGTTTTAAGGTAAGGTAGAATGCAATTCTCAGGGAAGTACTTATCATGATTACAATTTTCCATTTGTTTGAGCTCTGTGTCTGCCACCAAACTGTAAGTGCAGGGCAGCAGCAGTCTATTGTCATCTGTGCCTACCAAATGCAAGGTGCAATTGTCTCAGTTGTTTATTGAGTTTCTGATGTTTAGACAATCTAACCATGACAAACTCACTGCATGCAAATTGAATGTATTGGGCATGGTCTTAAAAACTAAAATACGTTCCAGCAGAATGAAATAGATTTGGAAAAATGAATTTCAAAAACCCTAAGCTTTAGCCCCTATCAGAGTAAATCAGTTCCATGAAAATAAAATCTGAGAATAAAACAGCTATCCACAAGAAACTTATTGAAGGCTGACAAAAATACTGTATTTATATCTGGTTTGCCAAAAGACACATTATATCCTCAACTGTATTACTCAGTTTTCACAAAGTTTTATTATATTGAAGCCTGGCGTTTAGAGAAAATCCTAAAAACTACTCTTCTAGAAGGCAAAGAAACAAAACCCCAAACAAGCATACCAGTTTTTTTCTATATTTGATTATGTTTTAAAAATTAACAGACGTTTTATTAGCAGTAATTTGTTGGAGTCTATACTTTTTCTAGCCATAAAACTACATGTTTTTACTTGGTAATATGATGTTTTTCATCTCCACAGTATGATTTCCCCCAAAACACGTACATCCACTAAAGGTATAATGTTCTCTCTATATATATCATATATATTATATATATAATATATATATATTATATATAACATATACACACACGTATATATGAGTATATATACGTGTGTGTGTGATATGTATTTATCTATAGCTCTATCTACATATAGTTGAATTTGCTTTGTTTTTGGTATAAGTTTCTATGTATCACCTCCCCCAATCACCACACCGATACTTGGTTTTCCGATTTTCTTTATCACTGTGTTGGTTTTAGATTTTAAGCTGTTTTGATTTTTCTTTTTAGACACTGTGTATTTTTTCTTTGCTTCTAATCATTTCTAAATTTGGTACAATTTGGAGAATTAAAAAGATGCAAGATTATCTGAACAAGATGATACAGGGCGTAATTGGAGTTTAGTAAGCCTTTACCTCGAAGATTTATGTTGCTAATTACTAAGGCTCTCATTACATTCAATTAATTCTCATACCCAGAGAGAAGCCATTCAATTCATTTGTCCATTTTCTGTGGCTTTGGGATGCAACTCAAAATTAGTTCACAAGGGAAAATACCTCCAAAGATTCTATGTGCTTTAAAGCTCCATGTTATACCCATTTATGGTAGACTGTTTAAACTCATACTCCATGACACAGGCTTTCTTTCCCAGGGGAATCTGATAATATTCATATATTCAAGATTCAACCTCACTGAAATGAAATAGAAACATTAGCTCAGGATTTAGAGATTCTGGAAATTGTTTCTTCTTCATACATATACTGAAAAAGATGAAACTGGGCAAAACATGTTAACATTCTTTGATAATAAAACTTTGTTAGGTTAGAATATTTACTATAGGGATAAGAAGAGAGTCAATTTATTTCCTTTGGAGTAGTTTCCATAGTTTCCATAGTATGTCCCTCTCTGGTCCTGATTGTATTCATAGGACACAAATTAAACAAATGTATGTTCCAAAGATATGGAATTACTGTTTTCATAAATAATTCATTTCCTTCATTTAACTTGCTTCCTTATATGAGGTTCTCAAAGTACTTGAGCAGGAAAGAAGAATTATTGTCTTCTACAAGTGGGGGACCCGAATGTGGGGATTTGCTGAAGGTCAAAAAGCAAATCAAGTAGAAGCTTGATAACACCCTCACTGGCCTCTCTTGTTCACTGTACCACCTTTTTTTGGGTGTGGAACAAATACAGTGAAATCCTAATGTAAATCACCTCCCTATATTGCTGAGTGAGTTACCCAGGGGATACAATGAATTCTGACCAGCATACTGTGGATTTCTTATAAGCCATGTGAGCCTGCCGACCTGCAAGACTCCATCGCTTTATAATGTGAATTAGTTTACAATGTGATTCTACGAAAGTCACAGGAACAGAAAACCAAACACCACATGTTCTCACTCATAAGTGGGAGTTGAACAATGAGAACACATGGACACAGGGAGGGGAACATCACACACCAGGGCCTGTTGAGGGGTGGGGGGAAAGGGGAGGGAGAGCATTAGGAAAAACACTTAATGCATGCAGGGCTTAAAACCTAGATGATGGGTTGATAGGTGCAGCAAACCACCATGGCACATGTATACCTGTGTAACAAACCTGCACGTTCTGCACATGCATCCCAGAACTTAAAGTAAAATAATAATAATTTAAAAAGTCAATATTCTGGTGCTTCCAACAGACAGGACAGATAATAGTCCCCATTTAGCCAACTAGGAGAAATGAGTCAGCATGTCTAGGTTATCTGGGCTTTTATTAATATTAAGTGACAGACTTGAGACTCTGACTTGAAATCTAGAGTTTCTCAATCATAGTAGTTCTCAGACCCTCAGGTGAACAACAGGTACCCAGGGAAAAAACCAAGTTCCCTGGTATCTTGTCGGGGATAACAGAAAATACGCTGTAGAGGTCAAAGTTAATTAAAAAAAAAAAAAAAAAGGTTCCTTTGTGGTTGAGGCCACGTCATTCACCAGACAGGGGTCAGTAAGCATTTTCTGTAAATGGTCAGAATACTTTAGGCTTGGTGGGCCATATATGGTCTCTGTATCTTTTGCCCTATGCCACCCTCTTCCTCCTTCTTTTGTTTTTGGTTTTGTTTTGTAACATTTAAAACTGTGAAAATCATTCTTAGCTCAAGCACTGTATGGCTGCAGGCAGATTTTGACCCACAAACTGTATAGTTAATCAGAGTGCTGGACCGAGCAAATTCTGAAGCACCAACAGAGAGGACTTGTCAGGGAGGTCTTGGAGCAGTAACTGCAATTCCCTTACTCAGAAATGTTTGCCATATAAGTGCACACATCCTTGACTCACAGAAGAGATTTCACCTTCCCAACTCACCGCAAATTTAGGCTATTGTTAATTTCCTGCCTTAGACGAAAATTCAAGACAAAGCCATATTTGGCTTGCTGTATATGCTAGATCTTTGGCAGTCCTAAATTTAAATGTTATGGTTTCTACTATTTCAGAGAAACCCCAGAAT
Organism: Homo sapiens; assembly: GCF_000001405.40. NCBI lineage: Eukaryota > Metazoa > Chordata > Mammalia > Primates > Hominidae > Homo > Homo sapiens. Next base: position 224,977,244 of record NC_000002.12, read on the forward strand.
GTTCATGGATTTTAAAGTTTTTTTTCACTTTTGAGTTGAGACCTGTGAATCTGGTGTGTGGGTATTGGTCATATAACCAAAGTGAGACTAGTAGCCTGACCAACACTTGCTTTTCTTTCTCCTCTTGTGCCACCTCTAAACTCCAAAGTGTGAACAGAAAAACATTCTCTTTCGGGGGAAGGGGAAAGAAAAAGACTTAAAATGAAGCTAACTTCTGGGGTTGGTGATGAGTAAATGACATAGGAAATAATAGACATTAACCAGAAAATAGTAAATCTACATAAATTGAATTAGTGTCTGAGAACTTTAAGAAAATATGCTATAAAGGAAGTAAAAAAAAATTATGAAAGTTTCTGTTAATTCTCCCACCAAAAAGTTTTTTTGAGTGAGAGATAAAATTAAAGCTTTAAAGGAATTTCTTCATTTTTTCCCCGTTAAACTTGACTGCATCGTAACAGGCCATTGTAATGGTCTCAGATGTCAGGATTCATGTGTTTCTTTTAAATAAGAATCTACATTAGTTAATTTTGATATTTAGCAATTTCTCTCCACTTTGGACTATATAGGCTAGACTACAATTATGCCAGCCCAAATCTTATCTCTGCACAAAGATTCAGAACCTAGACCACAGGAATGAGACTCTGATACAACTTCCATTATGAAGTTTTGAATGCCAAAGCCTTCTGAAGGGTATCAATATTCAAAGCCTTGTATTTATCCTGGCAACTTTCTTCATCCTTAACTCACTCTTGGACATTTCAATTAAGAGTTAAGTGGGCATCTTTATCAACTGAATTTTGCATATTAGTGACAACTGCTTAAAAATATCAAATAATCAACAGATCCCTATTTAGCTTCGATGTAAAAGGCTTTGGGCTGGGTACTAATGGAGCAAGAAGGAAGCTTAGAGGCTAGGTGTGGTGGCTCATGCCTGTAATACCAGCACTTTGGGAGGCTGAGGCGAGTGGAACACGAGGTCAGGAGTTCGAGACCAGCCTGGCCCACATGGTGATACCTCGTCTCTATTAAAAATACAAAAAATTAGCAGATGTGGTGGCACGTGCCTGTAATCCCAGCTACTTGGGAGGCTGAGGCAGAAGAATCGCTTGAACCCTGGAAGCGGAGGTTGCAGTGAGCTGAGATTGCACCAACACACTCCAGCCTGGGCAATAGAGCAAGACTCCGTCTCGGAAAAAAAAAAGTAGGCTTACTTTCTGCCTTTGAGGGTCAAGGTCAAAGCAAGGAGAACATTAATTAGGAAGCGATTGCTCTGGTAGATGGAATTTCCTGTCTACCAGTGAGATAAGAAAAATATGTGATCAGCAAGTAAATAAACAATTATACATTCAAGTAAATAGGCAGAGATGTGTTAGAAGGTAATGCGTGATTAACTTTCAAATGGATTTATACACTATAAATATTATAGGAGATTAGAAGAGAGAAAGATCATTTATCAATCGGTTATTGATGTTTACATTGGGCTAGGCTTTACTCCTCTTTATATAGTTCCTTGAAACTCCAGACATATATGCAACTTCCTACTTGACATCTCCATCTATAGACCTAACAGGGATTTCAAACTCAGCATCCTTAGGGTGAGCTTAGATTCTGTCTCCAAACTTTCCACTTCTGTGTTCTTTATCTGAATGGCAACTTGGTTCTTCTGGATATTCAGGCCATAACAAGCACAGTCAACTCTGACACCTTTTCCTTTCCCACACTTTATATTCAATCCATAGGCAAACTCTATTGGTTCTACTTTTGAAATCTATCCAGAATCTGACTACTTTTCACAGCCTCAACAACTACCATCCAGGTCTTTGGGATCATTGCAACCGCTTCCTAATTAATGGTCTCCCTGCTTTGACCCTTGACCCTCTATGGCCAGAGATCCTGTTACTTCCCTGCTTCAGGACCTCCCAGTTAGTGGGGTTATAGTTAATATAACACTCACTAGTTACCAGTCAGTGTTTTAAGCAATTTGCACCTATTAACATACTGAATTCTCACAATAACCTTACACCGGTAGGTACTGTTACTTTTTACATTTTATCAATGAAGACACAAAGACACAAGGAGGACAAGTCATTCATCAAGATCACACAGCTAGTGAGTGGCAGAGATACAACTCAAACCCTGACATTCTGGCTCCATGGCCCAGGCTCTTAACCTCTGGGCCTGCTTCTTCCAGTGGCTTCCTTTCTCACTTGGAAAAAGCCTAGGTCTTCCTGATAGCTGTGTGCCTGACATGATCTGACCCCATTGCCTCCCTGACCTTGCCTTCTACGACCCACTCCTTGGCTCATCTGGACACACTGGCCTCCTTTCTGTTCTTCTAACACTCCAGGCTTCTTCCCACATTAGGGCCTTTCGCCTTGGCGGGTCCTTCTGCATAAGGCATTTCCCTGCTGAAAGTGGCATGGGTCATTCCCTTGACTCCTTAGGGTCTTTCCTCAAATGCCACTTTTCAGTTAGGATGTCCCTGATCACATCCCTATTGAACGTCTTACCGTTACATCCCGGCACTTTTCTAAGCACTTAACACTTACTTTATCAAACCCATACAACTGCTCTAATTTGATAAAATTTCTATCCTCATTTTATAGGAGAGGAAAAGAGACACAGAGATGTTAAACAGCATGCCCAAGGTCACACAGCTGATAAGTGATGAAGTCAGGATTCCAACCTAGGTGTTCTGGCTCCAGAGTCTGTGATCTTATAAAAAAAAAAAATCAATATACAATACTTGGTGACTAATGGGCAGTGGGAAAGTGAATAAAAAAGAAAAATCAAAGTTTGCTCAGAAGTTTAGAGCCAGAGTAAGAAGACGATTAGCCAATATAAGAACATCACACTGGAGGAGGAGAAGGGGTGGACAGTTTAGATTACCATCTTCCAGAGCCATGTTTCTCAAAGTGTCATCCAAAGTACTCCTTCGTCAGAATCAACTGGGAGTGCTTGCTACAAGAGCAGGTTCCTGAGCTCCACTCCACACCTTCTCAAACAGAGTCTTTGGGGTCAAGAGCTCAAGGATTTGCATGAATGAAAACTCCTAGGTGATTTTGAAATACAATAAATTTTCAAACCACCATCTTGGAAAACAGAAAATATTTTCATTGGCTAAAGTTTGTAGACTAAGTGTCACAATTGTAGTATAGCATTTCCATAACAACAACACTGGCAAAATGTTCTATCACCTTCAAACTTTGCAACTTGGGGTAGGGACTTTTGATGGGTTTGTTCATTGGCGGATTCCAAGTGCCTGAACCAGTGCTTGGACCATAGTGGGCTGGCAATAAACCATTAGCGAGTGTGTGAATTTTGGAGTGGCCCAGAAGAAATTTTCAAGATGCACAATGACTTTGTATGAGCACATTTTACTCAGAGTAGTCCAAGATTTCCATCAGACTTCTTACATAAATTCAGTTTATCGGTTATCATTATTTCCTTAGAAGTGTGAACAGACTGGAAAATACACTGGCTTTTGGAATCATTGCTCTAAGTGTGATTCGGGGAACTGGTATTTAGCAGCTGTGTAATGTTAAGATATTCAACCTTTCTGAGCCTTTATTTTCCTCATTAGTATATTCTTATCACCTTATTTAATATCAATAAAGGTATTATATAAATCAAAAGGATCCTTGGAAAAATATGACTAGGTGAATAGTTTTTAAAAATTTCTCAGTTATTTTGAGGTATAAGGTTTTTTTTTGCAAATTTCTAGCTGTGAAATTTTATAGACTAACAAAATTAGAAAAATAAGACTTACTGGTATAGCATGAGCACTACACATAGTTAAAGAGTGTGTTAATGTTATTAACAAGAGTTAAACTTGGAAAACAAAGATTTCTTTGACATTTGAACCTATTTCAAATCCTTTAAAATTTAATTTGTGAAAACTTATGGGAATAATAAACATGAAATTATTCCTATTTACTGTTTCCTTTTAGAAATAATCACAGCCCCCTAGTTCAAGAATAATATTGCTTTTTGAAAATAAAATATTGATTTGTTGAAGAAGTAGGCAAGTAATGTTATAGTTTAGTATTCTGTCACTCAGAGGCATAGCCCAAGCCAAATGACTTTCATTTAAGAACTTTTAGAGTAACAGGTATTTTTCATTCATTATTTACTACATCCTTGATATCTCAACATTGAAATCTAAGAGAAAAAAGTCGATTATGCTGAAGCCACCTAGACTTCAATGTCTCCTCAATTTTGGAAACTTTACCATACCATCTATTCTAATTTTAGTGACTAAGCAGATCTCTTTTTAAACTTAAAGAAAGAAAGAACTCTACCCTCAAATTTATTCTTGCTGATCAAACAGATGCACAAAAAAGGAAAACATTGTTTATTACAATTAAAGCACAGACAAAAATGTAATTTGACAAGTGGCAAGAAAAAGCTTTCTAATGAAAACACTATGCATTCTACAAAATTCTTAATTCTTTATTCTAATATTGTGCCTAAGTTAGGCATTCTGGAAAGGCATTTCCTTTGCAGAGTCAGAAAGAAAAGCCCCAAATATCCTGAAGTTAAAGATCCAACTATCAGCATCTATACAACTTCAATGGTTACATGTGATTTTTAAAAAACGCCCATTTTGGGCTCTTCTTTCAAATTATAGTTATAAAATAAAATCCACTCACTTAAACCAAACTCCAAATTTTTCTCTTATTTTCTGCACAAAAGGTAATAACAACATGCAAACCATGAGGCAGAAGAGAATTTCTGGTAGACCGAGAAGCTGTACAGTTTCATGACAGATACAAGAAGAAGAAAATATGCTCTTTGAATGATAGAAATAGTTCCGAAAGATTTTCCCCAAACAGTACTTCAGAGTAGTAAACTCTAGGTCACACATGCCTTTATCTAACGCTAAACACCAAAACCCCTAAATTGTAACCTCTCTATAATAACAGTTCAATCCACTGAGGCTGCTTTACCACGGATACCATACCATTATGATGAGGGTTCTGGGTCTATTCATTTCATCGTCACTTTCCAGAGGCAAAATTTCGTGGGATGGTTCCTCTTGGCGTCGTCTACAAATGTGTGGACAGCTCCTCTGGACCACAGAACGAAAAGCTTGAAGCAGAACAATGCTGGCAGTGCAGCCCATCGCTGCATCCTGGAGCCTACAAAATAACTTCTATGTTGATGCTATGTTTGCAAAACAGTGGCTCCTTGTCCCTGAAAACAGCCTACACTGCAGCTGCAGCCGGCTCACTCTCCAATCACTTCCTTGAGCTCTGATCATCTGATCATGGCCAAATAGCTTGGATGCAGAGATGGGAAAGATTTGATCCACGGAAACTGAACACACTCAGGAATATTAGAGCACTGCGCTCAGAAAGTATTTCTCAATTCACATCGAGAGCATGTTTCCTGTTCATTACAATGAAGCTCTTCGATTCTCCTTTCAGAGGTCTGAATAAATATGTCTTTCCCATTCAGACACACAAATAAATTACTTTTTCAAATCACACAACTGAAAACCTGACTTTACACTCACAATTTTTCCTGAGGTATCATGTAAGGAGTGAAAATGATTTTTTTTTTTATAAACGTAAACACTTCCTGAAGGAAATTTTGCTGGACATCTCACTAAGTGATTGAGGTTTTACTTTTCATAGCTCATAAGTTCCAGAAATGAAACTGGCTTATCTGAAACATAGAGTTCACTAGATCAAGATGATTTAACCAAAGTATGCACGCATTAACCAGCCCTGAGTGAGAGACACCAGTGTTCCCCTGTGATTTCCTCTCAATAGTATGGTTGTTCTGTTCCCACACATGCAGTTCTGCAGCCTAATACAATTTTATATTTACATACGCGGCTTGCAGGGCTGAAAATATCTCTATTACTGAGGTCACTGAGCAAGCTCCGCCAAGCTGACCTCTTAGAAAAAGCAGCTGTAAAGCATTTTAACATCCTATCAATAAGAATTCAAGGCTCTGGGAAGGACTTTGAGGTCTTTGGTAGTTAAGAGTCTGGTATTCCCTGACTCCTGCGAGACTAGTCACTTAGGAAAGAACCAAAGAGAGATGCTTAGAAATCACGTGTCCTTTCTGGAATGGCCTCAACATCTAATGGTATAGTGAAAGGGAATAGGGCAGCTGGAGCTGCTTGCGCTAAAAATATCTCATGGAAAATAGATTTTGCTTACAAATGAGGAAAGTATGAAATCCCCAATAGAATTCAATCTTGAGATCTTTCTGCCAAGCTAATTCTTCCAGTGTAACTCTTGGAGATTCAAAGAAAAAAAAATGTTTTCTGTGGTTTCTGGGCTCCTCGGCGTGAAGGGTGCTGCAGGAAGTTTGAGGAAGGATTGTTTTGCTGTAACGTGTGGCCGCCCCAGCCTCAGTGAGGTTGCTTTCGCGGAAGCATCTAGCATGATGCTCAAACAGGCATTAATTGCTCAGTAATCTGTCACAACACAGCATCGTTTTAATTGGTATGTTCACCCCAGAGAAGTAAAACATGCTTCTTTTTCTTTTAAGAAGTACTGGCTGCCAGTAGTTTTTCATCTCCCTCTGTTTTGAGCAAACATATTTTAGTGCTGCTGGAAAAAGAAGAAAAAAAATGCTAATGATGCTGGCAAGTCCCCTAACTCCCTCTGGACATTTGTCAGACTGCCCGGGTGCTAATCTAAACCATTTTTACTCTAAACAACTAGGGCATTTACTGAAGAGAGGCTACGACTTAGCCTGTCTGGCTTGTGTGTATTGAATATCTATATCTAATGGTGTCCACTTGAGACAAAGGGCAGAGTGGGCTCCTCTGTTTGTGAATGTGTCTTTTCAAATAGGACAGTTCCTCTGGGCTCCCTGTATGGCAGTGCCCACCCCCACCCACTTACTCCCATCCCCCAGGACATATCTCTCTCCAATCACTTCCGTAGGTTGTGATCATCTGCTCATGGCTGCGTAGTTTGCAGGCAGCAAGCTGCTAGCTGGAAACGCTTAAATAGTAAACCAGCCCCAGTTAGAAACTGGAGAGAGAAGACAGATCCCTCCGCTATCCACCATGGGCTTGGCAGGCACGATGCACTTCACATCCTAAACTCCTCTCTAACCATCTCTCTCTAAATCTGGCTGACCTCTGCGGTGGCTTTTGGAATCAGATGTTTTGGCAGATGCCAAAGTCTTTAGGGAGACAAATGAGATGCTTTCTAGCTATTACAGTCCCGCCTTTATCGATCCCCTCTGCCTCTGAGGAATTCACCCCTATTATTGACGGGCTGCTGACAGGCTCTGAATATTCTCTCTCTCATTCTGTCTCCTCTCTCTGTTAGCCTCTGTTATCAAGCTAAAGGAATGTCCAAGGATTAGTTTCTTTGGAATTCAATACACACAACCATTATCCAGTGGACAAGAAATAAAAAAGATGAAACGCAGGAAAGAAGAGTTGAGTATGTTCTCCAACATTTTCTCATGAAAGATTCCAAACATGTAGGAAAGTTGCAAGAAAGGGTTTGGGTTCTGAGCTCTATGTTTTACATAGCAAATTAAGCTAGAGATTGGGTTGGGTTGTGGGAGACACAGAAACCTACCCAGAGGCCATGTTTCTGTCATATGACACACAGGAAACTTTTTTTTTTTTTTTTTTTGAGGTTGAGTTTCGCTCTATCGCCCAGGCTGGAGTACAGTGGCAGGATCTTGGCTCACTGCAACCTCGGCCTCCCAGGTTCAAGTGATTCTCGTGCCTCAGCCTCCTGAGTGGCTAGGACTATAGGTGTGCACCACCACACCTGGCTAATTTTTGATAAGCAGGAAATATTTTAAGATTAGGTATAAACTCTTCAGCAGGTGTCTGCTATTTTTATTTGAACTATTAATAAGATGAATCATTAATTTGGCCTCCAAACATCAAATGTGCACGGCCTTACTAATAAATGACCTTTGGAGATTCTTGTTCACTCTCTTGTCTGCCTTCTTCCCCTAGTAGGGTCTTATCTTATGATTCAATAAGGTATTTATTAAACCTAAAATGCTAGAAACAAGATTTTTAAAGTAATTGTCTTAGATTAGGAAATAATGTCACTAACAATTCGTAAGGCTAAATTTTCCAAAGAAGTGTTGGAAGCTAGATTTCATCCTGGGTCATTAATTATATATTATATTATATCATATTATTGTATGTTATTTCATATATAAAAATTTATTCAGCACTTATGAAATCTTAAATTTGTGTACAATAAAAAATGTTCTTGTTTCAAAGCAGAGATAGCCGTGTTGTGTAGACTGTAGTAGCCTTAATGCTCATAGGAAATGGAAGGAAGGATGGAGGGAGATGTTTTTAACATCTTATTGACCAGGGAGAAAGACATGTAGGAAGAAAAAGTAAGGCATTTCAAGAGAGTAAAAGGAGGTTAAGGAGGAAAAAAAAAAAGAGAAAAACGAATGAAGGGACTAACAAAAACCACCAAAATCGTACTGAATCCTAGGAGGATACTGGACTCTGCCTCAGGGGTCCACCTACCCAGCTGTAGACTGCCCATCCTTCTTCAACAAATCTTGACTAATGAATTTAGTTTTCAGAGCACTTTTCTAAAATCTTTTGGCCTAAGAATGATTTGGCTGTACATGTTGATATATCCACCACTGGGATAATATGTCCAAAGACCTTTTTACAATGGGCAAGGAAATACACATTTAATTTAAATAAATAATGTCCATTGAAAGTGTTGGACCTTCCCAGCTTTGTTAAATTATGTAAGAGCCGTGTGTCTAAATCTATATATCTAATCTATTGCAAAATACCTACGTCTGTTTTGACCGTGTCAAATTGGACTGTGCTTTGGCATGATGGAGGTGAAGCCCACATTCTTCTCCTCCCCAAAAGACCTGGTGCATCTGAGTCTTCTGACACATAATGCTGACCTTGGATGGGGAGAGGTTTTCTGCTATCCTCTATAAGGCATCAAGTACACGGAAAACTACTGCTGCTAACAGATGCTTGTCTTGTAAAAACAAAGATGAGCTTAGATAAAATATTTGAGAAATAAAAAATTGAGAAATGAAGCCTAACAAAATCAGCCTCAAGGGCTTTTTGGATATCCCTGATGCTATGCAGCTTGGTTTCATTGCTTCACACACTGTGAGTTTCTGGTGGGTCCATTTCAGGATCCTAATAAGGTCATGATCAGAACTTATTTATAAAGATAAATTTATGGAAAGGCTAAGAGTTTAAGGGTAGAATTATGTCCCCCCAAAATTCATATGTTGGAACCCTGAGCGCCAATGTGACTCTGTTTTGAGATAGAGCTTCTAAGAAAGTAATAAGGTTTCATGAGGTCATAAGGGTGGGGCCTTCATCCTCTAGAACTAATGTCCTTATAAGAAGAGGAATAAACACCAGCTCTCTCTCTCTCTCTCTCTGTCTTCATGTGTGCACAAGGGAAAGGCCATATGAAGCCACAGTGAGAAGGTGCTATTTGCAAGATAGGAAGAGAGTCTTCACCAGAAAACAACCCTAAGAGCACCTTGATCTTCAACTTCCAGCCTCTAAAGCTGTGAGAAGATGAGTTTCTATTGTTTAAACCACCTAGTCTGTGGTGTTTTGCTAGAGCAGCCCTAGTACCCTAGCAGGCCAATACAAGGACCTTGCCTGGGAAAACCATATTCTAACAGTGAAGCCTCAAGGGAATCATCACCTCCTCGGAGAAAGGCTCTTAATTCCCCCAGGTTGAATTAACCCCCGCCTTCCTCCCTGCTTCCAAAACACAAATGTTCAGGAGTCACCTTTGAAGTATCTTTTTGCTGCACCTGCCTGCCCTCTGGCCAGCAGAACATGGTTTCCGCATTTGGAGTCTGGAGGCCCTGACTTCTAGCTCAAGGTGGTGCGTGGAGTACATTTTTTTAGCTATCTCTTTCCCCAAATCCAAGTGAAATGACAACAAAGCAGTATAAAGGCAATATATTGATTACAACAAAATGAGAAAAGGTGGGAAACTTTTTCAGCAAAGAGAATTTTTGAGCATCTCTGAAGAATGAAAAGTGAATTTGATCACATTGATTAATAACTAAAAATGAAGTATTTAGGAACAATTTACAGGCACAGCAAGAGGATACAGCAGATGGCAGCCATTGCTCACAACAGGGCCCAAAAGGGGCTCCAAGCTCTAGAAAGTAGGGGCTGAATGTGAGAAAGTAACTGGATAACTGCCCTTGGACCCTGTTCTCAGCACAGATAAAACACTAGAGCACCTGTCACCAAATACCCCAAGAAGGGCAAATACTTCCAGAATACCTAGCATAGGTGTCAGCACCTCAGTGGAACCCCTCACTATTTTGGCTTTGGCCAGTGGGGATGGGGTGTATATCTAGTTGGCCTGCCAGACTGGCTTACATATCTGGAAATGAAGACTGCAGTTGGTGCACCAGTCAACCTAACAGCTTGTCCACAGGTCAGTCTGACCAAGTGAAGGAGAGGATTCAAATGTTCCTTCTCTCCCTGATCCCAGGGCCAGAAGGCAGAGTATTCTAGCTCCCCAAACTAAGTAGACCTCTCTTAGTTTGGGTTAATTTACAGTGAGACTGACAGAACCTACAGTCAATATGGACTGAGCATCCTGGTTCAAGTCTAATTTGATGCTTGTCCAAATGACAGCCTGGTGGAAGAGGTGGCCAGCAGAGCACAGTAGAAAAGCTCACAGCGAGCTTCAGAGTCAGCCTGACTCATACGAGTCACCTAACCTCTCTAAGCCTCAATAGTATCTGCGGTAAAATGGAGATCATCCTTTACACTTTCAGGATATTGGTGGGAAGAGATTAACTGCAAAGACCAACATAGAGCCTGGCCCATAATTATTCAGTGAACAAGCGTGATGCTGCCTCTGCTAGGGTGATAACAGAGGCTTGGTCTCTTCCCTCTCAGCTTCCAGGATCAGCTTAAAGGTGATACTGCCCTGGAAAAGCCTCCCCTAACGGGCATTGCTTCACAGCCCTGAACCTCAGTCCTTATCACGGTACCCTGTAGGTTTCCTTTCTAACACACCCCTGTAATTACATCCTGATTGATTTAGATTTTAAATTGTCTTCCCTCTCTGTAAGACACAGGATTGTGCTTACCTTGTTTGCTATATATCCAGCACCCACCTTGGAGTACATGCTCAATGAATAATAATCATGATGATGATACCCCTAAGAAAGCAAGCCCTTATAGCACTCGCCATGTGCCAGGCACAGTGCTAATGAATATTTATGCATCGGGATACATGTACACCTCCCTCTATGAGGCAGTGCTGTGATCATCCCTGTTTTACTGTTGAGGAAACTGAGGCACAGAGAAATTAAGTGATTCCCTCAGAGAATCACAGCTAGTAAGTGGCAGAATCAGAATTAGAACTGGCATGTGGCAGGCGGTAGTGAGGCAACCCTGGAAAATTCCCTTTGAGAGCTGGTCTGTCCCTCACAGGAAAGTCTGTGACTTTTTCTTGGATGACAGTTTCAGAAACCAGCTAACAATTGAGCAGATTGTTTTAAGGTGATGATTTAAATTGCATTTTGGTAGGAATTGAAACCAGTCTTTAATGAATTTGATAAACGAATTTTTTTAAGGTGCTGTGTTTACTGTGTGAAGTGTTCACTGGCAGCAGTGACTTAACTGCCTAAATTGGCTGTCAAAGCATATATTTAGAATACAGAAACGTAATGGGCTCCCTTTATCATTACTTGCTTCCCCCTACATGACATAAAATGTTGGTGAACACCAAAATGCCCCCAGAAAAGAGGCTACTTTGGGTCCAATTAGAAAGAGGAAAATGAGGCCATTACCCCAGGACACTCTGTGAGTGTGGACTTGGTTGCCCACGCTGGAAGAGCTGCCACTCACTCTTGAATTCATTGGAGGCTGATCCTGGAGAGTTGGCTGACAGCTCAAACATGTCGCTGCTGCAGAGGGAACCAGCCACTTTCCTTCCTGGGCTAGTGTGAGGACCTAGGGGTGACCATCAAGTTGGTGGGAGCTCAACTGCCTCGCAATCTTTGTTTCATCTTCCTTCTCTACCACAAGTATTCTCTGTGGAGTCATGTGATGGGAAGAAACATGGGGACCAAGGCATAGGGTAGGAAACCTCCATCTGCTGATTTAAGCTGTAGCACTGCCTTTCCATGACAGCTCAGAAATGATTAGTGGAATGAATGAATCAACAGATAATAAAAATCACAGCATCATTGTCATCATTATCATCTTCATCATCAAGCTCTTAATCATGTTGGACTTTTTTTGTAAATTTTCCAGAGGCTCAGCAATTGTTCCTAAACAAAAGTGACCCAAAGGAGGAGAACACCTTAGATTGAAAGTGGCAGGGGATTTTGCCCCCAGTCAGTAAAACCAGGTCATGGGATTTGGTCATTTTCCAGGGC